>NC_000004.12:176421381-177046381 GCF_000001405.40 Homo sapiens
GTCCAGAGTAACCAAGACAGTGTGGTATTGGCACAAATATAGGCAGATAGATCAGTTGACTCAACTGAACATAAATGAGAATCCAGGAATCAATTCTTATATTTACAGTCAATTGATTTTTTTTTTTTTACAAAGTGATCAAAACGAATCAAGGCAAAAAAAGATAGCCTTCACAACAATTAGCACTAGAATAATTGTGTATCCACATGCAACAAACAAACAAAAAACTTGAACTTCAGCCCTTACCTCATACTACACAAAAAAAAATTCTAAATAAATCATAGGCCTAAATGTAATAATTATTACTGTACCATTTCAAGAAGAAAACACAGGAGAAAATCCTTACCTTTGGTTGGGCAAAGAATTCTTAGACACAATACGAAAAGCACAATTCACTTTTTAAGAAATGTGATACATTGGACTTCATAAAAAGTTAAAAGTTTAACACTTCAAAAGACAATGATAAGAAAATGAAAGGCAAGTGTTAGACAGAAAAATTTATTTGCAAATCACATGTCTAATAAAGGACTTCAAAATATACAAACACACTTAACACTAAGTCATAAGATGAAAAAATTAGAGGGCAAAATATTTGAATAGACAGTTCATCAAAAAAGGTATATGTGGCCAAGAAGCACATGAAAAAAATGCTCAGTATAATTAGTCTTCAGGAAAATGAAAATTAAAACCACAATGAGATATCGTTATATACACACTAGAATGTAATAAAAGATGGATAATAACAAGTGGTGACAAGAATGTGGAGAAATGGGAATCCTCACACATTGCTAGTGGGAATGTAAAATGTACAGCCACTTTGAAAAAGAGTTTGGCTGTTGCTCAAAAGGAATTATACAGAATTACTATATGCCTCAAGAATTCTACTCCTTAATGTCTAATCAGGAAAAAATGCAAACATATGTACATATAAAGACTTACATGTGAATTTTGATGGAAGCATTATTAATAATAGTGAAAAATCTGTAAATATTCCAAATGAATATCAATTGGTAAATGGATTAAGAAAATGTGATATAACCATGCAAAAGAAAATCATTTAATGATCGAAAAGAACAAACTCCCACCTCATGGTACAATGTGGAAGAACTTAGAAACCATTATGCTAAGTGAAAGGAGATATATGTAAAAGATTACATATTGTATGATTCCACTTAATGAAAAGTCCAGAAAAGGCAAATTTTCAGAGACAGAAAGCAGATCAGTTCTTGCCTGGGGCTAGGTGTTCTGGTGCAAATTTAAGGATGTATGTAATGTGTGAATAGCTTGCGGCCTTTCTCTTCTCAGCCAGGAGTATGCCTGCCCTAACCAGCTGCAACCTTGGGGTAAGAGCATTTGGCTTGTCTCAACTCAGAGCCTCCGAGAAGCCACTTTCGTTAACAATGCTGCTGTGTTTCACACTGAGTTTCTTTAACAGCAAAGAGGCTGGTCCTCATGGTTTGCTCCATCCTGGCAGAAGTTCTGCCCTGAGACGGGAGAAGCCCCAGGAAAGAATGTCACAGAATTCTACTGTTTTTACCTGAAGTTCAACAGTTTTTCAAGCATAAATCCGTCTCTGATTGTTGTATGAAAACAACATACATACAATGGATCAGTTTTGTCCTGCTTTATAGTTGCTTTTTGAAAAGGATTTGCTGATCTCCTTACTTGGCCATCACTCTACACCCACTTTTTAATATGTAGGAAGAAAAAAGAAAAATTAATAACAACTGGAGATTGGAAAGGCAGAGGGCATATTATGGGAAGAAGCATTAGCCCATAAGCATTCAGTTGGTATCTTACCTCATCAGTTCTTTCAAAGGCTCTGTGTATGTGTGTGTGTGTGTGTGCGCGCACCTGCTACGAATACAAATAGCTTGCTACAAAATATCACTCTCGGAAAGAGAGTACTTATGCTCTAACTTATAACTTATGCTGTAACCGAGTGTACAATAGAATTCTATTTTGACTTGGATTCTCCAACACAAAGCAAAGAAGCAATGAATACAATTTATGGTGTTGTCCTAAATTGCTTTGCTAATTCCCTACCATATATATGTCTCCCTACCACCACTTCATATAATTCATACATCTCAAATTATTATTTACAAGAGATATATACACACAAACACACTATACACACATGAACATTTGTTGCTTTCTTGTGTGGCATATTTGTGAATTTTTCAAGGACGAATGTGGTAACTCCTCTCATCCCTGGATGCGTGCCCCTTTGCAATGTGATGTTGTCTGTCCTCTTGTCAAGAGGTGAAGTCCATTTCTCACCTTCTGAATCTGTGTGGGCTTTGTGACTTGTTCAGATCAAGAGAATGTAGCAGAAGGATTGCTGTGCCACTTTCAGTCTGAAGACTGAACTTCTGCTCTGCCCTGTTTGAACTCTGAGATCACTATAAAGAAGCCCAGGACAGTTTTCTTGAGGGTGAGATACTTTGTGGCATGAAAAACTCAGCTAATAGCTACCATCAACCACAGATAGGACAAGAAAGCCACTTTAATTCCAGCTGAGCAGCGAGATCACAGTAGCTACTTGAGTGAACCCAGGTGAGAACAGCAGAAAAACCACCACATAAGCCAGCCTAAATTACTGACCCTCATAATTCTGAGCAAACAAAATGATTATTGTTCTAAACCACTTAAGTTTGTGGTGCTTTGTGGTACAGCAATTTATAACTGAGACAAGATGTTCATTTTACATTTTCTTTGTTAATAGTTATGCTGAACAGAACATCTTAAAACATATGATGGAGTAATTCTTAGTCTACTTCAATTTTTTGGACACCATCTAATGTCAGAAAGTATAGACTTTAAATAGTTCTTTTGAAATTTGTGATTATCAAGTTTTACATGGAAGTTAATGAAATCAATATTGTTTTTATAGGGTTGCAGGTGATTTTTAAGGTCTGGAAATTTTCCAGATTCATTCTGCAAGTTAATCTAGCAAGTGGCATTCTTTGCTCTTGTTGCCTGCCATCTCTTTGAGATAACTTTTTAAAGGAAGGGGGACAAAATCATTATGGATTCTTTAATCAACAGCAGTTGACTATCTGCTTTTTACTACCACTTGCAAGGAAAACAACTCTTAATTTCCCATTTCTAAAATGCCCTCATGTAGTAGATTCCTAATTACTTGACTGAAAAAGTAAACATCGTCTAATGCTTGCTCAGACATTAAGGTACATAGGAGTGATTACCGAGCGTGTCTGCTTTCCTACCTACCAAATGCTAAATCTATTAGTATTTCCTGGTATTCTTCTGAATTTTGAATACTGTTCACATAAATTAAAAAGACCAACATACAGAGAAATTTATGTCATTTTCCCCCTATTAAAAATATAGGCTAGATAAGGTAATGGAATAGCAATAAAAACTCTTTTTCATAAAATTCTTAAGTATGGCTTCAATCTGCAATTTCTTTTTACATTGCACACATTTCTTTTGCTGCAATTATCTAAATAAAAGTATTTGTATATAACTATTCATAGCACATCAGATTTTTATTTTGTTTGAGGAAATATGCACATGTTTTGTTCATCCTCAATTAAATTATTTACCTTAGAACTTCATGATATATCTGCTTACCTACCAGGAATCCAACACCTGCACATGCAGGCTTGAAGAGGGTTTGAAACTTGATTTTAAAAACACTTTTAAAGAATAATGATGCATAATGAATATTACTTTCGTATTTCAAGTAACAAGCATCACCCAATGGAAAATGTGTGAATTAAATGTCCCTGGTATTCATTACTACTTTGAAACAGCTGCAACAAAGGATTCGTTCTGATATAACTATGTGTCATCCTGGCATGTTCCATGCCTAAGTAAATTTTTAATCTTGACAGATCATCAAATAGAAGAATTTCCTTTCCAGAGAATGCAAGTATTGGGCAATACAAATTCAGATTATAAGAAAGGGTTACACTGACTTCCACAATGATTGAACTAGTTTACAGTCCCACCAACAGTGTAAAAGTGTTCCTATTTCTCCACATCCTCTCCAGCTCCTGTTGTTTCCTGACTTTTTAATGATTGCCATTCTAACTGGTGTGAGATGGTATCTCATTGTGGTTTTGATTTGCATTTCTCTGATGGCCAGTGATGATGAGCATTTTTTCATGTGTTTTTCGGCTGCATAAATGCCTTCTTTTGAGAAGTGTCTGTTCATGTCCTTCGCCCACTTTTTGATGGGGTTGTTTGTTTTTTTCTTGTAAATTTGTTTGAGTTCATTGTAGATTCTGGATATTAGCCCTTTGTCAGATGAGTAGGTTGCGAAAATTTTCTCCCATTTTGTAGGTTGCCTGTTCACTCTGATGGTAGTTTCTTTTGCTGTGCAGAAGCTCTTTAGTTTAATTAGATCCCATTTGTCAATTTTGGCTAGAACTAGAAATACCACTTGACCCAGCCATCCCATTACTGGGTATATACCCAAAGGACTATAAATCATGCTGCTATAAAGACACATGCACACGTATGTTTATTGCGGCATTATTCACAATAGCAAAGACTTGGAACCAACCCAAATGTCCAACAATGATAGACTGGATTAAGAAAATGTGGCACATATACACCATGGAATATTATGCAGCCATAAAAAATGATGAGTTCATGTCCTTTGTAGGGACATGGATGAAATTGGAAATCATCAGTCTCAGTAAACTAGCGCAAGAACAAAAAACCAAACACCGCATATTCTCACTCATAGGTGGGAACTGAACAATGAGAACACATGGACACAGGAAGGGGAACATCACACTCTGGGGACTGTTGTGGGGTGGGGGGAGGAGGGAGGGATAGCACTGGGAGATATACCTAATGCTAGATGACGAGTTAGTGGGTGCAGCACACCAGCATGTCACATGTATACATATGTAACTAACCTGCACATTGTGCACATGTACCCTAAAACTTAAAGTATAATAATAATAAAAACAATAAAAAAAGAAAGGGTTATAATAACCATTTAGAGAAGGAGGTAGAGGGTAGGGTTCAGGCTTGAACAGGATTCTTCATCATACCGTATTCTCCTGAAATGGACTCCACCAAGATGTAAGAAGATTAAGTCCAAACCTGAGGTACAGTGCCGTTTTGCCTTCTGATAGAATTGGTGGCTATTTTTTGCTAGGCAGACTGCTTAACTGAAAAGACTGGCTGTGCTTTTATTTTAGTCTCAATGAGTGTGCTTTGTTTTTTAAAATAAACTTCCATTCTCCCTTTGGGAATCAACTTGAAGTCAATCTTATACCTCCTTTTCAAAAGTTTTTCTGTGTTTAGGCCATTGTGAAGTTGTCTTTACTGATCTGCTGCTCTGAGGGAGTGAAAGGGAGCCGGGGAATTGAAGGAAACCTGTGAAAGAGGAAATAGGACTTCCTCTCCCTTTCACTTGGCACTTCACCCTCAAAGTACATTCCACAGAGCAGCAACATCTGTATTATTTGCTAGCTCCTCCAAGATGCAGAACTCAAGGCCTTACCTGAGACCTACTGGATTAGAATCTGCTGTATGACAAGATCTCGGTGTGCTTTCTATCCTCAGTAAAAATTGGCATGCACTGACCCAGGAGAAAGCATTAGATCAAATGTGCCAGCCTTTCGCTCTCTAATGGCTCTCAGATGGAACATCCTCTAACCTGGGTATTCCCTTAAGGAAAAATAAACGACTAGACGCCAGGAGCTCTGGTAGTTTGTTTCTACCAGGTGTGGCTTTGAGGAAATCATTTAATTTCCCAGCTTCTGTTTGCTATTTGTAAAATGATACTCTACTATTTTGTGGCATATCTTTTGTAAGGTACAGTTTTCTTACTTACTCCTCTCTGTTGACGTTGAGCCCAAATCATTATTTAAGGAGAGAAAGTCTCCTTCACTCACGAGACATACGTTCACTTCACCAGCATGTACTTATTCTAGCCCCACTCAAGCCGAGTAAATTAATTTAATTTGTTTCAATTCAAGCTACTGTAAGCTACATCAATATTAATACAGTTGCTTACAAAAATATATTCTTAGATAAAACCAATTAGTACATTAGTTAATTTACATATCCTTTTTTCCACAGGGGGAAAAATGTAATGACCTGTAACTCACTATATTTAGAATGTCATTCCTTCAATTAATTAGCTTCTACAATTGAAATTATAATATATTGTAAACTAAATTTCTGGCAGAGATATATAAAGATGTACACACTTAAATTTACCTTCAAAACTCAATGGAGTTAAAAATGATAACTATAAAATATACTTTGATTTATAATTTACAAAGTCCTTTGCCTACATGATTTCATTAAAATATGAAAATCCTGTGCAACTTTCAGTTTTGTTTTGTTTTTTGTTTTTTTTTTCTGAGACAGGGTCTCATTCTGTCTCCCAGGCTGGAGTGCAGTGGCGCGATCCTGGGTTCAAGCAATTCTCCTGCCTCAGCTTCCCAAGTTGCTGGGATTACAGGCTTGTGCCACTATGCCTGGCTAATTTTTTGTATTTTTAGTAAAGACAAGGTTTCACCATGTTGACCAGGCTGGTCTCGAACTCCTGACCTCAAGTGATCCACCTGCCTCGGCCTCCCAAAGTGCTGAGATTACAGGCGTGAGCCACTGTGCCCGGCCGCAACTTTCAGTCTTAAAACAGCTATTATCGTAGGCTTTGTAAATTTCTTTGAAATCCTTAATTTAAAGCATAACAAAAGTGGATTTATTATCATTTATTGTGCCATAAACAATTATTTCATGATTGTTACTGTTATTTTGGTATTCTAAGGATTTAGGTAAAGAAAAGTGCTGTTTTTCTAGAATCTCTTCTCACTACATATGTTAAGTTCAATATGTTCAGCCTAATTTGACATAAGGTGCAGACAATGAGGCACCAATTTACTGAGCCTGAGGATACTTAAGATTGATGTTTTCATTTGATGTCTCACTTCCAAGCTATATTAGACACTGTAGGTTATAGTCTGTGAGAGCCGGATTAACTCTCAGCATCCAAAATGCGTTTCAATGGCTTAGTGACAAAGGTTAATAAAGAATTGAGGATAAACATTGCAAAACAGTTTAAAATGATCCTGAAAATAATGTGACAGGCATTTCAATACTAAGAAATGTCACCTCTTTCAAAATAAAATAAGAGAAAGTAGAACACTATTTTTCATGAGGTACCTTTTGTTTGATTGTGAGCATGTCAACATTGTTTTGTCATCATTTGAGCACAGAAACACATTTTTCCCCATCCAAATATTGTTGGTGATTAAAAATCCCCTATAAGTAAAAGCTTAGTTGGTCATTATTAAATGGTATTTTTAATGATTAATTCTTTAATTATCAATAAGTCACTAAAATAAAAAATTTTTTCCTATAATACACCCTTGGTAAACGAAGTACAACTAAAATCCATCTTGGCAGTTTTTTGTCTTTTTAATAAATGTTTATTGCATATCTATTATGTGTCAGATGCTGTTTCAAACTTTGAAAAGAGACAAATAAAACACAGTTTGTGCCATTGAATATCTTAGAGTTCAATAAATATTTTTTTAATCTTAGGAAAAATAAATTTGTTAACTTGTTTGAGAATGAAGGAAATGCCTTATTAGCAAGAATATCTAATTTATATAAAGTTAAAAGCATAGTGATTAATATGATTATAATAATTCCATGTAAAAGAATGTCAGATCCATATTTTAATGTTAAAATTCAATGAGTTTTTTTTTTTTTTGGCAAATATATGTGTTACTAAGTGCTACCCTCTGTGTTGTTTCAGGATAAAGGGAGAAAAAGACATACTTGGTTCCTGTTCTAATGGATCTTTTATTCTAGTAAAAGTCAGATTAAAATGAAGATCCTAGAAAAGTAAACCCAATAATTACGATTAGCAATAAGAATGCATTCTACCAACAAAGGGCCCTGATATTGGGGTAGGATTAGGAAAGAATCACTGAGGATTTGATATGTTCTAGCTAGGAGTTACAGGATGAGAGTCAGTTTGAGAAGGAGGAAAGGCATGGAGAAGGCATCCTTAGAAGATGGAGCATTTCATTGAACCGATTTCTGGAGCTTATTAAGATTATTCCATCAGTAATAAGCTTAATATCTGTGATTCCCCAAATTATGTAGAATTTTAGAGCTATGCCATGAGAAAACAAATCAACCAAATACCAAATGTATCAATCATATTTTCTTTGCTACAGTCATGTATGAAAATAGGCAGAAACATGGATCCAGTTCTGGGTAACACAGGTTGTAAACCTTAGTTATAAGGAATGACCCCTTTAACTCCATTAACTTCTTTGCTGTGTGCATAATTTACTTTGAACTTGTTTAAGTAGAGGTTAGCCTACTTTCATTCAGCTCAAAACCCAAATTTGACCAGACACTAGAGAATACAAAAAGAATTTCACCAAATATTTCAGAAGACAAAACAATACATAATATAAACTAATCTTAATATTTTTCAGGGACTTCATTTTAATTTATCTATTAAGATATTTACTGTTTTAGTTGTTTCTATTGGGGTTTTACACATGTGACTTTCCCAATCTACTTAGAATTAATTTTTCATCACTCGAGTATGGAAGCCTTTCCACCACATCGGCTCCTTACCTTCTGTCTTTCATGTTGTAGTTGCCAAATGTGTTACAACTATATACATAGAAAACTCCATCAGACAGTGTTACAGTTTTTGTTTTCAATCATCACACATATTTTAAAGAACCAAACAGTGAAAATTTGTTATATATATGCAGATATTTATCATTTCTGTGGTGATTTCTTCATTTCTGCTTTGAGCTGAATGCTGTGTCCTCCTCAGATCCAATGTGATGGCGGTAGGAGCTGAGGACTTTTCAAGGTGATTAGGTCATGGAGGTGGAACCCTCATGAATGGGGTTGGTGGCCTAATAAAAGAGACCTCAGAGAGCCCAGAGAAATGCCTTTTCCCTTCTGCCAGGTGAGGGTGCATTGAGAAGACACCTTCTAGGAGCCCAAAAGCGAGTCCTCAGCAGACACTGAATCTGACGGCACATTGATCTTGGATTTCCAACCTCCAGAAGTGTGAGAAATAAATTGCTCTTGTTTATAAGCCACCTAGTCCATGATATTTTGTGATAGCAGCCCCAAAAGACTGACATAATTCCTGAAGGTCCAGGTTTCCCCTTGGTATCATTTCCCTTTGATCTTTCCCATTTCTTTAGAGCATGGTTGTTGGAAACAGTCTCCGAGTTTTCCTTCATCTAAGATTGCCTACATAATATTTTTGCTAACTTCAGAATTTGCACGGGTGCTTCTTTTTGTTTATTATTTTAAAAGTGTTATTCCCCTACCAGCTTGTCTCCATGGCTGTTACAGACAGGAAGGGCCAGTGAGACGTTAGCAGAAACCTGGGATAGTTCTCCCTTAAACTTCATGAAACTCTTGAAAGAAGGTGACTTAGCTGGGTGAAGTGTCACATTTGTCACTTGTCCTTCTCCTTATTCCTGGCTGGAAATCAGATGTTAAGTCTGTAGCTCCAGTGGAAAACCAATGACTTCAGGGATAGAAGAGAAGATACAGAAAAAAGCCTGGGCAATGGAAGATTCTTTTGAGTGTGAGGTCTGCTCTGGCAAGCCTACTCCTGGACTGCTTTTACATGAGATCTCAAACTGGGTACCTGTTAGTAGCAGCTGCACTGAATTTTTAATGGACATCAAAATCATGTCTCTTCCTTATCATACATGCTGGAAGAATCTCTGTTACATAACAAACATTCTATATATGTATATTATTTAAATTGAATATGTTGCTTATATACATTTTAAAATTTATTACCATGGGTGGGAGAATGGAACAAACTCTCCTAAGTGAGATAGTGACTTCCTCTCTAGTTGCATGAAATGTGTTTTACATTTCACTATGTAACTTGTACGCACTAAAAAGCTTCTAACTTGTATTGTTGTCTTTTGATATGTATCTATATCTTATCTATATCTATCTTGATCCATAAAAAGATAGTAGACCCTGATTATTTAGAGATTGCTTCTCATGCCTTGTTTTCCAGAGGACCTAGCACTGTGCTTATACATGATGCTAGTAACAACTGAAGTTTACTAGGCTTGGTTTCTTCCTAAACCCCTATGTAATAGATTCTGTCTCTCTAGTCAGTAGCCCACTACTGAGGCAAGAAGATTTCAAAGGATGCTAAGATATAAGACAAGAAAATTATTGACCACACCATTCTATTTTGCATAAATGTAACCCTTTGAAACATTTTAGATGCCAAAATATATGATATTTTTCTGCATATCTGAACAGGTGATTATGCTGGAGTTTTGAGGATCTTAAGATATCATGGAATGATAGGAAAGATCCAAAGTGATTAGTGCTGAGAATATAGAAATAAGAACAAAGTGAAGGTGGGGAAAACAGTATTTATTACAAACAAATCGTTGTTCTTAAGAAATTGACTATAACTATTAAAATGACTAGAATATTTAACTATGAATGTGCTCTGTCTGCTCTACCGACAGCAAAGACTTAGCAATTTCTCTAAATCCTATCCATATTTTCTAAAGGTGTCAATTGCCCTTTTATGTGTGTCACTTTCTACCACTTTTCTGTCACTTCCTGTGCCACAAATTTGCTCTTTTTCCTATGTTCATCATCTCATTGAATGGCACCCCCATCTGCATGGTAGCCTGGGAAATATATTAAGGTATTATCCTTTAACCTTCTTTCTTTATCATCCCTATGTCCAGGTAATCTGAAATTCTGTCAGAATATGCATCTTTAATCTATCTTAAACTGGCCCATTTTTAAAAATTTCTATCTATCTTGACCTTACTTTACCTAAATGATTATCACTCTCCTAATTGTTTCCTAATGGGCCTCATAGGCAAGACAAATCTTTCCTTATACTGCCTCTAGAATTATCTTTTCAAACACGGATGTGGCCATCCTTCTTTCTTACAAATGACCTCATAGTCCCAAAGACAAAGTCTATACTCTCCCTAAATAACATTCAAGGCCCTCACTCACGCAGCTCCCTGATTCCCACGTCAGTATTTTTGTCCTCCTCCCCTTCCCAAAGCACACTCTCACATACGCGTTATTCTACCTGTAGTCATATTAAGCTACTTTCAATTCTGTGCTTTCTCTCAGCCTTCAACCCTCTCTTAGGCTGTTGCATTCCTGTGGAGTGTTCCAATCCATGCACGTGCTACCATGCACCCACCTTTCTTCTTAGAACTAGAACTGAGTAACTTTGTTCTCTTACTAGAATTACCCCTGCACTATTAAGTGTGCATCCCTCTCCCACAAACCTCATTTCATCCACACAGAGAGAACTCTAGGTTGTCTAAGGGCTGGACTCTGCCTTATTCACTATTATATCTGTAGCACTTAGCATGAGCCTGTTTGAGGAATGCTTAGTTAATCAATATTAGAAACTTCTCATTGCAGATGAGTTTATAATTCTTTCAGTTCTCATAGTCCTGTGGAAATGAAGCAAACTGTGTGTGCATGCACGTGTGTGTTTGTGCGTGTGTGTGTTGTTTGTGTGTGTGTGATGGGGTTGAAGAGGTAAAGTATATTAACTTTCAGTGAGGTAATTGTCCTGATATTCATGCAGTCTGCTCTGCATCAAGATTACTTGAGGACCTGGCACGGGAACTATTGTCTAGCTCCTGGGTTGTTCCTGTTATTCTAGCTAACAGCAGTGATTACGTTTGAAGTTCTGTCTCATATTGTTGCACTTCTGTTGATATTTAATAAAAACTCAGAGAACAACTTGCAAGAAGCAGTACTCATTCCTGCTGAGAAAAGAAAAAGAGAAACAAGTGAATCCTTTGCTAAGCCATTTCAAATGTTTCTGCCATAACCTTAATAGCATAATTTTAACTTCTTGGCACTGAGTGAGGTCAACATTGGTATACTTTGTACTAACGCATTATACCGGAAAATTGGATCCAGAGGTAAAATGGAGTTTCCTTTTCTCAAAAGTTTTCTAGCCAAGGTACACAATCTATGAACAAGAGGAATTTGATGAGAACACTGGTGAAGTGCATACTCAGACAGTAACTTGTTTTCTCATGTCCTGAAGTACCAAAACCTTACTTCTTTTAGGCTCCCATTCATATTTACCATTATTTCTATTTTATATTATTTTCATATAATTTCAACTACAGACTAGGGTAATTTATTTTATTGTAGAATATTTAGAAATCTGGGAAGCACCAACTAAAGCGAGTGTTTCTTGCATGAGTAGACCCTTTTTAAAAAAAAATTACATTTGTGAAGAAATATTGCTGCATTTAAACCTCCTAGCAGTTAAAAAATGTTTAATTTCTAGTTTTAAGAGTCATGACAACTTTTTCTTTTTAACACAATTTCTCTTAGAATCATTAAAGTCAATTGCTAATAATTGCATTGGCATTGTGATAACTTGAGATGTAACCAAGGAAAAGCATGTTCAATATGGGTTACTAATTACACTAATAACAATTTATGCAAATTAGTGACTAATTTTACATTAGCATAGTGGTAATCACTTTAAGATCGTTTAGTAAGAATGATGGCCCAATCAAGACTAGGAAGTATTTTTTTTAAATGAGATAGAGAAATGAAAGATATAGGGTTTATTGCAAATAGTTTTTAACTGAAATCCAAATATTAGTAATGAACTATTTTGAAAGGAATGTATTGAGTAAAACCCCATAATTTATCATTCATTTTCTTCTGAGTATTTTCCACACATTTTGATCTCTAGAATATGGCACCTGGGCTAGAAATCTCTCAGGGACCGTCTCCATCATGATTTTTCTGGAATTTCCTGTTTGAGTCAGGATGAAAATATCCCCGATATGCTCTGTTTTTGGGGATTTAGCCCCGTGCTTCCACAACTTAGAGAATCAAGAGATAAAAGAAGCTAAAACAAGAGAAATGTGGTTAAATCATGATTTTAATTTTTCAGAGCTTCTTGCTTCATGTAAACTAAAAGTTTATGGATTATAATCCTCAAACAGCCATACATAAAAACTGTATTTAGATACTTTCTTTGCCTACTAACTTAACACAACTTGAGTCAAGGTTTGGAAGATTTCAGTATCGGCATATCTGGAGCTTTCTTAGCAAAACAAAGGTGACAGAGGGTTGTAATTATCTGAGCTATAGCCATGTGAAGAGAAGATGAAGGACAACTGGGTATGCTGTAAACAATTGAGGATAAGGAGAGAGGAATTAGGAATTAAGTTTAGACAGCAACTTCTTATACATCTTGGGCAAAATATTTCACCCCTCCAGCTATTGAACTCCGTTGGAGTGCTTCTAGCTTTTTATTTTTCTTCTTCCTTCCTTCTTTCATTCCTTCCTTCCTTCTTTCATTCCTTCCTTCCTCCCTTCCTTCCTTCCTTGTTCCCTCCCTCCCTCCCTTCCTTCCTCTCTTCCCTTCTTCCTCCCTCCCTCCCTCTGTCCCTTCCTTCCTTCCTTCCTTGCTTCTTTTCTTTCTTCCTTCCTTCCATTTTTTTTAAAGCGGTGGTCTTTTAAATATGTGACCTTAAGAATTTCAAATTTTCACAAATATTCATTCATTGTGTAATTTGAGAAATATTTATTGAGGACCAACAATGTGCTGGACACTGTTCAAGGTGCTGGTGCACGAAACATAAAGAGGATCAAAGCACATGATGATGTGGTGAAAATAGAATTGAGTAGCAGGAATCTTGTCTTCTTGGACTATGCCTTGAACCTGGCAGTTGTCCTAGAGCACAGTTTGAAATCCATTGATATTTTCCTTCTCTTTCTAATAACCTATGATTCCACAAAGAAATAATGCACGTTAAGTAGCTGCCATCATAAATGTACCTAGGATTGCCATGATCAGGTTCTTGGTGTACAAGTTCATCCTATTTCACTTACATTGATTCGCTTTCTAGATGATACTCTACTTTGAGAAGAAGTAAGCAAATGGATCACATTCTTACTTTAATGAGATCTTTGGCTGTCTTGGTCTCAGTTTTTCTGCTCTGTGTTCCTGTTCATTTTTATCTCACTAAAGAGGACACTGATGTTCTAAGAGTTACCATTATTTTGCACAACCATCCAGGGAACTCTTAACCATTTGTTCCAATTTTATCTAACAAGTAATGATGGTGTGTCAAGGGATAGTTATATTCTATTTTATATCCAAGCAAGTCAAGCTAGAACTGAAATATGTTCTATTTTTTTTAATCTGGGCATAAAAGACAGAGACAGAGAGCGAGAGAGAGACTACCAGAAGATGGTGGGAGGTGAGAGCAGTTGCCATTCAGGATTTACAAGGAATAGTCATATCCCACAGTTAAAATATATAACCACTTATCTTTGCGGCCAGTCAATGATAATTTCCTCTGGCTCCTTCAGTTTGAATCTGCCAAATAATGTACCAGGTGTTTTCTTTTTCTCTTAAGAGAAAAAAATGATCTCTAAAATTATATGAAGTTTAAATGATTTAATTCCTGGTTAGAAAATTTAGCTTGAAATCTAATGGTTATCATCACCTTATATTTCAATAATATTTCATTTCCCACACCTGCCTTCTAGAGCAGTTTCAATCATGAATAACAGTGGGGGAGAAAAATGATAAACATTATGTGCTCAGCAAAGGACTTAGTAGTGTTGAGCCAAGTTGGAAAAGGAGAACAACTATTACTACAGGGCTGAACCTTGTGGGGAGTCTGGAGGTCTGCCCTGACAATCCCAAACTCTGCAACTTTATTATCTTTGTGGTTTTAAAAAGACTTGATCTTTCTAATATTACATTCTGAAAGGCAACTTAATAGATACTCTATTTCTGGAGAGCTCTGTATGCAGAATAATGGAAAATTCTTGTCGTGGTTGTCATGTTTTTTTGAAGAAGCAGCAAAGTGAAGAATAAATTTGGCTGATTTGCATGAAGTGTTAGTATTCACTGACAGTGATTCCTGAACTGAATTTTCTTTATGCTGTGGGAGAAGAGACGTGAAGCATTATTTCTAGCAGCTGGGATGGCTCAGGGATTTAAGGTACCATTTGGGGCCTTGCCAAGATGCTCCGCATGAACCTGGGAATGTCAGTGCAGAGTTTTGGTGAATGAGACAGAGCTGGCATTTTATAGATGGAGCAGGTGTTGGCTTATGTGATACGACTTGAGAATGTGTAAGAAGGTCTTCATGATCAAATACCACACTTCCAGTATCCATCACATTATAGTCATTCCTCTGAGATAAGATCTGACATGCTCCTATTAACATGAAAATGAGTTATCTGGGAGGTGTATTAGTCACTGCTACCTTAGCAACAGTCAGCTTATCAGATAAAGTCTCAGAAAGTGGGATCTTGAATGAATGGTACTCACAGAGGCCAGTTTTGGTTAAGAGTACAAAGATGGGCCAGGACTAAGTGAGGAGATCCAGTGGAGCTAGCAGGGAGGGCCACAGGGGAGGGCCACGTACATGACTGTGGGATGAATTCAGCCTTGACTCAGTTCCTACTTCCACCAAAGTAAGGAGTGTACAGCATCATTGTGCCATCTGGATATTTTTGTTTCACGGAAACTCCCTAGATGTTAACCACATCCTGTTTTCCTTCAAAGCATCACTTAAACATACAGTGTTTAGCATACAGAGTGGGGATACTAAGTCTTCTTTCTCTACATCTCCAGCATTCCTTGATCCCAACTTAATTCTCTCCACTTAATTTTGACGAAAAATTTAACTTTCTACCTTCTTCTTGGCTCCATAGCTACCTTTGCATCACTGAAGACTCACAAATGGTTTCTGCCTCACAATGAGCTATCCACTCTATGTCCTAACCTTTGGAGGTATAGAAGGGGGAGGATTTGAAAGTTGAGTCTTTCCATTTTCCTTTCCCACAGGTTTCAGATAGTAGCTGAACATGGCATAGAAATTTAGGAATTTCTCTTCCTCAACAACCCCACCTGACACAAGCATCAGCCACGGTGAGCTTGGCGATGATCTCCCTTCCCCTTTGCTACGTAAGTGTGTTCTTTGATATGACTCAATTAACCAAAAATTAGCCATCATGTATCTTTAAATGGCTATTGACAACGATTTCTGCTAGATAAGTGTTCTCTCGGGTCGTGTCCCTGACTAACCTGAGCTTACGACCTACCCAGAAAGGTTAGAGAGATATACCAGAACCAGAGTGATAGATTGCCCATAGAAAGCAAGCAAGAGTTGGACACAAAGTGCTGAATGAGTGATAGAGAATATATGATCTTTGTTGTCCCAGTATCCTGTACTTCCTTTTTTGGTAGCTTTTATTGCAATTGTAATGAAATTAATTATCTGGATGTTATTTAACATCTTGCCTTCACCTTTTCTTTCACCTTCCCTTTCACATCCCCTGGGTGCAGGGTCCTGGCTTGATTTTACTTACCATTGTATTCCCAGAGGAACACAATAGGTTCAGAAGTTCAGAAAAGTGAGCAGTCGCTGTCCATTGTGAGGCTTAACAACCATGACCATTAGGGAAGGCTTCCCAGAGGTACTTCAATTCTAGCAAAGGGAAAGTCCAAAGATTGCTATGGATTAGTCAGGTGGTCCTAAGCCTTGGTCTACACCACAAGACTTCAATGACATACTTTTCAATCTGGGGATCTCCAAACTGTTGTTAGGTCAGGAAATAGTGGATGCCTCACATCCTAGTGTGACTTGGACAGATGGCCAATATAATCTGGCTTAACCTGTTCCTATGTGTGGTCCAGATTAAAGTCACCACAGAAACATATCCAGTTTCCATGGGTTTGGCATGATGGCAGCCTGAACTCTCAAGCAGTTCCCAAACTCTAGTTTGTTAACTGTTGCTTAAATAAGGGATCTGAACATTTGGAAAGTAGCTCCATGCAGCACCATATCTCCGAAATTTCTCACTGTCTTCAATGGAATAGGTCTTTGTCTTTCATTCTTGTATCCAACTCTCCTAGGATTCAAAATAAGATGGCAGTCGACCCTTCTGTGGGATCCATAACTGTAGTACAGTGTGAATGGGAAGGAATCTTCAACCATAAATAGGTTTTTTAACCTTCTCTGCTCCTCCTGGAAAAGAAAGGCAGGCAGCTGGTAGAACATTTCTGCACTGTTCTCAATTAACTTTTGCTTGTTCCCCTCAGTGAGAAGAGAATGAGCCATCTCCACCCAACTGTGCTGTGACTGGAGCACATTAAGATGCACAAATAGCAGCCTAGCCTTTGAGTCTTTCTTTTCATATTTTTGCAGACAGCTTCAGTCCAAATAAGGTTCTTACTCCTCCTGAGATAATTCCTAACATTTCTAAATGGGTTTCAAATTCCCCACCAGTTCCACTATCAGTAATGAGCACCATATTTCACAAATGGGCCCGTGAGTTGTGCAGATGCACATTTTGTAACTGTATTCGGTTTCATTTTGAAATATTTTCAGGAACTCTGGAAAATAAATTATTTAGAAATGGAGGGGATAAACACCACATTACAATTATAAAGTGAATATGGAGGACTAAGAAAAATTAAAATAAAAACACTCACTAGCAACATTCTAGAGTTATTTTACTCTCCTCTGCCTTGGAATATTATGCATTTTGTTCTACTCAGGTGATTTTTGAGCTGCATTTTAAAAATTACTTTGAGTCTTGAATATGTTCTGTGGTGATAGAAGTTTGCCTTTGAGGGTGAACTTTAAATTTAGGGGGCTGCCCAAAGGACAGAAATAGCCCAATGAATAAGGTAGATGATTATGGTAGATGATATCAATTTAGTTGAAAAAAATAAATGGAAATGGAAAAGATTTTCTCCAAATGGATTTTACGTTGCAGCATGTGAAGGCTAATAAATACCGTAATCTCTGAAAATGACTCTTTTAAGAGGTTGACTCTAGATTGGCATGCTTTTTTCTTTTCTCATAGAGGCTATATGTATTGTGTTTTTATTTGTCCTCTCATTTACCTGGAATTATGTACCTAAATAGTGCAGCTGGAGCTGGATCTCACAAGCATCCTGGAATTCTGGTCCACTTCAAACAAGTATTTGATTACATCAAATGTAGTTAATTAAGATAATTACATTGTGCTTTTCCTCAGAAGAATACTAGAAGAAAATAAAAAACAGAAAAAACCTCCTGTATTAATAAATTAAATATTTGAAATGCTTCTGGAAGTGTTAAATTATCTTCAGGTGGGCAAACTTGTTCTAAATTCAAGCCCAGGTGGTACCTTACATTTTTTGGGGGGCGGAGGGGCGCTTCTCCTAGAGCATGGATTCAATTAAAGTTGCCTGACAGTGAAAAATCAACCTATTCTAAGATGCAGGCGAAGCTTTCTTCCATAGCAAAAGCACTGTTCTGCTTCTTGGCTTCAGTCATTGCTTTGTTTGCACTTTTTTTCCCTAAGTTCACACTTAAGGCACATTTTAATGCCTGTGACCACCACCTATTTCCTGTTATTGTGTTTCTTATGATAGGCTGCCCTCCTTGGAACTCTTATCTTCTCATCATCTCTGAGTCCTTTTAGTTGAGGTGAATTTGCCAGAGGCAGGGAAAACTGAACGAGCTCTGTTCATATTTGAATGGGAACCACACCATAGTATACTAAAATAAAGCATGACTATCCAATGTGTTTACCACTTTTGTTGTGGTTTTATTGTTGTGTTGTTTTAACTGTGAGCCCGAATTGGAACTTTTTAAAATTTCAGACTTCTATTTTTCCCCTTTGTCTTTTTTTTTTTTAAATCTCCAAGCTTGGACCTTAATTTGTCAACAGATCTCTTTCACATTATTTTTGGCTAAAGGCAGAAAGAAATTGTGTTGAAAAATATTATGAGAATACCTCTCCTGCTAAGTTTTGAGCCCAATATATATAGTAGACTCCAGAGGTTTGGATTATTCAGTTAAGATTGAATAAAACATCCAATGTTTTAGATTATCTGCTTAATTAAATCCCAACGCTGAACTGCTAGAGGTTTTCTTATCTAGAATGAACTAAGTGAATATTACAGAGTGACCTAAGTTGTAGGCAAGTGAGCTACTGCTTATATGTGAAGGGAATCCAAAACCCAATTGGTATGTCTTCATAACATGGCTAAGGACAAGTTGAGTTTATGTACATTTCTAAGGCCAATAGACGGTTTGCAGGACACTTGTTTCTGACATGATTAATATATGAAACGTGTCTGAATTAATCTGATTATTTTACCAAGCTATATTTATTTCAAGATGAATTATTTAAAAAACCTATTTAACTGGTAAAAACTTGGATTCTTAAGCTCGGAGGAACAAGCAATTTAAAAAATTTCTCAGCATATGAACAATGGTAGCAATTAATTTAATAAACAGTTTCTGAGAATCTACTCTATATTAGATGCTGTGATAGGCATTAATGATAGTGGAAGCAGAAAGACAATATTCCTCCCTTCAAAGAGCTCTGTCTAATCAGAGAGACAGCCAAGTAAATACACATTTTTAATTTAAATGTGCTATGAGCTTTAACACAATTATGTAGAAAGCTCTGTGGGGGCAACGAGGTTGCACATCTAATATTGTAGGTGACACTTTACATGAACTACTCAGTGGTTGCAAGATGTACACTAAATCCAGAAGGAAGAGTAAGAATTTCCTACAAGATGAGAGGCTAAAAGGAAGTAAAAGGGAATTAATTTCAGAAATGACATCATATGCTAGATGACAAACTAGAAAACCAAAGGCTGTTATTTATGTATCTTCACATTATATTTTATCTGTATTACACTGTATGGCATATTATACAACATAGATTATCTGTGCCTTAGTTTTTTAAGTGTAAAATTGGTATAATGATAGGTTTTTCTGAAGACTAAATATATTAGTACATATGAAACACTTAGGAAAGTGCTAAGAATACAGCAAATTAATATATATTAACTATTATATTAGCTATTATTTTCATGTTTATCCGTTCCCACTGATAATGCATAGCAAAAGCACAGGGTGGTTGATCAATGTATTCACTTATTCAGGAATATTTATTGAGCATGTACTATGTGCCAGATACTGGGGATTCCAAAGTAAAAAGACCATAACCTCCCCTCACAGTGCTTAAAATTCCAATACTGAGATGAAAGAAAGTAAATCATCACACAAACAGCGGTGTAAATTTAGAGACTAATAGACATTGAAAGAGCAGGAAAATGCTTGAAGGTGGGCAGGAGACGCTTCACTTGTTGTCATTGTTGGATTCCTCCTGAGAGACACAGTAACCTAAATGTTAAAATGAAGACAGCCCTATAAAGGCCTGAGGTAGGAAAAAGTTTGGTATGTCCCAGAAATAGCCAGGAGGCCACTGGGATTGGAAGACAGATAATGAGAGGAAGAGAAATAGTAGATAAGGCTGGAGAGACAGGCAGGGGCTAGATCACATAGGGCTAGATAGGGGAGGTAAGAAACTTGGATTTCATTTCAAGTGTAATGGAAAGTCCCTTCCAAATGAATAAGATCTAAGAGGCACAGTCAGTCAGTCTTTCAAAAACTTCTTCACTTACCTCACCGTGTCATCAAGCCCCCAATATAACTTGCCTGAACTGTTGGTTTCTTCATATTTTTCCATTCCCCTTCAAAGGGCAAAGCCATCGTGTTACCAGGAAACCATGGAGGAAATGTCCCAGGTGCCCCATTAAGCTTCACAGTTAAAAAAGTGAAAAAGACAATTCTTGATCTCAAGAAGCTCATGGCCCAGAGGGATAAATAGACACATAGGAGACATGAAGCCATGGAGTCGTGAGTGTGGCGATTGAGACAAGCATAGAGAGAGTGCTGGGGGAGCCTAAGGGAGCTCCACGTTACTCAGGGCGCTGGCCTAGGCCTTCTGAAGAAAGTGGTGAGTATGAGTTAGTAGGCAAAGACAACTGCATGGGAGAAAGTGGCAAGGTGCAGGTTTTCCAGGCAAGGTGAGCAATCCTGAGGGAGAGTCCGGAAGCCAGAAAGCACAGTGCTTTCTTGAGAAGGAAGGGAATTCAGCATGACTTGAATTGGAGCCCAGTGCCTTAATTTAATTCAAATTTTGGTGCTGCTTCTACTCCTTCACATTTTTCTTAACCTTCCTTTCTTCTGGATCCATACTGCTTTGTTTGGCCATTACTGACATGGTTATCAATCTAATCTTTAATAACAATGATTTTTGGCAAGATACTGACTCTGAATATTGATCTGCTCACATGTAAAATGGGTTACAAATTCGTATATCACGGTGAGGTTGTGAAAATTAAATCCACATCTCACAGTGTGGGTTAATAAGTAATCCACACCTCATGGGGATGGACACTAGCAGAGCAGCTGGCATACAGAAAGGGATCAATGCAGATTCATCTAGTTCGATTCCTCAGTTGTTTTTAAGAGAATGCTCAAATTCCACAAACCTCTAATACTTTCTATTATAGTACTTACTAAAGATCTTCTCATTCTTTCTAAATTTTCCTCAAGCTCTCTGTACTGTTTTACTACTCTTGTCCACATTTGTCTATCCTTCCTTTATCAAAATGGATTCACTGGCTATTTTTTGAAAGCACTCATCTCTTGCTTTGAAACCTTCTCTCAGGCTTACAAGTCTTCTTTACAATACTTGCAAAGCATTTACTTCTTCATTATCCTATACAGCTAGTCTTCTATCATGTAGGATAGGAAGAGAAATTGTGACTTCTTTCAGAATATAGCTTTTGAAAATATTTCACTTAATAAAATAACTGTGATAAACCTTTCTTTTTCTAAAAAAAAGACTGAGATAGGTTTAGAATTTTTCTATTTTTCTCCATTATCTTAGCATTTTTGATGATTCAAATGAATGCCGCTAGAGATTTTTTCCTATCCCCATTTTTTTTGCATCAGATCTTTGAGGAAATGAAAAATAGAATGGGGATAAACTTCGGTCCAAGTTTACTGAACAAATACCTATGACATGACTGTTATGTTCACACCCTCTATGAATCTTTGTGGTTGAAGGCTTAGTGTCGAATTTCCCAGTGTTCTGGAAAGCTTAGGCAGATGAGGTACAAGTTGTATGCCAGGACCGTCAGAGAATCTATTTATTTGGACACTGGCTAAGATAGGCTAGCTGGCATCTATATCATAGATGAAAACCAAGGTATCACTAAATTTAATAACACACCCCAAGCAAGTTCTTGTATGCTCATGATCTCATTTTGCCAGCTGTTTCCTTCTATCCCATTTGGCACCAAGATTTTTAAAGACACATTTTGTTCCAGACCTTAAGGGATAACTGCTGGCAGTAAATTTTTCATATATAAAATTCTTTTGTCCACTAAAATAGTTGCTCCTTGTTCAGCTTTCTTACTGCCAGTGTGAATGGAAGATATTTGACTCTGGATATAAAGGGCATGTAGTCTTTTCCTCTACTTCACTATCAGAAGGTGAGCCCATGATATACAAGAGAGGAAAACTAAAATTCCACACAAGGTACTAGTGAGTCACATTGAGCAGCAGCACACATTCTATCTTACCCCTCCTTTGGTTCTTTGGGATCTAAAGCGTCATTTTTTTCACCTCATTTTAGGGAGCTGGTTTGGATTAAAGTCACATACAAACTGAGCCATCTCCAACATCTACATCAGGAAGTAACTCTAACTCAAGATAGAGGTCACTGGAGGGGCAACAGGTTTGTATTGCTTATTCTGGCTTCTCTTTTCGTGTACTGGAGATCATTTGGAAGAGCTACCAGTGACTGACCCTTTATAAGCATTATATTTTGAAATAAAAGCGATTGCTTGCTCATTAGCACTTCCCTTGATGAAGTATACAAGTGTCAGGTAAAACAAACTGAATCCTGCTCATGATGGATTGGAATGGACATTCCATTGGGAGATATCTGAGCCAAAACCACAAGGCTTTGGCTCCTAGTTGCTCATGAAGCTTCTAATTGACTTTCATACCACTTGCCAATTATTGCTCTTAAGAACAGTCCTTGAAGTAGAACTTTGATGGGCTTGTGCATTTCTAATGCTGAAATTCATTTGATCTGTAGTGTCTCATGGATTTTACCCACCAAATTCATTTAGAAGCATTATGTGCTATTTAATGGGAGATTATATTTGAAGAGTTAATATAATATGAAAATCTAAATAATTCACCATCTGTAAAAATGATCACTTAACTACACCTTTTGAAAGGCATTAGAATACAATATTTACAAAAGTATATTTTTCAGATTTAGGATGTTTTTGTGTATTAAGTAAATTGTAAAAAAATCTATTGATAGTTACACTGATTTTAAGATTACTCATTGTAAAGCTTTAAAGTATGAAGTATATTTAAGTATCAAAAGTCTTATTAAAATTATCTTCATTTCTTGCATGGAAATATGTTCAATTCTCCGTATTTTAAAAGGAAAAAAATAGACAAATGGGCATATTGGTCAAAAAATTAGAAATAAATACTCATTTTTAATGTATTCGAATTTGTGAAAGGTTTATTCCACTGACCATATCTTCCTGAAATTTTAGAGAAATGAATTCAAAAGGTTTTCTATGCATGTTTGTGGCTTCGTAAGTAGGAATGCTATCCAGCAGACATTTATTTAAAAAGCTATCTATAATTATGAGAGCAATCTGACTCATTTCTTCTGCTGGCAGACTGAATCAGAGACTACTTTTGGACTAACGTCAAGCAGTTATATAGAATATTTTGTAAAAGTCAGATAAGTAGTAATGTTCTGCATTTTTCATCCCATTTATATATAAATAAAACATGATTATATAAATTGCTGAAATAAAGATTGTAGCTATTTCTTTACTCAAAGTACTCTGGATATGTTTGTGAATAAAGAACAAAGGAACATTAATCATAGACTATGAGAAAATATGTTTCAATTGTCTTTATCTATATTCATTCACTGACTGAATACATTTTTCACACTGGAGAAATGCACAGATGATTAAGCCCAGGGCTTAAATACATATAGGGCATTCTAGAAAAATTCACCAATGTTAAAGCTATGGTCCTTAATTTCAAGTTGCTTTAAAAACTAATTTAATGTGTTATTTTCTTAGAAATTTATATCTTTATTATAGAAATTTTAAATAATACATGTAGACTAAAGAGGAAAACATTATCAATCCCCTTCATCACTCATGTTATGCAGATTTTCAGTCTTTCAGATGTAGGCATCTATCTTTAAAATGTCTTTGTTATAGCTTAAGGATTACTTCCCGGAGAGACCTTAATTATCTAATTAGGTTTGGCCTATTAGAATAGAAATCTCATTATGCATTACATTCTGTAAGTTTTTGGTGTACTTTTAAATTTTTCTCTCTCACACCATAAAGAAAAACTCCACGAGCTGGGACTGTATGTTTTCTATTTATTATTTTATTCTCAGTATCTTGTATAGCAGTTCACATAAATGTATGTCCAATTATTTCTTCCACAAAGAATTATCAAGTGTTTTTAATTGGCATAAAAAAGAAAGGAAACAAAAACAAACGAAAATACCAGAAAACCCTCAGGTTAATAGTTGATATACTGCATTACAATTCTAGAATCATACCTTTTTATACTGTTGAATATTTTCACATATAAACATGATCTGTCTTTTTATAAACATGGTCTTTCTATTTACTCAATGCATTTTTCATCCCTCCATAAAGTTAATTTTCTTCATCTAAGTCCTACACATTTCTACTTACGTATTTCGTCTCTTGTTGCTACTTGCTATGGTCTGAATGCTTGTGTCCCTCCAAAATTCATGTTGAAATCTAATCTCCAATGTTGGTATTAAGAGGTGGGGGGGTCTTTGGGAGGGTACTAGGTCATGAGGGCAGAACCTTCATGAATGGGATTAGTGTTCTTACAAAAGAGGACTGAGGGAGCTTGTTTTTCTCTTCTGATATGTGAGAAAACATGGTGTAACTTTTCCTCTAGGACTTTATGTTTTTAATTATTCTTTTCCTTGAAGTACTTTTGACACCTTAGACAGAAAAATGAACTAAGACTGCTGGCCATGATGGCTCACAACATACCTGAATCCCGGCACTTTCGGAGGCCGAGGTGGGTGGATCACTTGAGCCCAGGAGTTTGAGACCAGCCTGGGTAACACAGGAAAACCCTGTCACTACAAAAAAGACGTATTGTCATCAGACAATACATCTGCTGACACCTTGATCTTGGACTTCCCAGCCACCAGAACTGCGAGCAATAGATTGCTGTTGTTTATATATTACTCAGTCTAAGGCATGTTGTTATACAAGCTCGATTGAACTAAGGCACTACTTTTATCAGGACTATTTGCCATTAAATTTTTAGAACAATTTTTAAATAAATTAGCATAAAAAATTCACTTCTATGCAATTTTTTGTTGGTCGCTAATCTCTTTAGTTATTTATGAAAGTTTTTCAATGGGTTCTCTTGAGTTTTCCTGGCAGCACATAATATAATACGCACATGATGATACTTTTTATCACCTTCTTTCAAATATTTATGTGACCTTTATTTTTCCTGATTCTGCATTGGCCAGCATATTGTGAGTAATTTAAGGTAAGAGTGAGTATAGTGATGGTCCTTGTCTTTTTCATACTTCAATGGCATCATTCCTTGGATTCTATTTTTAAGAAAAATAGTTCTGCTGCTTTGAGACAGATTTTAAAAATCATGTTCAGAAATTTTTAAAATTTGTTTACTAATAGTTTTTATGAGAAAATATTACATTTTCTCAGTGGCTTATTCTGTGAAATCTGTGAAGATGATCTTCTAGAGTTTTTTCTTTTGATTTTGTTACTATTTTCAAAATTAGGTTAGTGTATTGAATTATCTTTTTATTCCTCGAATACATTCTCCTCTTTTGCTATTATGATTAAAAATATTTTATTACTTTCTATTGGCTGACATTATGTTTGTGTTTTTTGTATCTATTTTCTTAGGGCAAACTGTCATAGAGTTCCCTCAGTGAGGGTTGTTATAAGCATTTTGCTGGATTCGAGTAACATGAGGCAGTACATAACTTGTCTGAGAAGCTTAAAGCTCTTGTTTCCTTCATTGTCATTTAGTTCACTCTCTGCCCACGTGTTATACACTTACGTTTCTTCTAATTTCAGCTCCTAAATACTTAATACCTCTTTAAAAATTCTCCTTGCTGCCTTTTGATCTTAATTGACTAGAAAACAACTTTCATATTTAGTTTAGTCTAAATCAGATTTATAGAAACTTCATCAAAAAGCAATAAACCCATATTAACAAAATAAAAAATACAAGAAGGTTCTAAAAACATTGAAAAATACTGTCTGAAAGTGGTGAGTATAATCAAAATTGGATTAATGTCTTTATGCTGCCATTTATTAGCCTTGAGACATTGGGAAAATTATTTAACCTATTACCTCAGTTTGCATATTTGCAAAATGTTACTTAACAGTGCCTAGTTATAGTTGTGCTGTGAGGTTTAAATGAGATAAGGAATATAAAGCGTGTAGCAAAGTGCTTGGTACATGGGAACCACTCTGGAGAAGTTAACTCATATTACTATACCTGGACTAAATATATTTGCTGGTTTGTTTTTTAATTACTGTATCAATAAGAAGAAAAACAGAACTGGTATAGAAAAAAATAAACTATGTAATTCAATGTTATAAAGCCAACTAATTAAGAATAAATTGTGGCAGATAATAGAATTATATATAGAACATAAGCTCCAAGATAAAGATTCAAATTATTTACAGATAATTACATTTAAATAATCAATGTCAAATTTTCCACTTATATGTGTTGTGTGTATATTATTGTACTCTGAAATATAAATTTGGCATTTCTGACAAGATTTTGTTGTTCTTAACTTTTTAAGGCTGAAGGCATTTTAATATCGCTATTTTTAATTTTTTAACTTAAAGATTTTCATAAAAATTGGTTACTATAAAGTTGTATTAGCTAATTTACAATGTATTGTATTATTGACACAAATTTTTAGACTTTGCTGTTAAATTATGAGTGTATTGCCATCTAGCCAGGCTAACATTTTATAATTTTCTCTAAAATTATAATGACAGCCAGTAACATGGTTATGTTCATTCTTAATAAATTAATGATGCTGAAGAGTCAAGATTGAGAGTGCAACCAAAAACCAATAAGTTTTATATTAATAAATGACACACAGGGTCTTAGAAAAAGAGGTATCATAACTTTCATTTGGAAAAATAGATTTAAAAACATATTTACTAAAATCTTGCTTTACTGGGGGTGAAAAGAATCAGAGATTTCCAAAAGTAAAATCAGTATTTATATACCCACATGCTTACAATAATCTAGATCAATATATTTCTATCTTTAATGTGTAACGTTTCCCCCAGGACTTTATATTTTTTTTATTATTTTGCTTGAAGTGTTTTTATGGCTTAAATAGAAAAATGAGCTAAGACTGTTGGGTGCAGTGGCTTTCACCTATAATCCTAACATTTTGGGAGGCCAAGGCAGGTGAATCACTTGAGCCCAGGAGATCAAGACCAGCCTGGGCAACATGCGAAACCCTGTATCTACAAAAAATTTAAAAAATTAGCTGGGTGTAGTGACCCATGCCTGTAGTCTCAGGTACTTGAGAGGCTGAAGTGGGAGGATCACCTGAGCCTGGGGAAGTTGAGACTGTAGTGAGCCATGACTGCGCCACTGCATTCCAGCCTGGTGACAGGCGTGAAGAGTGAGAGCTGTCTCCAAAGAAAAGAAAAGAAAAGAACTAAAGAAAAAGGAACCAAGACTTTAAAAAGATACACATAGATGTTTTCAAACTGTGGGTTTACTAAGATGAAAGACTGCTTAAACCTTTTCTAAGAACAATTTGGTTATTTGTTCATTTCCTAATTGCATATATTTGCCCAAATAAGACCCAAGAAACGCCCTGTGCCACTACCGCTCCATCTATAACAACGCTTCTTGTCAATTAAATGACTTTTTCCAAACTGATGTTTGCTTATTCTTTCCTTTATTTATTGTCATTTAATACTTTTAAGGCTTGAGAATTTAGATTTTTTTCTGTCTACTTTTCATTTTTGAAGGTTTTG
The DNA here is from genome assembly GCF_000001405.40 of Homo sapiens. Taxonomy (NCBI): domain Eukaryota; kingdom Metazoa; phylum Chordata; class Mammalia; order Primates; family Hominidae; genus Homo; species Homo sapiens. The sequence goes on from NC_000004.12 coordinate 176,449,376, forward strand.
AGTTGAGACTTCACAGAAAACTGAATACAAAGGCACTTCTATTACTTCCTGATCAAAGCATCATCTGAAAATTAGCTACAATTAAATTTCAAATACAAATACAGAGAAAAGTCAATCTAATATTATCTTTATTATCCAAAAGGAAACTAGAAAGGCCTTTACAACAGATACAAATAAGACAATTAAAAACTAAGTTCTATACTTCTCTGAACTGCCTGGTAATTGCTCTCTTTTGACAAAGTATCTTTCTTTATTTTGCCATTTGAGGGGCTCTCTGTTATTTTTTCCTTATTAGTTGTTCTTCCTTCTAGCTTACATGGCTTACATTCCTAGGCTGTGTCCCCTCAGCCCTTTCACAGGGTCTTTCTGTACCCCCAAGTAATTAGCATAGATAATTTGCAAATAATGACATGGAAAATAGACACAAAATGTAAAGATTTTATGTGATGATTTATTTTATGACACGATCCCATCCAGCCGCACATATTACCTGCACAACTTATTCCCATATGTAATGCACTGTATTTTTCCCCAGTTTCATTGCTTTAGGAGAGATTAACCAGACTGTGTTAACAAAGAACATTTCCATGTAGGATGCACCTGTACAAACGTGTGCAAATATTTCCTCATTCCACAGTTCATTGGTGTTCTGATTCGTTTAGGTGCTAAAGTTTTAATTCACATAAAATTCCTAAGTAAGCAGTTCTAAAATTTTGATTTTGACTTGTCTTAAAATATTTCTAAGTAAGCAGTTCCAAAATTTTGAAATTTTGATTTTTTAAAAATTTTTTTGGCCCAACTTAACTGAAAAAGAGAAGGAAGAATAGTAAATCCTCCTGAATCTATCAGCAATGGAGAGGACAGTAGGGTCTAATTTTCATTTATGCTGTCTGTCAGGTTGATGGATTAGCTTTTATTATACATGGGTTATGTGCCAAACAATGTCTTTTGATTTGGATTCAAGGAAAACAGCAGGAATCTTGAATGATGAGAGTTCTGAAAGAGTTGTTATTTCTGGTCCTTTGATAGAAGTAAAGAGAGACTCATAGCTAAAGTAACACCAAAGTCTCAAAATCAACTTCACATGTAGTTTACTCATTGGGTGAGACACAATATGAAGAGTCAAAGCTAGTCATGATTCAGTGGAGTTTGACAAAATTTCTCTGTGTCCACTTAGCTAAAAGCCTTCTTTCTCTGTTCCCAGGTGCTGAGATGTCTATGCAGGCAAGTCTGAGGTTAGCCTCCCAGAGTTTCGGGGAAAAGCACACAGGCATTCCTGAACACTCTGAGAGGTGCAGAAAAGTGGCTGAGCAGACAGACACAAGGTCTGGCATGGAGGCAGAGGATCACAGCGGAGCATGGACCTAACAGCTGGATGCCGTGTGGTGATATCACTATCAGCAGAAGATGCAACAAGACCGGGGCCACTGCTCAAGGCCAGAGAAACAGGTTTGTAGGGGCCAGTGGGTCAGCGGTGACCATAGAAGACAGTCTTCTCTACTTTGATAGCAAAACAATGCGTAAGGCACCTGAGGAACTCAGATTACAACCAGGGAGAAGAAAATCAGAGGTACAAGGTGGGATGCATCCTGAATTGGTAGAGGAGATACCCCAGAGTGTTCTACCAGAGTTGACAGAATTACCTTGAATAAATAAGAAGAAGGTATTTTATTACCAACAGTCTCATGGGCTAAGTTTAAGTACAGAGGAATAAAGTTATATCTTTACACACTTGGGTGTGTGACAATGTAAAATGTCAACATTATACTTCCCAATGGACTATGCCATGCAGAAGGCAGAAAGAAGTCAAAAGCCTGTTCTTTTTTTTCCCATTCCATAGTAAATAGCAGAAATTATTCCCTTTGTTAATCTAAGCATACACCAGTCTGTAGGTTCATAATGAGAAATAACTTTTTGTTCTTTGATTTTTTTAAACAAAATATAGAATTTATAAGACAAACCCTTTTTGGTTTGTGTTTTATTCCACCTTCTTTTAGCTAGATTTGAATGAAAGCAAAATAAAGCTATGTATTGAATAAATATGTTAACTCCACAGTATTTTTGAATATATATTTTTCATGGTATAGTTCCAACTTTCATTGGTGATATTGATATGAAAGTCAGATTTACTGAGAGGTAATGTTCAGCCTTGGAAGCATCACCAAAATGTGTATATAAGGCCTTTGTCCACTAATGAGTGTCCTTTTATGTGACTGGTTTTGTAAAGCCTTACACTGTGAATGGACCGTCAATCAACTCGCAGCTGCACTGAGGCCTTCGGATGGCTGTATCCATGGCAACGTGCCAAAAATGGCGGCGCAAATTAATCCATTTGTGTGAAATTCTCAGTGAGAGTCCACTTTCATCTTTCAGAAACTACTGTTAGGAAGTCTGATGATAATGTAAAATACTAAGCAAAAGCAAAATAGTGATGGACTATCCACAGGATCTTCTCCCTGTAAACAGTGGGACTTCTTTTCCTTTTTATCTGCTAGAGATGACAGAGCAGAGTTGGGGATGTAATATTACCACCATAATGTTCTTTTTACAAAAAAAGTTACATTAATTTAATGTTCACATATAGGCTTCTTTTTCACCTTCTCTCACAATGCTATCTAATCAGCCTGGAAAATAAGTACAATGATTTACACAGTGGTACAAAATTAAAAGTAATCTTTTATCTTGATGCTTTATTGCTAATAGTATTTGTATAGCATATAGCATATAGCATGAGAGGTACTTCCAGCATCGAATCTGAAATTAATTGTTAGCTTCCTCTGTTATGTGAACAGAAGCAGCTAAGTCTTTGTCTCTTAGAAAGGTTCTTTAAAAATCATCATTCTTTGTCTTAGATCATGCATTATCCCTACATCTACACAAGTTTGCTTTTCAAATGCCATATCTTAAAAAAACATATTTTGCCTCTGTTCGGATAAATTTACTTAAAACAAAATTGCAAATTGTATTGTTAAAATTATTTGATGAAAAGGTAACTTTTCACAAACTAAACATGTAGGGCAGATACTGCCTTTTATTTTAGAATTTACATTCATTAATCAAAGATATCCTAGTGAAAGCATAAGTGATGTGCCTTATGTCTACTTGTTACTCCTGTCTTGGGGACTTGAGCTGTATTTTTACACACAGAACAAAAGGATTATTTTCTCTTACATTGTTCTCAGCTTTCTAAAGTCATCAGCTACTTTGAGAATCTAATAAAAGTTCTAGACACCTATGAGAAATACACATATGTATGCTGTACAAATTTCCTTGCAGTTTCAGATGATCCATGGACTACAGGTTAAGAAGATGTTGGTCAGGCCAGGCTCAGTGGCTCATGCCTGTAATCCCAGCACTTTGGGAGGCTGAGGCAGGCAGATCAACTGAGGTCAGGAGTTCGAGACCAGCCTGGCTAACATGGCAAAACCCCGTCTCTACTAAAAATACAAAAATTAGCCAGGCCTGGTTGTGCACACTTGTAATCCCAACTACTCAGGAGGCTGAGGCAGGAGAATCGCTTGAACCCAGGAGGCGGAGGTTGCAGAGCACCGAGATCATGCCATTGCACTCCAGCCTGGGTGACAGAGCCAGAGTCTGTCTCAAAAACAAAGCAAAACTATGTTGGTCAAATTGGTGTTGAAAATTTTCTCTAAAACATTGAATGGAGACGTCCAGTTTCAGTCCCAACACTTAAAGAGCTTGGAAGTTGTCACTTCCATACTTAAAACAAGAAAAAATTGAACAAAGGAAAATCAATGGCTTTTCTTGGCCTTAGTAGAGAACTGGATTTGCAGGGCAAATTGCTACTTTGAAAACCAGAGAAAGCAGTAAGTCTAGAGAGTCACAGGTGAGATCTATTTACACAGAGCAGAAGCAGCTAGATCCATAAGCTGGGAGGAACACTGAAATGGCATTTCTAATGAATTGCTGGAGGCCAAGAGTAGACTAACTTGAGAGTGAGAAACTCCTGGGGGCTACAATCTGAGGAAACTCCCAAACTGTCCTAGGTTTACTTCTAGAAATTTTGTCAGCTTCTCATGATGATAATCCAAAAAAATTCCTGTTACAGTTTTGGCAGGGGAAGGGGAAGAGAAAACATTGTGAAATACTCCCAGACTGTTCTGTATAAAGCAGACCTAGTCTCCAGGAGAAAAAAACTTTACCTAAGTCTTATCCCACAGAGAAGGACTTTCCTCCTACTCTTACTCTTTCTAGCCTTCGGTCTCATGTCAGTTGGGAAAACAAGATATATCACTGGAAAAACACTTGTGAAGGTCACAGCCCAGAGATGCAGACAGATTGAGATTTAATCATAAGATTATAGAATGCTTCCCCCACAACACACCTGACCACCGCACCAACATAATATATGAATGAATAATAAGAATGAATTACAGCTGAAAGAGTTGGAAGACACACAGTCTGTCTAAGGAAGGGTTTTTAGAGGAGCCCAAAGCAAGAGGAGAGACAAAATCAAGGATAATAGCTGCAGCCTCTGGCACCAGAACAACAGCAAACATTAAACAAAGCCCAGCTTCTAGCCACATGAATGTAAATCTTCACATTAAAGGCCCATTTACCTCAGTTCTAATTACCCAATGCGTCAAATTGTAAAGCATGATAAATGGAAGAAAACCCCATAATCTGAAGAAACCATGTAAGCATTAGAACCAGACTCAGATAGAACACAAGTGTTGGAATTGTAAGGCAAGAAAATTTACATAACTATGGTAAAGAACATTCAAGAAAAGTTAAATAATGTTTGAAGAGAAGGACTCCACTTACAACACTAGGCAGATCATTGAGGTAGAAAATAAACAAAGAAACTCTGGACTTAAACTGGACTCTAGACCAAATGGACCTAATAGACATTTATAGAACATGCTACCAACAACTGTAAATATATATTTTTTTCATCTGTGCATAGAACATCCTCCAGAATTGACCATAAAGCAAGTGTCAACAAACTGGAAAAAATTGAAATTATATCAAGTGTCTTTTCAGACCACAGTGGAATACAATTAGAAATCAAAACCAAGAGAAACTCTTAGAATTATACAAATACATGGAAACTAAACAACTTGCTCTGGAATGACTTTTAGGTAAACAATAAAATTAGGGCAGAAATAAAAAATTATCTAAGATGGATGAAAATGGAGACACAACATACCCAAACCTCTGTGAAGGCAATGCAAGGAGGAAAATTTATAGCAGTAAATGCCTATATCAGAAAGATAAGAAAATATCAAATTAAAAACCTAACATCACACATAAAGGAGCTAGAAAAACAAGAACAAACCAAACACAAAGCTAGCAGAAGAAAAGAAATAACAAAATGAGAGAAAAACTAAATGAGATTGAGACCCCCAAAAATACTACAGACGATAAATGAAATAAAAAGTTAATTCCTTGAAAGAATAAACAAAATTGGTAGACTGCTAGGTAGATTAACCAAGAAAACAAGAGGGAAGATTCAAATAAGCACAATCAGAAATGATAAAGGTGACCTTATAACTGATATCACAGAAGTACAAAAGATTATTAGAGACTGCTATGAATATCTTTATGCTCCTGAACTAGAAAACCTAGAGGAACTGGAAAAATTCCTGGAAACATACAACCTCCCCTGATTGAACCAGGAAGAAATAAAAATCCTCAACAGACCAATAATGAGTAATAAAATCAAATCAGTAATAAAGTCTTCTAACAAAAATAACAACAACAAAAAAAGCCCAGGACCAGAGAGATTCATAGCTAAATTTTACCAGATACACAAAGAAGAGCTGGTACCAATATTACTGAAACTATTTCAAAAAACCGAAGATGAGGGATTCCTCCTTAAAGCATTTTATGAAACTAGTATCACCCTGCTACCAAAATCAAACAAGAACACAACAAAAAAAGAAAACTACAGGCCAATATCCCTGGTGCATACAACTGGAAAAAGCCTCAATGCAATACCAACAAATCCCATCCAACAGCATATCAAGAAGATAACTGATCACTATCCAGTGGGTTTTAACCCGGGGATGCAAAAATGGTTCAACACACACAGATCTATAAATATGATTCACCATGTTAACAGAACTGAAAACAGAAACCATATGATTATCTCAATAGATGTGGAAAAAAACTGATAAAATGCAACACCCCTTCATGATAAAAAACCTCAACAAACTAGACATCGAAGGAACATACCTCTAAGTAATAAGAGCCACTTAGGACAAAGTTGAAAGCATTCCCCCTATGAGCTAAAACAGGACAAGAAGGTACACTCTCACCACTCTTGTTCAACATAGAAGTGACAATCCTAGGAGTGAAAATCCACAGTAATCAGGCAACAGAAAGAAATATATGGCATCCAAATTGGAAAAGAGGAAGTCAAATTATCTTTGTTTGCTGATGGCATGATTGTATATCTATAAAACCCATAAAACCACTCCAAAAGACTCCTAGACTTGATAAACAACTTCAGTAAACCTTCAGGGTATAAAATCAGTGTACAAAATAAGTAGCATTTCTAAATACCAATAACAGTAAAGCTGAGAATCCAATCGGGAACTCAATCCCATTTACAATAGCCACAAAAGTGTATCTAGGAGCATATTTACCCAATGAGGTGAACGGTCTCTACAAGGAGAACTAAAAGAATCAATATAATTAAAATGTCCATATTTCCCAAAGCAATTTATGGATTCAGTGCAATTCCTATCAAAGTACTAACATCACTTTTCACAGAATTAGAAGAAACAATCTTGAAGTTCACACGGAATAAAAGAAGAGCCTGGAATAGCCAAAGTAATCCTAAGCAAAAAGAACAAATCTGGGGACATCACATTACCTGACTTCAAATTATTTTACAAGGCTATAGTAACTAAAACATTATGGTACTTTGACAAAAGTAGACACATAGATCAATGGAACAGAATAGAAAACCCAGAAATAAAACCACATTCCTACAACCAATTGATCTTCAACAAAGTCAACGAAAATAAGCAATGGGGAAAGGACTCCCCATTCAACAAATGGTGCTGTGAAAATTGGCTAGCCATATGTAGAAGAATGAAACTGGACACCTATCTCTCACCATATAGAAAAATTAATTCAAGATGGATTAAAGATTTAAACATCAGACCTGATAATATAAAAAATCTAGACAAAAACTTAGAAAAAAAAACACTTTTGGACATTGACCTAGGCAAATGATTTATGACTAAGACCTCAAAAGTTAATGCAACAAAAACAAAAACCGGCAAATAGAACTTAAACTAAAAAGCTTCTGCACACCAAAAATATAATCACCAGAGTAGACAGACAATGAACAGAATGGGAGAAAATATTTGCAAATTATGTTTTGAACAAAGAACTAATACCCAGAATCTATAAGGAGCTCAAACAGTTCAGAAAGAAAAAATACAACCTCATTAAAAAGTGGGTAAAGGCAAAAAGTCATTTCTCAAAAGAAGACATACAAAAAGCCAAAAAACAAATGAAAAAATGTTCAACATCATTCATCATCAGAGAAATGAAAATTAAAACCACAATGAGATACCATCTCACATCTGTCAGAATGGCTATTATTAAAAAGTCAAAAAACAATAGACATTGGCGTGGATACAGAGAAAATGGACTGTTTATACACTGTTGGTGGGAACCTAAATTAGTTTAATTTCAATGGAAAAAGGTATGAAAATTTATCAAAGAACTAAAAATTGAGCTACCATTCGACTCAGGAATCCCAAAGGAAAAAAAAATCATACATAAAAAAAACACCTGGACTCTTACGTTTATTACAGCACTATTCAAATTAGCAGTGTTATGGAACCAACCTGTGTCCATCAACAATTGATTGGATAAAGAAAATGTACTATATATACACCATGGAATACTATACAGCCATAAAAAGAATAAAATCATGTCTTTTGCAGCAGCATGGATGGAACTGGAGTCCACTATCCTAGAATATATAACTCAGAAACAGAAAATCAAATATCACATGTTCTCACCTATAAGTGGGAGCTAAACAATAGGTACACATAGACATAAAAATAGAAATAAATGACAATAGGGACTCTAAAAAGGGGGAAGTCTCGAGGGGAGTGAAGTTTGAAAAATTATCTATTAGGTACAATGTTCATTATTTGGGTGATGGATATACTAGAAGCCCCAAATTCACCATTATGCAACATATGCATGTAACAAACATACATGCACCTCCTAAATCTAAACTAAAATAAAAAATTTAAAAAGAGAAAATACTAGAAAATTTAAAAAGTAATTGTAACATAATTGAAGAATACCTTTGACAGGCTCATCAGCAGACCAGACACAGCTGAGGAAAGAATCACTAAAATCATCTGAAGAGAGATCAATAGAAACATTCCAACTGAAATACATAGGAAACAATAATGAAAAAAGTGGAAAAGAACTCAGATAAATTACCAAGCTTATAATACAGATGTAATTGGAGTACTGGAAGGAGAAGAATGAAAGTAGCAGCAGAAATATTTGAAATACTTATAACCAAGAACATTCTAAAATTACGAGGTATAAAACCACAGATCCAGGAAGCCAGAGAACAAAAAGCAGGATAATAAAACACACACACAAACAACAACAAAAAGCAATGACACCAGGTATATCATATTCAAACTGCAAAAAACAAAGAGAAAATCTTAAGAGAAGCCAGAGGGAGAAAAATCACCTTATTTATATAGAAACAAGAACAAGATTTCTAGTGGAGTTACTGTCAGAAACTATGCAAGCAAGAAGAGAGTGGTGAGAAATATTTAAAGTATTGAAAGAAAAGAACTCACTAACTAGATTTCAATATACAGTGAAATTATCCTTTAAAACGGAAGGAGAACAAAAACCTTCTCAAATATACAAAAAACTGAGAAACTTTGCCAGAGGCCTTCCCTAAAAGAAATGTTAGAAAAAGTTCTTCGGGAAGAATGAAAATTATATAAGTGAGAAACTCAGATCCACATAAAGAAACAAATAGAATTAGAGAAGAAATAAATGAACACAAAATAATGTCACTTTTTAAACTCTTAATTGACTTAAAAGAAAATGTTTATATAAAGTAATGGCATTAACAATGGGTTTGTGATTGTGAATTATGGATAAATCAAATAAATGACAGTAACATAATAGAAGACAGGAGGAAGGAAATAGAAATACTCCAAGGGAATGGCACTACAATTGAAGCAGTAGAGTGTTACCTGAAGGTTGACTTAGATTAAAGATATATTGGAAAATGTAGGGCAACCACTAAAAACTCTTAATGAAAGAAGTATAATTGATATGACATAATTAAAATAGAATTTTATAAAATATTCAATTAAAACTACAGAAGGCAGAAATAGAGAGGGGAAGGAAAAAATAAAGAATAAGAAATAGTTGCAAATCTGGTAGATATTAAACCAAATGTTTTTATAGTCACTTTTAATGTTAACTGTCTTAATATACAAATTAAAAGTCAGAGAATATCAAAATGGGGTTAGAGAAAAGACCTAATTATATATTTTCTATAGGAAATCCAACTTAAGCATAATTCAGGTTATAAAAAGCAAAAAAGGTATACCTTACTAACGCTAATAAAAAAAGGATGAAGTAGCTGTATCAGTTTAACAAAAAGCAGAAGAGGGAAAATTATCAAAGGTTAAAGAGAAGAATTACATAATGATAGAACTGTTAATTTTCCAAGAAGACACAACAATCCTTAAAGCATATTCACCTAATAATAGGTGTCAAAATACATAAGGAAAAACTTATGGAACTGAAAGGAAAAGAAACAAATCCACTGCCCTAGTTGGAGATTTCAACACTCCTCTTTCAATAATTGATAGATTGAGAATTAGAAAATTGATAAGGATACAGTTGACTTTAAGTGTTATGAGAATAGTATTCTCCTAATACCAAAATCAGATAAAGGTAGTACAAGAACAGAAAACTAAAGACAAATATCTATCAACATAGATGCAAAAATCCTCAACAAAATATTAGCAAATCAAGCTCAAGAATGCATGAAAATAATTTTACACCACAATTAAGTGGGATTCATTCCAGGTATGCGAGGCTGATTTAAAACTTGAAATCAATCATGTAATCCACCACATCTCTATCCTAAAAGAGACAAAGCATGTAATCATATCAACTGATGTAGAAAGAGCATTTGAAAAAAATCCAACACCCATTCGTTTTAAAATCTCACAGCAAATTAGCAATAGAGGGAAACATCGTTAACTTAATAAAGATCATCTACAAGAAATCAACAGCTACACATAGACATAGAAATAGGGACTAGATGTTTTCTCCTAAAACCTGGAATAAGGCAAGGATGTCCTTTCTCACTACTTCTATTCAACATCATACTGGAAGTCTTAGCTACTGTACTACAACAGGAATTGTAATTTGTGCAGATTGAAAAGGAAGAAATGAAATGGTTTTTATTGACAGATGGCAAAAAAATTATCTATGTAGAAAATTCGAACAAATCTACAAATAAAAAATTTCCTCAAACTAACAAGTAAGTATAGGAAGGTCACAGGATACAAGATTAATATACAGAAGTCAATTGTTTTTCTATATACCTGCAGCAAACAATTGGAATTTGAAATTAAAACAATACACTTTGCAATAGCATCCCCCAAGATGACATACTTAGATATAAATCTAGATGCATATGTACAGTATCTATATGTGGGAAAGTACAAAACTCTGATGAAATCAATTTTAAAACATCTAAATAAATGGAAGTATTTTCCTTTTACCTGAATCAGTAGAGTCAAAATGTTAAGATGCCAGTTCTTCTGAAATTAATGAAGAGATTCAATGCAATCCCAACCACAATAACAGCTTAGCTCTTTTATAGATGTTAAAAAACAAATTCTAAATTTTATATGGAAAGTCAAAAGACCTAGAATAGTCAACACAATACTGAAGAAAATGAACAAAGTTGGAAGACACACTACCCAATTTCAAGACTTATTGTAAAGCAAGAGTAATCAAGATAGTGTAGTACTGATGAAAGAACAGAGAATTTATCAGTGGAACAGAATCAAATGATCTCTGACCAAGAAGAAATGGCAATTTAATGGAGAAAGGATAGAATTTTCAACTAATGGTGCTAGGAAAATTGTACATCCCAGAAAAAATGAACCTAGACACAGACCTTACACATGACAATATATCATAGACTTAAATTTAAAATGGACCACTATAAAACTTTTAGAACTGATAAATAAGTTTAGTAAAGTTTCAGGATACAAAATCAATGCAAAGAATCAGTAGCATTTCTATATACCAATAACATTCAAACTGAGAGCCAAATCAAGAACACAATCCTATTTACAATAGCCACACAGAAAAATGAAATACCTAAGAAAACAGCTAACCAAGAAGATGAAAGTGCTCTACAAGGAGAATTATAAAACACTGCTGAAAGAAATCAGAGATGACACAAACAAATGAAAAAAAATCCCATGCTCATAGATAGAAATAATCAATATTGTTAAAATGGCCATAGTGCTGAAAACAATGTACAGTTTCAGTGCTATTGCTATCAGTACCCAATGTCTTTTTTTCACAGATTTAAAAAGACATTATTCTAAAATTCAAATGGAGCCAAAAAAGAGGCTGGAATAGCCAAAGCCATCCTAAGCAAAAAGAACAAATCTGGAGGCATCACATTACCTGCCTTCGAAATATACTACAAGGCTACTGCAACTAAAACAGTATAATCCTGGTACAAAAACAAACATGTAGACAAGTGGAACAGAATAGAGAACACAGAAATTAAGCCACACACCTGTAAGCGTCAGATCTTCAACAAAGTCAACAAAAATAAGCAATATAGAAAGACTCCATATTCAATAAATGGTGCTGGGACAACTGGCTAGTCATATGCAGAGAATGAAATGGCACCCCTACCTATCACCATGTATAAAAGTTAACGCAAAATGGATTACAGACTTAAATGTTTGACCTTAAACTATAAAAATCCTAGAAGAAAACTTATAAAGTACCGTTTTCAATATCAGCCTTGGCAAATAATTTATGGCCAAGTCCTCAAAAGCAATTGCAACAAAAACAAAAATTGACAAATGGGACTTAATTAAACTAAAGAGATTCTGCACAGCGAAAGACACTATCAACAGAGACAACCTATAGGATTAAAGAAAATATTAGCAAACTATGCATCCAACAAAGGTCTAATATCCAGAATCTATAAGGAACTTACAAACAAATCAACAAGCAAAAAGCAACTGCATTAAAAAATGGGCCAAAGACATAACAGACACTTCTCAAAGGAAGACATACATGCAGCTAACAAATATATAAAAATGCTTATCAGTACTAATCAGAGAAATTCAAATCAAAACCACAATGAGATACCATTTCACACCAGTCAAAAACCACCTTCAGTAAAAAGTATAAAAACAACAGATGCTGATGAGGCTGTGGAGAAAGGGAAACATTTATGCACTGCTGGTGAGAATGTAAATTAGTCCACTCACTGTGCAGAGCAGTTTGGAGATTTCTCAAAGAACGAAAAGCTGCATTACCATTCAACCTAGCAATTCCATAACTATGTATGTGGCCAAAGGAAAAGAATTTATTCTACCAAAAAGACACATGCATCTGTATGTTCATCGCAGCACTATTCACAATAGCAAAGACACGAAATCAACCCAGGTGCCCATCAACTCTGAATTGGATACGAAAATATGGTACATATAGGCCAGGCGCGGTGGCTCACGCCTATAATCCTAGCACTTTGGGAGGCCGAGGCGGGGGGATCACGAGGTCAGGAGATCGAGACCATCCTGGCTAACACGGTGAAACCCTGTCTCTACTAAAAAATTAAAAAAATTAGCCTGGCGTGGTGGCAGGTGCCTGTAGTCCCAGCTACTGGGGAGGCTGAGGCGGGAGAATGGCATGAACCTGGGAGGCGGAGCTTGCAGTGAGCTGAGATCGCGCCACCGCACTCCAGCCTGGGCCACAGAGTGAGACTCTGTCTCAAAAAAAAAAAAAAAAAAAAAAAGAAAAAAAAAAGAAAAGAAAATATGGTACATATACACCCTGGAATACTACGTAGCCATGAGAAAGAATGAAATCATGTACTTTGCAGCAATGTGGATGCAACTGGTGGTCATTATACTTAGCGAATCAATGCGGAAACAGAAAACCAAATACTGCATGTTCTCACTTACAAGTGGGAACTAAATATTGAATACACAGGACACCAAGATGAGAACAATAGACACCGGGACATGCAAGACGGAGGAGGGAGAAGAGGGGACCAAGGGCTGAAAAACTATCTATTGGGTACTACTATGCTCACTACCTGGGAGATGGATTGTACTGCAAACCTCAGCATCACATAATATGCCTTTGTAACAAATCTGCACACATACACCCTGAACCTATAATAAAAATTTTAAAAAAGACATAGCATGAATTTGACATGACTTGCATCTGGTGATGATTTTTAGTGATGACAGCAAAAGCACGATGAAAGAAAAATCGGTATGTTGGACTACATTAAAATTAAAAACTGTTTTTCTCCATTAAAGAAACTGTTAAGAGAATAAAAAGGCAAGCCAGAGATTGGGAGAAAATATTTGCAAAACACGTATCTGATAAAGAACTTGTGTCCAAAATATACAAAGAAATCTTAACACTGAACAAAAGGAAAACAAACAACTCAATTAAAAAATGGGCAAATGATCTGAAAAGACACCTTATTAAATACTACAAATGGAAAATAATCATATGAAAAGATGCTAAACATTTCTCATTAGAGAATTACAAATTAAAACAACAATGAGATTTTTTTTTCTTTTTTTTTTTAAGACGTAGTCTCGCTCTGTCGCCCAGGCTGGAGTGCAGTGGCGCGATCTCGGCTCACTGCAAGCTCAACCTCCCGGGTTCACGCCATTCTCCTGCCTCAGCCTCCGGAGTAGCTGGGACTACAGGTGCCCGCCACCACGCCCGGCTAATTTTTTGTATTTTTAGTAGAGACGGGGTTTCATCGTGTTAGCCAGGATGGTCTGGATCTCCTGACCTCGTGATCCGCCCGCCTCGGCCTCCCAAAGTGCTGGGATTACAGGCGTGAGCCACCGCGCCCGGCCCAGCATATGTATTTTTTAAAAGCTAGGTAATTATCCACCTGACTTGGAAATGTATGTTCTTACAAATTGGGGGAGAGTGGAACATCTCTTTTGCAGAAGAATTCCAAATATTTTTTGTAGATACTCAACCGTCTAGAAAGTGGAGTATAATTCCCAACTCCTTACATGTGGGCTGAACATAGTGACTTCCTTCTAAAGACTACAGTGTGAAAACGCGGGAAAAAGACTAAGAGACCTGACAAACACCTCAGCCAGTTGATCTTTGTCAACATCGAAATTGACTGGTCATGTTGATGATATATACCTTTAATATGTGATGAAAATGGCATTTTACCTCTGGTATCCTCTTCCCCAAACCCATACCCCTGTCTAATCATGATCAAACAAATCTCAATAGAAATTCTACAAAATGCCTGACCAGTACTCCTCAAAAACTGCCAAGGCCTTGAAAGGCTGACACAAGGTAAAACGAGGAAAGGAAAAACAAGGAATGGCTGAGAGACCATCACAGGCAAGAGTTGCCTAAGACGACATACCGACTAAATGTGATATGGTTTCTTGAGTGGGAACATTTAACAGAAAAAGCATATACCGTAAAAACCTAGGAAAACTGAATTAAGTACGGATTTAGTTTGTTTTAAAAATTCAGTGATAAAATGCTTCTCTCTACTTGCCATTATTTCTTTTTGGAGTTCTAGGTATTTCTTTTTGGAGTTCTAGGTATTTCTTTCACACCCTAGAGCAGCGGTCCCCAACCTTTGTGGCACCAGGGACCAGTTTCTTGGAAGACAATTTTCCCCCAGATGTGGGAGCAGGAGGATGGTTTCGGGATGAAACTGCTCCCCCTCAGATCATGAGGCATTATTAGATTCTCATAAGGAGTGCACAGCCTAGATCTTTTGCAGGTACAGTTCACAATAGAGTTCGCGTTCCTATGAGAATCTAATGCTGATCTGACGGGAGGTGGAGTCGAGGCAGCAATGCTCACCTGCCTTCTGCTCACCTCTTGCTGTGTGGCCCGGTTTCTAGGGGTTGGGGACTCCTGCCCTAGAAGGTTCTCAGAGATTAGGTATGGGAGCTTTGTAGGCTGATCTTGACTATTCCCAAGTATCACTGCATTATGTTCTTAATACTTATAAAACCTATATTTTATTAATTAAGCATTTATTCTATTCTCAAAATTTTACTAAATTGAGGGTATATAAAGGAAGGCAAAATAAAAGTTTCTGTCCTAATGGAATTTAAAGTCTTAGGACTGAACAGCCATGTAGCAGCTGGACAATATAGTTTTTGTTTTCACCTCTCATCTGAAGGCATGAAAACTTAATTTTTTAGTTACATTTGCTTAAAGATATTAGAACCAAAAGTACTGTAATACTTCTCACCTTAAAACAAAATGAAACAGAAATTACTTATCAGGACCTCAGATCGCCTTGCAACCACCCCCTCTTTTCTCTGTTCCCTCTTACACTGATACTGCTGAAGAGTTGCCTACAGGTGTTGCAAATTCTTTATAACCAATTTATTCTCCAAATCTCTTTAATCTTGCTCTGAGCCCTTCACTCAGTGGAAACTGCCATTGTTAAAAGTCTAAAACTAATATTCACGTTGGTTAATCTGAAGTTAATTTCTGTTTTCACAGTGTTCCTCTTTATCAACAGTAAAACTTTTGACTACTCTTCCTTTTTGAAATACTGTTACCTCATTAGCTCCTCCTCGGCCTTCTTCCCTAACAGCTCCTTTTCTGCCTCAGATTTAATCTTCCTTACATAGTTATTAATGCATTTACCTTCTTCTCTCTTTGTTCTCTCCCTACACGATTTTATTAACTCCATCATTTTATGCTACATCCATAGGCTGTTGATCTCCAAGTCTTGCTCAGGTTCCTCTTCTAGGCATCAGATTCCCATTTTTCACTCCCCACTTGACCTTTGCTTTGGAAATTTTACGAATTGCAGACAATTCATCTCAAACGGAACTTGTCTTTCATCCTAGTTTTCTCTATTTCCAGTAAATGGCATCACTATCTACCTATTGCCTTGTCTGGAAATGAGGAATTCATATTTCATTTAGCATTTCCTTTACTCCTGAAATTCAGTCCAGCATTAATGAAATTCCGTGTTTCTATATCCAAAATATATCTTCACCTGTTGAATTCTTTCTCTCTGTCATCATCACCTTTGGCCAGTAACTATCATTCTCACCTGGATTCCTGCAACTATTTTTCAACAAATCTTCCCTCAAACCATTGTAAGACATTCATAAGCTTTAGGCAGGCTTAATTTTAGAGTCCATAATTCCCATCATATAAACCAAACCATATTGAAATATTTCCATATCCTACATTAAAAGCAATATTTCTGCTGTGGAATAGTCTTAAAATTTGTTTATAAAATTATTTGGTGTCAGGATTTTATTTAATATATGACCAGCTAAGTTATATATTTTATATGACCAGCTAAGCAATAGATGAAATAAATATAATATATAAAAATATATATCATATTTGATAAAATTTATGATTATTTATTAGAAATTTTCGTATCAATATAATTTTTTTATAAATGAAAAGAATCTAAATCTCAAACATTTTTTAGCTTATGACATATTTTTGAGTTTTATATTTTAAAATATATACTTTTAGCCTATTATTTGTATAGGATTCAATTGAACATTTGTTTATTTTGATGTTGTGCCAAACACATAACTCTCTTAAGATAGCACAGCAAAGAAGTATCAGAACCAGAATTTGAAACCAAGGAATCTGGTTCCAGAACTGAGCTGTTAGTTCTCACTGTCTTCTGAATACTCTACGAATATGAGACTGTTGGTTTTCAGATGTCCTGTGGTCCATATCACTTGTTCATATGTATTTGTTCACTAGGCACTTCTGCCCTAGTATATTAAACAGAAGACAAGAGAATGCTGCCAATGTAAAAAGCATGCCAGCTGCATATTTCATATAACTTTTAGATAGTTAAGATTATCAAGAGTGTTATTAACTAACAGCACCCCATTTTTGGAGGACAACTAAGAATTATCACACTTTCAAAAAGAAGTTTTACTTTCAGTTAGAAAATAAATAAGTTTTGGGGACCTAATGTATAGCACTGTGACTACAGTTAATACTACGGTACTGTATTATTTACTGGAAATTTGACGAAAGCCTATTTTAAGTGTCCTCAGCTCCCTCCCCACAAGACTGTCCCGTGGTAACCATGGGTGATGAGGGATATGTTAATTAATTTGACTCTGGTAGTCACTATACAGTACATGCATATATAAAGTCACCTAGAATATATACAATTTTGTATGTCAATGATAACTCAATAAATATAGGAAAAAAATACCAAAAAGTTAGTTGAAAAATTTTGAATCAGCATAGTCTGTGTGCCCAACATGTTATTTAAAAGTCAGTAACTTGCAAGAGCGATCCCTGAATGACTGTGTTTTCCCCCTCACTCTTGTTGGTATGAAGATGGTATTTCAGATTAGAAGATGTTTGAGTGTAAATCATTCATCAGTGTCGTTGCCACATTTGGTGAAATGCGTTTTTCCCTCCTTTAATAACAAATGCTCCAGGTTTTGAGTTACTCTATGTTTTGCTTCAGTCATGGTAGAGAATTTTACCGTGGGATGCTCGCCAGGGACCATACTTGGTTCATGCAACATAGATGCTAGTTTTACAATTTTTGGCCCTCATAGTGATCATCTTTGGCTTTTGAGGTCAGGCATAGCATTCTTCTAGCTATACTTGTAACATTTTAGAATCCGCTTTCAAGAAAGAATGCTCATTAGCAAGGCATCTGCCATGTTCCGGTAAGGTTGCTTTACAATGAATTCCTGAGAGCTGCAAAATGTGAGCAAAATGTCTTTATACTGGTAGGCAATCAGTGAGAATTAAATAGGTCTTATTTTTCCTTTGCCAGATTTAAAGCAACTGTAATGAAAGTTGCTTAGTATTAAATTCTAAAGGTTTTAAATAACGTAAACTTAAAGGTAAGAGTCCATGTCTGTCAAGCCTCCGATGATACGAAAAGGAAGGGGAAAGTGCCATCATTCCCATGTGGTCAAAGATAAAACTGTAGTTTTACTGGTTTTTATCCAGTCTTCTATCCCTTCTTGTCCACATTGCTTGCTAAACAGATAAATTCTCTGTAAAATGTGTCTTGAGAAACTGAAACAACTCAGCTATTAAAAAGAAGTCAGTAGTGACAACAGCCACTGATACTAGGTGGAGAGAGAATTCCATGACAGGTTATTTCAGTTTAGAGAGTACATAAAATGGCACTCTTTAATCTTCATGAAGGGCAATTAGAAGAAACTGCCTCATGGTAGGAAAATGTACAGAAATCAGTCCTTTAAGTTGCATCTAAAAGAGATTTGGAAAAACTATAGATGCTGAAATATGTGTTGCTGTATATTTCACTTGGGCAGTTTTCTTAAAACTCACTGAATACGGTGGGCAAGAAGTAATCTAATTTTCACTCCACAGTATGTCCAACTTTATAAATTTAGAAGCCCTTAATGAGAATTTAAAGAAATTAGAGTAAATACCTTTTACTAGATTGAAGAAAGCTGAAACTGGATCTCTTCCTTACACCTTATACAAAAATTAATTCAAGATGGATTAAAGACTTAAATGTTAGACCTAAAACCATAAAAACCTTAGAAGAAAACCTGAGCAATACCATTCAGGACATAGACATGGGCAAGGACTTCATGTCTAAAACACCAAAAGCAATGGCAACAAAAGCCAAAATTGACAAATGGGATCTAATTAAACTAAAGAGAGTCTGCACAACAAAAGAAACTACCATCAGAGTGAACAGGCAATCTACAGAATAGGAGAAAATTTTTCAATCTACCCATCCGACAAAGGGCTAATATCCAGAATCTACAAATAACTTAAACAAATTTACAAGAAAAAAATCAAACAACCACATCAAAAAGTGGGCAAAGGATATGAACAGACACTTCTCAAAAGAAGACATTTATGCAACCAACAGACACTTAGAAAAATGCTCATCATCACTGGCCATCAGAGAAATGCAAATCAAAACCACAATGAGATACCATCTCACACCAATTAGAATGGCAATCATTAAAAAGTCAGGAAACAACAGGTGCTGGAGAGGATGTGGAGAAATAGGAACACTTTTACACTGTTGGTGGGACTGTAAACTAGTTCAACCATTGCGGAAGTCAGTGTGGCGATTCCTCAAGGATCTAGAACTAGAAATACCATTTGACCTAGCCATCTCATTACTGGGTATATATCCAGAGGATTATAAATCATGCTGCTGTAAAGACACATGCACACGTATGTTTATTGCGGCACTATTCACAATAGCAAAGACCTGGAACCAACCCAAATGTCCATCAATGATAGACTGGATTAAGAAAATGTGTCACATACACACTATGGAATACTATGCAGCCATAAAAAAGGATGAGTTCATGTCCTTTGTAGGGACATGGATGAAGCTGGAAACCATCATTCTCAGCAAACTATTGCAAGGACAGAAAACCAGACTCCGCATGTTCTCACTCATAGGTGGGAATTGAACAATGAGAACACATGGACACAGGAAGGGGAACATCGCACACTATGGCCTGTCATGGGGTGGGGGGAGGGGTGAGGGATAGCATTAGGAGATACACCTAATGCAAATGAGAAGTTAATGTGTGCAGCACACCAGCATGGCACATGTATACATATGTAACAAACCTGCAGGTTGTGCACATGTACCCTAGAACTTAAAGTATAATAAAATAAATAAATAAATATGGTAAAAAAATTGAAAATGCAATACAATGAAATAAATTTTACTTGTCTGGAAACTATAGAGTAAGAATATTTTCATGTTTACTTCATTATGATCTTATTTTTTACACTACTTGGATTTATGTAATAAACAAGTACATGCTATTGTTTAATCAAAAAAGAAACTTTCATGACATATCATAGAAAGTGTGGATTCAACTTAGTTGCCTCTATTTCATAAATATAGTATATCTAGAACGATGATTTAAAAATTGTATTTCATTTAATATTTTTGAGTGTCTAATATTTTCTGGTCTCTGCCTTTTAAGGAAGAGGTGTGTGAGATCTGTCCTCCCCTCTGTATAGTGACACAGACAAATAGATGATGTTTGTGCTCATTGGTAATTGCTGCAAGAGACAGAAAGAATTACTGGGTGTGTGAGCAAAGAGAAACATTTTATAATTGGAGGAAACCAGGAAAAGCCTCACAGAGGACTTAGGTTTTGAACTTACAAGTAAAATATTTGAAAGATGAGTAGGTGCTCAAATTATAGAAATGAAGGATAGGAATTTTTTTTTAAAGAAATGGCCTCAGAAAAAAAAGCTGTGGATCTTAAAAGGTTTATGTACTTGGGAACTATGACAGGAACTTTGCTATGATTAGAGCTGCAAGTAGTTAAAGGTTGGAGCACAGAATAATCCTAGAAGCACCTGACATAGTAATATGGAAGATTCTTTTTAGTTTAGCTCTTTTTGCAGTTTTACATATTGCTTTTTAACCTTTGAACACTGACCATCCAATAACCCATAGGCAGCAGGGAAAAATATATTTTTTAATTTCCTTCCAATCCTTTTCAAATAATTATTTAAAAAAATCAGGGATTATAGGCCAGGCGCGGTGACTCACGCCTGTAATCCCAGCACTTTGGGAGGCCGAGGTGGGCGGATCACAAGGTCAGGAGATCCAGACCATCCTGGCTAACACGATGAAACCCCATCTCTACTAAAAATACAAAAAATTAGCCGGGAGTGGTGGCGGGCGCCTGTAGTCCCAGCTACTCAGGAGGCTGAGGCAGGAGAATGGCGGGAACCCGGGAGGTGGAGTTTGCAGTGAGCCTAGATCGCACCACTGCACCCCAGCCTGGGCGACAGAGCAAGACCCACTCAAAAAAAAAAAAAAAATTCAGAGATTATAAACTTAGATGGCAAAAAAAGCAGGCAGATAATGAAAATGAATGAAGTAGGCCAGGTGAAATATTTAGCTTTCCTCTTGGTCTAAGAGAAAAGAGCAAGTGCAATGGTAAATCACAGCAAAGACTCCGATTAGGTCCTGAGTGGGCAGTGCTGGAGGCAGTCACTGGACAACACTTGCCCCATTCACAGGAGCTGGCAGCTCCATCCATTTTACCCTACACAGTTGCGGTGCCCATGTTGCCAGATATCTTGATTTTGCAAGAGAAGCCAGAAATAAGGATTTTTCTCTGCTATATCCCAATTTTTAAGTGCTAGTAAATCCTTCACATTTTTTTTTTAAACAGTATGTGGGCCAACTTTATAGCACGGCCAAACAAAACAGGCTGGGGTCCTTATCAGACCGTTGGCAGCCAGTTGACCATTGCTGTTTTACATTGTTGAGATCATACAATATACTCAATGTCCTGCTTTTTCCCATTAAGATTAAAGCACCATAGAATTGTTAGAATTTCAACATCCACTCTTTTTAGTATGAGAATTTAAAAATACACTAAAAATTCGAGCATATAGTAAAGATATATGCATATATTGAACACCTATATTTAGTAATCATTAATCTATCTTTTTTTGTTTTGAACCTATAATTTAAAAAATAATACTTTATTAAATAAAACTTTTGCACTTCTCTTCAATTATATTTTCAGCAGTTCATCACTAGAAATAATTATTCTAAAGTTAATATCTTCATATTTATGTTTTAGTACTATTAATAATTTATATACATAAATAAGAGTTATTGTTTGCAGATTGCAATTTAAATAAGAGGTATTATACTGAATGTTTCATTTGGCAACTTTTTTTTTTAACTCAACACTATTCTAGAGAAATCTAGCCAAGTTGGTTATCAATAGGGGTAAATCAGTTTAATTTTCATAGCTACAGAAAGCAAAAATTCATTATAGAGAGTAGCATTGTATAAATATATGTTTATTTATTTTCTATTGATGGCTATTTAATTTTCTCCCATTTTTTTCGCAGAAATTATGTTGTATTGAACATCTTCCTACATATTCCCTTTGGCACATATATCTAATTTCTCTAGAGTGTATAGTTGAAGAAGTGGGTTTCTAGGTTCTAGGGGGCCTATGTCTTCAACTTTACTGAATGAAAATTTTAAAATTTTAATTAAGAATACTAAAAATTGGCTTCCCTAAATAGTTATACCAATTCACACTTTGCCAGTTGTCTGTGAGTTCCTTTCCCCCATTTTTTGCCAGTATTTGGTATTTTCCAAATTGGAGCATCTGTTTATATGTTTATTGGCCATTTGGGTTTCCTCTTCTATAGCATCTCTGTTTATAGCCTTTGAAAGTTTTCTCTTTTCACTTGTATTTTTAAATTTTAGTATTCACAGCTTAATAATTTTAGTTGTCAATATTTCGTCAGCTATATGTTTGGCAATTTTTAAAATTTTAAAGACTTAATCAGATTTACTCATCTTTTTTTCATTTAAAATGTCATATCTTATCTAATAAATCTTTCTTTTAAAGAATGACAATACTGTCCTATATTTTAAAATATTTCAATTTTGCTTTGTGCATTTAAGTCTTTAGTTTCCCTGGGATTTATTTTGCGTATTGTATTAGGGTTCTCTAGAGGGACAGAACTAATAGGATATATATTTATATAAAGCAGAGTTTATTAAGTATTAACTCACATGATCACAAGGTCCCACAATAGGCCGTCTGCAAGCTGTGGAGTGAGCAGAGCCAGTCCAAGTCCCAAAACTGAAGGACTTTGAGTCTGATGTTTGAAGGCAGCAAGCATCCAGCACAGGAGAAAGATGTAGGCTGAGAAGCTAGGCCAGTCTAGTCTTTCCACGTTTTTCTGCCTCTTTTATATCCTGGCCACACTGGCAGCTGATTAGATAGTGCCCACCCAGATGAAGGGTAGGTCTGACTTTCCCAGCCCACTGACTCAAATGTTAATCCCCTTTGGTAATACACTTTCAGACACACCCAGGATCAATACTTTGTATCCTTCAATCCAGTCAAGTTGACACTCCATATTAACCATCACATCTATGGTGTGATGTAGGTATTTAATTTTTTTCCTTATTAACAGTCAATTGTTTCAGCTCTATTTCTTGCCTAATCCCATTTCCTATTTTCAGTTGCTCCCTTTCTAGAATATGTATTGTATATGGTTCCATGTTCAAAAGGCATGTTTACTTTAAAAGATACACATTAGCAAGCATACAGCTTTCGAAGCCATCCAATTCAGGGCATTCTCTAGTACTAGCTCATGTATGCCTGGAACATTGACAAGTGATCAATAAAGTACAGCAATAAGAAATTTAAAAAATAAAACTTGGTAGATCAATTCTGAAGACATCACAGAGGTATAGCAGTGAAAGAGATTAAGATGTCAGCCAATTAAACAGTTTGTTTCAGTACTTTATCCAGTGTCCCAAGACCTAAAATTAATTCTTTTTCTACTGAAAAAGGGAAAATAGTTCTTACCTGTTTGTTCTATGCTAAGAGCTTTACAACATTTCAAAATCTATGCTATCAAAAGAAGTTCAGTGAAATATTTTTATTTAATACATTTATTGTTTCCATTGCCTATTCTACCACTGCTTCATAGACATGTGAAAAATGTTCATGCCGATGGTTATTGCCTCAGATGACGTAAGACTGCCCTAGACAAAGCTACTCATAAGGCTGGAGTAGAGTCCTGTAAGAGACAGTTTTAAATTGGGTTAACACTGGTAAAGGGACAAAAACATTATCTTTAGAACTATTAACTCATAAATTCTTTCAATTTTGGAATGTTGCCATGAAGCTTTCTTAATCCAAACCCTAAAGATGCCATTGTTCTTTATTCCATTGTAGGCTTTTTTCTTCTTCCTTTTCTTCTCTCAATGACTTGTAAATTATTGCCTGCTTCATCTAATTCTGGTCAATCTAGACCCTGATAACTATTCTTGTTGTTCATCTTCTGAGAGAAATGATAGGGGTCAGACCAGTCTTTCTCATTTAGATTATTTCCCCGTTCTTTCCAGTTATTGAAACACATATAAAGCCAACTAAACTCTGCTCAGTTGAATTCAGATTATCATTTTCCAGTCAACATAAGATATATACATATATATTCATTCTTTTATGCTTTAATCATTTGATCAATAAACTGAAGATGTTTAGATTTTTTTTTTTTTTTTTTTTGAGATGGAGTCTCGCTCTGTCGCCCAGGCTGGAGTGCAGTGGCGGGATCTCGGCTCACTGCAAGCTCCGCCTCCCGGGTTCATGCCATTCTCCTGCCTCAGCCTCCCAAGTAGCTGGGACTACAGGCGCCCGCCACTACGCCCGGCTAATTTTTTGTATTTTTAGTAGAGACGGGGTTTCACTGTTTTAGCCGGGATGGTCTCGATCTCCTGACCTCGTGATCCGCCCGCCTTGGCCTCCCAAAGTGCTGGGATTACAGGCGTGAGCCACCGCGCCTGGCCTGTTTAGATATTTTAATTATCACTTCTAAGTAAGCTTAATGTAAGCCTGCATTCTAAAAAGCTTACATTAACAATTTACTGTTATTTTAACAAAATATATAATTCAGAAAAACTCATGAGTATCTCAATAGATGCAGAAATACCATTTGTCAAAGTTTGACATTCATTCATGATTAAAGTCTCAATACAATAAAAGTCATATATGACAAGTCCACAGCTAACATCATAATCACTGAAGAACACCTGAAAGATTTTCTTCTAAGATCTGATAAAAGGCAAGGGTGCCCACTCTTGCCATTTCTTTAACATACTACTGGAAATCCTAATCAGAGCTATTAGACAAGAAAAAGAAATAAAAGGAATCCAAATCAGAAAGGAAGAAGTAAAATTAAATCTATTTGCAGATGATATGATCAGATACATAGAAAACCCTAAAGACTCAACAACAACAAAATGCCTATTAGAATAAACAAGTTTAGTAAATTTGCAGGATTAAAAAAATCTACATAAAAAAATCACATTTCTTTTTTTTTTTCTTGAGATGGGGTCTCACTCTTTTGCCCAGGCTGGAGTACAGTGGCGCAATCTTGGCTCACTGCAACCTCCACCTCCCAGGTTCAAGCAATTCTCCTGCCTCAGCCTCCTGAGTAGCTGGGACTACAGGCACACACCATCATGCCCAGCTGAGTTTCGTATTTTTAGTAGAGATGGGGTTTCACCATGTTGGCCAGGATGGTCTCGATTTCTTGACTTGGTGATTCGCCTGCCTTGGCCTCCCAAAGTGCTTAGATTACAGATGTGAGTCAAATAAGTCACATTTCCATACACAAACAATGAATTATTCAAAAAGGAAATCAAGAAAACAATATTATTCATAGTAGCAACAAAATAATCAAATATTTAGACCAAAGAGGTATAACCTAAACAAAAGAGGTATACTGAAAATTATAAGACATTGATGAAGGATATTAAAGAAGACATAAATAAATGGAAAGAAATTTCATGTTCATGGATTGGAATAATTAATACCATTAAATTGTTCATATTACCCAAAGTGATCAGCAGATTTGATGTAACCCCTATGAAAACCACCATGGTATTCTTTACTGAAACTACTCCTCAGATTCGTATGGGATATGGAACCACAAAAGACCTCAATTAGCCAAAGCTATTTTGAGCAAGAAGAACAAAACTGGACACATCCTAGTCTCGGATTTCAAAATCTATTACACAGCTACAGTATTCAAAACAGTATGCTCCTGGCATAAAAACAGTTATGTAGATCAAAGATAACGGAGAGGCCAGGAATAAATCCACACATCTATGGTCAACTGATTTTCAACAAGAATGCCAAAAACACATCATGTGGAAAGAGAGTCTCTTCGGTAAACAGTGATGGGAAAACCAGATAGCCATATGCAGAGGAATTAAATTGAACCCTTATCTCATACCATATACATGCATCATACACCATTTACAAAAATCAACTAAAAAGACTTAAAGACCTAAAATCATAAAACTAATGGAAGATAATATACAAAAAAGTTTTATGACACTGGTCTAGGCAATGATTTTTTTGGATATGACCCCCAAAGCACAGGAAACAAAAGCAAAAATAGACATATAAGAATGCACCAAACTGAAAAGCTTCTGCACCACAAAGGAAACAATAAGCACAATGAAAAGACAACCTATGGGATGAGCAAACATTTTCTCAAACAGTATATATCTGAAAAGGGACTAATACGTAAAGTACGTGAGTAACTCCTGCAACTTCATAGTAAAAAAGAAAAAAAGCAACAAATAACCCAATGAAAAAATAGGTTAAGGACCTGAACAGACAGTTCTCAAAAGAAGGCATGCAAATTGCTAACAGGTATGGGAAAAGATGCTTTTGTGTCTGGAATTTATTCCTTCAGTTTGGTTCTTGGTCTCGCTAACTTCAAGAATGAAGCCACAGACCCTCACAGTGAGTGTTACAGTTCTTAAAAATGATGTGTCTGGAATTTGTTCCTTGAGATGTTCAGATGTGTCTGGGGTTTCTTCCTTCCATGGGTTTGTGGTCTCGCTGACTTCATGAGTGAAGCCACAGACCTTCACAGTGAGTTTTAAAACTCTTAAAGATGGTGTGTCCGGAGTTGTTTGTTCCTCCAGGTGGGTTTGTGGTCTCGCTGACTTCAGGAGTGATGCGGGAGACCCTCGCGGTGAGTGTTACAGCTCATAAAGATAGTACAAACCTAAAGAGTGAGCAGCAACAAGATTTATAAAAGCGAAAGAACAAAGCTTCCACAGTGCGTAAGGAGACTCCAGGGGATTGCTGCTGCTGGCTCAGGTGGCCAGCTTTTATTCCCTTATTTGGCCCTGCCCACATCCTGCTGATTGGTCCATTTTACAGAGAGCTGATTGGTCCATTTTACAGAGTGCTGATTGGTCCATTTTACAGAGTGCTGATTGGTGCATTTACAGTCCTTTAGTTAGACACAGAGTGCTGATTGGTGTGTTTTTACAGAGTGCTGATTGGTGCATTTACAATCCTTTAGCTAGACACAGAGTGCTGATTGGTGCGTTTTTACAGAGTGCTGATTGGTGCATTTACAATCCTTTAGCTAGACACAGAGTTCTGATTGGTGCGTTTTTACAGAGTTCTGATTGGTGCGTTTACAATCCTTTAGCTAGACACAGACTGCTGATTGGTGCGTTTTTACAGAGTGCTCATTGGTGTGTTTACAATCCTTTAGCTAGACACAGAGTTCCAATTGGTGCGTTTTTACAGGGTGCTGATTGGTGCATTTACAATCCTTTAGCTAGACACAGAGCGCTGATTGGTGCGTTTACAATCCTTTAGCTAGGCAGAAAAGTTCTCCAAGTACTAGACCCAGGAAGTCCAGCTGGCTTCATCTCTCACTTTCACTACTCACCACAAAAGTGCAAATCAATTCCACAATGAAACATCACCTCACACCTGTTAAGATGGCTGTGATCAGAAAGACAAAAGATAACGTGTTGTCTGGAATGTAGAGAAAAATAAATTTGTATATGCTGTTGGTGGGAATATAAATTGATACAGCTATTATGTGAAACCATGTGAAACTAAAAATGGTTCCTTCAAACTAGAACTAAAAATAGGACTACCAAGGGCCCACAGTCCTGCAATGCCACTTCTGAGTATTTATCCAAAGGAATTGAAATCAGTATCTCGAAGAAATACCTGCACTCCTATGCTCATTTCAGCACTATTAACAATAGCCAAGATATGGAAACAACCTAAATATTAATGAATGAATAAAGAAGCTGTAGTATATATATACATATAATATTCCATATATTACACATATATATACACACACACACACTCTATGGAATATTATTCAGACTTTAAAAAGAAAGAAATCCTGCTATTTGAGACAGCATGGATAAACCTGGAGGACATTATGCTTAGCGAAATAAGCCAGACATCGAAGGATAAATACTGCATGATCTCACTTATATGTGGAATCTAAAAATGTCAAACTCATAGAACTGAAGAGTAGAATGGTAGCTACCAGGAGCTGGGGAAGGGGATGTGAGGAGATGTTGGTTAAGAGGTGTAAGTTTTAGATATAGAAGATAAATAATCTCTGGATATCTAATGTACAACAATGTGAATATGGTTAACATTATATACTTGAAATTTGATAAGAGGGTAGATCTTAAGTCTTCTCACCACACACACACACACACACACACACACACACACACAGACAAACACATGGCACAGTAGCTAAAGGAAGTGTTAGATATGCTAATCAGCTTGATTTTGGTAACCATTTCACAATGTATATATAAATATAAAAACACCATATTGTATACCTTGAATATATATAACTTTTAATTGTCTATTTTTTCAATGAAGTTGGGGGAAAAAAGATGTAGCTCCTTCATTGTTTTTTTCCCCTCCTTAAATTCTCTTTTCACTTTCCTCAGGTGACAGTCTGGGTCATTTGAAAGAAATACTTTTCCATTTGAGGTCAATAAAATATTTTTGCACCTTTTCTTTCCTGGTTCTGCTCTGCTTCTCTAAGCAGTAAACTTCACAGTGATAGACACTCTGGGTGAGCTCACAGCTTTTTGAGGGGTATATTCAATTCAGGAAACTGGTAGGATTTCCTGGATTTGGGGCAGGAGACCTGGAGAAGTAGATGGGAGGAAATCAGGGAGCAAAGTAGCCCGGGGCATTGGCCTGGACTGAGTGCTGAACCAGGGGTTTTACTGGAGTGCATTTCTCTGCAGTGCAACTTTGTATCTGCAGTGCTGAGATTGGCTTCTTGTAAGCAGAAGCCTGGGTGCATGGTTTTCATTCCGAAGCTATGTAAGATTTTGATCTTGGCAAGTGACTGCAGTTTATGACAGCTTTGTCCACAGGAAAGTGTCTGTTTTACAGAGAGAACTGCAGAAACCAGACCTTCATGGAACAAAGCCTTTGTGAGGTTTTAGTTTTAAATTACCAGAGCCAGGTTTAGGTAAGCAGTGCCAGATTAGCTGTAACAAAATGTATTCTGCACGTAGGGTCACGGAGGGGGCTGTGAAGAAGAAAGCATCAGCTTCGTGTGGCTACACAGTGGCTCTAGAGTCAGGCATTGTTGTGTGCTCTCAAATTAAAGATAGACAATGGATTGCATGTGAGGGAGTAATCATCCCAAAGACAGCTTGCTTAGGCTTCAGCAATAGCACCATGAGGCAGTGCAAATAGCTTATATGGCACAGGTCTGAAAAATACTGTAAGAAGAATGTGGATGCTGATACCATTGGGGTGCCAGAAACATTGGACTCGGAGGGAAACTGAAATTAAGCAATTTTTAATGCAATGCATGTGAAAGAAAGGCCCCTCAAATAAGAACAGGTGACTGTACTTCCTCCTGTGTAAATTTCTAAACTTTTCAAGATGGCAGCAATGGCCTCCTTTGCTCTGAGAGGGAAGGCAGTAAGCATATGTAGATTTTAACCTAGGGAGATGATCAGGATAGACTGCCAGAATTTTCCTCTTGCTCAGAGAGTCCTCCATGTAAAGTTAAAGTTCACAGATCATGGATTCTGGGCAGCTGATGTAGAATGACTGGCCTTCTGGAATAACTAAAACAGATTTTCTTCATATACCTTCCTTTATGCAGGTCCCACAGAGTGGGCTTGGCTTTAATGCTTGCCTAGAGTAAGCCTGGGATTCTGCTATGGTGTTCATCAATGAAATATCATGGGTTCTGGGAATATGATTTTTTATTTGGATAATTGTTTTTGAGTCTGAGGATTATCTCATTTTCTAAATGTTATAGGTGTGAGGTGATAGCTATGATACTTATGAAGAATCATGTGAATCCCAGTAACTCTGGATTCCTTACAAGTGAGCCTCAGGAGAGCCTTAGCACAGAACTAATACTATGACTTCTGAAGCCCTGAAAGAAGAGCATTCTTTCCAGTGGGAGGCTTCCTAGCATATATTTACTGAGGAAATGACAGCTTCACTGAGAACTCCTCTGGCTGAAACGGGGCAGAATGAAATTTTGGTAGAGATACCTTTTGAATTTTAGTTTTCTTAAACTTTTAATTTGTGAAGGAAGAAGAGAAAGAAGAAGAGAAAGAGGAATAGGAGGAAGAGGAGGAAGAGGAAGAGGAGGAAGAGGAAGAGGAGGAAGAGAAAGAGGAGGAAGAGGAAGAGGAGGAAGAGAAAGAGGAGGAAGAGGAGGAAGAAGAAGAGGAAGAAGAAGAAGAGGAAGAAGAAGAAGAGGAAGAAGAAGAATTATTATTATTTCAGCCGGTTTTTTTTTTACTTTGCACTTTCTGTAGGCCCTAACAACTAATTTCATTTTTTGACTTAAATTTTTCCTCCATGTTGATTGAGCAGATTTATATTCAAATCAGAGGCATGTTCATTTTACTGTTGTCATTTGCTATATTGCAGAAGGTGACTAATTTGTCCCAGTTTACCTGGGACTGCCCTGGTTTTAAAATGGAAAGCCCCACATTTCAGAAACTGTCAGTCCCAGGCAAACTGAAACGATTGGTTACCCTTTCTGAAAGGTTATGCTGGAAAATGTGGCTGTACATACTTTGGACATAAAAGAGGGAATGACCTTTTGGTTTGGGAAACAGATTGGATTTGAAGTGAATTTACTGGACATACTGTTCTGACCCATTCCAGAGTCCTGTTTGGGCAAAATGCGGATTTTTTTTCTTTTTTAAATGAAACACGTCTGGAGAATATATGAATCAGTATGGTGTCAGGAAATCCACTTGCTGGGGGTGGGTGGGGGCAGTCTTAATGGGCAGCTATTTCCATCCCATGTGCGAGAAAGCCTTGCTTCAGATTGGCCATCAGCTTAATGGTGAAGCCAAAAGGATTAAGAGAACCAAAAGCTGGATCATGTTTAAATGACACTTCTTTTCCAATTTTGTCGTTCTCTTTCACAAAGAAAGAACTGTTTGCATGGCCTTTCTCCCTGCACTCACTAACTTCTCTCTCACCCTAGATAGAAGCATTTGGAAGGAAAAAGTGCCCATAGCCATCCTGGCCCTTTACCTGCATGTCTGGTTAGGGTCACGGCTGCTAGCTTAAAGAAAATGTCCAGTGCTTCTCAAAAAGTGCTCTGCTGAAGGCAGCATTAGCACTACCAATCTTGATAAAAATCCACATCTGGGGGCCCCACCAAAAGTCTACTGAGCCAGAATATTGGTGTAATGCCAGAATACTGGGCAGTGTAATGATTTGCGAATGTTTAAGGTGATTCTTATGCAGGCTAGGTCTAAGATACTGCTCTAGGTTGTGGAAGAGCTACTGTGTGTACCTGGGAAGTTGCAATGTTCCAGGCTTGCTGGTGACTAATGGGATAAATCAAATTCTGGGACTAATGGGATAAATCTAATTCTCATTAGTATTAGGAAGTCCTCCTCCCTGATAACAATTTTTTACCCTTTTTTATGGAATGTAGCTAAGTTAGCAGAAAGTGACCTTTTTCAGGCCTTGCTTTTATAATATTTTGGGTGGAAGCAGAGTGACATTTAGTCTAGGGCTAATGATTTCCTGCAACTGAGGCAAGACTCTTTTGAGTTCTCTCCTGAAAACCCTATGAATTATGAAGTTTCCATTCGGGCTGATGAGAATAGGCTCTGCCTCCAGCCCCAGGTATGGTTCCTTCTAATTCCATTGGATGATCTTTCCCTGGATTTAGAGAGCTTCCTCACACAAACAGGATGTTACTTACTGAGCTGAATATGAAAGGCAATGCTTTGCAGAACTTGGGAGTTCTATCTGTGTAGCATTCTCCTTTCTGGTATTATGCCCTGAAATGCCAGCTGCCTTGGCCTCTGGGACTCCCAGCTCTGTGTTCTCAATCTGAAGAATGCTGGGCTCAACCGGGGCTACCCTTCCTTTTACCCTGGACTGGACACTCTCAGGACAGTAAGCTGGAGAAATTAGTGTTAATTTGTTGCCAACTCTTAGAGATTTAGTGCCTGATGTCCAATGATGTGAAAACCACTATTTCATATATTTTGCCTTTTATACTTGTGTCAGGCAGAAAGTTAAATTTGTTCTCTGTTACTCTATCTTGAGCTGACATGGAAGAACTCTTCTGCCATTTTAATTATAATGGCAGTGTCCCATTTTATGCAGACCCAGACTTCCATTTGTAGTTTTATTTTCCCATATTAAATTTGCGATAATTTCATTATATCCCTCCTCAATATCCTGCAGGGATTTTTATGTGAATTGCATTTAATTTCTAGATTTAGTAAGAATTAATATCTTTAATCTCATCTATGAACAGGATCAGGACTCACACTTAACCCAACTCTATGGAGCAGCATTCACATTGCATGTGGTAGGGGTAACACCTGTTAGGATTAGGTAAATAGAATGGCACCAAACAAACAGTACTTATCCGTATACCATGATCTTTTATATTTTAAAAAGAAATTTCAGCCAGGTGCAGGGGCTCACGCCTGTAATCCTAACACTTTAGGAGGCCGAGGTGGGCGGATCACAAGGTCAAGAGATTGAGACCATCCTGGCCAACATGGTGAAACCCCGTCTCTTCTAAAAATACAAAAATTAGCTGGGTGTGGTGGCACATGCCTGTAGTCCCAGCTACTAGGGTGGCTGAGGCAGGAGAGTTGCTTGAACCCGGGAGGCAGAGGTTGCAGTGAGCTGAGATCACGCCATTGCACTCCAGCCTGGTGACAGAGTGAGACTCTGTCTCAAAAAAAAAAAAAAAAAAAAAAAAAAAAAGATTTTTTGTATTTTCTTCAAAAATTGTATGCATCCTTTAAATTTAATTGATTGATATTCTATAGTTTTTTTGTTCATCTTATTTTCTGTTTCATTATCTACAGTTGCTGGTGCAAAGGGTCACTATTAATTTTAGTAAAATGATCTTGTATTTGGCAATCTCACTTATTGTGACCACTTTCAAGATATAAGATGGACCCTTCACTCCAAATTTGGTTCAAATGCCTAGACTGATAGTACCATATACACAGCAAGAGAAGATGAAATCAAGGTCTCTGGGGAAAGCAAGGCAGGCTTTATGAGTAGCTCCAACAGGGACAGAGAAAGCAAGGGAAGGAGGCTGGCTAGGATTTTAATACTTGTGTTTAAGGGGTGGGATTGGGTTGAAGGTTCTCACACATGGGCAGGGGCTTGCTTGGTTTGGATCTCCCACCAGCACCCAAGGAGGGAGTACCGGGCTTTATTGTATTTCTTAATTATGCAATTTAAATATTATTATAAATGAAATATATTAATTTAGCAATTATTACAGAAATAATATCTATAAGTGGGCACAAGGGAAAGAGGCTGGGGGTTAGGCACAATGACAAGTACACTCTGTCAGGTGATGGATTTAAAAGTTAGCCTGATTTATTCACTCCACATTGTAGACATATAGCAAAATGTCACCTTGCAACCAATTATTTGACAGTTAAGAATAATACTAAAAACAGAAGTTGTCAGCACTCAAACATCAAAAATTGCAGTTAAACTGTTTATTGCATTAATTCAATCTAAAAGTTTATTTTTTGAAAAACTCAGGAGTGCGTGGAATTTCTTTGGCAATGACATCACTTGAAATAGGACAATTCAATCTTTTTCTAACTAAATCAAATCACATTTCTATGTTTCCTTGCCCTCAATCATTATCCAAGATATCCAATAATGTATTGTGCAATAACAGTGATAACTGGTGTTTCTGATTTGATCTTGACCTTAAAGAAAAATGATTAAAATTTTTTTCGTTGAATGTGGTGATATTTCGTGATTCATTCTGCACATAGTCTACAGCAAGGTAAGAAAGTTCCCTTCTGTGTCTATTTGTTAGAATTCTTATCATAAATGGGTACTGAATTTTATCAAACACATTTCTTTTCAGTATTTAGATGGTAACATAGTTGTTCGCATTTAGTCAATTAAGCAGTGAATTGCATTGGCAAATTTTCTGCTACTAAATCTCTTTATTTAACATAAAAATAACTAAATTAATATATTACACTTCAAATATTATTTAAGTTGCATAATTAACAACTTACTTAGGATTTTGATTTCAAATGAGATAAATTAATGTTATTTTTGTGTGTGTGTTTGTATTATCTGTATTGTTACGAAAGCTGTACTAACCTCATGGATTGATAAAGGGAATTCTCTTTTTCCCCCTGTATTCTTTATTTCTATAAGTTAGGGATTTTTTTTGTTGTTCTCAAATGTTAGTGACCAATTACAGAACTCTTATCTGGATTTAGAGGTCATTTTGGGGTACGTGTAAGCAGTAGACATTTTTAATTTTTATTTCCATTTCCTTAATAATTATTTTGAGTTCAACTTTTCTCTTTCTTCTTTAGATTGTTGACATTTTAAAAGTCTTTTCAGACATGGCATTCTTTTTATTTGAACTTTCAAATTTAGGGGTGTGTAGTTATGTGCAATAACTTTTTAAATGTTAAAAATAACTGTTATATATGTCATTATTTATTCCATTTTCTTTTTTTCTTTTATTTATCTGTCTTGCTAGAGATTTGTTTATCTTGTTAGTTTTTTGAAAGACAAAGCCTTTTGTTTTGGCAATATTTTTTAGCTCCATTCAAGGAATGGAGTTCATTGTGTTTCTGAGGTCAATGCACACATGAGCACTGAGCCTCACAAGTCTCCTTTGTTCGTCTGCCTGTCTTGCCAGGTTCCCCAGAAAACAGGGCCTGAGGAAAAGGCATCGCACTAAAATGTTATTAACATATGCAATCTCTAGGAACAGAAGTCAGAATAAAGGGGAATGAGGCAGGAAAGGAGGAAGAATCCATATCAAGGGAGGCTGACTGGTTGATCTTGTAGAATATATCTTCCAAGGCGCTGTATAATTGGTTATTTCTCAGGACATTTCATGTGGGGGAACAAAGGAAAGATCTGATCCCCCGGTTCACATTTCCCATGGGTCAAAGATTTATCCTCTGTGGTGTTACACCCTTCCTTGGGTTTTGCAACATTTTGTTTGGCTATGTGTTGACAGGAGTTTAGAGATGCGCATGGTGGACATGCCACGAGGAACTAGCAGGCTGTGCCTGTGTGAGGGTGGTCAGTTTGTCACACAGTCAAACTCTGCAGCAGCACCAGGGGCAGAACAAAGTGACCCAAAGCCCCCAAACTCGTAAGGCTGAGAGGACCTGAAGAGGCACCAAAGAGGTGACTGATGCCCTCTCTGCCTTTCTCTCATTTACCTATCCATTTGTTTTTATTCTTGTGAAATCACATTCTCCCTACCTCCTTCAGTTGGTGACATACTTGATATACGCCGCTGAAAGTATGTGTCATAATGAAATTGTGTTTGTGCCTGTGTGTATGTCTATGAATTTTTAGTTTACATAGATGACTACAAGTCTTTATCAACTTTTTACTATTTTCCATTTCTTTTTCACTTTTTCTGTTTAGGGCTATTTTGTTGTTGCTTAGTATACATCCAGTATTAAAACTGGCTAAGCCTAATATTCTTCCATTCATTATGTTGTTTGCTGATGTTTTTGATTAATTGCTAGGTTATTTATAGTTCTCTGTGACAGATCATAGATTTGACTCTAGCTGATTTAAGCAGAGAAAGATTTTGTATTTAAAGAATGTATTATCTCCAAGAAAGTCAGACATCCATACTTGGATACTACATAATCAGGAAGAGATCTATAATGGGAAGTTTCTGACCTCACCCAGCACTGTTGCTGCTGCCACTCGGCACCTATGTATTTTGAGACCAGATGCTCGGAAATCTGCCTTAGCTTCCTCAGAAGAACCATATCTCCAATACCACAAGCCCATCTCTCTACCATTCTATCTCCAAGTCTCGAGTTAAGTATGTCTGATTGGCTCAAACCAGGTCTCACACAGAATCCTAGCTGTAATAAAAATACAGACAATGTAGTTTTTAGCTTTCTTACCTTGAAAGTTCAAAGAGTTCTACTAGAATGGATTTGAATAGATGCTAAGTGAGCCAATTTACAGTATCTACCAGGAGTACTGAAGTATCAATATAACCAAACACGTTTCTATTCCGAACTTTTTTAAAATTATAAGTACGTAGAGAGATTCGTCAAATGCTTTTTATGCATCATGGCCTTAAAGGTTATTTAAGGCCATGTGTGTGACTGTTACTTGCTAAGGCTTTATGCAAGAAAGAATGAGTATGCATGCACATAAGCGTAGGTTGGACCACAACCCTACTTTATCTGCTCAATGACCTTGCTCAATATGTAGTTTAGGCCCCAAGGAGAGGGAAATTATTAGACCATCCATTTCTCTAGGTACATTATGTCATAAGTCAAGTTCACTAAAATTAAATATTTAAGCATTTAAAAATATTCTGTCATAGTAATGCCAGTCTTCAATATGGTAAGTTACATGGAGAGGATTTCTGAAGTTGAGGTATCATTACATTTCCAGTCAACTCTACTTAATTGTTGTGCATTTATGTGTGTGTGAGTGTATTTTCTAATTCTTTGTTTTCTTCATTCATTGGTTTCTTTTGAAATAAGTTGTTGACTACTTTCGATGGTTTGTGAACTTTTCATAAACATCATTGTAAATGGTTAATAATGATTATTTCTATTTTTTTGCTTTTATAAAATACACTCTAATATATTTTTGTACCCAAAGTAAAACTATTGGGCGTCAAATTTTATTTTTGTAAGACTTGTACCAAGGTACTTCCACCAGCAATGTGTGAGTGTGACTGTTTTGCTGGACCCCTAGCAGGACTGAGTTTTCTTATGAAATTAGCAAAAATTCTTGCTAATTAAAAGGCAAGAATAGTTATCTAGTTTAAATTTTCATTTTTTATTAACAAGATTAAACATTTTTCTGAATATTGAAATACCAGTGTTGTCTCCTTTCTTGCTCTTAAATTTTTGTTTTTTATGAAAATCTAACATATATTCAGAGAAGTGCTCAGACTAATAAAAATCTATAAAGCTCTGCACCTGACAACAGAATCCACATTCTCCTCAAGTGCACATGAATAATTGTCCAGGATCATGATATGTTAGGCCATAAAAAAGTTTAAAAAATGCATAAAGATTGAAAGCATACAAAGTATGTTTTCTGACTACAGTGGAATTAAATTAGAAATCATCAACAGAAGAAAATTTGGGAAATCAAAAATTTGTAGACATTGGGCTGGGCATGGTGGCTCACGCCTGTAATCCCAGCACTTTGGGAGGCCAAGGTGGGTGGATCACCAGAGGTTAGGAGTTCGAGACCAGCCTGGCTAACATGGTGAAACCCTGTCTCTACTAAAAATACAAAATTAGCCAAGTATGATGGTGCGTACCTGTAATCCCAGCTACTTGGGAGGCTGAGGCAGGAGAATCGCTTGAACCCGGGTGGCACAGGTTTTAGTAAGCCGAGATCGGGCCACTGCATGAACTCCAGCCTGGGAGATACAGTGAAATTCCCTCTCAAAAAAAAAAAAAAAAAAAAAGGAAAAGAAAAAATGAAACTAAAATGAGAATAACGAACTAACCCAACAAAAGAAATAATAAATATTAGAATAGAAACTAATAAGATGGAGAATAGAAAAATAGTACAGAAAACCTCTCTTACACTATATACAAAAATTAACTCAAAAGTTTGTTCTTTGAAAAGGTTAACAACATCAACAAACTTTTAGGTAGACTGATCAGGCAAAAAAGGAGAGAAGACATTTATCTTGTATATAGACAATCCTAAGTATAATAATACACACACATGCACACACACACAATTATGAAATCTAAGAAATGAGTTTAGCAAGGTTGCAGAATATAAGATCAATGTAAAAAATCAATTGCATTCCTGTATGTTAGCAATGAACAAAAATAAAATTAAACACTCTTCTCTCTTTATATATTATTAAATAGATTAAAATAGACTGGGCTCAGTGGCTCATGCTTGTATCCTAGCACTTTGGGAGATTGAGGTGGGTGGATTGCTTGAGGCCAGGAGTTAGAGACCAACCTGGCCAACATGGCAAAACCCTGTATCTACTAAAAATTAGCTGAGCATGGTGGCACACACCTGTAATCCCAGCTACTTGGGAGGCTAAGGCACAAGAATCGCTTAAACCCAGGAGGTAGAGGTTTCAGTAAGCTGAGATCTTGCCATGGCACTCCAGCCTGGGAAACAGAGCGAGACCCTGTCTCAGAAAAAAAAGAAAGGATTAAATAATTAGGAAACAATAAATCAAAAGACCTGCAAGTCTTATATATGGAAAAATACTAAGCATTGTTGAAGGAAATGAAAGAAGACCTAAATAAATGGAAAGTCATCCTGTGTTCATGGATTGGAAGATTTTATATTATTAACAGAGCAATAATCTTCAAATTGATCACTTGAATTCACAAATTGATATGGATTCAAAGCAGTCCATACCAAAATTGCAGCTGCTTTTTTTTTTTTTTTTGCAGAAATTGACAAACTGTTTCTAAGATTTATATCAGAATGTAAGGGATCCACAATAATGAAAACAATGTTGAAAATGCAGCACAAAGTTAGAGAAATTACAGTTCTTGATTTCAAAGCTGGCTACAAAACTAAGTAAATCAAGACTGTATAGCACTGGCAGAAGCCTAAACATATGTCAATGGATAGCGTTGGGAGTTCAGAAATAAACCCATACATCTATGATCAACTGATTTTCAACACGAAGCAAGATCATTCAATAGGGAAAGAATAGCCTAACAAAAGATACTGATACAACTGGATATCCACACTGAGAGAATGAATATTGGTCCCTATCTCACACCATATACAAAAATTAACAAACAATTTTAATGTAAAACCTAAAGCTATAAAACTCACAGAAGAGAGCACATATGTAAATTTGTATGACCTTGGATTTAGCAGTGGCTTCTTAGATATGACACTAATAATACAAGCAACAAAACACAAAAATGGATAAACTGAACTTCATTAAAATTAAAAACTTTTGTCATTTCAAATGACATTACCAAAAAAGTGGAAAGGCAACCCACAAATTAGAGAAAATACTTGCAAATTATATAACTGATTAAAGGTTTGCATCAGAATATGTAAAGAACTTTTAATGACTCAATACTAAAAAACAATAACCCAATTAAAAAATGACTAATGATTTGAATAGACATTTTTTCCAAAGGGATTTACAAATGGCCAAGAAGTATGTGAAAAGATGCTCACAATTAGTCAACAGTGAACTGCAAATAAAAGTGAATGTGAGACAACACTTCACACATACCAGGATGTCTATAATCAAAAAGACAGACAATAAAAGGTATTTGTAAGACTGTTGAGAAATTGGGATCTTCTAGTGGAAATGTAAAATGGTGCTGCCAGTTCAGAAAATACAGATGGCCCTTGACTTATGATGGTTCAACTTGTAATTTTTGGATTTTACAATGGGGTTATCCAGGTGTAACTCCAACCTAAATCAAGAAGCATCTGTAGTTTGGCAATTTCTCAAAAAATTAAACAGAGAACCAACCCAGTAATTTCACTCCTAAACATATACCTAAAAGAACTGAAAGCATAGATCCACACAAAAACTTGTACACAAATGTTTATAGAAGCATTAATCCTAACAGCCAACAAATAGAAACAACCTAAATATCCGCCAATTGAATGAGTGAACAAAAATGTGGTCTATCCATACAATGAAAGGCCGTTCAGCCATTAAAAGGAATGAAGTACTAATACATGCTACAACATGCTTGAGCCTTGAAAACATTATTCTAAGTGAAAGAGGTTGGACACAAAGGGCTACAGATTGCATGATTCCATCTACCTGAAATGTTCACAATGGGCAAATCCATAGGGATAGAAAGTAGCCAGGGCCTGGGGGTAGGGAGAGAATTGACAGTGTATTAGTTTTCTATTTCTGCTGTAACAAATTATTATAAACTTCATGGCTTAAAAGAGCACACATTTATTATCTTACAGCTCTGGAGTTTCAAGGTCTGAGATAGGTCTGAGTGGGCTAAAGTCAACATGTCAGCAGGACCACATTCTAGGGAGATCCACTTTCTTCCCTTTACCATCTTCTAGGGGCTGCATTCCTTGGTCCGTGGCCCGCTTTGCCATCATTAGATCACCCATGACTAGTTTAGTCTTTTTCCCATTGCACCACTCTGGCACTGACTCTTCTGCTTCTCCATTTTGCATTTAATATTTGTGGTGATTACCTTGGGCCCACTTGGATAGTCCAGAACAATCCCTTACTTTAAGGTCACTGACTAGTAATCTTAATTACATCTGTTATTTTAATTCTTTAATTCCATGTAAAGCCACATATTCACAAGTTCCAGGGATCAGGACATGGGTGTCTCTGGGAGGCTGTTATTCTGCCTATCACAGGGAGTGACTACTAATGGGTATGCGGCTTCCTTATTAGGGGCTAAAAATACTCTAGAACAATATATTAATAGCAGTCATTATTGTACAACTTTATGAATACAATAAAACACTAAATTACTTATTTAAAAGGGTGAATTTTCTGTTATATGAAGTATCTTTCAATAAGAAGATGATATGCAAAATAAAGGCAGATCACAGAAGGTATCATTTTCTTGATAAGATCTTTCTTTTCATTAAGAACAATTTCCCTAACATGTGCTCAGGCTGCCATGTATGGCTGTTCAGACTATATATGGCACAATTCAGGAAGAACAATTAACAGAGAATACATGTAAAGGGTAAGTCCTGCACCTGTAAAAAAGGGGTGGGTCTGCTATGGAGATACCAAAGAAATATAGTATATTTCCCTCCCTGCCTTCAAGGACTTTATATTTAAGTTGAATTGTCATGGGGTGTTGGGGATGGGATGTATATAATACACAGCCTATGTACAAAGCATTAGGGTAGGTACTGGCACTGTCTGGGTTGCTTTCCCAGATGGACATGGAATTAGGATTTAAAGTATGTATGACCAATAAATATGTAGGAAAAATTAATTTCATACAGAGAAAACAATAAGAATAAAACCATCAAGATAGACTAAAAAACTGTTATATGCCTTATATAATTTAAATATTTCATATAAAAAGTCCTGTGTTGAAAAAAGAAAATATTCCAACTGTCTCAAGAATTGGTTATTCCCACATTCAGATATTTAAGGTAAAGAAGAAATCTAACGCACAATTTATATCCCTATTTTTGTGTAACCAAGGCTCAAGCATGGCTGGGACACTTACTTCTTCTTAGTCGGTTTCTGATTTATTTTTTATCCCTAACATTGTGGAAGAAACTTCCCTTTCACGTTAACATTTCTTCAAAGGAGTTTAGGCACAAATGTTTTTTCTGTAACACAGGCAGAGGCGATAATATATAATATAGAGTATCTAATATATGTAGGTACTCTATTTCCTGAATGAATAGATGGATGGATGGATAGATAGATCATTGAATTCCTTCATGTGACTTCCTTCATTATATTAAGAAGTAAGAAAAATATAATGAATATATTATAGGGCAACCTCTAGCAGTGTTGGAAAAAGTGCTAATTGTTAGAAAACCCCATAGATTGAAAAACAAGTATACAGAATTTCTTGAAAATGATAGAATTAATTCCATTGAGAATCACTTAGTAGCTCTTATTTGCCACTTATTGGTAAATATTGTGCGATCGCGTTATAATTTTCAATGTTGCAGCAGTCATCACTGAAACACTGAATGGCCCTAATTATA
Organism: Homo sapiens; assembly: GCF_000001405.40. NCBI lineage: Eukaryota > Metazoa > Chordata > Mammalia > Primates > Hominidae > Homo > Homo sapiens. The sequence goes on from NC_000004.12 coordinate 176,491,171, forward strand.
CAGGGAGAAATAAGACATGATGCATTAATATATTAGTGAGGAACAGTAAAAATTCTTAATGGTTTTGAGATAGAGCCTTGAATGTTGATATATATATCCCTGGTTACCTCTGCCATCCTCTGGTTCTGGTCCACAGCTCTGTGATTCTCTGATATGGTGGATCCCTCATTCCAGGAAGGCTGTTAAGATCCTGCCTCATCCAATCACACCACTGTGCATTCTTGATCTCATCCTTGTCATCTAGGTCTTTTGGTTTGCGGCTTCATGGTAAATCAAAAGGAAAGTAACTTTAGACAAATCCAAGTTATTATTTCTAGCAGTCTTTGAACCTGGATAAGCCTGTGAAGTTGGACTAGCTCAAAAATTTCTCCACATGTATGCCATTTGCTCCTCAGAACAAGTCAGGCATGTGTAGTTAGACTCATTGGGTAGCTCAATAGATTGACACCGAGTTGTTACTGACTTGCCCAAGGTTACACAGCTAATAAGCAGGAGAGCCACATCCAGGATTCAGGGCTTCTGCCACATAAATTGATGTTCTCTCAATGACTCCAGGCTGCCTTTCAAAAACTGGAGAATATGATTATTTCAAATCATCTAATGGGTAAAATAAATATTACCACTTAAAATTGATCACTAAGCTGCTGTTAATCAATGGTCCCTATTTTTAACGAGTCTATACTGCTCAATGTTGTGAGTTAGGAAAAAAATTGTTATTTTAGAAAAACAAAATATATACTTGAACTTTCTCAGGTGTTCCAGTTTTTTAAAGTTTGAAACAGAATCATATCTTGCCATTTCATCTCAACTCTTCATCAGATGAACAGATATCTAAGATTAAACACTTCTAAAGCATATTCTGTGATTCTTCAGAAAGTAAACCTAGAGTTTTGTGCTTAGGAAATGATACTTGTATCATTTATTCTTTAAAATTGAGATATTTCTCCACTGCCATTAGAGCACTTATTTGTATTGTGAAAGAAATTCCCTTTCTACTTCAAAGATACCTAGTACCTTATTTTAAAACTAAAATGCTAGTTTACTGATACTGTCACTTAGCTTACTTCCTTAGAATACTAAAATTCAGGTTGGTCATTTGGGACTAGTTGTATTAGCTCATTTCTCTTATGAACAATCAGGAGCCACTTTAAATCTTATTACTCCTTACCATAAATCTTTTTTTTTGAGTCTACTTTTTATTATCACCAAACACAAGCAGTGTTAGATAATATCTGTGATAAAAGTCATCTTGTGCAAAAAATTATGCTCTAAGTTCTGAAAAATTGATACAGTTACTGTTGAGTTGTAATAAAATAGGGAGGTGTCTTAGCAGTTTCTAAATGTCTTCTTTAATAAGGAATTGTATTCTCTGCGGAAAGTAACAGAAAGTAATTTGGAGAACACTCAGGTATGCGGGTTGATTCTCCCAACACATGTATCCAGAACTATGTTTCATTTTGGGAGTGAATTTGTAATGAACTGGAAGCATTGATTCTGACTGTGGGTGTAGTTTATGTCCATAAATCTTTTAACTCACTAGGACCCAATGTGAGTTCTGAGATCTACATTAGCTTAGTATTTATGAACTGTTTAGGGAAAGTCCTTGTCTTGCATCCTGAGTGTCTGTGAATGTCATCCAATTTAGAAGGCACACCTAAAACCAAGAAACAATCAAATGACTGATTTTTTTCCTCCACTCACTGTGACTAAGAGGGAGTGTTTCATCCTCACAATAAGAGGAAATCTCATTTCTTTGGAAAAGATTTTCAGTGTTATCTCTACTCCGTTGCTTAAGGAGAAATTACAATGGCAACTTTTGTTTTAAAAATCAGGATGATTTAATGTTATGAAGAATTGTCCCCCCCCCCTTTTTTTTTAGATGTTTGAGTCAATGTTAAGGGCAGATTTACTTTAAATAGCAACGTGACCAGCAAAGCTTGAAAAGTTCTCAGCAATGTGTCCATAGAGTGTTTATAAAGGCTGTTTTCAGTTTCACCTTCCTGCTCCACTGCAGAGTGACAATTTGTGACTAATTGCTTTCACTATCTAAATGTACTGACATGGCTTTCCTTTTTTTTTAAACTCAAAGAAGTTTGATTACTTTTATCTTTCTCAAGACTCAAAAAGAAGTATGTTCAAATGTTGGATGCGTAACAAGTAGGAATTGTTCTTGCTGAATTAATAGATTAAAGAATCTATGACATCATAAGCAATTTCCCAATTGGGTGAGTTTTATGCCAAAGTGATAACACATAACAATTTTTTATAGTAATATGATTTTTTTTCAAAATGAATCAGACCAACATCAATTATTGACATATTTATAAATAAACAAAAATAGTTTTGCCTGATTCGACCATGGTGAAATTTGTCAAATAGAATAAACTCTACCTATTGTTATAAGTAGGGTTATATTTGTGGTGAGGAATTTAAAACAGAAAGAGAGAAAAAAATATGTAGCCAAGTAAAGATAAAGTGAACTCCAGGAAAAGTAACATAATGAAAAAAGTAATTCAACATTGTAAATTATTAATAGTGACAGCTTATTATGTATCCCTGTAGAAAAATACATGGGGAACACAGGAAAATCCACTGGTTAGTTAGATTAAAAATAACATGGCAAAACACCATCTCTACAAAAAATACCAAAACTAGCCAGGCATGGTGGTGCACACCTGTAGTCTCAGCTACTGGGGAGGACGAGCAATTGCTTGAGCCTGGGAGATGGAGATTGCAATGAGCTGAGATCGCGCCACTGCACTCTAGCCTGGGTGACAGAGTAAAACTTTGTCTCAAAACAAACAAAGAAACAAAGAAACAAAAAGCACAAAACAAAAACCAACCAGACCACTTGTGTGTGTTATGTGAATTATGTGACTGAAATTTTCACTTTGAACAAGTTGTGCTAATATGGTGAAAACACAGACTACCTCTTGTGCTTACACTTGATTAAAAAAGAAAATGAGCACAGAAATATTTGTGTATTATATTCTATTTCCCTCTCCTCCTTTACATCTTTTTTCTTTGTTTTTTTGTTTGCTTATTTCATGAGTATTACCAAAAAAAGAGGAAAAGTTAGGTGTGCCTTAGAACCATTGAAGAAAGAAGAGAGGAGAACCAGAAAGCAGAACATAATCCTTAAGGAGGATTTCCTAAATTACCAAATTGTCCTACAAATTTGTTAAATCAAGTTTAGCCTAAAGCTGCCTCCTTACGTGTTTAAGTTCGACCTAAAGTTTATTCTGTACATGGTGAACTATAACAAGTGGAGATGTAACCCACTGTAGCCTACACCTGTGCCAGTCACTGAGTTTTGGCCAATCAAATGTAGCCAACCCTTAGAAACACGTTCAAATAAGGCAAATGCTGAGCTGTAACCAATCCAGCTGTTTCTGTACCTCATTTTCCTTTTGCTGTCCATAAATCTTCTTCCACCATGTCGCTGCACTGGAGTCTCTCTGAATCTGCTGTGATTCTGGGGGCTGACCCATCTACAAATAGTTCATTGCTCAATTAGACGCCTTTAAATTTAATTCAGCTGAAGTTTTTCTTTTATCAAAACTCTTTGCTCTATCTTTATTGTTTTACAACTTCCATAAGGAAAAGAAAAGAGGGGAAAAATGGAGGCCTGTCTGGTGTTTCCTTTTGCAAAGAGAGTTAGGAATGCTGCCCACAGGAATAAGGTGATAGGTTTAGTGCCTCGTGGAATTTTGTTTTTGCTCAACTATAAAGCCGGCTGAAAACAATATATCTTTCTATATTATTAGTAAATGCTCAGAAGTTCACTTGATTTTTATTTACTAGGCAGTTACTTATGTAAACATGTTACAAAAAGTAGCACAGTTTTAATAGGGAGTCCAGGAATGAGAAAAATCTGAGTTCTAAGCCCTGTTCTCCCACTGGGTATCTGCTAGAGATTGAGACCCTTGTACATCGTTGGTGAGAATTTAAAAATGTAACTTGAATATCTTTTGTTTGCCAACCAGGACTCACTAAAGGCAATGCTACATTGCAACTAATATAAATATAGCTAATGGAAAGTAAAATTATTCAAATACTATGAGCACTTTTAAATTTTAAAAGAAGATGTATTTGCCACACATTTTTTGCTCCTACAAGCAGTATCAGAAAATTGTATCCAGTTTATCTGAATCCTAGTAACACTGAAATCTAAAAACTTTTAAGCCTAAAGATAAACCTTGTTCAAGAAAACTGATGCCATTAATAATTTTAATTTATTTTTAATTTTAGTTGCTTTATTGAAGTATAATTGAAATACACAGAACTAGACATATTTAGTGCATACATCTAATGAGTTTGAACATGTGCCAAACTCATGATGCCATCACCACCGTTGAGGCAATACACATATCACTACAAAGAGAATAATATACCTAGGAAGACAACTTACAAGGGATGTGAAGGACCTTTTCAAAGAGAACTACAAACAACTGCTCAAGGAAATAAGAGAGGACACAAAAAAATGGGAAAACACTCACGCTCATGGATAGGAAGAATCAATATTGTGAAAATGGCCATACTGCCCAAAGTAATTTATAGATTCAATGCTCTCCCCACCAAGCTACCATTGACTTTCTTCACAGAATTAGAAAAAGACTACTTTAAATTTCATATGGAACCAAAAAAGAGCCCATATAGCCAAGATAATCCTAAGCAAAAAGAACAAAGCTGGAGGCGTTACGCTACCTAACTTCAAACTATACTAGAAGGCTACAGTAACCAAAACAGCATGGTACTAGTATCAAAACAGATATATAGACCAATGGAACAGAAGAGAGGCCTCAGAAATAATGCCACACATCTACAACCATCTGATCTTTGACAAACCTGACAAAAACAAGCCATGAGGAAAGGATCTATTTAATACATGATGTTGGGAAAACTGGCTAGCCATATGCAGAAAGCGGAAACTGGACCCCTTCCTTACCCCTTACACAAACATTAACTCAAGATGGATTAAAGACTTAAACGTTAGACCTAAAACCATAAAAACCCTAGAAGAAAACCTAGGCATTACCATTCAGGACATAGGCATGGGCAAGGACTTCATGTCTAAAACACCAAAAGCAATGGCAACAAAAGCCAAAATTGACAAATGGGATCTAATTAAACTAAAGAGCTTCTGCACAGCAAAAGAAACTATCATTAGAGTGAACAGGCAACCTACAGAATGGGAGAAAATTTTTGCAATCTACTCATCTGACAAAGGGCTAATATCCAGAATCTACAAGGAACTGAAACAAATTTACAAGAAAAAAACAAACAACCCCATCAAAAAGTGGGCAAAGGATATGAACAGACACTTCTCAAAAGAAGACATTTATGCAGCCAACAAACATGAAAAAACGGTCATCATCACTGGTCATTAGAGAAATGCAAATCAAAACCACAATGAGATACCATTTCACTCCAGTTAGAAGGGCAATCATTAAAAAGACAAGAAACAACAGATGCTGGAGAGGATGTGGAGAAATAGGAATACTTTTGTGCTGCTGGTAGGAGTATAAATTAATTTAACCATTGTGGAAGACAGTGTGGTGATTCCTCAAGGATCTAGAAGCAGAAATACCATTTGACCCAGCAATCTAATTTCTGGGTATATACCCAAAGGATTAGAAATCATTCTACTGTAAAGACATATATGCACACATACGTTTATTGCAGCACTGTTCACAATAGCAAAGACTTGGAACCAACCCAAATGCACATCAATGACAGACTGGATAAAGAAAATGTGGCACATATATACCATGGAATACTATGTAGCCTTGAAAAAGGATGAGTTTATTTCCTTTGCAGGGACATGGATAAAACTGGAAACCACCATTCTCAGCAAACTAACATAAGAACAGAAAACCAAACACTGCATGTTGTCACTCATAAGTGAGAGTTGAACAATGAGAACACATGGACACAGAGAGGTGAACATCACACACCAGGGCCTGTAAGGGGATCGGGGCTAGGGGAGGGATAGCATTAGGAGAAATACTTAATGTAGATGATAGGTTGATGGGTGCAGCAAACCACCATGGCATGTGTATACCTATGCCTGCACATTCTGCACATGTTTCCCAGAACTTAAAGTATAATAATAAAAAAAAATGTAATAGAGAAGAAAAATAAATAAAAATCTAAAAAAAAAAAAAGAATATGGGATCACAGATCGCAATGAAATGAATGGGATGAAATTCTCTCTGTCATAGCACTTGAGGACGAATCCACCAGTGGATTCCATCCAAAAGGCTCTGAAACAACAAGGGACTTAGTGCAGGCTGTGGTCCTTGGCTCCTTGGATAGTAGGCATTCAATGACCAAGCCACTTTCATTTTTGATGTTATGCAATTAGATATTAAAATGAAAAAGAAGTTATCTTTTGAAAACACTACTTTTAACAGCATGTGGCATACCATTTGCTATCTTAATTCCATAATTTCAAATTGTAGTTTTCAATTAGGGTCTGCCAATCATTTCCAGCCTCCTTTTGGGATTTCAAGGAGCTTATGTTCTAACGTGGTATTTTGTGTGGATAGCAGAATAAACTAAGTGTGGATGGGTTGGTCCAGTTGTTAAGGACATGGGTGCTAATGAGACCCAGGGGGTGGGTTTGGCCTCTGCCTGCAAGCGGAACAGTAGATGGTACTTTTGTTCCATGGCCACAGGCTACAGGCACAACTAAATGGTTATCTCCCAGATGCTTTTACCCACAAAGGGATGAGGTGAGAAGGTGTAGATTAATCATGAAACCCCTTCATCGCTCCTGGGAAAGCAGAAATCCTAGTATGGATCAAGACATGCATATGAGCAACAATGAATTTTAAATTCCAAAACTGAGGGTACTGTAAGTTCACTGTATTGAAAGTTGCTGATGGAGTCCAGAGTCTGTTAGAACATAAAAAGCATGTGGTTTGTATTTTAGAGACATAAGACAGTGCATTTAGTCTGCATATCTGAACACTTTTTCCTTAGAGATTTTCCCTGTTAAATGGGACATTTGACATGGTAGAACAGCATGTGCAGGCAAAGCACATTCAGAACTTCATTGTTTTGAATTGGCTATAACAAAGCACAAAGTTCTTTCTAGGCACTCCAGCATAGCTCTTTCCAAGTCTGGGCTCCAAAAGGGATAGATTAAACAGGAAGGGTACCATGTAATGCTAATTCAGTCTTATCTAATTCAGTTCAGTAAAAATCTCAGTATTTTTGGTGTTCAATATACCAGGTAGACATTGTGGAAAACGGAAAGGCAAGTAAGACATCACTCATGACTTCCAGAGGTTTATATTATTGTAAGGGAGGTGGACATGGATGAATTAAAGGTCCTAGAAAGCAGACTCTGAGAACAATGGAAATACAGGTACAAGGGCAATGAGGGCTCAGGAGAGACCACATGATCGATTCCAACTGGGGAAACCACAGAGAGCATCCTGGAAAAGTTACAAAACTTTAAAGAATGAGTGGACTTAAGTATGCTCAGTTACTCTGTTTAATCTATGTATTATTTATTTATTCTTCCATTGATTTATTGAACAAATACTTTGGGATTCCTACTATGTAACAGTTATGTTGGTAGGAGCTACACAAGTGGATCATGGAATCTGGAGTTGAAGACAGACATTATTCAAATGATCACATGACTTACTATGAGCTGATCTGTGTTCTGAGGAAAAATAATTGACTATGTAAAATATAACAGAGGAAAGAGGCTTAGACCAGGGTTTGGGGAATGCCTGACATGAAACTTGACCTGAGATATGAAAAATAAATAGATGTCAATTGGTGATAAACGGGGTTGGGCCCACAGTTCCGGTAAGAGGAAGGGCATGAGTATCATTGACTTCATGATGCAAGCTGGTGAGAATGATCATTTTATCAGAGACTGTTTGCTGTGCAGAGAGAGAGACTGCACGTGTTAAAAGCACATTTTCTGGAGCCAGATTGCCTGGATTCCAATCCCAGCTCCACCACTCACCAGCTGTGTAACCTTGGGCACTTCGCTTCTCATTTCTAGGCTTCATTCCCTCACTGTAAATGGGGTAAGTGTAAGACTTATCTCAGAGAGTTACAGTGTAGATAGTATACATTCATAATGATAAAATAATATATTACTGATTAACTAGATTAATATACAATGTTAATATAATAATATTTAGGATTAAATGTATTAATTCATTATTCATTAAAATTATTTCCTGACATAAATCTTATAAATTGTATATTATAGAAAAAATAGTAAATATGTAATAGAATATTAGAATCATATATATGAGAATAATAATAGACATTATTATTATTATACCCATGAGTCTAAGTTGAAAACTCTGAATTTTCTGATTTAATAAGTCTGTATTTGGCCATATATTTCTTTCCCTTCTATAACATCTTTTCAATTCTCCAAACAACTAGGATCTCTGGGTGTTCTTTTGCCTCTTTTTCTAAAAACAATCATTTATAGGACATCTCATTCTGACTCATCAAATAAAGTCACTGAAATATGACATTCTTACTTAGTGGGTGGAAACAAAGGGATTTTTAAGAGAAGCAACATTTTTTCAGCATGTTTTATGAGTGCAAATCATAGCATAGTAAAATGATGCAATCCTCCGTGTTTTGTTTTCCACAATAAACTTTCTTTCTCCTAATAGTTAAGATCGTATATATTTTTCAGATTTACCCATCTCAAGATCAGTAATGCATGATTTTATTACACCCATAATTTTACCCTCATGTGCTGACATATACAAATTTATTTTGGTGGCATGTTCTTAATTTCTGGAGCTGCCATGCCATTTTCTTGACTAGTTTTATTTTGGTTTTGACTAATCTCTTATAATTTTGAAAAATAGAGCACTTTATTTTATGGTTTATATTTTTAATAATCATAACTCTCTTTTCTTCGGTTAACAATTCCCCCAGGTTTAAATTAATTCCTGTCCATTTACCCTCCATTGAAGCATAGCATTACATGAATTTATGTTACAGCAGCATACGTGGTGCCGAATACATAAAACATATAAAATATAATCACACACACACACACACACACACACACACACATATATATATGTATACATATACATATATTTTTTAATTTATTTCATTTTTGCCTAGGCTGGACTGCACTGGGGCTATCGTGGCTCACTGCAACCTCTGCTGTCCGGGTTCAAGCGATTCTCCTGCCTCAGCCACTCGAGTAGCTGGGATTACAGACACCCACCACCACACCCAGCTAATTTTTGTATTTTTAGTAGAGACGGGGTTCCACCAGGTTGGCCAGGCTGGTCTTGAACTCCTGATCTCGGGTGATCCGCCCACCTCGGCCTCCCAAAGTGCTGAGATTATAGGTGTGAGCCACCATGCCCAGCTACATATATATGTTTTTGCCTTTCCAATTAGATAACAAATCTTTGAGGGTGGGAGCCAGGCTTGTGATTTTTCTAGTATTGTTCCAGAGTATCCTGCGCTGGGCTCAGCACAAAACAGTTGCTCCATAAAGTCTAGTTGGATTTAATTGAAGTACTTCTGTAGCAAAACTTTGCAGCACTTACTTTGGGGCAGCTTTCTCAGCTGGTAAGTATCAATGAAAACTTAAATGACTGTGAAATAAATTATCTTAAATGTAAAAGTCAAAAATAAAAATCAATTACTTTTCTATTTTGTTCAATGGTTTTTATGGAAAATATAGGCTTGCCTATCCTCACCTACTAAGTTGTCATACAACAATATATCTGAATAAATAAGATTTTCTGGTAACACATTGTATATTTTGAATGAAATTCAGTTACTTGAGTTTTGAAAATGGCTTAAATGGGCTAGAAAGACATAAAACGGTGAGCTGCCTCACTTTTATAGCAGCTGTGTGAGACTATGATTATAAAAACATGCCATGTAAAGGTATCAATCTGCTACAAATTTTCCTGACAGAATTTGTGGAATATTCTTCATTTCCAAGACCATTACCAGAAAATAAAAGCCTGAGATTCAACACTGTCAATCCAATCATCTGGTTAGACTTATACCTTGGTCTAACAGTTTACTGAAAATTACCACCAGGAAAACCCAATCATCTCCAAATAAGTGACATTATTTTACACTAAATTTAGCAAACTAATCTAACTATACATGGGGTGAACACTTAATTGTCTACCTACATTTGCAATACATAAAAAGGCAACAGTTTTCTATATATGTGAAAAATAGTCGCTCTGAGTTCACCAAGCCTTAGGTTATGCTACATAATTTGATTTTTATAACACTATATATCCAGGTATCAAATTTTTCTGATTAAGAAAATGACATAAAATAAAATTTGCTAAAATCAAATTAAACGCCTTTGAGTTTTGCCATTTAGTTTCCAACTAAAGCGTATGCGAATTATTTCTCCACATGTACTTCTATTTCTTAATTACTTCTGCTTCCACTCATATGCTTTTCTTCCTTAGGAAAGGCAGTTTCTTCTTAAAAACTGACTTAGATTCTGAGTGGGGGGCAGTAGAAGCCAGTCCTGTCGTAGAAGATGCCTGACACGGGATGGAGGGTTTGGAGTGCTTTGCATGCCCAGAGGGGCAAAAATATTGAGAAGGGTTGTTGAAAAGAAACACAAGCACCGATGTCATAGGAAGGAGGTCTGACTTTATCTTGCAGGTGATGGGAAGCCGGAGATATAGAAATAACTTTGCTTTAACTTTAAAATTATTTGCTAAAGTATCCATTATTTAAATACAGGCATCATGATTGTTCGTGTGCTATATTAGTTTGAGTCTTGTAAAAGACAAAAAAACTGTAATATTTTAATTTATTTCAGTGTATTTCCATCTTTATTTTTTGAAAAAAAAAAAGAGTAAATCTTACTCCTGCAACTTTTCAGTGTATATCTGTCTTTATTTTTGAAAAAAAAAAAAAAGAGTAAATTTTACTCCTGCAACTTATAGGTAAGCATTTTCCAAAGCGTCATGGTTTTCTAGGGTGTGCCATAATGTAAAGGAAATCACCTTGTATCTAAGTAACATTCTCAGACAAAGTCTGCACTTCCTAAAACCTGGATGCACAGACACTTAGTATAGAATGAAGCTTAATGAGTAAAAACAATAGTACAATCTATCTTGCTTCAGTATTTTGTTTTGCCAGGTGATGTGGTAGGTAAATGAACATATCTTTCTTTGATTGTGCCTGCATAACACATGATACAATGACTATTTGTTACCAGACTTATTTCATTTCAAAATGAGATAATAGATTATTGAATCAAAGCCAGAAAGTCAATCAGGCTAATCTCAGTACCAGACCTGAAACAATTATGTGTCTCTATTGTATAGAAGCTTGTATTTGGCTGATGAATCTATTTTAATCTTTTTAATACTTTATTTGTATTATACTCTTGATTATGGCTATCTTGACAGTAATAAATGACTTCATTAAACAAGTAGCTAATTAAATAAGTACCTAGATACCAATAAACAGCTGAACATAGAAACCAAAGTTGTTTAGCAGAACTTAACTAAAGCTACAATTGAGCGTCATTGTTTCCAGCTACTTGTCAAGCATTAATGACTTTTTTTATATAAACAACTGAGGTGATAATACAGCCATTTTAAGATTGAGGAAAAAATTAACAGAAGTGTTAAATCATCCAGTTGTTGGCACAGCTATCAGAGATGACTGGCGTTTGTACAGAATCTCCATCCTGAAACCATCTTCTAGCTCTTCTTTAACTTGAAGTGTAAAATTTTTTTGAAATTAACCCATAAATTTTCAATTATATTCACTGGTCTTGGGTTACTAACATGTTATTTACTACGTTCTTAAGAAAAAGGATTCACTGATAAGTTATTTTCTTCCTACAACTGTGATTATTTTTCTTTCATAGACACCTCCTCACCATATAATCTATGTCTCTAACTGGAGCCTCAAGACTAAGTTGTTAGCTTGGTTTCTGCCTCAGGTACAAGGCACATTTATTAATTCATTTATGTAATCATTCATGTAATAATTCAATTACATATATACAAAAGCGATAGTGGAGTCTGTATTTCTCATTTTCTCCATTTTTCTTGAAGAAACAAAGAAATAGTAAATCTTTTTTTTTTTTTTGCAAAGAGATCTGGGGTTACAGATTAATAATTACACATCTTCAAAGAGTTTCCACATTGTGGGAAGCCACTAAATAATGAAATTGCAACATAAGTGCAATGGTAGATATAAATATTCAAACTCAGATCTTCTTTCTAACCCCAATTTAACGGGGTATGGTTGTCAGGTTTTTGTTTTAGTGAAAGCAGCTTCTGAGATACACTTTGCTAAGAGTTAATACTCAAAGGGTATGGGGGTGATTAAGTTATTTCTGATGCTGGAGAAAGAATAACAAAGCAGATAATAAAAGGATGTTCATGCTGTTTTCTTGTGGTTGAATTTTATGTTGAACATTAGTGCAGGGATTGGGAGAAGTAGAGTTTAAAGGATTTTCAATAATGGCATGATCAGGTTTGAATTTTACAATGATTTGAAACCTGTTAAATGAATATGAGTTGATTAATTCTGCGAGTGATTGATTGATTGATTTGCCACCTACTGATTCCCATACTACACCTCTAGCGTTAGGATTAGCTACATTCTTGCTATAGTTTCCTATTAAGGGTCCTACTATCCCTGCATCACTTCATATGTTTCTGGGTAATTACTTTAAGTACCTGCACCCCAGTGATCTTTGATGTCATCAGTATCAATAATCTATTGATTCTACCAGCTTTTCATCATCCATCACCACTCTGATATTCTCACTTCTCTTCTTGCCTACCTTATATTATATAATATAGCCATTCCATCCTTTCCCTTCTGTGAGAAATAATTCCAAACCTGCTTAATGCCACCTCTCTGCTACACCTGCATTCAGGCTGTTGAAAAACATGCGATATTGTTGGCTTGCCTTACTCTATATTGATGAACCTTTAGTGCTAGCTAACAATTCTGCTTGTTTCCTTTCTATTTGACCACAAAAATAAAAACAGGCAGAAAAGAACATCCATGGTACCACCGACTTCTGCTAACTTGCTTGTCTCTTCAGCCATCTGTCTTCACTCCAGTTTTGATGGATGAGTTGTCTCTTCCTATCCAAGGCTGAGCCTTTTCCTTGTGAACTCCATTACATCACTGCTCATAATCAAAGTCATTGCTCAGAAATTCCCCCTCCCACCCTCTCCATCTAATTAAGTTTTCTCTCTGTAGAAGCATTTTCGTCAATACAAAAACATACTGCAGTGTCCTCCACAGCAAAAATAAAGAAATAATTTCATTGATCTGGCATTCAACTCTAGCTATATTTTCATGTTGTTCCCCTTTTCTGAGAAATTTCCCCTCAAAAGTTGTCTGCATCTGTGGCATCCTTTGTCTTTCCTTCCATTCTCTCTTGAATACACTCCGATTAAAATTTTAGCACCCACTATGCCATTAAAACAGCTTCTGTCAGTGACTTCTAAATTATCAGATCCAATGGTCATTTATTGATCTTTATCTACTCACACAGTTGCCTAATCTGAAACAGTTGATCACAACTTTCTTTTGGAAACACTTTTATTAGTGGAAATGTTGAGTGAGAATTGGCTAGGAAATGGAAGATTGGGGAAGTGGGGGAATAGTTTTGTTTTAAAATTTTTCATTAGGTAAAAATCTCAGTTATATAATATTTAATTATTTCTCAGGGCCACCTAGAGACTACAAGATACATTCCTGACTAATCAAAGTGAAATTCCACTTGTATTTTTACCCCTTTTGTGCACAAGGTAGGACTTTTCGTGTCTTTGATTTCATTTACTGCTTCCAAATTGTACACATTTAAAAGAGTATTTTAATAATACACGTATAAAACTCTACAACATATTACAATTAGTGTTTTATACAATTAATATTGTCATTTACAACATAATTATTCTTTGACTTGTTCTGTATTCTTTCTTATATTTTCTTTTTCTCTTGATTAATTCATTTTAGTATTACTTTAGTGTACTTCCTTCTCTGGTGATAAATTCTCTGTATTTACTTATCCTTATTCTTGAAGGATTTCTTCACTGAAAAGTTATGGGTTGTCAGTCATTTAATTTCAGCATTGCTTCTTTCTCTGGCTTTTATTTTGTCTCTTGAGAAGTCAGCTCTTGGTTTAACTTTTGCTCGTTTGAAGGTAAATTGCCTTTTTTTCTCATGCTGCCTTGAATATTTTATCCTTTTTCAAAAGGATAAAATAAAAAAGACAACTTTTTTCTCATGCTGCTTTTAATATTTTAATAAATACAATAAAAATAGGATAATTTGTATCCTATTTTAAAATTGTGTAATATTCCTATACATACATAAAAAAACTTGTATATGTGTTTCCTGCTTGAATCTCTTTTATGTGTTTCATCAGTTTTGAAATTTTTAGACATTTTATTTTCAAAATTTCTTCTGCTTTATTCTCTCCTTCCCCACTGGAATTACCATATCTATTCATTAGACCTATTCACTGTATTCTCTATGTCTGCTACCTTCTCTTCCATACTTTCAATCTTTTGTGTCTTTGTGTTTCCTCCTGGATAGTTTCTTCTAAACTATCCTTTGATTCACTAATTCTAACTCTTACTAATCTGCTATTAACTCATCTATTAGTTTCTTAGTATTGCTATTATGGTTTCTTTTTCATTCTGCCTTCCCTTCTTTATATGTTTCCATTATCTGTCTATTCTCTCATTTCTATCTTTTGTTTACTGGAACATAAGAAGCATAATTACTTTAAATTCGGTACCACAACCACCATGGGTCTGTTTCTACTGTCATTTAATTCTGCTCTTTATAAAATGTTATACTTTCAGGAACTAGGTTATTTTTTATTGTGTGCCAAATATGGTATTTTTTAAATATAACAATAAATTGAGAGTTGTCTTAGAAATTGAGAAAATTCCTGGTGGGGGTTCATACTAACTTTTAGAATGTGGCTCATTGGATGCCAGTCTAAACACGGAGACTCTCTCTGCAGCCTGATTCCCATATGTATAGCTCTGAACTCCTGCTTGTATCTTACTAGGCATGTAAATTTCCAATAATTCTATTCTATTCAGCTTTTTAACTTCTCAGCCACCTTCTCCAGAATCTGCACATATTCCCAGGATAAAAGAAGTCTCAGCTTCTGGGCTCATTATTTAGGGTTCTTGTCTCTTCCCAGACTATGGTTCAGTAATTAAAAAAAAAGATTCCAACATTCAGAATGAAAAAGAAGAATACAATGAGATTCCAAGTATCTATTCAGATTAAACAATTATCCTTTTCATTTTAGCTTTTTGATGCCCAAGAAGACAGTTTTGTTTGTTTGTTTGTTTGTTTTGTTTTGTTTTATCTTTTGTGGAGCTTTGAGTTTTTCTCAGAGGTAAGGTTGTTCTCATTTACACATGTAGTCTACCATTAGAATTTGAAGTCCTTGCAGGCCTTGGGACTCTTTCTTCTGTTGAGCTCTAGAGAAGCACTTCACTTTTTCTTTCTTTTTTTTTTTTTTTTTTTTAACTTTAAGTTCTAGGGTACTTGTGCACAACACGCAGGTTTGTTACACATGTATACATGTGCCATGTTGGTGTGCTGCACCCATTAACTCATCATTTACATTAGATACATCTCCTAATGCTATCCCTCCCCGCTCCCCCAACTCCACGACAGGCCCTGGTGTGTGATGTTCCCCTTCCTGTGTCCAAGTGTTCTCACTGTTCAATTCCCACCTATGAGTGAGAACATGCGGTCCACTTTTTCAAAGCTCTTACCTTACCCCTTCCTCTCTCTCTCTCCTTTGCAGCTTCTCCTTATCTTGCTAACTTATAAATGCTGATTTATTAGGCTCATTCCCCACCCTCCTCTTCTATCCACACTCATTACACCTTGTTTCATGGTTTAAAAGAATTTTTGTGTGCTGATAACTTCCAAATTTTTATGTCCAGCTCAGTTTTCTCTTCTGACCTCCAACCTCTGGTTTACAAACCAAAATGGTTATTCAACATCTTTATCTGGATTTCAAACATTCATCCTTAATACCCCAAACTAGTTACTTTCCTAGTCTTTCCGAACTTAGTTATTGGTGATTCTGTTCTTCTAGTATTTAGGTTAAAGAACTTGTTGTCATCCTTGTCTTTTCATTTTTCTCTTAAACCCCACATCCAAGCAATCTGTAATTGTATTGATGTTGTCTTTAAACTATATCCAGAATACTCAGGCCCCTTCTCCAAACCTCTTTTTTAACGTCGTGGCCCAAGATTCCGCATTATTGTAACAGATTCCTATCTTTTCTGTTTCTATCATTGCATCCCCTCTGCCAATCTATTCCATACTCAGCAGTAAGAATGATCATTTTAAGCCAATAACCTAACTGATAACCTCTTGTAGTGATTGTAGGAACTATTCTTAGTGCTTTAAATATGTTAACATTTTGTTTTGTTTTGTTTTGTTTTTGATACGGGGTTTCACTCTTGTTGCCCAAGCTGGAGTGCAATGGCGCCATCTCGGCTCACTGCAACCTCCACCTCCCGGGTTCAAGCAATTCTCCTGCCTCAGCCTCCCTCCTGATTAGCTGGGATTACAGGCATGAACCACCACCACAACGAAAAATTGTCTGGCTCAAATGTCAGAAATGCTGAGGTTGAGCTCTAACACATAGAGCTGCACAGGTGTTAGGATGAGGGCAAGAGTGAAGCACAGCTCAAACAGAGAGAACTTGAAGACATGGGCTACCCATATGAAAGAGAAAAAAGTCCTATTCACATCCTGGAACAAAGATTGCTATCTTCGGAACACGGATAACAGGAATATCAACACAGTGGTGGGTGGCATCGTGCGTGAACTTGGAAGACAATGACCACAGATGATCAGGAGCTTATCTCAGCTTGCCTCAAACTACCTTCCCCAGGGCATTTGGTGATTACGCACATCCCAGCCCATCTGTTGCTAATTGCAATAAAGACCAGGATCTGTTATATCACTGAGGTGAAACCTCATCAAGTTTTAGAGGAAATAAATCTACGAGATGCTCCATAAAAGTAATCTCTACTTTTTGGCATCCAAATCTGTCAAGCATTGATGAGGCAAGCAGGAAACCTAATGAAAATAATACAAGGAAATCTTCTCATCAACACCCATCCCTAATGTCTCAGCTGTCAGGTCATTGTTTTGGCTTCTTGGGGTGGAATCTGCATCGACAGCCAGTATCAGAAGCGCTGACTTTAAACAAGGCAAGCAGTCATTTTTACCATGTGGTCCAAATCAGTTAAAGGGTGCCAGCCCTGCCTCAATTTAAATGGGTTGGTTTTTAAGTGTGTTTATATTCTAGCTTCTCTCACTCTCATGCGCAAGCAAACACACACACTTCTAGACACTGGGCCTTTAGTGTTTGTGATGTAGGCATCTATATTTTTTCCCCTAAGGAACATGCACAGAAAAATTTCTGTGGGTTAAAAGGCCTTTGCTTTATTGGCAAGGATAGCAATGGAACTAATTTGGTGTTTTGCGTTGACGCCTTCTTTCTCCTGACTTGTGTAATAAGATCGTTATATAAGATGATAATTACCTTACTTGATCTGTAAGGAGAATTAAATATGAGGATAACTTTCTACTATGCCCTCTAAAACGTCCTGGTGAAGAACTTAATAGAAGCCTATGATAAAGGTTGAACCCTGGGAACATAAATTCTGTTGGGGTGTATGCATTGAGGTAAGCAGAGTTGCGTGCTGGGTTTGTGAAGGCAGAGAAGGGGACAGGGCAGGGCAGGATATCCTCTTCATTAGCATTATACATTGCTTTTCTCATCATTATCGTGGCAGAGTCACACAAATTATCCTGGTCCAAACACTTAGAGGGCCATAAACTGAACCCACCCTTCCATTAGGTTCAAAGGAAAATGATTACACAAGGAAACTTGTCATGTCCTGTCTAGATAGATAATGTAGCCGGATAATGAAGATTAAAAAATGGCCTGGTGGCACTGTGAAGAGGTTAAAGTACTACTGCAAGGTGCAAAGGAAACATGAATGATCCAAATCCTAGAAGAAAACACAGCTTAGCAGCAGAAGGTTTGTTTATATTATAATAACAGGCTCATTCTTTTCTAACTCATAGGTAGCATTTCCTTTTGACTCTTTGAGCAGAAAAGCAAGAGTGGGCAGAAATGACCTCAGTAGATAAGCAAGGCATTATACTGGTGCTTTGGTGCTTGATAGGAGTTCAATACATAATTTTATTCTTAAAAAAATCACTTAGTAAGGACCTAATATGTGCTAAGCACTGGTTAGGAGATACAAAATACAAGAAAAATAAGGACATGGTTTCTGAACTCCAGGAATGTAAAATGGAATTGGAGGTGATAGATACACTAATTATTGTTAAGAATGGGTTGTCAAATTATGGCCCATGAGCCAAATCTAGCCCACTGCCTGTTTTTGTGAATAAAGTTTGATTGGAGCACAGCCCTGCCCATTCATTTATATGTTGTCTGTGCCTGCTTTTACACTTCAACAGCAGTGTTAAATAGTTACAACAGAGACCGAGACCCTATGGCTTCCAAAGTGTGAAATATTTAATATCTGGTACTTTACATAAATGTCCCTGTAGCTAGGACAGTAGGTATGTAGCCTACATTAATGTCGCATACATGGAAGTAAACACTTTTTGAACACTACTGTAGTTAGTGTACCAACGTCCATTGTGGTAACTACCATATTACCCACATTTTGGAGATTAAAAAATGTAGCTTAAACATTAAATACTTTAAGTTCTCAATGTCACATGAGCAATATGGATTTGAAACCATACATTCCGATTTTTACAGCCCATGCTCTTAACTGATACCCTCTGTAGACAAGAGCTGTACATATTCAATAGGAACAGATATGTCTTTGTCAATTTTCATATCAAGGTGTTCAAGAATTAATTTTCTTTTCTTTCTATAACCGAATTAAATTCTCCCTTGTATTTTCTTTTTCCTGTTTGCAGAATCCTGTTTAGTTTTAGAAAAAGAGCCAATTCAAAGTTTGTCCTCTTCTTTATTTGATAGTTTAATCATTGTTCTCAAGGCTGTGCTAGATTGATAACCATGGTTCTAACCTTCACCCTTTCTGTATCCTGGCCCTCTACCATATAACTTTACAGTGTATTTCTGACTGTGATGGGGTGTATTTCTCCTCCGGACACAGCTCTGTGACTTTTTTTGATCAGTGGGATATTAGCAGACATGATAGAAAGAAACGGACAGTCCTCAAGTGACTAGGCTTATCCTCTCTTCTTCCTCTGCTACTCAGCCGTATTCTCATGGCAGTAGAAACAGCAGAAAATAAGAAACATGTGAAACAGAGCCAAGTCACCTCCAGTGCTTCAACTCACAGCCGGCTGATTTCAAGACAAGTAAAAAAAAGTCCAGAAAAAAAATAAACAATAGATGTTTATCATTGTATCCACTGAGAGCTTATGGTTATTTGCTATGCAATGTAATTTTGGTAATAGGCAACGGGTACAGGGGAATATATAACATAGAGACAGTGGGCAGAGAGTAGGAGAGTATGTCGGTCTGGTTCTTTGTTATTATTGCTTCCTAATGCCATCTTCTGAGAAGCAGATCATCCAATCTGAACCCTGAGCATCATGACCCCTCCAAATTGGAGCTTAGAAATATGTAAGTGGGGAGTTAAAGAATACAAAAGCACCAAAGAGCTGGAAAAGCAGGATGGATACCACTGAAGAGTAAGTTAGTGACCTAGAAGACTAAGCATAAGTTTTTAGAAAACAAATTACGGAAAAAATTTAAAAAGAAGACAGTAGGATAAAGGTTAATGAGATGTAAAAATAGATCCCAAAGTTATACTATCAGAAATACCAGAAGAGAGAAAAATTCATCTCAGAATCGAATAAATAAATTCTCAAATTGGAAAAGACTCACAAAGTTCCAAGAAATATGAATGCTTTTAATAAGTAAAATTTAACCCTCAACATACCCCTATGATATAGGTAATATGATATCACAATTTCACAGATGGGTAACTAAGATATGAAGATTTTAATCTTCCTAGCCACTTTATATGTTGACACTCATCCCCATGACATTGTTAATTCTCAAAACCATTCTTTGAAATATGCGCTATAATTATTCCAGGCTAACAGATGGAAAACTAGAGCATAGAGAAATTAAGTAATTTATGCAAGGTCATGCAGGTAATAAGTGCCAGAAATGGGTCTCTAACCAAGATGTCCTGGCTCAAAAGTTATATGCTTAACCATTATGCCATTGTTGCCATATAGCTGACTGAATGGAAAGTTACAAGTAAACACAAATGGAACTTTTAATTCTCATTGCATACAGATTTTAAAAAATCATGAAGCAGTATCTTCAAACTTCAGAGTGTGCGTATATATATATGTAAATATATATATAAATATTAAGCCAGACTTCTAGATTGGTTTTATTTTCTCATATTGTAATTCAGTCGTGGATTTAGGACTTTTGCTTTGGACTATAGTAAAGTGACTGGTATAGGACTTGACCTCCCACCACAAGCAACTAGAAAACTGGAAAAAATATAGAAAAAAGAGCTGTTTTTTAGATATTCGACAATGGATAGTATCTGTGATCTGAGAAAAGGACAAATGAGGTATGCTCAACAATTCCTCCTGCTTTCTGCTCAAAAGCACTCATTGGCCTGCAATATGAAATTCATCACACTTTAAAAAAGACTAAAAAAATTAGATTCCCACTATTATTTTACCAATAATACATATAATTCAATCAAAATTGTCTAGACATGTACAGAAGAAGGAAAATATGAACCATAATCAGGAGAAAAATTCTGCAGAAACAGGTCCCGAGATAACAGAGATACAGGAAGTGGCAGACAGGGACTTTACAAGAGCTATTGTGCACAAATAAAAGAAGAAAAACAAATGTCCTGCACCACTCAATACAATACTTCCCCTCTGGTCATCAAAATACGTGTTGGGAGTTCTCCCTACACACCAAGCAATTCTCCAGCGGACACTAACCGGATGTCCTATAATTTAATTCAATTCTGATACTACCTACCTGGAGACTGTGTCAGATTCCACAGGTGAAGGTTTTGGTTCCACAAAACTGTCCCTACTTCAGATGCCAATCACAAGCCATCCATAACCTTTGCGTTCCCAGAAACCACTTCTTGGGTTCAATTACTTTGCTAGAGTGCCTCACAAAATTTAGGGAAAGACTTCACTTATGTTTACTGATGTATTACAAGGGATGTTACAAAGGATACGTAGAGGGAAAAGATCCATAGGACAAGACATGTGGGAAGGGACCCAGAACTTACAAGCCCTCTCTAGGTGCGCCACCCTCCAGACACCTCCAAGTGTTCAGCTGTCCAGAGGCTCCCCAAACCCCACTCTTTTTTTTTTTTTTTGAGACCAAGTCTCGCTCTGTCTCCCAGGCTAAAGTGCAGTGGCGCGATCTCGGCTCACTGCAAGCTCCGCCTCCCGGGTTCACGCCATTCTCCTGGCTCAGCCTCCCGAGTAGCTGGGACTACAGGCGCCCGCTACCACGCCCGGCTAATTTTTTTGTATTTTTAGTAGAGACGGGGTTTCACCGTGTTAGCCAGGATGGTCTCCTGACCTTGTGATCCTCCCGCCTCGGCCTCCCAAAGTGCTGGGATTACAGGCGTGAGCCAGCGCACCCGGCCCCTTTTGGGTTTTTATGGAGGTTTAATTGCATGGATGTAATTGGTTACATCACTAACGTGAGTTATCAACCTAACCTTCAGCCACGCTCTCTTCCCCGGAGGTCGGGCCCTATTCTGAGCTATGCTGGAGCCTGCCAAAAGTCACCTCATTAGAACAAAAGATGCTTCTATCACCCAGCAAATTTCAAGGGATTTAGGAGCTCAGCACCAGGAACTGGAATCAAAGACCAAATAGGAAAACAGAAGAGTGTCCTAGCGCCCCTATCGACAGGGGTTTTTGAAGCTCTGTGTCAGGAACTGGGGGCAGAAACCAAATATATATGTGTGTGTGTGTGTATATATATAATATCACAATATTACAATATGGTTAAGGATTTCCAGAAAAAAAATACGGATAAGAAGAGAAATGAAAGACATCGTTTTAAATCAGTGGAATTTCTAGAAAAGAAAAACACAATGTTTGAAATGAAAAATTAATTGTATCGGCTTCATAGAAGATTAGACATTGGAAAAGTAAAAAACAGTAAAACTGAAGATATGACAAGAGAATAATTCTGAAATGAAAACAGAGAGAAACAGGTTTAAAAAAAAGTGACTAAGTCTCGATGACTTGTGACATCAAGTGGTAGAACATGGAGATCCATAGGCCAGGCGCAGTGGCTCGCGCCTGTAATCCCAGCACTTTGGGAGGCCAAGGCAGGTGGATCACTTGCAGTCTGGAGTTTGATACCAGCCTGGCCAACACGGGGAAACACTATCTCTACTGAAAATACAAAAAATTAGCCAGGTGTGGTGGCATGCACCTGTAGTCCCAGCTACTCCAGAGGCTGAGGCAGGAGAATCGCTTAAACCCAGAAGGTGGAGGTTGAAGTAAGCTGAGGTTGCACCACTGCATTCCAGCTTGGGCAACAGAGTGAGACTCTGTCTCAAAAAACCAAAACAAAAACAAAAAAACAAACAAACAAAAAAAAGAGATCCAGAAGTAAAGTGGAATTGAAAAAGAATTGAAGAAATAATAACTGCAAGTTTATAGTCCCATGAAGCTAAATAATCTCAAATATAATAAAGAAATAAAATAACACTGAGTCACATCACAATCAAAAGGCTAAAAACTAGAGATAAGAGACAATCTTAAAGAGGCAGAGTAAAAAAGATGGACATATTACCTACAGGCAAGTAAAGTTAAAATTAACCACATGCTTTTAAGAAAACAATGGAAGCCAGAGTTTAGTGAAGTAATAATTTTAAAGTTCTGAAATAAAAAAATTCAATGTGAAATTCTACATCTAATAAAAATATTTTTTAGAAATAAGGGAGAAATAAATATTTTTAGACAAAGAAACCTGAGAGATTTACTGTCAGTAATGTGTACTGTAAGAAATATTAAAGTTTTCCTCAGGTAGAAGAAAAATAAGAACAAATAGAAACTTGGAAGGCCACCACAAGTAGTAAATATGTGGGTAAATACTGACATTTAAAAATATATAATTAAATGTCTAAATTTTAAAAAGTATGTTGAAATTTATAACACATGTAGAAGTAAAAGTATGTACTAGAAGCACTAACACAAGGATAGAAGATGAAAAATGAAAGTATTTTGTTGTAAAGCTTTTTTATTACACATAATGTGGTATGATATTATTTGAATGCAGGCAGTTATAAGTTAAAGATACTTATTGTAAACTCTAAAGCAATCACTACAAAAATTAGAAATAGAACAGCTAATAATTCAATGATGGAGAAAAAGTATAATATAATATGCAAATATGCTGAACGCAAAAAAGGCAGAAGCACAAGAAACAAATAAAAAGCGTGACAAATAGAAAATAAATAGCAAGATAATAGATTGAAGTCCAACCATACTGATAATCAATTAAATATAAATGGCCTAAATACTATAGTTAAAAGGCAGATAGGTAACTGCCATAGACTGTATTATCTCCCAGAGCTCCAGGAGTCATATTAACTTTGTTTTCCCCACTTTTCCCTCATATCACTGATATGCTGTGGTTTAATCTGAATCAAATTTAAGTGCATGAGACAGAGCTACAGTAGGAGAAATAGCAGCCACCAAGCTGGCTTTAGAGATTTGTAGAAATAGTAATGTCATGTCTATTAAAAAGCCCATTGTGAAGGGAGATCTGCAGGATTTACAAGTTCTCTACCGTGTCACAAGCACCACTAGAACTACCAGTACCACCAGTAAGTATTACAGTGATAGGGAGGAAATAGATGGTGAAGGTTATAAGGTTTGCAAGGAGGAGAGGAGGATTTGCAATATGCAAGATATGCATAAGATGAACAATTATAATGAATCTCTTGATGAGGGAGAAGATAATACAGTAGACAGGGAAGGCCAATAACTGGGCCAGGACCAGGGAATAATCTAGGACAGGTATCAGTAACTAGGTTCCATGGGTCCAATCCAGCCCATAAAATCTAAGATGTTTACTCTCTGGCCCTTTACAGAAAAATTTGCAGCTTCCTGGTATAGAGGGAAGGAAAAAAAGTTGCCTCAAGGAAACCCTGGGGCATCTCCACACTTGCTGCACCCTTTGCCAAGCTGCTGGTGGCTCAGGGCCTGAAATCTCACATTAAACCCTTTTGAGATGTTGCAAGGTCCTGACCTCCTTGACTTCTCTTGGACCATCAGCCCGCTCCTAAATCTCTTGAGGCAGAACCCCCATGTGGGCAGCATTTTGCTTCTTGTTTGCCAAGTTTGCAATTTTAGCTCCTCTCTCTCTCTCTCTCTCTCTCTCTCTCTCTCTTTCTGAGAAAGAGTCTTGCTCTGTCACCCAGGCTGGAGTGTAGTGGTATGATCTCGGCTCACTGCACTGCAGCTTCCACCTCCTGGGTGCAAGTGATCCTCCTGCCTCAGCATCCTGAGTAGCTGAAATTACAGTGTGATCTCGGCTCACTGCAACCTCCACCTCCTGGGTGCAAGTGATCCTCCTGCCTCAGCCTCCCGAGTAGCTGGAATTACAGGTCGCACCACCACACCCGGCTAATTTTTGTGTTTTCAGTAGAGGTGGGGTTTTGCCATGTTGCCTATACTGACCTCGAACTCTTGGCCTCAAGTGATCCACCCACCTTAGCCTCCCAAAGTGCCGAGATTACAGGTGTGAGCCACTGCACCTGGCCTCTATCTTTCTTTAATAAAGACATGGCACTAATTGAATAAAATCCAGAGGTTGTCAGACTGGAAAAAAAGAACTCACTATTTCTGTCCATAAGAAACCTACTTAAATATAAAGACATATTTAAAAGACAGAAAAAGATGTAGCAGGCAAGGACTATTCATGAAGAAATAGGAGTGGCTATATTAGTATCCAGAAAATGTAGGCCCAGGACAAGCATTATTGCCAGACATAAAGTGGGACATTTTGAGTCAATTCATTAAGAAGCAGTAACACTCCTAAATAAGTATGTGCTAAATAACAGAGCTTCAAAATACATCAACTGAAAATATAGAAAATCAACAATTATAACTGGAGATTTCAACAATCCTCTTTCAGTAAATGATACAAGTGGCCAAAAATACCAGGAAGAATGTAAAAGACCTAAACAATACTATCAAACAACTTGACATGTGATATTTATAGAACAAGTTACTCAACAACAGTAGAATATGTATTCTTTTCAGGTGTACATAATAAATTCACCAAGTCTCTAGAAAGCTGATGACTTAAGTATTACAGACTGTTTTCTGACTACAATGAAATTAAATTGGAAATAAATAATAAAAAGATATCTGTAAAAATCCCCAAATATTTGGACATTGAGTAATACATTTTTAAATAACCAATAAATCAGTTAACTAATAATAAGGAAAATCAGAATATATTTTGAAGTGAATGAGCATAAAGACACAGCATGACAAAATTTGGGGGATGCAGCTAAAGCATCCTTAAAACAATTTAGAATTTTGAATGTGTATATTAGAAAATAAGAAAGTTCTCAAATCAGTGATGTACATTGCCATCTAAAGAAGTTAGACAAAGCAGTTGAAATAAACATAAAAGTAATAAAGAAATCAGTAAAATAGAAAACAGATAAACCATAGAGAAAATTAATAAAGCTAAAATGTGTCTCATTCCAAACATCAATAAAATTAAAAATACTTTTAACTAGACCAGTTAAGCGCACACACACACACACACACACACACACACACACAAAGCACAAATTACAAATATCAGGAATGAGAGAAGTCGACATCACTCTAGATTCTGTTGTAGCTAAGATGACCTCAGTGATTCCCACTTCTTGGTATGCATGCCTTTGTGTATTCCACTCCACATTGAGAGAGAGAAGAAATATAACCAAAAAGATACTGTGGAAATAACCAAGTGTCGCTTCCAACATTAGGCCTTAAAGATGTTTTCCACTGGATCACTCACTCTGGGAGAAGCCAACTGTCATGTCCTTACCACAAACAAGAAGCTAAGGCTTCTTCCAGTCAGCCCTTCAGATGGCTGCAGCCCTAGCTGACCCTCCTTCCAGTCAGCCCTTCAGATGACTGCAGCCCTAGCTGACATCTTGATGACAACTTCATGAGCGATCCTGAGCCAGACCACTCATATAATCTACTCTTCAGTTCCTGACGCATTGACTGAGTGAGCTTTTAAATATTTGTTAAACATCTAAGGTTTTGTTTATGCAGCAATAGATAATACCAGTTCTATAGAAAGAAAATAAGAAAATATTATAAGCAACTTTATATCAATAAATATGATGACTTAGAAAACATTGACAAATTCTTTGAAAGACAAAATTGTGACATAAAGAAATGAAAAATCAGAGAAAGCCTATATCCATGAAATCAATTGAATTCATAAATAAAAACAGTTCCACAATGAACTTCAGGCCATGATAGCTTCACTGACTGGTGAATTCTATTAAACATGCTAGAAGAAAACAATACCCATAGTACATAAACTTTTGAGAAAACAGAGGAAAAGAGAACATTCACCAGTTGATTGCATGGAGCCCAACATAACTCTAATATTAAACCTGATCAAGACATAACAATAGAAAGACCAATATCTTCATGAACACATTGTAAACATCTTTAACTAAAAATAGATTGAATCCTAATTTGATTTTGATTTTGATTGTATAATATAGTGGACTTGAAAGAAAAACTAATCTAGGTATGGATATCCTGAAAATGTAGGTGAATGTTTTTTTCTAATATACATTGCTTGAAAACATGATTCCAAATTATAATGGATATTTGACGCTCAGAGAATGTGTCCACTGGGAGTTGTGATTCCCCCTCTCTCATCAGTGAGATGAGTTTAGCCAGTGAGGTTATATCAGGAGGATAGGTACAAATTTACTACTTCTACTACACATTTAATCAACTCTTACCTGCTACTATTGAAGTATTTGACTTGGGAACTCTTCTCTTGACAGAGCTGAGTGTAAGTAATGTTTGCATAGGATGATGATTTATATCTATGTAGTATATTCCTGTAGTGACAATAACAGCGTATACAATATCAGCAAAACAATTTCCCTAAAGAAAGTTTTGAGGGTAAAATGTCAAAAAGTAAACTCCACTTAAATGAAGAACAAAGCAGGCAAAATTGAATTGTAATGCTAAGAAGACTTGGCTTTCTATAAGGGTAAATTTTTGTGACTTGATTATTAAGTTAATTCAAAGGTCCATTACGGATCTGGGAGCTAGGGTTGTCTTAGCTTTGTTTTTTCATCATGATGAAAGTTGAAATTATGCTTTTGTTAACATGAGAGTGATAACAGAAGACACCCTCAGTGTCCCAAGAGAAATGGTCATTGTTATCTAATATTCATGGTTGTTACAATTTAAACTATAATATTCCAATAAGATACATTTTAAACATGTTGGAAAAAAGGTGAGATCATCTAAATTTTGACTGTTTGTTTTCTCCATTTTTCATAGAATGATTTGTTAACATTTCTACTAATATTTACTTAATGGTTGGCTTTGATTTTCAATAAGCACATGTTGTTATAATTGCCTGATCCCATTTATGTACAATCATAACCTCAGAGGTTGACCACACACAGGTAGAAGAGGTGAAATGGGAGATGTACTCCATCCTGCCTTCTGAGACACAGTTCCTATCAGCCTGGCCCCATGCTGTAATTCTTCCATTAGGTTCACCTAAAAGACAAATTGTCTTCAGAAGACCACATAAAAAGCAGAAGCGGAAGTTGAGACATATAACATATTAAGCAAAAATTATCTAAAATTCTGTGAATACACTTATAAGGGAGGAAATGATTGCATTTTGCTTGTAATCCCTGAACAGCCAGGTGGTATTGTCAGGTATGCACAGCTATTTAGGGAACAATTAGAGGGAAACAGAGATGATGAAAGTCAGAGGGGTACTCTTAAGTCAGAGCTTTTCTGCACTTAGGAATTTCCTACCACTTGAAATTGTTTCCAATTCATTTCTAAATTCAGATTCCAATTTCATGCTTTTCTGGAGCCATGTGAAGTGTATATTTTTCAAAAATATTTATTTGATTAAAGGTGTCTGACCCTATTTTCTTTCAACAGAACTTGTGGGTTTGATTCTCGGTGATTTGAGTCTATTTATGGAAATTGCGTGTATCAAAAGTTTGCCTTTCAGCTGGGCATGGTGGCTCATTCCTATAGTCCCATCTACTTGAGACTGAGGTGGGAGGTTTGCTTGAGTCAAGTTCAAGACCAGCCTGGGCGACAGAGTGAGACCCTTTTCTAAATAAATAAATAAATAAATAAAAACAAAGCTTGCTTTTCAACTAGATTAGGAACTCTGAGTGCATGAATCAAGTTACCTCTTTTATTAAATTTTGCAGTTGCATCTATCATGAACTCTGTATACAAATATGAAATGTGAAATATAATTCCTCGATTACTAGCAAATTTCCTTCTGCCATTAACATATATTCCTCCTTCCCTCGAAACACCATACATTTTCCTTTACATTTTTTCTATTCTCCTTTTCTTTTTACCTTCTCTTTTTCAGAAGGAAGTATTTGAGGAATTCTGTCCTGCATCTTGCTTGTTCCTGTGGTCTTGGTGTTTGTCCAAGTGTGAGACCTGAGGCTACACCTCACATTCGCAGCAATTGTCCTCATGTAAGACACACAAAAAGAGACAGCAAGCAGGATTATCCTAGACTTAGTATACGTGACAAGAAAGGCATGAGCTGTAACAAGTAAAAAGCTGTTTTGTTTCAAAAAATAGGGGTTGCTGATGAAGGAATCACATCTGAAAGAAACAACACTTTTCATGGAGGCCAGATGAAAGGAGCTTAGGGTCTTCCAGTGTGTGTGTGTGTGTGCACACTTGGGCATACTATAAATTAGCCTCAGACAGAGGTCTGCTATGAAACAGTTAATTCTGAAAAGTTTTCTATAAACTCCAGTGATAATGTTTCTTTTTCAGGTTCATGGAAAACCAGTTTAGCATCACTAACAAGCCACCTTACGGGTGTAGATAAAGGACTGGCGCCACAACGTCTATATGGACTAAACTTTTCATTTTCATCACTTTTTGGTAAGGACCTGAAAACAAAACTGAGTAACTGCTCTTGCTTGGGATGGAATTGCTCACTGTAGTCTTTGGAAAAAGAAAAGGAAAGGCCAAGAGGTAGCAACAAACAAACAAACAAACAACAAAATCTTGCCTGGTTTGCAGTGGGTCTCTCCCTGTTTCCTCTCTTCCCTTGGCCCTTTAGTGCCCAGGGCCCTCATATCACCCATGGCTTTCTCGAGCTGTTCTGCATCTCAAAATGGGTTTCCATATCATTATCCTTCTTTCAAAGATTTCCCCAGTGGCTCAGGCCTGTAATCCCAGCACTTTGACAGATTAAGGCAGGAAAATTGCTTGAAGCAAGGAGTTTGAGACCAGCTTGGGCAACATAGCAACATCCTGTGTCAACAAAAAATTTTAAAAAAATTAGCTGAGTGTGGTGGCATGCACCTGCAGTACTAGTCACTTGGGAGGCAGGGGTGGGAGGATCGCTTGAGCCCAGGAGTTCGAGGGAGCAGTGAGCTATGATTGCACTCCAGCCTGGGTGACAGAGTGAGACCTAGTCTCTAAAAATAATAAAAATAAGAGATTTCCTTTCTGTCTCTCAGAGAGATAACTCAAATCCAAAAAACTCAACTAAGAAAATTGCCTGTTGATGTTTCAAATCTTGTAGAATGAAGCTTTAAATTGTTTATCAAAGAAATATTTTGGTAGAAAAAGATCCTTTTATATTGGCTTGAAAATAAAACTGCTGCTACAATCTTCCATTTTCTCATATCTCCTATTGGAAACTGGGGAACAGGCCATCTTTGGGAAGCTTTGTATCTTTAATGCAGGAATTGGAAATGATACAACTCCTACCACTTAGGAAAATCAACTTCATGCTAAACATATTCAATGTCTGCTTTGTCTTGATCCTGACAATCAAAATTAAACATTTTTTGACTTCTCAGCTTTTGACACCTCCTCCTGCATGAGGGACAACACCATTCAGCTGTTGGGAGACAACTGTCCTCGAGTCTCATGTGTTCCTGCATTTGTTGTGAGGAGAGGCTCTAACGATCTTTGCTTCAGACTATCTTTCCAAGGATATTCGTATGGTGAACAGCACTGAAGGGTAGAGATGGTGTCTCCCACCAGAGCAGAGGAGAAATTTGTCTTCTGGCCAGTGTAATATAGATACCTTCCTAGAGGGAAAAGGGTGGGCCTATTTGCCTGCACCCCATTAGAAAAGACTGGATTTTATACGCTCTGGGTTCCTTGGCTCTTCATCATCCTTGTGGGATTTGTGGGCATGGAGAACTGAGAACTGGTGCACTCATGAAGGTTATGAAGATCATGCTGTCTTGTATTCCATAAGTGATAAAGTTCTTTGTCACCAACCCAGAAGTGTTCTGTCTTTTGCCAGAATCTATTAAGCTGAGGCGGGCTAGACTGTTAGTTTGCAAACTGGGTAAAATCTCAGATACTTCACAGTTCTTCATGCCAGACAGTTATCTTTAGACTTTTCCAGATGGCAATCAGGAATAAACTCTATTCTCAAACCCTTAGGAATATACGGTTCAAGTTCACTCAAGAACTTGTACCATGATGGGAAGACTAGATAGCCAAGAAGGAAGTTGGACCCCACCTTAAGCCATGTGAAAAATTAACTCAAAATGGATCAAAGATCTAAAAGTAAGAGCCCAAATTATAAAACTCTTACAAGAAAATATACAGACAAATCATGACCTCTGAATTGGTGATAGATTCTTAACTATGATACTATAAACATAAGCAACAAATTAAAATTGGATAAATTGTACTTTATCAACATTAAAAACATTTGTGCTTCAAAGAAAACTATCAAAAAAGTGAAAAGACAACCCACGGATTGGGAGAAAATATTTGCAAATTGTATATATCATAAAAGACTTGCATCTAGAATATATAAAGAACCATTACTACTCAATAATACAAGGACGCCCCAGTTAAAAATCTTAATGCATTTTTCAAAAGAATTAAATAG
The DNA here is from genome assembly GCF_000001405.40 of Homo sapiens. NCBI lineage: Eukaryota > Metazoa > Chordata > Mammalia > Primates > Hominidae > Homo > Homo sapiens. Next base: position 176,522,399 of record NC_000004.12, read on the forward strand.
ACATTTTTCAAATAAGATACATAAATGTATAATTAGCACATGAAAAGATGCCCAACATCATTAGTATTCAAGGAAATGTAAATCAAAGTAATTAGATACCACTGCCCACCCCTTTGGTGACCATAATAAAACATTCAGAGAATCGCAAGTGTTAGTGAGAATGTAGAAAATCAGAACCCTCATACTGTGCTCGTGGGAATGTAAAACAGTGCAGCCACTTTGGAAAACACTGGCAGTTCTCAAAAAGTTAAACGGAGCCACTGTATGACCTAGAATTTCCACTCCTAGGTATATATCCCAAATAATGGAAACTGGTACCCACATAGACACTTTTGCGCCAATGTTCATTGCAGCATATTTCACGATAGCCAACAGATGCAAAGAACCCAAGTGTCCATCAACAATGAATGGAGAAGCAAAATGTATTATATCCCTTCAATGGAATATTATTCAGCCATAAAAAGGGATGAAGTGCTAGCACATACTACAATATGAATGAATTTTGAAAACAGTAAGTGAAATGAAAGAAACCAGTCTCAAAAAAGCCACATATAATGCCATTTGTATGAAATGTCCAGAATAGACAAATATATAGATACAGAAGTAGATTCGTGGTTGCTTAAGCCTGGGGATATGGGGAGCTTGGGGTGTGACAGGGAAAGGTTGTGCGACTCCTTTTTGAGGTGATAACATGTTCTAAAATTGTGTGGTGATAGTTGCACAACTCTAAAAATGTCATTAAGTGGTACTGTCTAAATAGGTGAATTTTATGATATGTGAATTACAACTCAATACAACTGTAACCAAAAAAGAGAAAGAAAAAAGAACTCACAGCTCACTCTGCTTCTGCACAGCACAAGACCTCCTTGCTACTCTAGTTCAGCAAGTATCCACCCAGGGACGTGACAAATCCTGCAGTAGCAAATCCACTGGCTGAGTGATTTCGCTCATGCTCCCCTTACATGGGGAAGGGGGTTAAATAAGCAGCTTTACACAATCAATCAATAGCTCTCTTCCTCACATCAGATCCATTTCTTGCATAGAAACTAAAAGTAGCTAATGGTACCTATCCTGGAGGTAGGGTATAGATTATGTAACTTTTTGCTCTTTTTAAGAAAATCTTGCAGATAGGTTTAGCAATCTTTTGTAAGACTATGATGTGCTTAAACATGTGTTATCCTCAGATGCAATTCTAAGACAGGAAAAGTCTCATTTAATACCCTATACATTAATATATAATAATATATTGCAGGTCTTATTTTCTTAGTCTAATATTTTACACTAAAAGCAGACATGCTTCAGGAATAGCCACATTATTGAACACTGCTAAACTATAATTTTGTGCAGAAATTAATATTATAGAATACTATCTGATTATATTTATCAGAAAAAGGACGTTTGCAGCTTAATTTGAATTTTCTATAATTTTCCTTTTTATTCTGTAAATTATGTAATGTATCAACCCCATGAGCTTAACAAGAATTCTTTACTTAGTATCACTAAGAGTCACAGCTGACAAGAGAAATTCTCTTAATAATTTGACATCAGATTTGATTTATTTTTTTAAAAAGCATTTTCTGATTCCTTTATTTTATGAAGTTATATTAATTATTAGATGCTTTTTAAATATTTTCCACGTGTATCCAAAGAACAGGTAATTAGGTTGTCCATTATTTTGATGATACAATTTTATCATCACAAATCCAGATGGGTCACAAAATAAAATTGATCCTAGTATTTAAATATTGTCAGCAAAAAATACTTGAATAATAATTCAATAACTCCAAGCCCCTTTTTTGTAAACATTCTCCAAAATTACATTGGTCGATATCAAGTCTTTTATTTGATAACTGCTGTAGGTAATAGAAAATGAAGAAAATACTGGTGAGCTAAATAAATATTTCTGTTTTCATTGATCTTTTAATCCAGAAAAGAAGAATGAGAAATAAAAATAGTATCACCAGAGCACTGATAAAATGATATTATAAGTGCATTGATGCTGAATTACGTAATAGAAAAATTTGTTAAGTTTGTAGGAGGGGGTGTAGAGGGAAATAGTAGAAAAAAAGGTTACCGAAGGGTACTTAATCTACTTTTATTGTTAATTTATTATGGCAGTTCCATTTGATTTCTTTGTTATTCAAAACCACTGTTTTATAATTTTCTGGCCCAAAGTAATTTTGGCTATCTTATGTGTTGGACAGTTTAAAAGAGTCTGTAGCACCTATTTTCTTTTCAAAAATGCATTGTTATGTTCTGGCACTATTTCCTGAGGAAATTTCTCATTATGTCTTTAGCCGTCTACATGCCTACCTTGGTATTGGGGACTATTGTTTCCACCAGGAAATGCTGAAAGGTGGGAAGCTATAAAGATCATAATTGAACCTACCAATTTCTGTTTCCTATGTGAGCCTATGCATAATAATAAAGTAGACATCCCAGTAGCTAAAATCTATTGAGCACTTTCTATGTGCCAAGAACAAATGCTTTAAATATTAGCGCATTTAACTGCCAAAACAAACATGAGGTAGCACTACTATTATTTTCATTTTATAGATGAGGAAACTGAGATACCAAAATGTTAAGTAACTTGGTAAAGGTCACTCAAATTGTGATTGGAGGTCTTCACCTTGAGACGTCAGTAACTACTGCTCGAAAACCCACGCTCATAATTTTTCCACTGTATTGACTCACAGAAATTATGGGGCAGATTGGCTCATCTATAAATTGTGTTTAATTACTACACAGCTTTTCATAGCTCTCCTGCTTGTGTAATCTATTGCCATTTTACAAGCGTATATTCTCTTGAATGACAAACACATGACATTAAAAATAAAGGAAGCAGAGAAATGGAGTGGAGAGAACAATTTATAGCATTTTCCAAAGCTTTTAAAACCAAGTTATTAGATGTCGTTTAACATTTTAAAATCTCCATCCTTTAAAATGCATAAGGCCTGAAATTAAAGCAAAAGATTTAGAGAGTTCCAAACACAGAGCCAGCAGCACCATCTAGGTTCATGTTATTTTCTTTGAAAGACTATTTTATGTGGTACTGAGTAAAAATGAAACATGATGAAATGGGTTTACTAAAAGTCTGTCCTAAAAATCACCACTCTTCCCTAAATCCATACTCTCGATCTAGTTTTCATTATATCAGAGAAACCACAGTTTGACTTCCCAATTTTTGCTGTGAGGTGAATTAAAAAAAAACATATTACAATACAGCTTTTCAGCATCTGTGTTGGCATACTTATTTTTACTGCTTATTTGATCTTCAGAGTGTTCAGCTTGCTATCAATGATGCATTTTTCACAGGGTTTATTATCCAGCAAGGAAAACCATGCAGAGTTTGGTTACTTTCCTACACTTGGTTCATTGTTTTCACTTTTCTCATGTGGGACAGGCCTTCTGTGGCTTCACACGAAATCCCTTCCCCCAGTCCCGAAATGTTTCCACTAGGTTTGTGGAGGTCATTCTGATAGATAAATTGCAAATCACATGGTTTTCATGTGAATTGGTGTTTATCTCTTTAAAAGAAGTCAGAACTGGCAGAAAATTAATGAAAAATATAACATGCACAGGCTATTCTTTGCAGTATAAATGATAATAGCAAAATACAAGAAACAACCCAAATATCTATATTGTGAGAATGGCTGAATAAATTATGATGCATCCACGCAGTGGTGTACTAAGCAGTTATAAAATGGAATAAAGGATATCTTTATATACTGCTATGTGGAATTGCAAGATGCATTGTTAATGAGAAAAAGCAGAGTTCAGAATAGTACTTACGATGTAATCAATTTATATGTATCTGTGTGTACACATATTTGAGTATGTAAACTTGCTTATATTGTCAGAAAGAAACAATAGACAGTCAATCCAAAAGCTAATAAAAATATTCACCTATGTGGGGAGGGAGAAAACAGGGATTAAGAGGCAGGGATGGCAGCTAGAATTCTCTAAATAAGTTTATTTTTTATTTTGACTTGGAGCGATGCAATGTCTTACAAAATAAAACCAGAAAAAAAAGTAAAGGAGGCTATCTCCCACTGCCAGAAAACCTAAAACCAACTAAAAAAAATGTTGGTTGGTTGGAAACAAATCTTAATAAAAATGTGGCAATAAAGTGCTAAACAATGCAGACAGGTAGATAGATGAGTCAATTTATTTTTATTGAGAAGAATTATCAAGAGGAAATAAAAGTTAGCCTTTTCTCTATATGTCATTAGATTCTAAATCAATTACTGAGGTTTTGATATTTGCTATGAACAAGATCTAATATTACCAAATATCTTCTTGTCCTCTGGGTACAGAAACAAACTAAACACTGTATGAAAATTACACCAAAATATTTACAGGATGCTCGAAGTGGAGGAGGGAGTAAATCCTTGTTCTCATTTGCCTTCCTTCTACTGACATCTCAAGTTCTTTGCTTGTCAGGGTTATAAAATCTGTCATGTTCTCGGATTTCACGGGTTTGTAACGAGGATGGCTGCGCAAGTTTCTCCTTTGTCTGATTGCCCATTTATTCATTCATGGCTGTCAAACACTAGTGGGTGGAGGTTCCTGTTCCCTTCCAGATGTACTGATGAATGCTTTTTGGCTTGCTGACCTTCTTGGGATTTGAAGAGTTACCCATGAGGGTAAAACTTTCTTCCAGACTTTGCCTACCTTATAGAAATCATTATTAGTACTAACATTGTTAGGGGTCTTGTCATTTTAAATACAACAAATTGTTCAAATGAGTGGTAAAATTTAAATGGAAAATAGTGAAAATACTTACTAGAAGTAGAACAAAGGAAAATTATGATAACATAAATTATATGAATCATAGCTAATGAACAGCTGAAGAATTGCTGGTAATTTAGAAGACTTGAACTACACCAAAGACAATTGTGTCAAAACCAAACCTGGTGTGTAAATTGATCTGCCAGTAGGTTGCAACTTGGAGAATCAATCACCTTAGTATGTAAACCTAGCTGTCTTGTACTTGTTTCATCAAAGCAGTATGTAGTATTAGAAAGTTTCTCAGAAGATTTCTGAATGAAATTGACTAGATATTTGATTGTTCATTTTGAAAATGCAGTTGCTGCCCTAATTTTCAGAATTTTACTTGATTTCCTCCCCAAGACAAACTGCAATTGTTTTTGACACATTTTCTTTTCCGTAATTAACAGAAATTTGATTCCAGTTATACTTAGAAAATGGTCACAAAAGGAAAAATACTGTACTACTACTCTGTTCCATAACCATTAAAATGTTTAAAATTTTCTCATTTTGTTAAAAAAGGAAAAGAGTGATCAGTTTTAATAAACTTCTTTGGTCTAAAAGGGAGGCCAAACAAAAACATTTGGAAACAAAAGGATGCTGACAGTATTTAGTATTTTAGAATGCTTCAAAGGCATCCCATGAAAAGATTTGAAATTTGAAACTCCTGGTACTTCCCATAACGTTTACAAATTTTATTATTAGAATGCAGAAATAGATTAGTGGATAGGATCATATACATTTTAAATTAAACTTGATTTTTCAAACATTCAATTTTGTTTTTTGATATAGTATAAGTAATATGATCAAGAAAAAAATAAATAAATTTTATGAAATATAATGAGCACATGATTCCTGAGGAGAAACTCTCTATATATTATTGGTGACGCCTTGATTTTTTATATGCAGTCCCAGTTTTTCATATGCAATAGTTCAAAAACTTTTTAGATCATGTTATTGTGTCTTGTATCAATTATCTTTCTTTGAATGTGGGGATTTATAATGCTTTTTATTTCCCGTGGATCCCTAAACCATTTCTAATCCTGGGACTTATCCATAAGAACGAAATAGCAATTTGGTAAATGTTCCACCCCTCTTATCATCTAAAGGAAATGGGCCAAGATATCAGCACTATGCATTCTAAGAGCACTTAATATAGTGAGAGAAGACTCTCCAGTCCTGTTAATTTTTTATCACAGAACAGAAAGACCTAATGTGTAACTTTTTTTTAAGTCAGCTGAAAGAGATTGGGTGGTGACGATCTTGGCAAATATAAACAGAATACAGATCAAAAAGAACAAGTGAAAGGTCAATTGCTGTGCACCAAGCTGCACAAATACAATCAGTGTCAGGGCTGAAGCTTCACGGTCAGCAGAAGATACAGGTCTCTGTGGCCCACATTCACGGAAAGGCTAATTTGCAATTTTGGGGAGTAACAAAAAAGATACTCCTACTGGAACACTTGATACAAAGAATAGGGTGCAAACTGTGTAGCACTATGCATCTATTGTCAGTATAGCCCAGAGAATAAGATTGCAGGCTCTGAGGCCAGCCTGTCTGGATGGGTTCTCTGCTTTACCTGCTCCGTGGCCAAGGCCAAGTGAATTAGCCCCTCATTTCCTTGTTTTCCTCATCAGTAAACTAGGTATAGTAATAGTGCCTACTTGACAAGATTATTGTTATGATTTAGTGATTAAAAAGATTGATGCACTTAGTACTGGGAACATAGTAAACTTTCAGTTTATGTTATCTAATACTTTTTTCCAAAAAAGGGGATAGAAACGTGGCATATTTCCAAAAACTGTTTTAAAATAATATAGGTGCAAGAGAAAACATGGTCCTTATTACATAGTTTATATATGTTTCAAGGATGACAGACTTTATAATATTCTTCAAGAACTGTATATAAAGAAATGTTACTATATCTATTGATGAAACTGAAAAACATAACTTTCATTTTAAGAGTCTTATAAAGTTATCAAAAAGGACTTAAGTTAGATCTTAGGGAGATGTTCTCATAAAGTTATCAAAAAGGACTTAAGTTAGATCTTAGGGAGATGTTCTCCTGGTAGAGTGTTAATCCAAGATAACTTTACCAAAAGGTGGTTTATATATTGCAGCAGGAGCTACTGGAGTTCCTACCTACATCTTGGAGCCTTCCTACCATGGTCTCATGAGAATTTCTGCGCAAAGGCTTTTTCTGGCGTGTCTAGGTCTGGATAGCTGATGCCCCTGGAGCAGTCCCTAGGTGATGATGGATAGGAGATTGGAATAAATAATCCAGCTTCCTCATCTCTGGCATAAAATCATTTATGTTCATTTCTTTCTTTTAAAAATTAATTACTTTTTAAAAATGATTATATTATAATGTACATATTTATAGGGTACAGTTTGATATTTTGACATCTATGTTATATAATGATCAAATCAAATGTATCATTTCTTTGTGGTGAGAACATTCAAAAGCCCCTTTTCTAGCAATGTTGCAGTATACCTCACTGTTAATCATCTTTACCCAACTGAGCAATAGAATGCCAGATTCTATCTAATTGAAACTTTGTACCCATTGATCAACCTCTCTTCATCCTCTCCTCCCTCATCTCTCTGGTAACCACTGTTCTACTCTCAGTTTCTATGATACCAATTTTTTTTTCACAGTCCATATACAAGTGAGATAAAGTGGTATGATAGTGCCTGATTTATTTCAGTTCTATCTATATTATCACAGATGGCAGGATTTCATTATTATTTCATAATTTACTGTGGCTGAATAGTGTTCCATTGTGTATATATACCACATTTTCTTTATTCATGTTTTCATTGTTGGACTCTTTGGTTGATTCCATGTCTTGGCTATTGTGAATAGCGAAGCAATAAATATGAAAGTACAAATATTTTTTCAACATACTGATTTCATTTCCTTTGGGTGTATACCCGACAGTAAGATTGCTGGATTATATTGAGGATCTGCTTTTAATTTTTTGAGGAACCTCCATATAGTTCTCCATAGTGACTTAACTAATTTACAATCTACCAAGACTGTGTAAGCATTCCCTTTTCTCCACTTTTCTATACTGTCTCCCAGAGGTCTGAAGAAGTAACATTTTTATTATCATGCCCTATATTAACATCTTTCCGTTTTCTGTTTCATTTCTCTATGCTTTACAGTTCTTTCCTGAGATCACCTCCCAAATCCACAACTTTCCCTTTTCATCCTTTTCTCAGTTTCTGTTTCTGGTCGAACCCTAAACTAAAACACTCTCCTCTTCTGATAGAGCTGTAGCAAAAATTATATGTAAAAATGCTTTTAAAGTGACTTGAGGGGTGTTCTCTCAGAAGCAGGGAGATAGATAAACTACATGGCATTTAATTGTTATCTTATGCTATTTCATTCTATTTCCAAATATATGACCATGTGTTTTTACACTCATTTTAATGGGAATTTATATCTCCCATTAGATGTGACTCCACAAAGAAAGGGAAAAGATGTCTGGCTGGCACCCTGAACCTCTAAATTCTCTATCAGTTGCCCAAAGTAGTTCTGAGTGCACAAAAATATAAAGAAGAAACAATACAAAAAATTGTGTTAATTATCTTGGGTCTTTGGCCTCGAATCCTGTGTGGAGCTCTTGGATCTTGTTAGCCAAGCTGTGCTGGCTTCTGGTAGATAGATACCCTGTTATTTTATTCACACTCATCTTTTCCCTAAGGAAGAAAGGCAAGGGTTGGGATTGTTCAGATTCCAGAGTACTAATTGAAGCCAGTTTTGCTAGGGGTAGTGACTTATATGTAAAGAAACATTCTCCATTTTTGATCTGGGCAGGTGAGACTTTACATTTCATTCTATGGTGATTTCCAAGACCTGGTTTGAGCTCTGGGAGAAAAAGAGCAGGCATTACAGCTTCCCTGATTGAGGAATATTTAGATCTAACTACCATAGAAAAATAAAATCCTTCCACATGATGCAACCTAGCTCATTGGGGTTCTGCTTTGGCACAAAACCCAGCTAACAGAAAAATACTATATTTTGTACTCAGCCACAGTTGTGTATACAGGGCCTTTTGAGGAGGAAGTGTTGCCAGGCAAGGCAGGAATCAGGGGATTTGGGGCATCCTGGAGTCTTTCTCTTAATAGCCCTCCCATATAGGATCGACTTCTCACTTGCTGAAAACACGAGAGTCAAGGTAACTTCATTTGTGCAGATGAGGCAGAATAAGGTCTAGACTAAAAGTAGTCTCTATTTACTCCTTCCTTTTCATCTACATTCAAACCTTGGCCACCAACAACCCACTCAGATCACAAGAGGCAAAGGAAATAAACCTAACAAAAATTACACCAAGAGAATGAGAACGTTTTATACTCTAAAATCAAGAGGATAGCAGATACCAGCTTCAATGATCCATCTTTTGGCATTTCTGGGTGCTAAAAGGGCCAGATTCTCAAGCAGTAGTTTTTGTCATTCATTCCATCTGTACTTATTGAGTATCTACTGAACACTAGAAATATCACAATGAAAAGAATTATAAAGTCAAGTGCCTGCCTTAATGAGGCTTACTCTGAACTGGCTGTGTGATAATAACAAAGTAAAGAATTGAGAAAGAAAAGAGATAGAAATTCCTACTCCAGGATGTTGTTTCAAATATAAAATATTATTTTTAAGCAGAACCCACAATTATGAATGTACATTAAAGGCTTAAAGTCATTCACATGGCAAAAAGACATAAATAAATCTGCTAGAGGCTTCCAGGAGATATTCCTAGCTCATGACACAGTCATGGAAAGCAACCCTGTTTCTCCCACTTGACCTGCGTTTATTGTTGTCCTTCCTAGAGCCTTGAGGTGAAATCACATTAGGATGAATCCAACACAGTGTAAAGAAGAAGAAACACAAATCATCTCAGACCTTACAGACATCTTTGTTTTGTGAGATTAAATGATTCTGAAGCCTGTACTCCCCATGGGTTTTCTTGTATTTGAGATACCATGAACCAATGTTATAGGGGTTCCTGTTTCTTTTAGACACAAATATGTTAATGGAATAGAAATTGATATTAACAGTAGGTTCAGTTAAAGCTCCCAGGAAACTGGAAGGTATTTGAGATAGACGACTTGGTCATCTGGAGTTGAAACAGTAGCGTCCATATAGTATTGAGGTATGGGGGTATAGCTGTCCATGGCATGCCACAGGAAACAGCTAAATCAAATATCATCCAAGGTATCAGTCAATAGCAAGGGCTGAAGGGACTGAGTAGCCACTGCCAAGGAACAGCCTAAAGTTCATGGGATAGATAGCTGCTTCTGTTCACACTGAATAGATTAGAGACCACAATGAGCTTGGACAGACTAAACATCAAGCGCTTCCTATGACTGCTAAATGAATCCTCATCTTTTCAATTGCAGAATTGAAATAGCTAAAAAGCAAATGTACTTTATGTTTCTGCGGAGTGTGGATTTCCACATCAAATGACTTTATAACCTCAGCAGAAAACTTATGAAAAAGTTAGGGCAACAGTTGGTAATAACAGAACTCCCAGAACTGGAATGGAGTTACTTAGGATGACATAGAGGACTAAAAGTAACCCAGTTATTTAACTCCAGGGAACTTTCTATGTCAGCTAAAGTAACCCCTTTCCACTTTTTAAGGAGCTGTTCTTGCCTTGCTTACAGACTCAAAATATCACTGGCTGGAGGGAATTACATTTCAGTGGGAAACCTGTTAACCCCATCATAGTGTTTTGTATCCAAATCTATAACTAAATTAGATCTCATAATACTCTGGGGGTGGGGGTGGGGGAGAGAACTTACCAAGTCAAGACTAGTAGGATATGACTTACCCACCAAAAGAATTGGAGTAATTTTCTAATTCATATCAGCAAAAATCTGGGGAATATAACTGTGCTTTCTAGAGCAAAAAGGAAAAAAACACCTTAATTTTAAATTGGGCTGAATTTTTCTAGATGAGAGCCAGAATTCTGGGTTCAATGTGACTTCAACAGCTGGAAGTAATGATAATTGTTTGGTTCAGTGACTAAAATATGGTCTCAGGTGGCTCTTGCTAAGTCAAACTGAGAAGGCAAAAGCTTTTTGGCATAACACCAGTAAAGGAATCCAAAGATATTGGGAGATAAAATGTGATGGAGTAAATTTACCATATGTGGTTGACTTCTCCCCCTAACCCTCACTTTGACCCAGAGAGGGCTCTGAAGACAGAACATTCATCAATGCCATGATAACTATCCTGCTGAGAGAAGTGCCAGCATGTCAGAGATCTTTCCTGGCTGTTTATGAGCTAGAGCTGCTGGAGGAGATGTTGCAGTTGAAATGACTCCCTGATTTCAATGGATAAGGGAAGTTCCTGGGGTGACAGAAGCCAAGTGATTACACTCTATCACCAAAAGCAAGATGGATGTGATTGTTACAATTGACATGAGGCACTTTGTCATAATCAGAGAGGTCTGTTCTGATCTGCAAGACCTTTTATGGTGGATAGACAATTTGGGATCTCTAGGATGAAAACAGATGGTGAGCCCATTAATGTCCTACTTGATTTGTATAACTAGGAAAGGACAAGTCAGGTGAATAAAGGTCTGCTTTGGACACTGCAATAGTGGTAACCCCTCATTCAATTTCCAAAGCCTTTTGAGTGAAGAAAAGTCCAGATATAAGGAAAAAAAATTGCAATAGCAGCCCAATAATGTTCTCTGGGCTCTGTGGTTATTATTATTATTTTTTAATGACTATGCAAAGGGACAGGGAAACACTCAGACCTTTATGGTCAAAAGATTAGTTTTAATGTGCCTAAGGTTTCTTCCTTCAGGCTAGGTGACTGCAAATCTCCCTAGAAACTGCTATAGCCACATGTTTATAATAAACATTCAAGGCCAGTAGAATACTGAGAGAGTGTACTTAGGATACAAGTTCTTGATTCCAAGCCCCTGATCAAACTAGAGGAAAAACTTGGAGGCCAAGAATTTGCTTTCTTTTACTAGTTTAAATGTAAGACTTGACCCCTAATTTTTGATCATCCCAGGGGAGGAGGTGGCAATTCTCCAATCATGCAGCTTAAAAGTCTTGAAAGCCAAAGGTTAGGATGCTTCTCTGAGTCAAATGTTGCATCCTAAAAGGTCCATCTGCATTGTTCTAGAATTGAAAGGGCCACAGATGATCATACACTTGCTTTTGTCTCTGTGCATTTCTCCAATAAATGCCGTCTCAGAAGACCTAGTATATATGCTATTAGATCCTTTGCCCTTACTTGTTTGACAGTGGTTTACCCAATACGTGCTTTTTACTAATCCCTGAGATACAGAACTCCAGTGATTACAGGTCTAACATGAGTGGAGTTAATGAGGTTCATGTGATAATAGAATTTTGACAAGAGTTGACAATCTAGTTCATAATTATTTTGTCAGTTACTGAATGCAAAATTAAAATACAGCCAATCCTTACTATTCAAAGATCTGTATTGCAAATTTTCTGCTCACTAAAATTTATTTGTAACTTGGAAATCAATACTGGCAGCATTTTCGTGGTCACTCATGGATTTGCAGAGCAGCAAAAAACTGAGTCACCCATCACGCACATTCCCAGCTGTGGTCTGACCAGCTGATGCTCTGCTTCCTTATTTGAGCTCATACAGAGTTGACCAGAGGGTGGAGATGGTGGGGGGCAGGGCAGAGTGGTGCGAGAAGCTATGTCTCTGGGGACAGTTAGTTGAAAGTTTGTATCCCAACTCTGTAACCTGTTGTCTTAGGCAAGTCTCTTAGTTTTAAACCTTGTTTTTGCTTTTGTAAAATAAAGACAACAGAATCTATCAGGATGAGTTGTTTCTAGAATTTAAGATTATAATCTCTGTCAGATATGTACATGCATATTTTCCCTAAGAGCAATTATTCAATCTCCAATAATTTGGTGTTGGCACTTTATGAAACAGAACTACCACAAATAACGGGCATCGACTGTAGATGTTTCCATCAAAAGACAGAAATTCACATCGGTTCCTTGACCATATAAAGTTGAATGATAATATCGTCTACCTCTTAGGGCTGTTGTGAGGTTAGGTGAGTTAATATATTGCTCAGTTTGGCTAGTGATGAAAGACAGAGTTACCACAGAGAATGACAAGAGATTAGCAGAAGTGTAATTAAGTAGAGATTCAATATTGCAGTTTTGTAGAAGATGTAGTCTTTTCATTGGAGCAAATCATATAGCCCTTGGTAAGTATACATTGATTTGAAAAATGCCCTTTGATCTGTCCCCCAAAGCAGGAAATAGCATGGGAAGTTTGTTTTTCATGTGTAAGAGATAGTAGTACATCTTCACTCACTTGCCACTGGGTTATTTCAACTCTCCAATTCTGTGTCCGCTTGTCATTCATCAGGGTCAAGTAACTATGTGTGAACACCCAGGACAATACACTGGACACTTTGCTAATGACACCATGTAGACAGAAAACACAGCAGAGTCCCTATTACCTTGATAAGACACCCAGATGCCGTGGTCTGGAAAACAAATGCTCCAAAGGGTGCAGGAAGCTGTACTTCCACAAGGTTGATAACGGTCTTGTGGTCTAAGTATGTCCCCTTCAAAATGAATTTTTTAGAAGATCACGTTAGTTTTGAAAGAAACAGAATCAACAAACAGTGAATGCTTAAGTCAAAGATCTCACATGACCACGAGACCATAGCTGTCCAATGTCAACTCAATATTATCTGACTCATTGTGTTATAAATTCTGATATATATAGTGGTTTAGTTTTATGTTTAGTAAATATGTGAACTTGGATAAGTTTCTTCTCTTCCCTTCCCTTCCCTTTTTTGAAACAGGGTCTCACTTTATTGCCCAAGCTGGAATGCAGTGGTACAATCATAGCTCACTGCTGCCTCGAACTCCTGGGCTCAAGTGATCCTCCTACCTTAGCGTCCTGAGTAGCTAGGACTGCAAGTATGCACTACCATGCCTGGCTAATTTTTTAAAAAATAGTTTTTGTAGAGATGGGGGTCTCACTATGTTGCCCAGGCTGGTCTTGAACTCCTGGCTTCAAGCAATCTTCCCACTTTGGCCTCCCAAAGTGCTGGGATTATAGACATGAGCCACTGCACCCAGCCAGTAAGTTTCTTTTCTGGTTTTTGTTTCCACATTAACTAGAGGTTAATGATAATAAATATCTCTCAATGTTGTTAGGGCATTCAGTGGATTAGTGCATGTAGTGTCTGGCACTTAGTAATGCTTATTTTATTTAGGGCTATCGTTCTTTTTAGAATAATAGAATCTGTCCTTTTTGGAACAGGACCTGTAACCCTGCAGAACCCAGAGTTGCAGGGCCAGGAAGCACAAAGTCTCCTGACGGATGATTAGGAATGATGATGATTTACTCCTGCTTCTACTGCACCCAAATTGATGTATTCTTCATACTAGAGGCCATAGTACCATATAAAGTTTTCTAATTCATTTTACATAATGCATCCTGGAAGATGGGCTCCCATCCTCACAGAGTATTATTACTCTCGAGCTGGCACTTAAGCTGTGCTTTCTGTTGTTTATTCCAATGCTTGCAGAACACCTTCCTGATCTAGTCCTCATTCACTGCATGGATGGGTCAGAGCAGTTTTCCCAGCGTATGGAATGTGTTGTCTCCATAACCTTGAGAGCTGCCAAGAATTGTGCTTTCCTCTCTGTGATAGGCAACTCAAGATGCAATAATTTGCCTTCTACTCTGAAGGGAGAGTTCCAGCATATCCTCGAAGCTGGAGCTGTAAAACCCCTCCTGAAGTGGCAGGTCTAGGAATCTTCATAGTCTTAACAGGGCCTTCCTGCTCATTCTGCCAGATTAGCATGATCCCATGCATAAAGTGGATCAGTGCGATGCTTTGTGGAATGCATAGACAGTCCAGATCTCTTTGGAGACTATATTACAACTGAGATTGAGATATTACAACTGAGAGTGAGATATTTAAGAAAGCCCTGGGCAAACTGGGAATGTGTATTGGTTTCCTTTCTAAGTGAAGACCAGTGGTTTCTGATTGTCTTTGTTGACGGGGAAAGAGAAGTATGTACTAGATAAATAACTAGATGTAATGCCATGTAGCTGCAGCCATATGTATCTGCTCTAGCAAGGATACCACCTCTATCATGGCAGCTGATCAGCCTGCTACCTGAAGTAATCTATAATCATCCTTCAAGTCTAGTCACTTCTGGCAGGGGCCAGACTCACAAATATAATGGAGCTATAATAGACACACCACCAACCCTCTATTATTTAGAAACATTTTTTTTTTCAGACAGGGTGTTGCTTTGTCACCCACACTGAGCTCAAGTGATCCTTCTGCCTCGGCCTCCCCAGGTGCTGAGATTATAGGCATGAGCCACTGTGCCCAGCCTATTTAGATCTTTAAGAGTGTTATTAATCTCTGTCATCCTTTCTGGCATATAATATTTTCTATTTAATTGCCAGATTTGGAGGGGGACAATGACCATACAGGCCAAGAGCCCAATTTTCAAGTAAGTCAATCATAATTATACATTTGCGAACTTTGAAAAAGACCATTGTGGGGATCTATAGACCAAGCAAGACCAAGCAAGACCAAGCAGTCCCACTGTAACCTGGATTTTGTCCACACCTTCATTTATTACTTGAACCTTATAGGCTTCCACTCTTAACAGGGGGTCCCCTATAGGGAAGGACATTGCCTGTGTGTGGGGACAGTTGGTATATGGGAACTTTGTAGTGACTGCTCAATTTTGCTGTGAGTCCAAAACTACTCTAAAAAATAAAGTTTATTAATAAAAAAGAGAGAGCCTGGGGAATCAAAATCTTAAGGGGTATCTACCAACATTTCTGCATTGCACGTGTCAGGGTCCACAACCAGGGCCCTGAGGTTGACAGAACAAACTGGCTTCAGCTAAGCCTTCAGTTGTCTTTAAAGATTAGTTACTATAATTCTACAACCTAAGTTTTGTCTTAAATTTTTTTGGCTCTCCCATGATAGAAGAAGGACTTCTTTTCTGCTATGAAGGAGGCACTCTGCCCTTTACACTTGGATTTCAATTGTTTATTAAGGGCCATTAAGTTTTCATTAGGAAGAGCATTGTTATGACTTAATGACAGCAAGCCAGTTCCACTCTCTATGCATTGTTTCTGTACTTTTAGAAACACCAAAGTGTTTCCTTCTATAAGAATAGTTTCCCAAGTGGCTACTAGTGAATGGCTAGAAATGACTCTGCCTCCTTGTGCCAGAGACTGACTATTCATGACTCACGTACCACATGGAATGATGTCTTCATTATCAGTGGAGTGGCCAGCAATTCAGTCCTGGAACCGCATCTTTACTGCCTAATTTCTCAGACTACTATTGGTGTCGGTTGTGTTCTCTGGGAAACAGATACTGGGCCAGGGATAAAAAACTGAAAAAGGATTTTTGTGAAAGGAAAAGGAAGGAAGCAGGATTGTGTGGAAGGAACTGTTAGCCTATGAGGCAGATAGGACAAAATGTTTGCCAGACCAATGAGGAGCTCCAGGGCAAGGTCGACCTGTTAGAGAGGTTCTGAGTTGGGAAGAAATAGAGAAGAGTTTGTACCTCAGCCTTGCTCAGTCATCACCTGAGGTCATCCTGAAAAAGGGTGGCCTGGTAATGAAACAGAATGATGAGGCAGTTTCTAAGAATGGAGTCAGGACAATTCTTCCCCAGTAGAAAAATATTTGTATACATTATTTTCAGTTTTGCCTTTTTAAACTTAACAGCCTCCCAAAGAATTTTCCAAGATCCACAGAATTCCATAGTCATCATTACTATAATTTTAAACGACTGTATTATATGATATCTGGTGCCTTAAAAGATACTTTAAACATGGTTTGAATGGGCATTTTTTTTTAAATGAATTTCCTGGTACACAGGCATTTGGGGAAGTAAAAAAGACTTTTTTTTAGTAATAAAATGACTTTCCTTTTTATAGAAAAGGCAACAAAAACATAGGGTTAAAAATCATTTATAATATAATTCTTCTCTGTGAGACTTTACCATTCTCATTGACCTTTCAGCCTGAATGCAAAAAAAAAAAAAAAAAAAATAGAAGACTTTGTCACAGTTTTAGACTGTAGAGCTATTTTTAGCTGTAAAACGTCATGTCCTAAACTTAATAAAAATCAAACACAAAGAGATGAAAGTGGGAACCTTCTTACAGAAATTCCTTTAGGGCTATATCCTGCCTTCATTCTACATGAAGAATTCCCACAGAAATCAATAGAAGATTAAAATAAATATCAATGGCAGGATACAGTCCAAATTATGAATGAAAACTTTAAACTTGACAGGTTAATTGTTTTTCAGATGACTGGAATTTGGGGCAGCATTTTCAAGAGTGAAAACCAACATTTTGGCTGCAGATAAATTAGTGCACAGCATTTTGTATAGCAAGGCCTTATCTACGGAGTTATGTCCACCCTTTGTTTTAAGACATTGGTTTTTGCTATTTGAAAGGGAAGTTTCCAGAACAAGCATCATGATTTTCCATTAATGGGTCAGGTTTCCACTTTGCCTTTATTTTAACTAGGACAAACAATATGCAAAGTGAAAGAAATTCATTTCTAATACTCATTGCTTAGCCACATTATTTTAAAAGTTAGCAAGAAATAAAATATAATAACATTACAAGTGAAAGATTTAAAGGTAAGACTGAATAGTAAGAGTGATTATGACATCCATTGCCTACAAAAATTACAATGGGTAGACATGTATACATAGTGTTCAGAGTATCAGTCTTATCATCTAGAACACTTGAATAGAGGTTTATGGAGAAGTCAAACTGCATTTCTTAAGCTTTGCTGACACCATATAACAAATGCTTGGCCTTGGGCACATTAGCTGCTCTGAGTCACTTTTTTCTTTTCTTTTCTTTTCTTTTCTTTTTTTCTTTCTTTTTTTTTTTTTTTTTTTTAAAAAAAAAAAAAAAAAGAAAACAGGAAAAGAGTGCCCTTCTGTGAAAGAAGAATGGAAGAATGAGCTTCAAGAAAGAGCAGCATAAAGATGCAAGGGTTTAGTTTTGTAGCATAACTAGAAGTCAGGGGCTGGTCAGCCTTGGCATCGGTTCAGCACTCCAGCTAACAGGGCCAGCTGCCCTGAGAGTTTTGTCTCCTTTCCTCCACTTTACCAGATTATCTGCCACAGCTCCAGGTATCACATCTTTGTTCAAGCCTGGTGATGGAGTAAAGAAATGGTATCATTAATAACTAATTTTGTTTTCAAGAATGTATAGACTCTCCCCTGCATCTATCAACTTATATTTCCTATCTAGAATTGTACCATACTACCAGTCTTAGCTACAAAAAAAGACCAGAAATAGAGTGGGACGGTCGGGCGCAGTGGCTCACGCCTGTAATCCCAGCACTTTGGGAGGCCGAGGTGGGCAAATCACGAGGTCAGGAGTTCAAGACCAGCCTGGCCAACATGGTGAAACCCCCTCTCTACTAAAAATACAAAAAATTAGCTGGGCCTAGTGGTGGGTACCTGTAATCCCAGCTACTCGGGAGGCTGAGGCAGGATAATCGCTTGAACCTGTGAGGTGGAGGTTGCAATAAGCCGAGATCGTGCTGCTACACTCCAGCCTGGCAACAGAGTGAGACTCTGTCTCAAAAAAAAAAAAAAAAAAAGAAATAGAGTGGAATATTTTTGGCAGAAGCAAAATTGGACTGTATAATCCCTGATATAATTCTTTTAATTATTTAAGTCACTTATCAAAATTGCAATAATACTTTGAATAAAGACAGGCATAGAGTAGAAGCCCACTCAGCTATGTGAGGTCAATGAACATTCCTGTTTTGTTGACGCCTGCAAGTCCACTGTGGGAGCACCACTGTTATGCGTCAGAGTGGTTGGCACAATGTTGGCCAAGAAATGTAAGTGGCTGAATCACTAATAATCATTTCAAAGAGGCAATTCAATTCAATTAACATTAAATAAATGCTTATTATGTTCAAACCATGTGCTAGGAGCTTGGATTCAATAATTGTAATACTAGATCATAGGTATTAGGAGCTTATTTAGAGATTTAAATAAAGCACTCCAGAAATATAAAGTGATGGTAATTATTCTCTGCTGGTAGATTGAAGAGGAACATAGAGAGGAAACCTAAAAGGAAATGATTCACTTCTAAAGTGGTAATAGATTACAGTGACAGTGACAATACTTCACAAGGTAATTCACATTTACTTGGAATTGAGAGAAAAGACTAATGAATGAATCTTCTGGTAGGTTGACAAGAGTGGTGGGTTTTGATTACTTAAAAATTAAAAGGAGAGTATATAAAAGGACTTCTTTAATGAAATTAAAGAATTCCTGAATGAAGATAAGAGAAATACTAAAATTAAAATGAGATGTCTATTTCACAGGGAAGAAAGAGTAGTTGTTTGAAATAAAAGCAAAGAAAAACAACAAAACAATACACACACACATACACACACCCCAAAACATAAAACAAATTTTTTTTTCCTGTGGGGCCCAAGATCTTGAACACTAAAAAGTGGTTAGAATTAAAATATTTGTAAAGTACTAGTGAAACAATGATAGTGTCATTGATTACTGTTTAAAAAGTTGAGCGCAGATTGAATTTATTATCAAAGAAACTGTTCGGACTGCTCCAAAATAAATCAATGTGCTTCCAACTTTACCTTAGGTAGAACATGGTCTGATAAAAAAATTTTTCCCATATTGTGTGGAGTGAAATCCTTGATCTAAAGCATGTTAGGGTTGCTACATTAGTTTCTTTATTCTAGTTTCAGTAAGTATTTTAAGGTGATTGAGAAAAGAAGATCTCTGTGAGATTAAAAACCTGCTGTGTAGCCCAAGGAATGTAACGTTAAATAAAATGTCAGAAAGAATTCACTGTACATGTTTGAGCTTGTAGACTAACTGTGTTAAATGGATATTAAACTGAGAAAAAATTCTTTTAATATAGCCAATACATGAGTATATTAGACAGTTAGATCAGAATGTCTATATCAGAAACTTTTATTGAATACGTATTCATTCCTTTTCTCTGATGATAAGAGCTAATGTTTACGGAGCCCTGTTTCTATAGCCCAGCTATTGTACGAATTACGTTGCGCATTTTCTTTGTTAATTTTCACAGCAACCTAACAAGATAGAAATTATTTTTAATTCTCTTTTAGTAATGAGAAAACTGAGAAGTTGCCGTTTGCTTCTGGTCACATAGTTAGTAAATAGAAATATAAACTGGATCCAGGACTCCTCCTCACCTTAACCACCCTGTCTCTGTAAGCAATCTACTATTCCTATTGTTTGGGTCACCTGGTATGTCCAAAAAAAAAAAAAAAAAGAAAAGAAAAGAAAAGAAAACAGAACTTGGATGATTAGCATACCCTTCATATTAACATTTATAACCATATCTTATTTTAGCTATTAAATGAAATTTAAACTGAAGTTTCAGTATTCTCAGCTCTGTTAATAAATGCTTCCTTTAAATATTAGGTATAATTGCATAGCCAGTTCCTACCAATGAGTAAGTTTATCTCTGGCAATGAGTTGTTCTCAGTGTCCAAACACATTTCGTTAATTTTGCTAGGGAAGTATTGAATTTGTCTGTGTTATAGTGAACTGAATGTAAGAAATGCCTTAAAATTATAGCACTCAGGTATGCTTCCTTTTAAACATTCTGTTTAAGGTTTAACCTTTTTTTGATTTTCCTTCTTGAAAAGAGAATGTTCATCTCCTAAAGTTATAGACGTAATTATTGTTATATACCACATAACAATAATTTTTTGAAATTAAAAAATATACAAATACAAGCTACTCCATTAAAATAGAATCTATGTTTGAATACTATTGTCATTTTTAAGTGTACTATACTGAAATTATGTTGATAGAAACACAATCTTTTTTTCATTAGTAACTGCTTTTATGGTTTCTACAAGCAGTTCTCCATCCACATTGAGTGTGGTCCCAGGGAACTGTAACTAGTCTTGGAAGTGATTGGTGTTGCCTGAGGATTTGGGGCCCAGAACAAAGAGAAACAGAGATCTGAGGGAAAAAGGAGCATAGGCTGGAAGCTAGGAAATGTCTGAAAAGGTAAGTCTATAAAATTAGACAGGGCACACACAGAAGCCCAAGTAAAGTTTCTTACAGAGTATCTGTGAGCCAGTTTGGAAAGTTGAGCTTAAAATAATCCCCTGGAGCATATGATATGGGGTAAGGATCTTTTACAGCTTGGCAGGAGGACAGCTAAATGCTCGGAGAAAGATCCATTGCAGACACTTAAAGTTATTGAAGTTCTATTTGCAAAACTGAGTCCCTCAACAGTGGACACTTCAGTTAACGGGATAATTTAACCAAGAAAGAGAGTCCAAAATAATTCCTTAAGGACTGATATAAGAAACTTTTTTCTAAGGCGATAAAACCAGAATTTATTAAATTGTACCATGGACATTCTACAAGCAAATCTAATAAGAATGTTGAGGTTTTTCTTTTTTTTAAACAACAGTGTCCACAGGGACCTTTATTCCTTGACTTCACCTTGCCCCTAGATCCAAAATTCATACAAATTAATTAGTGAAAGCTGACAAGACGTTTGAATTACCTTAAAATGGCACATTCTGAATTTAAAGTAGGCAAGAAGATGACCCGACACTTGCCTAAAGTAATATACTCACTAATTGCAAGCTTGACAGAAAAATTGTTCATGGGAATAAAAATATCTTAAGGAAATTTCTTTATGATGTAGCTATCTTCTGGGTAAAACATAGTGTGAAATTCTACACCTAATCAACTATTACACAGTAAAACAAAATAGACTTTAGGACCCAATATTAACAGTTTCTGTACACTGGGTTCCCACTGATATCAGATGCTGTGCTTCACCTTGCCTGCGTTATCCCACTTGATCCATACATTAGCCCTCCATCGTTGCTGCTACTCCTAATTATACAAATGAAGGTGAAGAAACGAATGAAGAAACAGCCCCCAATGAAGTTAAGTGATTTGCTAGACTTGGGATTAGAATCCATATCTGCTTGGCTACAAAGACTCAATTTTTTGAGCCCAGGATGCATTTGCTTATTAATTATACCTTTTCTCATGTTATTTGTTGTTCCATTAACCAAGAAAATATATATCCCAAGGCGGCATCTTATCAACACTGAATCACATATCGAATTATTCATGACAAAAGTGTACAATTAAAAGGAAAAATTTTGTATGATTTCCTTTGGATACTTCAGACTAAATCCTTGCTGTTACTTGATTTTTGATAGAAGTATTGGTTCCCCTGGGATGTAACACACCTGTTCTTGTGCAGGTCCTAAACAAGTTGAGAAATAAGATGAAGGGTAAGGTATATGGAAAACAGAAAATATTGTTGTTTTAACTGATAAAGGCCAAGTTGTGAGGGCCAAAGAGGTTTGGTAAATAAACCACAGAATTAGTCAGACTTAACTTACCTGGTCAAGGCACTGACAGCCACCAGTGTTGGGAGCAGCCTGCTCCCAAGAACAACAGGGAAAGTCTATACCCCAGAGCCAAGAGCTCTCACAAAGAAAATGGTACCCGGCTCTTTTTTTTGAAACGTGTCCATCAGATAAATCACCTCACTCCCAGAGAGCAGAGTAAAGGGGTGAAGAAAGGGTGGGTTTTACAGCAATAGAACTGCCTTCAGAAGAAGAAAATTTCAGATCTCTTTCTCACATTCTCTTGTACCTCGCTGGGTGTAGCTTCCAAGCCTCTGGTTAGATCTCCCTGTGTGGGAGATCAGCAGTCCAGGACAGACTGCCTACCACACGCACAGGGGGATTGCTTGCCTCCCTGCAAGGATGAAAAACTAGCCCTTTAGGAGACTCTTGGAACCTCTCATGGGAAAGACACATGTTGCCCCACGAAGACTCTGAAATGAGTCTTCTACTCCATTAATTAAATTTACTCCAGGGCTACTTTACTTAAGCTTCCAAATTTACTACCTATTCCCTTTCCCATCCCAAATTATGTCCAAGCATGTTTTCCTGTGTAACATGTCATTGATCCTGTAATAAGATTTAATGACATTAATGAATAGAATAAAATACATAAATTCTATAATACTAAAATGCCAGAAAACTTTCATAGAAGCCCTCTTCTGCTGTCAGATTCAGAGGGAGAAAGTAAAGGCTATGCCTATTAACATTTAAAGGAAATTAATGTTTAAAATTCATTTTTAGAAAATATGAGTTAAAAGTTAGAAATTAAAGAAATTCTCATTTTTAGAAAATTCTGCTTAGTCTATACTAGAGGTTTTCTCAATTATTTAGATGCATAAGAATGGCTGATATTTCTTTAGGACCTCATACATTTTATTATTTTAACACAGGTATCTGATAAGTCTCTTTTTAGAATCCAAAGAATTAACGGGACACAGGAGATTATAACGACACTCTCCCCACATATACCAACTTTACAAAAAAGGGTTTAGGACAATTTCCCAGGTGAAAATTCCTGAAGCTGTTATTTAATATTGACTGAAACTGTAGTAAAAGCTCAGTTATATTTCTAAGTAAAAGAAGGCATATTAATTCTCTACTGCTGTGTGACGCAGCACCCCAAAATTTCTTAGCTTAATAAAACAAGCATATATTCTCTTGCATTTTCTGTATTTTAGGAATTGGGGAGCACATTTTTTTTCTGGTTGGTTCTCGTTCAGGGTCCCTCCTGGGATCGCAGTCCAGTTGTCCTCAAGGGCTGTAGTCATCTGACACCGGTAAGGTTCATTCCCACCCTTACCCATGTAGGCAGCCTACAGTTTTTCACCATTGGAGAGAGACCTCAGTTCCTTAACACATGAGACTCTTGACTCCTCATGGCATGGCAGCTGGCTTCCCTCATAGCAGTGATTTGAGAGAGAAGGAAAGCAAAACAGTGATGTCACGCTGTCATTTATGTCCTAGTTTCTGAGTCATACACCATTTCTTCTGCCTTCCTCTATTTCTTAGGAATGCGTCACTAAGTCCCATGATACCTTCAATGGAAAGCATTACACAAGGGCTTAAATACCTAGAGGCAAGGAACCCTGGGGACCATCTTAGGGACTGGCTTCCAAAAGAGGTGATGGCAAAAAAAATCGTAATTTTTACCCTCACCAGGATGCCACTGGTTGGTTGGTACAAATTAAGCAGAATCTATGATTTGATCATTTAAATTTAATAGAGGGAAATCTTCAGCAAAAAGTTTAGTACAGTTCACTACCATCTCTTAGAGAAAAATCTGCCCACGCACAGCTTTTAGTGTCCATCTCCTCTGGGACCTCTGTGTTCTGGGTACTTCTGCTCTGTATAGGCAACGAGCTCTGTTGGGTCACATAGCTACCTCGTATCTTGTAGAAAGGCATTTTTATTCCCGTGCCATCATAGCTAATTCCACTGCCTCTTATTAGAGAACTGCTTAGACCTAAGAAATTTGCTTTTTAGTGATGGTTTCTATCTTGTCTCCATATCTGTTTCAACCGGAAAAACTTTTGCAACATATTCCTGAGATGAAACTAGCATAGGTGGTTCTGAAGCCAGTGTTCCTTGGGCTGTGATGTGGCCCAAGGTCCCTTCCGTGTGCTCCTCAGGGCACTGTCTCTTCACTGCTTGTGAATTCTACAGTTTCTCAGTCAGTTTCCTTCATAATAAAGGAAACCAATGAAAGTCCCCCTACAATAACTGTATCACCTTGAAACACATCTAGTATTTCTTTTGAGCAGTTTCCACTTGAGTCTCTGAATGAGCCTCATAAATTCACCATCATTTTCTTGGCCCCAAATAGAGAGAGTAATCAGGGGCTGTTAATTGCTGATCTATTGCTGCCTACCCAAGCCTGACACTAACCATTTAAAGACAGAATGTCAGAAGTAGCACAGAGCACACACGAAACCCAGCTGCCTTGTAGTTTAAAGCCTTGTAGTTTAAAAACAACGATATCAAGTTCTACAATTGTACAGAAAAACTTGTTCTCTTTATAGTTTAATTCTTGCCTCAGCTGCCCTTGAGCTCTAAGACCTCTGCAGCCACTGACATCTGTTGTGGTTTTTGCTGTCCACATAACATATGCAACTGTATTTCAGGGTCAGGAAGCAACAAGCTCCAGGCTGCCTGTGCCTGTGAAAGGCTTTCACTGCCTTGAGCATCTTTGTCAAGGACCTTCTAGACTTAGCTCCGTAAGTCATAGAGAAATATTTTGTCATAGAGAAATACACCGTAATCTATATTCATAGATCCAGATCAGAATATTGTGTGCCCTGCGTCTTAAAGGTGCTGGCCCTTGCCATGATATTTAAAAGCTGGTTCAGTATATGCCATAACAAACTTCAAAATATTCTGCTCCAAAACCCGATGAAGACTCCAAACCACATGTCTTTGCCCCAATTAAAAGTCTCTCCATGTGTTATTTTCTTTTTCTCCTCAGCTTTGCTCATTGCATCTTATTTGGCAGTATTCCCATCAAAATACACCAAATGTTGTTTCCTTTAAGGTAATCCCTCAAATTTGCAGGTCCCCCTAATGATGGCGGACCTGCCTGCAGAAAGCAGTAGTGACTGTGCTCTTTCTGCCAAAGGCTGAGCACCAAGGAGATGAATGGAAAGCAGCTGAGCTGAACACGCCCCATTTATCTTCCCAAACTTACCAACTAGAAAAGATACTCCAATGTGGTTGTGTTTGATTTAGGGAAAGTGCAGGAAGAAGTGCGGAGTACGTTACACTAATTGAATACCCTCCATAGGAAGAAAACATCAGGAGTGAGGAGAAAGTTTTGTCTTTTAACTACGTGACTGAGAGGCTCTTTTAGGCTTGTAACGGAGATTTAAAGGAGCAAAGCATTTTTTTACCCTAGGAGAAGGTTGAGTATTCTTGTGCAAGTGTAGCTATTGCTATGTAACACTATAATATTTCCACTGTGGAATTTGGGGAAGAGATAGACACGTTCACCAGGACAGAGTGAATTTTGTTAGAGGAATCTGCTCTTCCTCCACACCTGCCCTCTGCAGTGCACCTCACAGTGATCTGACTTCAGACCCCTTTCGTTCCCTAAACCATCTTGCTTCAATGTCAACAGCGATCTCCTGAGGGCCAAATCCAGCAAACATTTCCCAGTTCTCCTCCAACGTGATTGCTCTTTGATATCTGAAACTATGCTTTTGGAAATCGTTTTCAATGTCTCTTTTTCAAAACTCTCATCTTCCTTGGCTTCCTTAACCCTGCATTCTCCAGGGTCGTTAGCTGGACCTCTGAAAGCTCCTCTCCTTTCTCCTCTTCTAAGACATCATCCTTTGTGCACTCCTTGAACAAAGTAATTCCTTAGGTGTCTGCCCCCAGCTCCGCTGGCATCTAGTTGTAGACTTTTTACCTTGGCAATGTACTTTTGGCTGTGGTTTCTACAACAATCCCCATGAAAGTAACTCGGCTGTAAATGAAACTCTCAACTTTCTACGGAACATACATGTATTTTCAATATTCAAAGTAAATATGTCCAACACTAATTTTTTTTTATCAGAACTTGCTTTCCTTTATATATTCATTTCCTCAGTCAATCAGATCCTCATTCTTAAGTCACTGAGGTCAGAAATTGCCTGGTCACATAGTCATGTTGAAGGCTGTTTATCTTAGAGATTTGTCATGCTCTGGAATTAGTTAGATCTAGGTTCAGGCCCAGCTCTGCAATTACCAGCTATGTGATCTTCAGCAAGCTACCGAATTCCCATCCCTTCCCTTATCTGTAAAACAGACATAGTAAGCAGAACGCACCTCACAGGGCTGTTAAGGAAGATTTAATGAGATAAATGTGCATGGAGTCCTTAATACACTGGTGGACGCAGAGAAATCTGATATTTACCTGTTATTACAGTGTTTGTTGTAACTCTGGATTGTCTTTAAATTATGTGCCCTTCTTTTATATCTGCTGCCATTACCTTATTTCCTTTCCTCATGTGAATTATTGCATCCGACTAGTTTCTTTGTTTATAGTTTCTCACCCTTTAAATCCATCATTTCTACTGTCACAAACTTTACCTTATGATAGCCCAGACCTATTCATGCCACACTCTGCTGCTTTAATACCCTACTGGCTCCTGTTAGTCTACAAAATAATGTTCAGTCCCTAGCATGGTAGCCAGGGCTTTTAATAATATGCTTACAACCTGCTTTCTTCCTCACACACTTAGGCTGCAGGCATGCTGGACTTTTCACTGTCCCTGAGTGCACTTTCATAAACACATGACTTTTTGGCAAAAAAAGAAAAGGAAAAAAAAACTCTCAGCCTGAAATTCTCTAAGCTGTTCATGCTGCAAATATGAATGAAAATTTTTTTCTTTTCTACTTGATTGACAAATTTTATCTTACTGTCCTCGTGCATGTATACATTCATATACATACACAATATTTATATTTAACCTCATAACAGTGGTTTACTTGTTCATGCCTGCAACAACGTTTTAAGCTCCTTAAAAGCAGGGACCATGACTAATTCTTCGAACTTAGTCACCATATCTAGTATGGCCATAGTGGATGATTAGAAAACACATAAGGAAATGAACTTGTAACTCTAATAACCTTCTAAGTTAGGGTTTTAAGATTGTGGATTCTACTCTTTCACCAAGTTAGCTTATGTTTTGATAAGTATTTGCCTCTTTAATATTTCGATGGTACTGTGCAAGGAAATCCATGGCCTGTTAACAGCAGCTGGCCATGTTAGCTTGCCCATGAAGAACAGAGAAAATGTGGGAGGCAATACGGTGACAGTGGTGTAATTAAAATGTTAAAAATTAAAACTGAAATGTAACTGCTAGTTATAATAAGTAAATAGATCAACATAAGATTTTTAAATTAAAGTAGCAAGAACAGTTACAGCAAGAGTCCAGATGGACAGCGTTTTCTGAAATTACTATAGGTCTCACATACCCTGAGAATCATCAGTTCCAACTTTTCTTAGAGACAGGTACAGTTAAAAGAAACCCTACTTTATTTAATACAGGTAATCAACAGATAGTGTTCATGGGGTTCTGTTTCACAGTCTCATTTATTTCTTGGCTTTATTGAAGTTTTAGGCCCTATGTGAGCCCTGTTAAGTTAATGAACAAAAGCATCCTTTTCTAGCTTTAGTAAAACTTGACTGTAGGCTATTTCACAGTGAACACTTCTCAGATTCTTAAGCAAGGTGCCAATATGCCCTACAAGACTTTTGGAGAAAATTAAGGAAGGCATCTCAGTGTCATGTATCCGAACTGTTCCAAGTGCCTCAAAATAAATGAAAACTCTATCCACTTGGTTAAAGCACAATTTGTCCATTTAAATCTCTGATCTTACACAGCTAGTATACCCATACTTTCTCCTCTGCTTCTGATGTCCTCATTGTAAGACCTACCCACAAATATAAATGCTAGCAAAGATGAGGCTTTCTGTTACTATTTCAAATAAAATTGTGATTATTTTCAAAATATGAAATCCCTTCTCATTATATAAAAATTTAAAAATACAAAAAAGAGGAAAAAATTATTTTATCATCCCCAAAGATCTGTTGTTCGTATTGTAATATTCCTAGATTTTTTCTATGTGTTTTACAAACTTTTTATAGTTATGATCAAATAAATAGGGCACTAGAGAGTTGTGTCCTTATTTTGTCATTTAACATTATAACAAATTTTTCATGTAAATAAATCACTTATAAATAACATTTATCAGTTTCAAAATAGTTCATCATGTGGATATATCATCACATTAACCATTCCCTTATTCTTTGTGTTAAGGTTTAAGCTATGATTAATAATTTCTTAAGCTTTGTTTCCGAAAACTTTTCTTCATGAGTAGGACAGGGAGAGAAAATCTATTGTTTTTGCTGTCTGCATGTTCTCCTAGCTCATGGAAACAGATTCCCACTTCCTGAGGGGATTGCATTCCATTACCTTATTGAAATCAATATTAGCCATGCAGCGGAGCACATGTGGGCATGATCTTCAGAGTACTACATTTTTCTGGAAACTGTCAATGGCTCAGAGAAAGGCATATGACCTAAGCCAGGACAATCAGTCTTTTCCAGGACTGTTTGGCTGGAATTTTCATTCAAACTGCTAAACCAGTAATTTTGTTCATTGTTTGAGGGAATCTGCCTGAATAATGGACAAAAAGAGCTTTGAACTACATCATTTAAGTTTTGCCTTGCCTAAAATGTACTCCATGTCACTAACTTTTCAGGTATTTGCTCTAGTTTTTTAGTTTTTTTAGCCTATGCTAGTTTCAGTTTGAATACTATTGCAAGCCTGAGACCATGCCAACTAATAAAAATGAAATCTCCTCAGGATGTCAGCAAGATAGCTGAATAGGAAACCCCAGACCTTCTTTCGTCTCGGAAGCACTGATTTAACAACAGCACACGGATCAAGTCCCTTTGCGAAAAATCAAGGGAGCAGTTAAGATGCTCTTGTACCCTAGGCAAACACAAAACCAACTGCATCAAAGCTGGCAGAAAAATTAAAGAGAAAACTCTTTTGCCATAGTCCCTCCCCCTACCACAACACCAGCATATACAACAAATGCATAGACACTAACACAAAGTTACAAGGAACACAAAGAAATAGAAAGTATGGCCCAATGAAAGAAAGAAACAATAACAATCTCCAGAAACTGATAATTTAGAAATGGAGGTAAACGAATTACCTGAAAAGGAATTCAGAAAAGCTTTCATGTAGAAATGGAGAAATAAATCTATAGGCCAATATCTCTGATAGATTTTGATTCAAAAATCCTTAATAAAATACTCACAAACAGATTCCAAGAGCACATTTAAAGGATCGTAGACCATGACCAAGTGGGAATTATCTCTGTGTAAGGATGGTTCAACACAGAGAATCAATCAATTTAATACACCGCATCAACAGAATTAAGGATAAAAATCAAATGGTTGTACCAATAGATGCAGAAAAACATTTCACAAAATTCAGTACCCTTTTATGATAAAAACACTCAACAAACCAGGAATAAAAGGAAATTACCTCAACATAATAAAGACCACATATGAAAAGCCCACAGCTAACATCACACTTAATAGTGAAAAACTGAAAGTTTTTTGTCTAAGACAAGGATGGCCACTCTTGTCACTTCTATTCAAAATAGTAGTGGAAATACTAGTCAGAGCCATTAGATAAGAAAAGAAAAGAAGCACCTAAATTGGAAAAGAAAAAGTAAAATTATCTGTGTTCATAAATAACATAGTCTTACATGTAGAAAACCCTAACAATTCCATACAAAAAATGTTTCCACTAATAAATTAATTCAGTAAAGTTACAGAACATAAAGTCACCATACAAAATTAATTGCATTTCTATACACTAAGAACAAACACTCTAATAAGATAATTTTATTTGTAATAGCATTAAAAGAATACAATATTTAGGAAATAACCAAAGAGGTGAGAGACTTGTGCATTGTAAACTGTAAAACTGCTAAAAGAAATTGAAGAAGGCACAAATAAATAGAAAGGCATTTCGTGTTCATGGTTGGGAAAACTCAATATTGTTAAAATGGCCAGAATACCCAAAGCAATATACAGATTCAATAGAATCCCTACCAAAATCCTAAAGATATAGAAAAAAATTCTAAAATTTATATGGAACCACAAAGGGCCTGGAAGAGCCAAAACAATCTTGACAAAGAAAAAAGCTGGAAGCCTTACAAATTTGCTGAATTCAAAATATATTACAAAGCTACAGTAATCAAAAGGGTATGATGCTGGCATAAGGGTAGATATATAGATCAAAGCAATACAATCGAAAGCCCAGAAATAAACTCATGCATATATGGGCAGCTGATCTTCAATAAGGGTGCACAGAATATATGATGGAGAAAGGATAATCTCATCTCATCAACAAATAGGGTTAGGAAAACAGGATATCCATGCACAAAAAAATGAAATTGAACCCTAACTTTATATCATACACAAAAAATCAACTCAAAATGGATTACAGGCTTATACATAAGACCTGTAACTGTTAAACTTTTAGGAAAAAAACATAGGAGCGTCTTCCTGACGTTGGACTTGGCAATAATTTTTTGAATATGACATCAAAAGCACAGGCAACAAAAGCAAAAGTAGACAAGTGGGGCTGCATCAAACTAAAAAGCATCTACACAACAGAGGAATAAAAAGGCAACCAACAGAATGAAAAGATAACCTACTGAATAGGATAAAATTTTTGCACACTATATAGCTGATGAGGAGTTAATATCCAAAATATATAAGAAATTTAAACAACTCAACAACAAACAAAATGAGTAATCCAATTTAAAAATGGCAAGAGGCTTGAACAGATATTTCTCCAAAGATGACATACACATGGCCAAGTATATGGGAAGATTCTCAACATCATTAGCCATTAGGGAAATGCAAATCAAAACCACAATGATATATTACCTCATACCTGTTTGGATGGCCATTATAAAAACAAAAACAGAAAATAACAAGTGTAGGTGATGATGTGAAGAAATTGGAATCCTTGTACACTGTTGGTGGAAATGTAAAATGGTGCAGCCACTATGGAAATTAATATGGAGGTTTGTTAAATAATTAAATATAGAACTACTATATAATCCAGCAATTCCACTAATGGGTATTTATTCAAAATAATTAAAATCAGGATCTCAAAGAAATATTTGCACTCCCATGTTCATTGCAATTTTATTCACGATTGCCAAGAGGTGGAAACAACCTAAATGCCCATCAACAGCTGAATGGATGAAAGAATATGTGTATAAACATAGAATGAATATTACTCCACCAGAATGAAGAAGGAAATTCTGTAATATGCTACATGGATGAAACTTGGGACATTATGCTACATGAAATGTCAGTCAAAGAAAAACAAATGCTGCATGATTCCATTTATATGAGGTATCTTTAAACTCATCAAAGCAGAAAATAGAATGGTGTGTGCTAAGGGTTGAGGGAGCTGGAAATGGGAAACTTCTGTTTAATGGGTATAAAGTTTCAGTCATGCAAGATGAAAAAACATCTAGTGATCTGCTATACAACATTGTGCTATAGTTAATATAATATTGCACACTTATAATGTTATATGATAATATAATAATATCATATTGCACACTTAAACATTTTTATAAGAAGGTAGATCTCATGTTATGTGATTTTTTACTACAACACAAAGTTAGATCTTCCCACCACATTTACCGATACAGATATGAATATTTGTGTTTCTTCATAAGCCTCATACAATTGCTATCCCAAAGTCTTGTATCAAGTCATATTTTTGTTGTTGTTGTTGTTGTTGAGACGGAATCTCACTCTGTCGCCCAGGCTGGAGTGCAGTGGCGCCATCTCGGCTCACTGCAACTCCGCCTCCCGGGTTCACGCCATTCTCCTGCCTCAGCCTCCGGAGTAGCTGGGACTACAGGCGCCCACACCACGCCAGGCTAATTTTTTGTATTTTTAGTAGAGACGGGGTTTCACCGTGTTAGCCAGGATGGTCTCAACCTCCTGACCTCGTGATCCGCCCGCCTCGGCCTCCCAAAGTGCTGGGATTACAGGCGTGAGCCACCGCGCCCGGCCTCAAGTCATATTTTTATAGCATGTTAATGGAATCTCTTATGCTTCATCCATGTTGAAAATGAGTATTTTCATTTTTAAGTGTTGCTTGTATTTTATTGGCCAAAATTATTTCACTGTTTATTTCTGTTATTGAATTACCTGTAAATCTTATAATGCCTTAATAGGTCACTATTTTTGTCTTTGTCTATGGGGGGGTTGATACTGTAGGGGAAGAGCGAAATAATGTGGCTCCTAAGGAGGAAAGTAATTAAGAAAATTCCTACTGTTTTAAACTTGAATCTCTATAAATGCCCAAATTAGGGGCTTACTCATTGGAATTATTCCTTTCTAATTTCTTCTCTTTCCCGCTAACAGAGATAGGCATTCTTGGAAACAACATGTTTTGAAGACTGTGGTTGATTTTCTCAAATTTTCAGGAACAACACCGCTGACCCATGGTAGAAACAGTGTTCTAACAGAGCTGGAAGGTGCTAGTAAGTCCACAGTGCTGACATTCTTTCATTTGCATTTCTGGTTAACCTGCTCCTCAGAAAAGAAGTCTGTCATATAAAGTTTGGTGTAACTTCTTCAGTGATTCCCCTGCAATCTGATACAGACTTGGGCTCACACCTTTTTTGGAGGTAGGGATCTTGTCTGGCGTAGTCAACAGTACATCTCAAGAGCTCATTATATTTCTTTACACATAGTAAGTGCTCAGTAAAAATTTGTTCAATACAAACAAATAAATTTTTAAAAGAGAATACCAATATTGTTTGGACAGGAGAAATTCTTTCTAGCTCATATCACTTTTCAATAATTAGAAAAGATGACTTGGAAACTTTTACCAAGATAGTAGCAAGCACTTCTCTGTATAGAATTTTAGAGCTGCAAGGGACTTTGAAAAATAGCCTATTTAATTTACATACAAAAGTACTGAGACACACTCATTAAAGGCAGAGACCAGATCAGAAGCCAGGTTTTTTTGCTTTAACCATTCTGTCTTTCCTCTGGAGGAAAATCACTTTGCACATATCATCAGCTCTTAAGTTTGATCTCTGGCAAAGAAATAATAATTGATCTAATTATTTCACATTTCAGAACAACAGTTAAGTTTACAAATGAGTAAATTTATTTTGTTTATAGGTTTCCCCTTTGAATTTTAATTTCTTTTTAATGAGCTAGAATTTCCTTTGACTTCTAAGATTTTAAGTCAAAACTAATAATTACTGATAGCTGCAAAATATACTATGTTTAGACTGCTCTAAGAATAAATAGCTGTCAAATGTGTTAAGCTTTCATGGCAGATTAGATAATATTCTGAATCATTTGAAGGTATGTATTCATTCATAACACATTAACATTCATTCATTGAAAACATTTTCTGCCTAAACAATCTTCAAAGATTTTCTACTCTCTGAAGAATAAAGTACAAACCCCTTCTTGGTATTCGTGCTCTAAGACTTGCCTCTAGAGTACTTTTAAAATTTTCCTTTATTTCTTCTTAGCTTACCTTAAACTCCAAACAAATTGACGTGCTTATCGTTTCTTGTAGCTACCCTTAGTTTTCTAACCTTGTTGCTTTTGTTAATCCTTGTGTCCTTAATGTGGAGGTATTCATTCCTTACTCATTTATTCATAAACGAATACAACTAGTTCAAGACCTATCTCAAGTGTTGGCTTCTTAAGCTTTTGTTTTACATTCCTCCCCTCTGAAATATTCTCTCTCTTCCACATACTCCTAATATTTTATCTGATGCTTCAATGCCCCTGTTCCTTTTGACATTGTATCATGGTACTTTAAGTAACTTTTTATCTGCTTATAAATTCCTTAAAAAATATTCTTTATCTGATTTCTCTTCATAATCTCTGTAGCAACTTTTTCATTGTGGGTTTTCAATAAACCTGGAAATAATATATCTATTAACAACACAATGCAAAGGAAAATGACTTTTAAAAAGAGATAAACTGTCGTATTTTTATTTTAGGACTCTATAATTAATGATTGAAAATGCCTTAAAAGACCCTTATGGGAAACTGTTAAAAGTGTTTTGTTTGTTTGTTTTTAAATAAAAAGTTATTTAGCATGAACATACCTAGAAAAATGAAATGAGTTGTATAAATTCAGTGTGTAAATGTAAATGAATAAAATAATATGTGTTAGATGGGGTGACTGGTAATATACCAGCAGTCCTGCCATAAACAACTTTAAAACTGGAAAAACATGTGAAGCAAACATTTTCAGGCAGCAGCCAACAGCAGTGCAAGACTGTGCACACTGACAGAAGGGAATCTCTCCCTATGCTCCCATGATTGCCCAGCTTTCTGACAGCCAATTCCCTGACTATGGTGCAAGGAGCCCCAGTCTGAGGAGAGAATGTGGTACTCAGAGAAACCGAAGAGACAGAGATCAGAGTTGAGGGCAGCTTAGGCAGGATAGAGTAGGGCATGAAAGACAAGGGAAATTGGCAAGAGAGGTGACTCCAAAAGCTTATGCACAACAATGCCAAGAGTCATCCTCAGTGGTTAGGGGATGGGTTGTCCACGGATAGGGAAAGACCACATGGTGCTTACCA
Source organism: Homo sapiens (assembly GCF_000001405.40). Taxonomy (NCBI): domain Eukaryota; kingdom Metazoa; phylum Chordata; class Mammalia; order Primates; family Hominidae; genus Homo; species Homo sapiens. The sequence goes on from NC_000004.12 coordinate 176,557,284, forward strand.
GATTAAAGTACTACAGGATTAACAGTGCAATACAAATACTATAAAATGAGCAGTGCTGGAGAAGAGCAGGTCTAGACATACTTTGGAGTATGTCTTGACATCTACCTCCTTCTTACCTTTGGCATTCTGCTATCACAATAGTAAGAAATCCCTGGCATTAGCTAGACACCATAAAATCTTCACATTAGGTTTGAGGACCAATCTCTCTAATTTCTACTATAGGTCTACCCTAGCAAAGCATAAAATGAAGCCCCATCAATATCTGGGCTTCATCCAGATCTGTACTAGCAAAGTGAAAGTTCAAGTCCAAGTAAGATCAATATGATCAGTCAGTAATTAGCCTACCTTCTAAAACAAGAACGAACAGTTTTCAGAAAAAGATTTTTAAAATCTAGAGGCTTAACAATGTATTATTCAAAATGTCCAGTATTTTCATTTAAAAAAATCACAAGGCAATCAAAGAGACAGAAAAATTTGATCCTTAGTCAAGAAAAAAGTGATTAATGGAAACCAAACCTTAGATGGCCTACTTGTTGAACTTAAACAGGGAAAGACCTTAAAGCCACTAACATAAATTTATCTTAAAAGGGAAATTATAGTCTTAATGAGTGAGAGAATGGGGATCCCTACAGAAAAATGAAAACTATGAAATAAGAATCAACTGAAAATGCTGAAATAAAACAAATACAGTAACAGAAATAAGAAGATTTTTAAGGGCTTAAGACCAGATTTAAGATGGAAAAAATAGTAAGTAAACTTGATTACAGGTAAAGAGAAATTATTTTATTTTAGTAACAGAGAGAAAAAACAATGAGGAAAAACAAAGGCTTAGGAATGTATGGGACAATATGACAAATTGTCTTCCTTTAAATGAAGGAAATTCGAGAACTGCTTTGTTTTGTTTATTTTGGTATATCCCTAATTCCAGATGACGGGCAACTAAAAGTTATTGCTTAATACATTTTTATTGAATTTAATTCTCATTAATTTTCAGAAAATCAATTACCTTAAAATATCAAATAACTGTATTTCATATGTGATATGTCTTTTTTCATCTCTAAATTAAAAGCTCAGTTTACTAAATGAAATATTTTTATTTTTAATAAAGAATGAATCTGTGTCCTCATCAAGTACTGGCAAATATTAATATCTTAAAGAGGTTGGTATTTCCAGCACCTCAAGATTATTGACTTTTGTTCACCCTTTCCTTTAATCCAAGTCCTATTAGAAAATTTGTTCAAAATTGGACCATTTGACATATGGATAAGAATAATCCTCTGTCAGAGAGATATGTTAAACGTTGTGACTAATTTCTGTGGAAGGCTATATTTTATCGTGTATGAATGTCTTTTATAAAGTGGATATGCTAATTCTTGCTCAAAAGATAATTGGCGTCTATAAATGAAATCAGGACAAATAACATAAATTTAAGTTTACATGGGAAATTTTTGGTTTGGGTTAGGCTGAAACATACCATTATAATACAGTGCACTTGGAAACTGTCAGGCCTGGGAATTGCCAAACACTCGTTGGAATCAGGAGCTGCAGACAGATTTTGAATCCGAGCCTAAGTTTACTGTCATATAAATAGAATAGTCAATTTTCTGAAAGGATATACATTCTTTTTAACCCTAGAGTATCACAAAGTCACTTATAATTTTAAGTGTTATCTTGTACTAAACGTCTGTTTCGAAGTTTAGCTCTTCTGTCTTAGGAATGAATTCTTGGAGCTCATTATGTGCCTGCATGTGATTTATCTTGAATAAAAAGTGGGCTCTCATTCAATTTTGATTACAAAGCTGTTTGTGGCTATTTGGCTTCAATCTGATTTGATTGATTTACTGCTTTTCATACTTACTGACAAATATTTATAGTTGTAATTTATAAATAAATAAATAAAGGTACTAATTTGGGGGACATGTTTAGTGATAGGAGCTATTGCACAGAAAAAAAAACTAATGAACTTTTAAAAAAACTTCCAAATATTTTACTATTATAACATTATCTTATATATATAATTCTCCATAGAATTCAAATTATTTAACAGATAGTCCTTAGTGAAATCTATAGTCTATTGCTGACAGGTTGGGAATTGGCACACAACTATGGATATAAAATAACAGCTGTGAAGCAATAAATTATGATTTGATTCAGGTCCTTCACTTATGAAATGAGAACTCAGGAGCTCAATAACATAACATCACTGACTTCCCTGGCCTGAATTGCTCCCACTTGCTCTAGTAAACAAATCTGTTGCATCTTTTCACCCAATCTTAACCTGGAAACCTAGCTTCACAAACCACATATCAGAACCAGCCACTGGAGTTGTAGGGATAAATATGTGCTCTGTAATGATGCATACAAGCAGAACTTCAAGTAATACACTTTATCAGAGGCAAGTGAAAAAAATAAAGAAGGCACATGATGTTCTGCATATTTAGAAACATGTAAGTATGTATCTTTTTAACCACTGGTCTTACTGCTCTGTAGTTCTTTTTCAGCTATTGAATTGTGACTGTTATTTTCTAATATAAATGTCACTGATGCACTTCTTATTCAAGGAATTACTCTTTTCAAATCTTCCTTTTTTCGTGTATGGGACATTTTTCCAATGTGTTCACAATCAAGAAGCACTAAAAATGGATTTAAAATCTTTTATCCTAACTACATTTACAGTACACATATCCTAAATGTGAATGTTTTCCCAAAGATTTCCCTTTAATAACATCAGAAGAGTAATACTACAACATCAGAATGCTAACCTTATTCATCATAAAATTACTAACTTTACCTTTTCTTGCTTTAAGTTGATTAGCGTTGATTAAATTAAGCTCTATAGTGATTGTTCGACATAGATATGTGTGAATTCCACTGGTGATTATAGCATACTTTTCTGTACTACTAAAAAAATTCTATGGAACATGTATCTTTATTTCAGATGTATGTTCTTAATTTGCAGTTATAGAGTATAAGTGTATCTTGAGATAAACAGATGATGGAGTCCATATGTTTTTGCTGTAGTAAGTCCAATTCTGAAATTAAGAAAGTGGTAATCATTTTATTCTTGACAAAATATAAGGTGCAGACAGCTATATTTTCACTTTCTGCTCAATGGAATTTCCCGTGTTAAAAGATGAAGGAAGATATGTGCGTTTTAAAATTCTCTTTCAATTGATACTAATACTAAAATAAACATGTAGTACCTACAAATATAGAAAGGTATTGTAGCGTACATCAGTATGTTAGATCATCTGAGTAGTGTTTATTTTTATTAATGGTTAGTGTTTGTTAGTGATTACATTTTCTACTAAGAGTACTCATGGTGCTTTGCAGTATAGAAAATCTTACTGGCACTAATCTGTAACAAATACACCTTCACTTTCACAAGAATTTTAGGTTTATTTCACAACCCTCTTGAGAACCTGTGATATGGAAGGTGCTCTGCCGGGCCCGTCATGTTGAGATCTACTCATGCTCTTGAGAGACTGCTCCTCTTATTTTCTTTTTTAAAAATAGTTATTTATTTTTTAATTTTTATTTTACTTTTAAGTTCCAGGATACATGTGCAGAATGTGCAGGTTTGTTACATAGGTATACATGTGTCACGGTGGTTCGCTGCACCCATCAGTCCGTCATCTAGGTTTTCAGTCCCTCATGCATTAGGTGTTAGTCCTAATGCTCTCCCTCCCCTTGTCCCCCACCCCCCTGACAGCCCCCTGCGTGTTATGTTCCCTTCCCTATGTCCTCTTTTTTATGAAATACTGAAGAATTCTGGGGGTTCCTGTAACTGACTGGGAAATGATGAAGTGTTTCACAGATGTCCTTATTCCCAAATAGCAACACCTCTGTACACACTACTTTATTATCTAGCCAGAGGAAAAACAAAATAAAGCATCTCAAAGAGTCTCAGACCAGTATTTATAACTGCCGCCTCTACATTCTCTATCATTCCACACACATTTTTATTTACCTCAAATACATATCCTTTTTTTTTTTCTGTGGAGTAGATTAAGAAATAAGGAACTACCCTCAAACAAAATAAGTTGAGGGCAAAAGGGGTCTTTGGTATTTCACTATTGAAGATATCAAACTATTTAAAATGTTTCTTCAAAGTCTTGCTTTAGAATACTTGCATCTACTCCAGATTTCCAGATGAACAAGCGCTTAGAACTGGTTACACATTTAATTTATAAACAATTTTTGACTGTCTCTGTACTCTGGGTTGGGTCTGGACAGTAAAGTAAGAAACTATCCTCTCTGAAAGGGCTTACTGCTTGGTCAGTGGAGAGGCATGTAAGCACAGAGGCGTGATTCAATGTTTTGTGTGTTGTGAGGTGCATAGAGTGCAGGCGAGGCGATGAGGTGGAAGAGGGATTCACAAGGGAGTGACATTTAATCTGTGTCTTGAAAAACATGTTGAAGTTTTCTAGGAAAAAGGAACATTCAGAGGCAGAAAGAAGAACAGAGACACAGAGGAATTAAATAAGATGTTGAGAGCAGGTGGAGCGTTTTTCCTGGTGATTGGGTTAGCAAGAAGGTGGGACAGAGGATGAGACATAATCATGAGGGGCTTCCAGTAACAAAGAGAATGTAAAGGAAGGAAATGAAAGAGTGTGTCTTGTAGAAGTGTATAGTGGACCTTGAACAAACTGTTTTGTATCTTCAGTAAACTTTAAACTTTATTCAGTCTTCAGTAAACAAAATATGCTTTCATAATTTTGAATGGAAGATCAAGATTTTGAAACTTTGAACTTGTAATTAGAGTAGATGCATCAGAAACTATAAGGATCACAGTTGCTAAAACATGATGCAGTATAAATCTATCGATACATGCAACCCCTTGTTCAAAGGACAAACTACAATGGTTATGAAAAGTATACAGAGAAAAGCCTTCTATTGGTCAATAAGAAATATAGGGGAATTCATGTTGCTTTCATAAAAGCCTATTTTTAATGATCCATCTCAAAATCACCTGGTGAGCTTGTTGAAAATGCCAAATTCCTGACCCTCCCCAGAGAAATTCTGATTCAGTTGGCCTGAGGGTGAGTCGCTGGGCTATCCATTTCTAAACACCCCGGGAGATTGCTATGTCTGTGGAAGCTGGAGAACCAGACCCCCTATAGTAAAAATGTGTTTAATATAGGTTTTTGTGATCTTGAAAGCATATTTACTTCGAGCATATTTGATGGAGATAGTGTAAATTTCCTCCCGGTTAATTCAGCCTGTAACAAGACATGGCCATAGGAGGCCATAACCATGCCAAGCCACCGCCTACGGGGTAGCAGCTGACTCTAATTGAAGGGCAAGTTCTTGCCCATAGCTGTGGTTCTGAAAGCACCGACGTATAAAGCAATGGGAAACATCGTCTCAATACACCGGCTCTTTGTTAACATTCAACCTACGTATTCTCCACATGAAATATTCCAATCAGGAAACGCTGGATTTGCTTTCATTTGAGCTAGTATCAGCTCTTTTCAGATGTATCAACAGATAAAAAGTTAAATAGGAAAGTGGCTTAATTGCTGTGGCACCAAAGCGTGGGCGGCATTCTCTCTCTAAATGTTGTCTGGGTACATTGCAATACGCTTAGGAGAGGCATGAGTATTGTCCCTGTTGAGTATCATTTGCTTAGGCGTATTCTTTTTAGTTATTTCATTTTGTTACACTTTTTGATAATGATAAATAGGAAATTATTGGCTTCATTTTAAAACGTGGTAGGATTGCAAGTCCGATGCTGAAATTTAAAATTCTCAAAGATGGAAAGTGGGGAAATAAAATGAGTGGTTTTCATTCTTCCCAAATTCCCACTCCCCTTTTCTGCTTCCTGTTCTTTGCTTTCTCTTCTGTCTGTGACTCGGTGACTCTTGTCTTCTTCTCTTTCCATCATTCTCTGTCTTCTGTTAAGCCAGCCAACAGCAAGACAAATGAGACTGATTCTCTGGCATGTCAGTTACTCTGTTGCATGATCTGATTATTTTTCCGTTTTGGTTTATTATATATGGCTGAAAGCTTCATCGTCGTATTCCAATGACTAAAGTAAACAGTATTTATGGTTTTTATGTTAAGTTTTATGTTATATAACTACACAGTCATCATTGATGTTTAATGTGTAAGGATATGCATTGTTTAAGTGTTAAAACATGTACTTAGAAATAATATTGGCATTTGTCTTTAATGGAAAAAACTTTTTTTTTTTACATTATGGTTGCCAGATTTGGCAAACCGGGAACATGACAAGAAACTACGTTTTACACATTCTTCATCTCAGTTACTGAGGAGACGGAACAATTTTCTCTCTGGGGATTCTTTAGAAATAAATCCCAACAAATTTCCATCTATTAAACTGCATGTTTTAAAGACAAAAATGGATGGCAGTTTGGGTTTTTTTTTTTTTTTTGTACCTTTATGATTATTCTAATAGGATTAGAAACAGATCAGAAGTCCTTGAGCTTCGTAACGAAAAAGAACACACTAGATGGTGCTGTGATCCTAGCAGCAAAACCACGCATTTAAACAGTGCTTATGTCAAAGCTGGAATGAAGGAAAGCCCAGTGTGCATATGGAATTTTGTCTGACACTAGGGGATACACTAATATCAGTGTACAATTCATTTTTGCAGCATTTATATTTACCTGAAAAAATGACTTGCTGAAGTTCTGCGCTATGACAACATTGTTTTAATAAATGTGTGTGCCAGTGAGAACATGAATGCTTACGTATGTTTATATGGGATAGGTATTCTGGTTTTATCTGATTTGTTTCTGATTTTTATCTCCCATTATTTCCTTACAGGTGCACTATGTTCCAATGCGACTGGAATAATCCTAGACACAGCTTCCATCTTCACACCATCTTGTCTCCCACCCTTTGTTCCTCCAAGTGAGATAGATCCACCATCTGTTTCTGTCCAGACCTTGCCTAGCCTATCAGACCAATTTCGAATGTCATGCCTTTCATGAAACCTTTCTGATTACCTCAATCATTCCTTGTTTACTTTTTTTTTTTTTTTTTTTTTTTTTGAGATGGAGTCTTGCTCTGTCGCCCAGGCTGGAGTGCAGTGGCACGATCTCGGCTCACTGCAACCTTCGCCTCCTAGGTTCAAATGATTCTCCTGCTTCAGCCTCCCGAGTAGCTGGGCCTACAGGTGCATGCCACCATGCCAGACTAATTTTATGTATTTTTAGTAGAGACGGGGTTTCACCATGTTAGCCAGGATGGTCTCGATCTCCTGACCTCGTGATCCGCCCGCCTTGGCCTCTCAAAGTGTTGGGATTACAGGCGTGAGCTACTGCGCCCGACCTCCTTCTTTACTCTTAATTCTCATAACAACTCTTTGTATTTATCTTATGCATATTATATTCTGCCTTGCACTGTTGTATACTTTTCTTACTATACTGTAAGCACCTTGAGAACACAGATAAATTCATATGCATATTTTCTCTTTTTCCTTCCTCTAGAAACCTTTATAAGAAGTACTGCATCTTGAATGTAATTGGTGCTCAACAATATGCATACAAGGCAGGAGTAAAAGAATGAAAAAATAAATTCCTGTTAGAAAAGCTTTTGTTCTGGATATCACTGTTTGCCCTCCAAGTTCCATCACATTGCTCCGAACCATGAGAAGCAGACCTCTGTGGAATCCATCAACCAGCCATGCCCCTTGGCCTCCAGCTGGTGTGGCCAATGGGAAGCACCACAAGAAATATGAAGATAAGAAAAAAAGTGTAGAGGTATTTATTTTTCCTTCTCCATCTGAGCCAAGTCATGAGTTGGCCCAACTGTATTCTTCCCCAGAAGGCCACAGGTATCTGGTATCTGGCTCCGTTTCTTTGCTCCTTCAAGCCATGGGTGATAACTTTGGATGTTTCACTGTCTGTTTTCCTTAACTCTGTCCTGTTATTAAACTCTCTGAAATAACCCCTTTTGAATATGCCATCTATGACTCATACACAACTGATGACCCATAAAGGACATTGGAAATGAATTGCTTCACATAAGAGGTCATTCTGATAATGCAAACAGGACACAGCATCTTAGAGGACTGTTTATATAATTGTGATTTGATTTTACCTTTATTCTCAGGTCAGAAGACAGCCTACTGTGACACGTAAGTGTCTACTCTGATTTGCATAGAAGTTTAAAATAAGCATCTTAATGATTTGAGAACATTCACTAATTGCTAACACTATTAATATATTTCCTTGTTTTATAGCCCAAGAGCCATTTATATATTATCTCATCTTAAAACATTCCATCAGTTATTTTTCTGCTTACACATAGAATTTCTAAATCAAAGATCTGAAACACCAATTTTCACACCATTCTCCAAGGGACCTAGATTCCTAATGTAAGTTTTAACTTCAACATGAAAAATAAAATATATTTGTCTTTTTTAGTTTCTAGCAAGTCTGTGATCAAGATGGACATCAATGTATTAGAAATTATCATAAAATGACAATATTAAACACCTCGTTATTGGATAAGATTGAGATGAAAATTCCTTCCTTCCTTCCTTTCTTTTTTTTTTTTTTTTTTTTTTTGACAGAGTCTTACTCTGTCATCCAGGCTAGAGTGCAGTGGGGCGATCTCAGTTCACTGCAACCTCCGCCTCCCAGGTTCAAGCAATTCTCATGCCACAGCCTATAGAGCAGCTGGAATTACAGGCACGTGCCACCACGCCAGAAAAATTTTTGTGTTTTTAGTAGAGACGGGGTTTCACCATGTTGCCCAGGTTGGTCTCAAACTCCTGGCCTCAAGGGATCCACTCGCCTTGGCTTCCCAAAGTGCTGGGATTACAGGCATGAGCCACTGTGCCCGGCCCCAGATGAAAATATTTTATGTTCATCAAAAAATATATAGTAATTGAGAAATCTGTTCACTGATTCTCTTTCAAAACAGACAATAGCCACGTGAACTCTCTGAGCCTCACTTTTTCAGCTATAAAATAGTAGTAATTTATCTAACACACAGAGGTTTCGTGATTATTAAATGGCATAGCATATACAATGCCTCCTGCTGAGAGTTGTCAAAAAAGTGCTCCATACATACCAGTTTTCTTCTTTTCCTCAGTCACATAGTCACTTATTGGATAGATGCATCTATAGCCCAGGTTTCCTGACTTCATATTCAGGTCTAATTCTGCTTTACTGGAGCTCCCCTAGTTAGCATTCATGTCCACTAACCTCTTTTTTAGTTATAATTTTCTTTTTTTGCAGATTGTGGAATATAACGTATCAGGAAAATACAGACTGCAATATGGATTTTACTCACTATTAGAATTCCAACATTTATTTTGGTGTCCATACGCATATGCAGTCATTATTTTAGACATTTGTTGATTTCCCTTCTGATATTTACAAATTATGAAATAAGAAAGCCATGACCTATGTAATAACAGCATTTGATCTTTCATTCATAATTTACTAGGCTGTGTGTTTTTTTGAGATTGCTAATTAAATGACCCATTTGACTGTATTTATATTTCTGGCTTAATCAAAAAGGACATTCAGATTCTTGGTTGTCAATAACCTGCCTCTTGACTTCTTTAAATTGTCTTCCAAGTACTATTGCTGAAATTGCAGGGCTCATACCCACCCCCAGATGTCTCAACTGTTCATTCAGAACACAAAGCCTTAGCCTTGTGTTTGTCTTATGCGAAGTCCAAATAGGATCATTTATTCTAGTTCCTGTAACTCGTTCATAGATTGCTTTTCTTTGTAAGAGTTCCTGTTCTGATGACTAATCTTTATATTACTTCCCTTAGCATGGACTTCTGGGGATTAGGACCCAATCCCACATTTAACCATCGTAGTCAGGATCTCACACCTTACAGCTGTTTCTCTAAAGTCTAGACACAACCACCTGGATCTCCACTGCTTACTTAATAAGAGTTTTACCTCTTACCTGCTTCCCTTGTATGGGAGGAAAAGTAATATTTTAACTCACTCATTGTAAGACTTATGGTTGATACCCCTGAAACAAAGACAGATTAACAAGAGAAAAGTATAACAAATTTATTTAAGTTTTATATGACATGGGAAACTTTAGAAATGAAGACTCAATGACAAAGCAAAAGCTGTATATTTTTATGCTTAGTTTTGATAAAGAATAAGTAGTTGGACCAAAGGGAGTATGAGCTAATGGTAATAAACTAGGGGGAACTTAGCAAGGCCAGTTTCTTCCAATTCTTCTTGGCTTCAGAATATAGGGCAGGACCTCTTTGGAGTCAGCATCCTATGATTTACTTCCAGGGGAGATAGGTCATATAATTATTTTTATGGTGTTAGGTGAGAAAGGTGGGAGAAGGTCAGGAAAAAGAAAGAAAAGGTCAGAGAGCCCTTTCTGCTTTTGCACGTTTGTTAATTTCCTCCAGCTTAACATACTGAATATGTCAAAGTGTCATATTTTGGAGTAATGTTTCCTGCTCATCATCACCATGGTCTTCCCACTTTTCAGATGCTTTGCAGACATTGCTGACCAACTTCTAACATTGGTTCCCCGAATTCTGGAAGGACGGCATGCAGCCTAGGTGTCTGTGTCTCTCACAGTCACAGATTTGTCAGCTTTCAAGATCCCAATTCATGCGAATCTAACCCATTCCTTGGCTGACTAAGTCATGGGTTTGACACTGGGGAGATAAAGCAATTCTGGGGGGGAGATGAGTTTCTGAATTTGTTTTAAATGTAGGATTTGTATCAAATTGTATTGCTGATTAAAGGAAATTTATAGTTCTTGTTCACATATTCAGTCTACTTGGTTTGAAACTATTTTGATGTTTTCACTCTTCAGATATTAAGGAAAGGACAGACTAGCTACACAGAGTTAACGGATAAAGGTAAAAACACACCATAAAATCTGCAGAGCAAGAAAACACCTAAACTTCAGTCCCTGAAAAACAGAATATAGTTCTTAATTTTCTTTAAAACTTTTCAAAGTTTCTCCTGAAGTCTGCCTATAGCCAGGCATCAAATACACACTTACACTTATATATACAAATGTACATCCATTTATGTTTGTGCTAATAAAGGTATGTTTTACATATGCGAATATATGTGGAGACAGACAGGAAAATAAATAGGCAGATGATAGATATTCTCTCACTCACACATGTTAATTTTCAGATAATTCCCTCTAGACCAGGGATTTTCATGGAGCAAAGCATTTGTCCTGCTGATGGGGCTGCCTTGGTCTACACTGACATATGCGATGAGCAAAGGACAGTGGCTTTTTTAATGTAGAAGCCACAAGAGAATATGTCATCTGATGTGCAAATTACCTCTCCAGAAGTATGATTACTTACAGGCGAGTCCTAAAACACATGCCCTCTGCCGATAGCACACCAAATACAGCCAACCACGGTGCAACTTTGGACACAGAAGGCCTTGCAATGTTGTAAGTCCCTGTTTCCTACTCAGGCCCAGTAGTCACTCACATGAGAGAGAGATTAAAAAAATGTCCTAAATCATCTTCTGCCTTTATCAAACCATGGTCTGTGGAGAAGAACTAGGAGAACCCTACTCCACACAGAGAAAATGAATGCCATATTATCGGACACCAGGAAAAAGGGCAGGAATTGAGATAAAGATGATGTTATTGCCACATACAGTACAAATGTAATTATTCTGTATGGAGGAAGGATCACTGTACATATGAAGAAAAATCATGTATCAGAGTTTTTGTCTGTTTTCTGAAAAGAGAGTGTTTTTTCTTGAGAAATGAATCCTTCTGTAATTTGACAGATATTTATAGTTGTCTAAGACTATGCAAAGTGACACTTAAAATAGTAACTGCAAACATTTTTGAGAATTTACTGTGTGCTCAATATTTTATATCTTAAAACTGAAAACCACCTTATGTCATACTCTTATTTTCTCCGTTTGACTGAGGAAGCCTTGGGGGAGTAGGATGCAATCAGGTCAAACATATTATTAGTAGTGGACAAAGAGTATAAACAGCTTTCTAGTAACTGCACAATCCTAGAATAAAAGAAGGAGGATATTGTCAGTAATGCATACACTTCCCATTATAGCTGTAGATATAAATGAGATGGAATAATTCTTGAAGAAATTATAGGTACTTATCAAAAGGATTTTTCATACCTACTGGTGACAAAGATAAGATAGGAAGGAACCAGGTAAGCATGACTAATTTTGATTTTTGTCAATTAACTTGTTTTGTTCTTATTGAAAACACAAAGATCTTGACTCTAGCCTACAGAGGGCAACGTAAGCTCCAAGCCAGCACTTGCTAAGATCTTTCTTATCTGGTTTTGCACACTTGGGGAATAAGATCTGGACTCTGATAATCATTGTTATTTGAGTGACCGTATCATTTGCACTCAGAAGACCCAAATGCAGATCCTAGAGATATGTGAAACAAAACTCAATGCTATTTAAATATCAAAATAAAAGTTGAGGGACAACCAGGGAGGATGAATACAAATTCTAAATAGAATCAATAAGTAAATTAGTTGAGTCTAATCTGGCTGTAAAGTCATTTATATGAGAGGATTACAGATTCAAATTATGCTAGAAAATAGGGTATTATGTGTTACCAGACTCCAAAGACAAAGTCTTCAAGAGCACCCATTTAGAAGGCATGAGTCCTTGCTTGGCATTGCAGCTGACTAAAAGGCTCAACTCATTATTTAAGATCCAAGAAAAACTATCCTGGTGTATGCACTTTCAAATATTATTGATCCAGAAAAACAAACAAACAAACCAAAAAAAACCTCTCTATAAGAATGAAACCTCATTTACTGAGAAATTAATCCCAATTTTCTTAGGATAATTACCCCAAATTATCTTGGAAAGGTAGAGCTACTTCATTAGCGGTACTGCAGATGCACCTGGTGAACAAAATATACATTTTCTCTTTTTTTTCATAATTGGACCTGCTGAGATTGAGTGGAGCACATGTCTATCCATCTAGAGAGGACACTTGTCAGACTCCCCTATAGTTGTAGCCATATGACTACATTGTAAACAGAAGTTTGTTACACCCTCTCCTAGTCTTTCCATTAAGATAATTTGAGTGTGTACTACCCTGGCTTTTTCTCCCTTCCTGCTGGGTGGGAGATTGTGTATATGGAAGTAACGACTTTGGACTTGAAAATATAAGCGACATTTTGGAAATGGAAAAATCCATCTAGTCAATCCAGAGTAGGTGAAGAAACATTCTACTACTCACCCACCTCTTAACTCTTTCTTTCTTTCTTTCTTTCTTTTTTTTTTTTTTTTTTTTGAGACAGAGTCTCACTCTGTTGCCCAGCCTGGAGTGCAGTGGCACAATCTCAGCTCACTGCAACCTCTGCCTCCCGGGTTCTAGTGATTCTCCTGCCTCAGCCTCTCAAGTAGCTGGGATTATAGACACATGCCACCACATCCAGCTAATTTTTGTATTTTTAGTAGAGACGGGGTTTCACCATGTTGGCCAGGATGGTCTCAAACTCCTGAGCTCTGGTGATCCACCTGCCTCGGCCTGCCAAAGTGCTGGGTTACAAGCGTGAGCCACCATGCCTGGCCTAAACTCCTACATGAGAAAGAAATAAAATTATAACTTGTTCAAGCATATGAATATTTTAACAGCTTTATTGAGATATAATTTACATGCCACCTCTTTTAACTGAACCATTCAATGGCTTTTAGTATATTGGCAAGGTTGTGCCATAATTTAATTTAGAAACACTTGAATCACTCCCCTCAGAAACCTTGCATCCATTGGTAGTTACTACCTAACCCCCAAGCCCTCATTCAGCAGCGCTTCTCCAGTTCTGCAAAACCACTAACCTACTTTCTATCTCTATAGATTTGCCTATTCTGGATATTTATATAAATTGTATAATATGTGGCCTTTGTGATTGGCTTCCTTCATGCAGCATGTTTTTCAGGTTCATCCATTTCGTAGCATGTATCATAACTTTATCACATTTTACTGCCAAATAATATTCCACTGTATAGACATGCCACATTTTGTTCATTCGTTCATCAGTTGATAGATATTTGGGTTACTTCCAGTTTGGGGCTATTACGAACCATGAACATTAGTATACAAGCTTTTGCATGGATGTGTGTCTTCGTTTTTCTTGGCTACATACCTAGGTGTGAAATTGCAGTGCCACATGGTAACTATGTTTAACATGTTGAGAAATTGCCCAACTGTTTTCCAAAGTAGCTGCAGCATTTCACATTTCCACGAATAGTGTACATATAGCAAACGTGTTTGCAACTCCTTTTATTGCTGGAACTGAGCCTCTACCAGAGTGATATGCAAAACCTGTAACAATGGGTACATATGGGATCAAGCAATGGTATTCGGAAGTCTGCTTAAACTGGCTCATGAGAATGAGTTGTTAAATGCTGGCATATGCTACAAATCAGGGCATTTTGTTCCGGAGAGCTGGTTTACCACACCCCCACTGGAACCAACCAATCGGAATGAATGCTAAGATAGTGAGACTAGAAACCAGCTGTGAACAACAATTTCTCCTACTCTAGAGAATTCCAGTTGAATATCAATTTTATCTATTGTGTAATTAATATGTTGGCCATATAGTTTAACTCCAGTCAGATATAAGTATAGAAATAATAAAATAATTCAAAGTTTGTTTTTGTTGTTTGGAAATTATCTTAATTATGTAATATTTCAGTATTTGTAATAAATTTGGCATTTTAGAGAGTATAAGAGATTTGACTTATGTTCAAATTTATAATATAATTGAAAATTAATTGTCTGGGTGCAGTGGCTCACGCCTGTAATCCCAGCACTTCGGGAGGCCGAGGCGGGTGGATCATGAGGTCAGGAGATTGAGACCATCCTGGCTAACACAGTGAAACCCCGTCTCTACTAAAAATACAAAAAAAAAAAAAAAAATTTAGCCGGGTGAGGTGGCGGCGGGCGCCTGTGGTCCCAGCTACTCTGGAGGCTGATGCAGGAGAATGGCGTGAACCCGGGAGGTGGAGCTTGCAGTGAGCCAGGATCACATCACTGCACTCCAGCCTGGGTGACAGAGAGACACCCCGTCTCAAAAAAAAAAAAAAGAAAATTAATTTAGATTCATGATTTTAAGTTAAAAAGTATGAGGAAATAGTACTGATAGTAAACTGTGTTAGGAGTTCAGAAAAACTTGTGAGTCACTGTATTTGTAAATCAAAAGTATTATAGACTTATAAGGATGGTTAAGTACTTAGGTTTTGGTTGTAAGAATCATTTGAAGTATTTCAAAGAAATCAAATACAGTAAATTGATATATGCAATTTACTAAATTTAGCATGTTTACTAAAAGCGTCTCTCTCGATGCTTGCCAAAATTTACCAGATTGCTGAATAGAAAAAAAATGATGTATTAGTTGAATTTTAAAAATTTAGGAAAGTTTAGATTTTTTACATTTGATTTTAATAAACCAAATATTAATTTTAGAAATCAAATTAAACTAAAATGTATTTTATTTGGTAAAGATGCTCTCAAGGACATAAAGGGAACTCCCTGGTTCACAGGATCTATCTGAACAGGTATTTTCAGGTTCCTGACTCAAAGGGTTCAAACATGGGCTTATGGAAAAATATTTGAAGAAACATTGAGAATATCTGTACACCCTAGAAAAAGAACCAAATGGATACACTGATTGATTGTGATAGAAGGTTCCATTTGCATTTTGTCCCCCTGGGAACTTGTGTTAGCACTTGTCCCCATGACTGAGAGAACAGCCCTGTTCAGGGCTAGCATCTTCTCGCATGTCCCACTGGCTCTTCTCTGTGTTCCACAACTGACATGCTAGCCTGCTAGCACCCAGAGTCCTTAGAACTATTTGCAGATTTTCCATCTCTGTTGATGCGGTTGTTCAACGTTAACTTCAAATATTAAATCTGTCTTAAATAACTTTTTATACAAATTTAAAGTGCCCTGGAGAGTACTGGGTGCCAGATCAGGAATGTTATCATGGGAATGGCTGTAGTCCAAGGACTCTGCCTCCGTGAACTTCATTCTTAGCTCTATTTGAATTGCCTGTCTCACTGAAGCAAAGAGGAAGGTTACAGTCTGCATTTTCTCATAGGAAGAGTTCCCCGTGGCTCAAAGTGCAATTTGTCAAGAATAAATCCTACTGTATTAAGATACCTTCTCTTTTACACAATTTAAAGTGCCTCCTGTTAGCAATATGGTTCCGGGGACTCCCTGACATATTTTTACATTTTTTTCCTGCATTTTTGCTCATGATAGTGCGGCTTACCATTATTTCTAAAGCTGAACCTTGATGTCCTATGAATCACAAGAACAATGCTTGATTATGTATTTTGATTCTGCACATTGCTTATGTTTCCAAGTCTTAAAGGTGCAATTGTTTTTTGTTATTTGTTTATTTTACAGACACAAGCAAGTTCCAGTCACATGTCCATAGTAGGACATCTGCAAGAAACATTACTATCTATTCTTTAATCTATCTAAATTTTGTTGTATATCACATTTACATTCCTCTAGGAGGAAAAATGCTTGAGTCGATATCCTACGACAATTATAAAAACTCCTTGAGAGATTTTCAGAATCTGCTATGTATTAATAGTTCATGTCCAAAAAAAAGAGAAACTAGATCCAAATTCACCATCAAGATCTCTGCTAAAATCTTCTAATAAACCCGAAAGTAGAAAGACACATCATGGATTCCAAATGCCTTATTGAGTGCCTGAGATTCTGGCATCTATTTCCCAGATAACTGAATGTCTATTAATATTGAGCAAGTCTAAACCATGAAACGACTGCATAGTTTTGATTATAAAACACCTAATCAAACCATTGATGGGAATACTTGTATGTGTTTGTTTGGCAAGTATGTTTATCACTCAGTATCGCATTGCAATACAAGACCACCTAGGTATCACTGAAGCCACCCTTGTCATGTGCTTCTTGGCCTGGCAGGACACCTGCAGAAGACTGATTGACAGCAGGTTATCCTGAAGCTCTGCTCTGTAATGAGAAGTGAGATAGTCAGAAGCCAGATGTGAAGAAAAAAGTGCTTTCAAGTTTCCTTAAAAGGCAGCCTCAAAAACACTTAATATGGATAAGTAACTAAGAAAGAACAGTAGCAAGTAACAATCAACCTGGAAAAAAGGTGTCAGGGACAGATGACTTTTCATGAGCATCTTCAGAGCATGAATCTAAAAGACAGAGATGCAAACAGTGTTAGGTTGTTGAAAAATATTCTGAAAATGCTTACAGTCCAAGGAAAATGCTTCGTAGGTGATGGAAGACATCATCATCTTTTCTACTGAAACCATATACATATATAGGTGACATACTTGAATAGGATTCATTGCTAGATATTAAGGGTCTTAATAATTGTGTTTGGGAAGTTGAAGAAAAGCAAATTATGAAACTGTTAAATCAAGTTTACAAAATAAATTCCACTTAGAACTGTGACTTTAGCTTACATCCTGAACTCTTAGGTTTTGTTTGTTTTTTGTTTGGTTGGTTTTTAAGTATAAAACTTTCCTTTCCTGTGGAGACACATAGCTTTACCCTCCTTTGCCTTTCTTCAGAAGGCCCGTTAGATCTAAAACCTGTTCTCTTAATTCTATAGACTTATGTCCTATATGAATTGATAATAATGAAAAACATTACAAGTAAATTAAATACTAGAACAAAATTCCAAATGATCCAATATTCTATATATTTTATGATTCTGTGAATCTGTCATGATGGATTAAGGACATTATCACCTTTAATTTGCACATAATGACATTTTGATATCATAAAGTTAAGAGTTTTTAGAAAACCAGAAGTGCTTACTGCTAAGATATTGACAAATGAATACGTGCAGAGATTGGCTTTTTAAAGCTTGCATATGTTAGCCTTCTGAGAGCTCTACCCTGTCTCAATTCATCACAGATCAAGCCCATGTGGTAGGTTAAGGATATAGATTTCTAACAAACTATATCTCACTCCCTTGTATCTCACTGCCTCATGCTTGCTTTCTCTTTCTCCCCACCATCCTCCCCCACACTCTCTTACTATCTTTTGCTTAAGTCTGAACCATAACATTATTGCAATGATGTAGTTTGCTTGTACCAATAACTTTCTTGTCAGGAGACATCTGTTTTGTTATGAAAAGTCTCTCCTAGTAAAGCATCAATCATGTCACGCTTGTAAAGCAAAACACATTTTTTTTTTGTCCCTAGATAGCAAAATACTGCTGAGAAAACAAACTGTGCAGAAATATTAACTGGCATATTAATACATGTATTCTGAACATTCTTTATTTGTCTACTATTGGTGCCATGTGATTCTGACAGTCTCTGCTGCTGACCTCTCATCTCTGAAACCACAGAGGACTCATCAATGTCCTCCTTAAAAGGATTGTAATGGGCTGATAGCCACAGAGATCCACATGATGGGAATATGCTGTATTTTAGGCAATTTGCTTTCATATGCTAAAAGCACAACGTTAAAAATGGTTGCAACTGTCTGAGTGCCTTTCAAAGCTTTGGCTACATAATGTCAAGCTACCTGGAAAGTTTTAGACAGTCATCTAGGTGTTTTCGAATGCTTGGTTGCTTTGCATCATTGGTATGAAACCTCTGGATGATGGACTTAAACCTCCACTTGACGTCTTGATGTTTTAGATTTTACTGACATGCTCACTATGTGCATTTATAAAACCGGATTCTCTGCTTTGAAGCCCGGATGACTGCTTTCTGAAGTTCAATCAACCTCAGGTATTATAGCAGGGGTTGAATGAATTGAGAATGTATTACTCTTTGTCTAAGTCAAGGCTTGAAGTGGAGTAAAATATAAATTAAGTAGTTTGGGTAAATACTTCTGTACCAAAAAGCAACCTTGAACATTGTTAGAGCTAAAAGTAGTGGATCAGTCAACAACCAGTCAGGAAAACAAAATCATGCTAAGCATTTTAGGTAGAAGGAAATTGGATACAAAGGACCTACAAGGACTAGAGGAACTGAAGGAAAAAGAGAAAGGGGTATCAAGGGACCAAAAAAGGAAGGAGTGATGGGTGGAGATTAAGACTCTTGCGCTATCCCCCTGAGCCAAGCTCCCTGGAACCAGCTTCTTCAGCGTTCTCTGGAAATTCTGACAATTCTAGAGCAATCAGCACCTAAGTGAGTGGCTACTGCTTCCAGGGGCTGTGGAGCCTTCAGGCAGCCCCTCCCTGCTGCTCTTGTAGCAACAACCAACAACTGTCAGCAATGGCCATTGGGATCTGAACCACAAGGAAGAAATGCCTCAGTTTCTCCCACTTTCTGATCTCCTGGTAGCACTTTCAAATGACAGAACTGAATGAGAAGCCAACAGGGAAGGGAGTGTGGAAATGTAGCTTGCAGACTAGCAGCCCCAGAAACTCTAAGCAGAACAGAGAGGGGCAGGCATGGAACTAGAGGCACCAGGTAAATAAGCAACATAGACACCCAGGTAGAAGCAATGATGTTTTCCCCATTAACATTTGACACACATAAAATCAGGATATAATTGACATCAAAAACGAGATACAGATGTTGGGCGCAAAGGGAGGTACAAGAAAGGGAGAATTGTCACAAAAGCACAGCAAGTGATCTGTGGAGTGTATTAAAGTAGAAATGGCATTTGCCTTTGTAGCCTGTTGGCCTTTCTTTTTATATAAACTAAGACATGGGAGATTTTCTAAAATTATTACTTTCAAGTTTTTCAAATAATACATGAATATACCCTCCTTGTAAGGCATTAAAATTTATGGATGTAGGTTAATCCCCTTTGATTACCAAGCCAATCCTAGTTCCTTTCCCAGAAATTACTACTGTCAGTTTGATGTATATCCAAAGAGGGTGAAATATCCAACAGTAGGAAAAATGACCAAGTACATTGTAGCATATTTACAGGATGGAGTATGTGTTTGCTTTTCAAGAGAATAAAGTAGATATGCAAAGGTTTCATAAATAGCAAGTGAAAACTTGAATTTGCAGGATATATCGTATGTGTTCCATTAATGAGTTTTCTAATCGCGTACAAGATAAAGTCTTATTTTCTCTCTAGCACGTGGCTGTAATTTTATTTTCTGTGTCCATTGCTCCACAGTGGATATCTGGGTCATCTCTCAGATGGACTCAGACTTGAATACCTTCCTTCTGTATCATTGCACATTCTCTGCTGTATTTCCCACCACTCAATTGACCAGAAAGAAGAATGTTAGGAATTAGAAAAAGAGACAACAAAAAATATATATATATAAACAAAGTAGAATTATAGGTAACATATTGGCATTATTTGTGGTTGCAAAAACTTAATCATTAGAAATGGTCTTTCACAAATGCCGTGGATTCTCAGATTCTGTCAAGCAGTTTAAAAATCGGCTCTGATTTCTTTCTCTCTTTCTTTTCTTTCTTTCTTTCTTTCTTTCTTTCTTTCTTTCTTTCTTTCTTTCTTTCTTTCTTTTTTTCCTTTCTTCCTTTCTCAATGCTTAGATACAGCTCCTTGTACATAATGAAGTTGCCATTTAAGGGAGAAGCTTTGAAAAAGATACTGATTAATATGTAGGTGAAATCTTTGTTAGACTCCTAAAATTACATCTAAAGGAAGAATCACAAAAAGAAATGCAAAAAAATTCAGTTGCATTGAACATCATTAAAAAACTCACACATTGAGGGACAATTCACATTGTCTTATGGTCTCCCCCAGAGCAGACCTGAGATAAAGCTTGCAGGCAGGGAGTTTATATTGAACATATTCCCAGGGAGTAGAAGTCAGGGACCAAGGGAGTGAAATTAGGGAGGCAATATCAAAACAAGGTATGCTATGCAACTGATCACCTATGTCTGCATATGACAGATGCTAGATTTCACCATGACCTTCTGAGAACCTTTGTGGAATGCATCTCGGAACTGTCCATCTGAAGGAAGAAAGAGAAAAGCACTTTTCTACCCATTTCTTTCCTTCACTTTTCAAGGATTGTCCCACAAAGTGGTAGCTCTTCTATAATTTTGTGTTGTGCTTCATGAACGCTAATGGTTCATGAAGGTTTCCCTTGCCACCCGGTCAGAAAAATTACTGGAAAGGACACCAGAGTTAACAGCAAATGCCTGGGATGAGGCAGTGCCAGGTTACACCTGTGCAAAGCCAGCCCACATAGAACTCGTCACTGCATCCAGAGCTGAATGTGAGGCCAAGGGAACTTGGAGCAGGACACAAGAGGTGTCAGATCCACAATTCTTAAAAAATATCAAAAGCTTAGCACCTGAGTCACATATGGGTTAGTGAAGGTGAATGCTGTATTAATTTGAGTATGTATTTTATCTGCCTGAAGGGATTATAAATAGCCATATATTCTTAAATGTCCCACAAGTTTAAAATATATTTGAATATATAAAATGTGCTCTTTGAGAGCAGGAGCCATATTTTATCTATTTTACCATCATATGTGTAGTAGAGGGACAGGCAACAAAAGGAGCTCAATAAATATTTAGTAAAGGTGTACAGGAGAACGATCTTCAAAGACAGCTAATGTAAATCCAGTCTGCTTGGTCTTTTCAATGTCAGACATGTTTAGGAGATTAAACCCTTTCTCTCTTCACTATTTACTTTCCTTTTTCTTCGGATAATTGTGAAGGCAGAAAGAAGCAATGGGTGCTAGAATGGGCCAGGTAGGATATTACGGTAGAATGAGAGAGAATTAAATACTTTGCCAAAATATGCTAGATACTTTGTAAATTATGTGTCCCAGCCCCCATGTATGGGGTTAACTCACATGCAGGACTTGTTTCTCTCCCCTAGTTTTCCTGTCTCTTATCCTCAAAGTCAGCCTATAAGCACACAGTCTTTTGTTATTTTCATGTCTGCCATGTTCAGCTCATATTTTAAATTATGGCATAAAATCGTTGTTGGTTTCAGAAGTGGTATGAGCAGAGATATAAGTTATGGAGTAATATCTGGAGCCTGCAGTGGGCCACCCTGAATTTGTTGTTACCCTGTCACTGTCTTCTCAACAAATGGGCCAGATTTCAGAAAACGTAATTACTTAAATGGAAACCATGAAATGCAATTCTAAATCAGTTGATAATGTGTCTCTGCTTGTAGGCAGAGTCCCATCTAAGAAGGATGCTGGCTTCTCCTGCTGTTGGTCTGTTTACACCAAACTGACTTGATATTTTTATCTGTTTACGAAGTGGTGCAAAATGTTTACATAGTAGTGACCTGGTTTCTGTGGATCTGGGAGTGCTGTTTGCAGTAGAATGTTTGCTAATCTTCCGTGACGCTCTAATCGTTTGTATTTAGTGAGGCCTCAGTTTTGGTTGATAGAGCTATTTAGAAAATGGCTCCACTTCAATACCAACCTTGTTTTCTTTTGTCTTCGGAAGAGTGGTTTTAGAAGAGCTCCCCATGTACCAGACTGTTGGTCTTTTACTTTAGATTTGATTCAAGTTAAACACTTTGGATTCCTGAAAATGTGTATTTTTAACCATTTAAGATATTGAAATTCCAACAGCAAAACATAGACAAATACAACCTCTGATTAGCTGCAGATTTCTCAGAACTCTAGTTTCCACTAAAGTGTATCAACCTCATCTTCAGTCTAAGCTGTTGCTGGGCTATTCCTGGACCTGTCTCTGGAAAGCAAAACTGAGTTTTTCTACATTTTTAACAAGGTATTATCTCCCAGGCGCAGGGAACTTTTCACTTAGGACTAGGTTGCAAATCTCGGTGATGAAGGAGGTAAGGACGGCCCAATTCACCTTACAATTCTGATGTGACTGTCAACTGTGACAATGAATAAGAGCACTTTACAAGCCACATTGAACTGAATATGTAACAGGTTAGTATTGATGTACATTTTATTTGATTCCAATCCTGAACACTATTCCTAGACTTAAGTCCATTAGCAGGAAATGGAGAAGCACTGAAATGGAAATCACGAGCCTTATGTCTGCAACCCCTCTAAGTATTCAGGTAATATTTGATAAGTCACTTGTCATCTCTGGGCCTCAAAGTCCTCACTGGCAAAATTAAGCAACTGGGTTAAGTAATCTCAACATCTTTTTTTTAGCACTATGATTCTTTGTAACTATAGTACACATTTTTTATGAAATAGGAAAAGCTCATGTCATACTGTCTAATTATGAAATAAGATCTTTCACCTTTTTATTTGTTTTATTTTCAGATAATTGTTTTGAAGAAAGATCTTTTATAATTTTACTTTTATTTGCATCCTAATTCTTATATCAAAATAGTAATATAATTTTGGTTCTATAATATATTAATAATTTTACAGAAAAGTGATGTTAGGTTTTTTAGTAATGGACAGTTTCCACTTAAAAATTTTTTGGTGAAACTATTTGGAATAAATATGAAATTGATTTGGGGTTCCACAATTGAATATCCATCCCTGCAGCATCACTCCCAGCCTCATCCCCGACCTGAGCCAGTAGAGTGAGGGAGGCCTAAAGTTTTAATGCTTTTAAAACTACGCTTCTGACCAGTGTTTCCTAAAGTTTGTTTTACAGAACACTAGCATCATGAGATGTTATAGGGAAGGCATGAAAAAGGTTCCATGATTAAATGAGTTTGTGGGTTGGTAGATACAGCAAATGTAAATGGACTTCCTTACTATGATGTTTTCTCACAGTTTTTAATCCACTTTTAATAGAGCATTCTCCAGCTTGAGTAGAGAGATATGACATGTATGTTGTACAGTCATGATGGACCATAGGACTCTTTTATGTGAGAAAATCTCAAGGGACCAGGTTCCTTGGGACACACTTTGAGAAATTTAGTTTTTATTGTTAAGGAATTAAAATTAACTGAGAAAGTAAATATTCACTGAGACTCTAAAGTGAGGAAACCTCGCAGCTAGTGTTATTCACTCATGTGTGCTACTGGAATGGTACAATTGCATCAGGTTCAGTCATATTAAGGATTAGTTAGTAGTTTTATATTTGTTTGAGAGCATATTTTACCAATTAAATTAATTGGCTTTGTATGGTACTCAGTATACTATCAAGAACATAGAGATGTTTCACAAATGCTTTGGATGCTGGAGTTAAAGGTTTTTAGACCTTTTTTTTGTAGCCAATTAGTAAAGAATTTATGGCTGCCTCATTCTTTACCTCTTTTCTTTTCTCCTTTCTTTAACAAACATTCACTGAGTGCCAAGTCCCAAGCGTTTTTCTAGGCTCTGGTGCTATATCATTGACCACTAAGACAGAGATCCTTCCTAAACAAGTCATGATTAAGTAGGGGAAGTAAATATGTATTTTTAAATTGCAATACAATGGGGCAAATGTAACCTTGAACACAAATACAAAGCAAAAAGGCAATGAGGATGAAAGAGAGCAACTAATCTTCAAAGAGTGCCAAGGAATGTTTTCTTGACAGACACCTATCTGAGTCTTGAAAGCAGAATAGAAGTTTGCTAGACAGAACATGCTGGTTGATTCTGGCACTAAGATTAAAAATGTCAAAGCTGAGGAGATAGGGAACATTTTGTTGAGTGTGGGAAAGTCTAAGCAGTTCCATATTATTGGAACATAAAGTGGAAGGAGCAAAGGAGAAAGATATAAGGCTTAAGAGCTTGGCAAGTGTCACTTTATTAAAGCTTTATGTGCTTTGTAAAACAACTCAGAATCTGGCTCAGGCAATAAAGAATTCTGAAAGGATTTTAAAAAGAGGAGAGCTGTGATAAAACCTGGTCTTAAAAGTTGACCTTTGAAGCAGTGTAGAGAGGCTAGTGATAGGGACATCAATTAGTAAGTATTGTAACAGTCCAAGTGAGACATGATGGGTAACTAAGTCATGGCACTTATGGTGACATATTTGGATGGGAGAAGTCATATTTGAAATAAGATGGTCCTCAACTTCTGATGCTTTGATTATAATTTTTTGACTTTATGATGGTGTAAAAGCCACACACATTCAGTAGAAACCATACTTCACGTACCCATGTGATATGGTTTACGTCTGTGTCCCCACCCAAATCTCATGTTAAAATATAATCCCCAATGCTGGAGGTGGGGCCTGGTGGGAGGTGACTGGATAGAGGGGGCAGGGTTCTCATGAATGGTTTAGCACCATCCCCCCTTGGTACTGTATAGTGAGTGAGTTTTCATGAGCTCTGGTTGTTTAAAAGTGTACAGTACCTCCCACCTCTCTCTCTTCCTCCTGCTCTGACTATGTAACACGTGCCTCTTTCCATTCACCTTCTGCCATGATTGTAAGTTTTCTGAGGCCTCCGTGGAAGCAGAAGCCACTATACTCCTTGTACAACCTGCAGAACCATGAGCCAATTAAACCTCTTTTCTTTATAAATTACCCAGTCTCAGGTATTCTTTATATCTGTGTGAGAATGGACTAATGCACCGTACAACCATTCTGATTTGACTTTCAGTACAGTATTCAATAAAGTACGTGAGGTATTCAACACTTTATTATAAAACAGGCTTTGCGTTGATGATTTTTGCTCAACTATAGGACAATTGAAGTGTTCTGAGCATGCCTAAGGTGGGTTGGGCTGAGATATGACATTCAGTAGTTGAGGTATATTAAGTGCATTTTAAACTTAGAATATTTTCAAGTTAGGTTGGATTTATTGGGACATGACCCCGTCATAAGTCAAAAAGCATTTGTATAGATGATGCAGATTTAATAATACTTGTTATAGCAACGGAATGGAATGGATGACTCCCAGCTGTGTGGCTTCTGGTTTATAAGATTGGTTGGATAATGGTGTTTATGACGAGATAGGAAATACAAGAGAATGAATGTCATTTTGAAGTGTAAATATGTTTGTTTCTTGTATATAAAATTTTAAGTGCCTTGGAGATATACAGGATGAGGCCCTAACACAGGTGATCCATTATATTCACCTTGACTTCCATAGAACTATTTTGTTTAATGTTATATATTTACAAATCATCAGCTTTTAGGTGGTGGATACCATAAGCTTGACATAGAGGATATAGTATAGTCTTAGAAGACTCCAAGAGACAGAATAATAAGGAATATCATTGTATTAAAATAAAGATATGGGATCCTAAAAAGGAGAATGAAAAAGTTATCATTCCAAGATCTAATAAATCAAGGTGTGGAAGACAGAGAATGAGAGAATTTTAAGGAGACATTTGTTAAAGAAAGAAAAAAGCCAAACGCCACAGAGAAGTATTCTGAGATAAGACTGAGTCTTGTTTTAGGATTTGGCAACGTCGAATTCTCGGTGACCCTTCTTAGGGTGGTTTCAGTGGCAGAGCCTGGGCTGAAACCACATTGCCTTATATAGTTGAGATAAAAGCAAGTGAGAACAATGGGTTTTGCTCTTTTTTCTCAAGAAGCTTTGGCTGGGAAAAGAAGGAAGGGAAAGGTAAGAATAGCTAAAGGGGGATGAAGGGTCAAGAAAAGGGTTTTTAAAATATAATCGGTGTGTATGGGGAAGAGAGAAGGAAGGCAGGCACATGTTTATAAGCTAACAGGTCTCTCAGCCTTGATACTGCTGACATTTGGAACCAGGTAATACGTCATGATAATGAGCATGGGATGCAGGGAGTGTCTTCTCCATTGTAGGTGTTTTTCAGGATGCATGTCCTCTACCCACTGGACTCAGTAGCACCCCAGTCGCAACAATCAAAAATATCTGCAGACATTGCCAAACATCTCCTGAGGGAGGGAGGCACGTTGTTCCTGGTTGAGAAACACTAGACAAGAAGAAAATGGAAGAGATTGAAGATATAAGACAGAGAAGGGAAAAATAATGCAGAATCCACTGAAGTAGTCAGAGGCACGGGGATCCAAATCACAGATAAAGTTGCTTCCTTTGTACAGAACAGACATATCTTCCTCTGACTCCAAAATTAGAGAGAAAAAGAGCACAGAAATGCTAGGACATTCACACTGTGGTCTGGAAGATTGGTCAAGAAACGAAGAAATAACTTTTTTTCCCTCTGAATTAATGAGATGAGGTCATCTGGTAAAAATGAACAAGCAGCAGCAGCTCAGTGAGAAGACTAAGGAAGTCGAAATTTTGCAGGATGATACAGCTTAGTGAATGTGAGAGGGAAAGACCAACAATGAGAAACGTCTTGAAGAATATAACTGAAGCCCCATATTGGGAAAGCATGACTCTCAAAACATCCCAATGCGATATGTGTATGATTTCCTCCTAGCCACACCCAGGCCCTTAGCTAAAGAAATGCAGAGGGCTGTGTATATGGTTGCTGCAGTGTGGGGTGGCTGTAGGAAGCATGGCACTATAAATGCCGCACTATTCCCTATCAACGGTAGGGAAAGTGACACGAGACAATAGCTAGAATCACAGATTGATAAAGACAGGGTGATCACAGGTACCTTCAGAGATCAGTGGATCTCAGGCAATATCTAGCTCAGTGGTTTTCAAGCTAGTCAATCAATGAAATCTCTTTTAAAAATAGATCATAGTGCTTCAATTCTAATTTCCAAAGGTGATGTCTAAAAATTTCAGTGAGATTGAGTATATTTTGTATTTTAAAATCATTCGTATATTATTTTCTATATACTGTATCTTCATATTTAACCACTTAAAAATAAGATACTTAACTTTTACTGATTTATCAGATCTCTTCATATGTTAAAGAAATTAACCCTACATGATAAGTTTAGCAAATGTTTATCCCAATTTTTTCTTTATTTTGTCTTCAAGTTTATCTGTGATTTTATTCAGGAATTTTAAAATTAATATATTAAATATATCAATCTGTCCTATGAAATCATAGTAGTTTTGTGACTTAGAAAGGGTTTCTTCATAGAGATGTGATAAAATCCTTCTCTTATGTTTTCCTCTAGAATTTTATGGTTTTGCTTTTTTATGTATTTACATTTGTGGCCCATCTGGGAATTTATTTTGGCATAGGAAGTAAGCTGGGGGTGCAATTTAACTTTTTCAGAGGGTACCAATTACCTAAATATAATTTATCAGATACCCTCTTTTCCCCCACTGTTAGGCAATGCTACTTATTTCATCAAATAAACACATGCAGCTATTTGGGTCTGTTTATGCATCCTCCATTTATTCCATTGATCTGTTTGTTTATTTATTAATGTGCATATATTGAATAGCTCTCTGAGTAATACCCATGATGATAAAGAACCATTGATCAGACGAAACTCCTCATTTTATGCTGAGGCCCAGAGTATTTAAGTGGTTGATCAGAGAGTCATTTAGTTAAAGTGGTGGAGCTCACCAGAACCTGAGACCCGTGTTTCTGTGTAAGTATGAGTTACACTAATGCCTCACTAGCTTCCAATGGACCCAGTTTTTCTGATACAGAGTCATTGACTACACCTGATAAGCACCCATCATTTCAAGCCCACGTACCTTTGGTTATTCTGTTGACTAGGAGAGGGAGTACCACTGATGATTGATGGGAAGAGAAAGTGTGTGTAGACAATGACTGCTCAGTGATCACGAAAGTGCCTTATTCTTCTGCAGGTTGAGGAATGTGAACCATTTGGGTGATTGTGGAAATACCGTGTTCAGATTGTGTGGTTCTGGAATGGGAGTTTAGAGATAAGATGTAGTGAAAGAAAAACATATGGATATTGTGTCCAAAGATGGATAGACAGATATTTAACATAAACCATGAACTAATTTTCAATGGTTTATGTAAATGTGTTTCTCTACAAAAATTATACATTCTTTTTAGTTGATAGAAATCTTTATCCTTTGTTGTAGCATGAAGACTAAAACAAAATAAGCCGTATTTGTGCAGTGTTTATTTCAAAGTTATAATATCAATTTAACTTTGCATTTTCACAAGCCTAGAATGCAGTATTATTTAACAGATAGATATTACATTAGAGTTCTTTGGAATTATTTTTAAAGTTTAGAAAATAAGCAAACCACATAATTTTCCAAAAGAAAAAGAAACGAATTACTTCGTCATTTCAAAGCTTATAGACAGAGTGCCGTAGTGGTCCTTGAAGACATGAGATGCCAGTTACAAGCCAATTGTATCAAAGTATGAGATGAATAAGAAATGATTCAAATCCAATAAAATACTAAACAAGGACATTGGTTGCTTTCCAGCCAACATGTTAGAATACATGGGGTAGTAGAAAGATCGCCTGCATAGAATTTGCTCTTGCCAGATAGCAAATATTGCTAGTAATGTTTAAATTAAGTATCGATTGGATAATCTTCACAGGTGGCATATTCAGATTTTATTCAGTCTGTGTCTTCTTTACTCTTCTTATGTAATATAAAACAACTAAGATAAAAAACAATGAGCATAGACTCTACCAATAGATTTGTGGCAAATATTGACTGGTTTGAAACTTTAGCCAACTTAACAATTTAATGTCTTCTGATTTGCTAATTGCTTTAGTATTTCCAAAATAAGTGTCAAGAAGACAACTGCAGGAGTGGTATGACCCACATTCACCTATGAGACCCTTATTTTAACTCTGTAATAGTCTTAGGATTTGAATTAAATCCTAGGCAACACTATAAAAGCTAGAGATTCCCTGTGGGTCAAAGTTATCAAAGAAGCATTACATTTTAAATTTAGATGCATCCTTTTTTTGGGAAAAAAAGGAAACTTTGGGAAACCCAGTGATTACAAGTTTCCAGACTGGAGCTTTGAGCTTAAGCAGAATTGAAGAAACACTAGTATCAATGCATTGTTGAAGCCTGAAGAAGTTGAGTCATAATTGAACTAGGATGTAACTTATGATAAATATTATCCAGTATGATAAAACAATGAAAAGATTGGATTTTTTTCCCTTTCTTGGAGAACACTTGTCAAAAATTAACTTTTACCCAGTTAAAATCCAGTGTGGTGATACTGGTGTTGTGTGGATGCAGCCAACAGGTGAGTTTCAGAGTGACATTAGGCATATTTGTAAAATTGTGAACAGTCTCTGAATGAGAAAGGGAACACCTACTGACAGTCTTAACTTATCATCTGGTAGTGATGTGGTCAATGTGGGGAATGTGCCAGAAACTTTTCCATTCAATCTCCTGGAGTTTATGCCACTGTAGATAAAACCACTGGCCATACATAATGACAAGGTCTACAGCAGAAGTTCTTTGGATCAAAGCGCATTCTCCTAATTTCCTTCTCATAGGATATTCTCTACCCTCAAGTCACCCCACCTATATCAATGACCCCAACCCCTCCCACATTCTCTGCTTTTCTATACTAAAACATGTTCTCTGGAAGGATTCAAGACCAGCCATTTATAAATTAATATGAAATTAATAAGCCATATTTTCCAGGTTAGTTTCATTTAAAGTCTTTTTGAAATCACAGATTGAAAGTGTATATTATCTCTTAAAAATTTTTAGTACTCATATGACACAGATATTCTATGATTAATTTTAGGTGGAGTTTAGGAATTTTGAATAGTATCTTGAAATACTATGAGTGTGTGTCTGTGATTTTATTTTTCAGGTGTAAACATTAAATATAATTATTGTATTTGCTTTAATGTATTATACCATTCATTTGTATGTATATTTCCTCCAAGAAAGATTCCATGTGGAGGCAAATAAGAGATATTGTTAACATACTTTCTTTAGACAAGAAGGCTGAAGTCCACATCAAGATAAACTTAAGTCTAGAATCCAGGGTTCCCAATGGAGTTCATTCTTCATTTTGCATAAGAATTGTTAGACTAAAAGTTCTAAGGAAAGTACTCTGTGTAACTTCTAATAAGAATTGTTTTCTTCCCTGAAATAATGTCCAGTCAATAAATTAAGGTGTAGAGCTGTGGCAAATATTGCTATAAAAATTTACTGTGTTGAAATCTTTAGAATGCTTCCTTCACTTTCTCACATACCCACAGTGTTTCAGAGCTAGCCACAGAACGATGCATGTTGCAATGCTATGCTGGAAATACAGACTCATGTTGAAATCGTTGCCAACAACTTTAAAAAAAGATAGCAAGATGTGGAGAAATCATGAATTATGGGGGAGGTCAAGGCCAAGGCTGTAGAATAATTTCAGATTGGGTATGCAAGTGAGTAGAGGAAAAAAGGGACAAAATTAAGTCCATTTAGGTGGAGAAAATGGTATTAGCCAAGCTACTGGGACACTGAAAAACACAGAATAATCAGAGCTGGGTGAGACTGGAGACCAATAGGGTAGAGGAAGTGGGAAAGTTGGTAAGATATTGTATTAGTCCATTCTCATGCTGCTATGAAGAATTCCCCAAGACTGGGTAATTTATAAAGAAAAGAGGTTTAATTGACTCAGCTCCGCATGGCTGGGGAGGGCTCAGGAAACTTACAATCATGGCAGAAGGCACCTCTTCACAGGGCACCAGGAGAGAGATTGAGTGCCAGCAGGGGAAATGCCAGATGCTTATAAACCCATCAGATCTCATGAGAACTTACTGTCACGAGAACAGCATGGGGGAAACCACCCCCATGATTCAATTACTTCCCACCGCATCCCTCACACAAAAGGTGGAGATTATGGGATTACAATTCAAGATAAGGCTTGGGTAGGGACACAAAGCCAAACCATATCAGATACATTGCAAGATATTATAAACAGCTTTTGATGTCATGCTAGAAGTTTTGGACTGCATGCTATAGGAGAGGAAACATGATCAAAATCATGTTTTGATGGCACGTAAAGTGGATGTGATTGACAGAGTGATGGATTATACACATAGATAAAAGACATGGATGGGTTTTAATGATAGCAGCAAGAGTGGAGAGGAAATATAAGAAGCTTATCTGAGAAAAACTTTGTACACTTGACTAAGTTCAGAAGTAAATTAAATGTGGGGATGCTAGTAGAAGGAGAAAGAGGAAGGAATAAAGATAATCTCAATTTCTAGTTCAGAAACCTATGGGAATGCAGAAATGTCATTAATTGGTTTGAGGACATCTGTAGGAAAGGAGTTCTGGAAAATTGGTGAGGAGAAAAAGAAAGAGGGATGCATTTGGTTTTGGACATACTGAGCGTGCAGTTCTAAGGAAGCATATAAGTTTTAAAAAATGAGAAATACATGTCTAGAGTTAAGGAGAGAGACAGACCCTGTAGATACAGATTTGAAAGATTATTATCATCTATTACAACCTCTGCTTGAGAAGAGCTGAAGACATGGGAAGAAAATACCTGGGGAAAGAGTACAGAGCAGAAGGAAGGGAGTGCAGAAGAAGAAGTGGGCTAAGCATGAAATCCTAGGAAACCCTAAGATTAAGTGACTAAGAAGAGATACCATTGGAGCGAAAAGGGGAGATAAAAGGAGAACCAAGCAAAGGTTCTTTTTCTTTGAACGTGGAGACTAGTCATCAAATTCAGTCATTACAGCAACCTCAAGTCCATGAGAGCTGTGAAGTGGATCCTGGATTTGGCAATGAGGAAGGCACTTGGTGTCCTTTCAGAGCTGTGCCATTGGAGAGGCAAGGACCAACATCAGGTAGTAGTGGGAAGATTCACAGTGACGTGGAGAAATGGAGAATGAAAAGTTCTGTTCAGAAATTTGCTGGTGAACACGTTTAGTGTACACTAAAAATATTTATTGAACATGCTCTATATGCTGTATATTATTATAGCTGAAACTGCAACAAAAAATAGGATACAATCCTGATCCTCAATGAGTTCACTTTATATTTAGGGGAAGGGAAACATGTAAATAGATCATCAGTGAAGCCATTTCATCAGTGAAGCCAATGCAGTCTCTTCTGAAGAAAATTACTTATGAAGAAGATAGATTAAATTACTTATGAAGACAAAGAATTCATAGTATCAAAAACTAAAAATCGCAATCAAACTAGTGTAAGAATCTTGAAGGTTTTTCAATTAACTATAAATTCAATAGTGGTGGATTGACCTGTATGATTGGAGGGCTGTAGTGCTTTATAATTTGAAATACAGTGAACTTCCTGGCTTTAAAAATGTTTAGTGTAATTTTCATTTATCCACCACTGCCTGCACACTGAGGTAATTAGAAAATTTCAATATTTGCTCCTTATCAGATAATGCCCCCTTCCCATTCCTATGCAGCTCTCTTTTAAAAATTATTTGGCAAATGCGACTGTCAAAATTAGGTCAAATAAAATGATAATTGATTGTAGTTTACTGCATGCACATAATAGTCTGTATAAGGAAAACTCTCTGGGTGGGGTTGATAGTAGCAGTAAAGTGGAGGATTGTGCTTTTTCAAGACTTCTATTAGTTCATACTGTCACCAATCGAGACAGCAATTGTAGTATAAGTTTCACCTTTGTTTGTAGTGTGGATATATTTACTTTGGTTTGAGACTGAACAAAGTGAAACAAAACAACAGGTCAATAAAAAGTATTATATTGCCATAGAAATTGAACAGCAACCTGAAAGTCCAGAGGAATAGCATCCTTCTGGAACAAACAAATAACATCAATCAGAAAAGGCTATGGAAATGTCAATAGAATACAAGAAGATATGACACCTGTAAAAATAAAATAAAATTTCAGACGTAGAAATCAACTCCAAAAGAATTAAATAGAACTAACAGTATTTAGTTATTCATTCATTTAGTTTTACTTTTTATGTTTGATAAAAAATTTTTACTTTCTATTTTGATATTTATTTATTTATTCATTTATTTTTACTTTTTATATTTGCTCTGTTGCCCAGGCTGGAGTGCAGTGGCACAATCTCAGCTCACTGCAACCTCTGCCTCCTGGGTTCAGGCAATTCTCATGACTCAGCCTTCCAACTAGCTGGGATTACAGTCCAGGCACATGCCACCAAGCCCGGCTAATTTTTTGTATCTTTTTTTTTTTTTAAAGATGGGGCTTCACCGTGTTGGCCAGGCTGATCTCGAATTCCTGGCCTCAAGCGATCCACACGCCTTGGCCTCCCAAAATGCTGGACATGAGCCACCAAGCCAAGAGTATTTAAATTTTAATCTTAATAAAACTCGGTCTATTGTTATCTCATAAAAATACACATAACTGCAATTCTCAGCACAAACAGAAAACATAATAAATAACTGACTTATACAGTCTCTTGAAAAGGGGGAAATATATCCTAGGCAGGCTAAAGATTCTTTATCATGCTAGTTGCCTTTTTTTTTTCTCTTCCAAAATATCAAATCTCTCTCTCTCTCACATTTCCCAAAGGGAAAAAAAAAGCAGCCTATTAAGTCTCTTATCAGTTCTTTAGTTATTTCTTTACCAAATCAATTTACTTCTTGGCATCTTTAAATTCTTCCCTTCAGCTATTAACCTAAGAGACTTCAGCAAGTCTCTAAGAAACTAGAAGATGAAAAGAAAAATATCCCAGAAAGGGGGTAGAGAAGCTGAGAATACTTACATGAAAATAAGCTTTACTCCAGTGACACTTTGGTACAGTACAAAACTAAATGAAGAAATACAGGTATAGTCTTTGTCATTCAATCCCCTGTTATATATTTAGAGACTTGTGTGAATCTTGCTTGGAGTCAGGGTCCATAAATCCCCCATTCAGACAAAGCAGGGAGAACAACTTTTCCCCTTTTCCTTGGTGACTAAAACAAAGGGATAAAGACATGAACTGAACAACAACAACAAAATCAGAGATCTGCCCTTGAGTGTACAAGGTTATCATTCCAATCAAACTGTTCCTGAGGTGTAATCTTGGTTTTGTGTCCTCTCTTGGTTCATGCCAATTACTTAAGGTTGATTTTCCAGTTTTTCATAGTGATCTGATATTATGCCAGTAATTAACTTTTGCTTAAATTAGCTAGAGTTATTTTATTTAGTTTGTAACAAGAATTCTGCCTAATATAGAAATTAGTACAGGGAGTGGGGTTGAATATGTCATTTGTATCCTACTATCTCCCTCCTGCCACCCCCACCCCAAATGCTCTGACACCTCAAATGCTCTGAATATAGAAACTAGTGCAGGGAGAGGCAATATCCCTCAGGGTGACAATGAAGGTGGCAGGGGGGCTTGAGATTTTGGGGCTTGAGGGAGCTTAGGTGAGGCTAAAGAACCACAAAAATATTGTTAGCTATGGAAGAAAATGTTGCTGCACAGAACACACTGAGGTGAAACCACCACTTACATTATCATCTGGAGTGAGGTGCTCACTTCAAGCAACTTTTTGAGAGAAGCTACTGTTACTGTCATAGAAGAATATGAAGGACATGAGGAATTCCAACACTTGATGTAAAGTGACTATTTCCAATGGTACAGGATAACATAAAGAAAAAGAATAGAGGCTGGGCATGGAGGTTCACACCTGTAATCCTAGCACTTTGGGAGCCCAAGATGGGAGGCCACTTGGAGTTCAGGATTAGCCTGGAAAGCATAGTGAGACCCCATATCTACAAAAATTTTAAAAATTAGCCAGGCATGGTGGCATGCTTCTTTAGTCTCAGATACTTAGGGCTGAAGTGGGAGGATCACTTGAGCTCAGGGAGTTGAGGCTGCAGTGAGTCATAATCACACCACTGTACTCCAGCCTGGTGACAGAGTAAGACCCTGTCTCAAATAATTTTAATGACAACAATAATAAAATGGATAGCTCAAATCCCTAAATTCTCAACTCAAGGAAAAGGTCCAGTCCCAGGGAACTTCTAAGACCAAGCTTATAGACTTTACAAATCCTACCAAAAGACTGATATAGCCAAAATCAAGACACATACTTTGATTTTGTTGGCTACCAAATTACAGTGTCAGTTGGATTCACAGCCATGCTGGATCTCTTACAGTGAATGTCAGAGCATTTGGGGTGGGGGTGGCAGGAGGGAAGTAGTAGGATACAAATGATAGTTTGGGGGACTTATGGTAAGATTTGGAGTAATCAGAATTTCCCAACCCCTCAATCTCAGCTGAATTTGCATTGCTAACTGGAGCACCTATTTCTCTTTTTAGAAATCTATTTCTCCCTCCCTGGTATATGCCATACCTATTTCAATTACCTTGTAATATTAAACTAGTTCTCCATATGTACCTCATCATTTCCAGACTTATGACTAAAGCCAGAGCTCAACATGTCTCAGCAAGTTAAGCTTTATGTACTTAATATACAAAATTACTTTACAGGTCTTTGTTCACTTACATCAACAAAAATGTGTATCCTTTAGGATATGGATTCTTAGGATATTTATCCAAGGAAAGAGAATCGGGCTCAATTTATCAATGTGTGTGAACTCATCAGAGATTCTGAATTTTGAGTGCTGGTTTGAGCAACTGGGTCTTGTTTCAATTGTTTACTCAAACAGCTGACAGAAGTCTGGAATCAATGTCAGGCCACCGTAAACAAAGTTGAGATAGCAGAATTACCCTGTTAAAGTAAGGAAACAATCCAAATACTTTGGGAGATATGAACTTGAAAGTGAATTTAGTGTGTATGAACTCCCTGCCTATTCCCTAAATATATTCTCTCAAGAGGGCACAGATTTTCCCTTCATCCAGGCCTTGAGAAATATGCTGGTAAGGGGAGGGTCAGTATCTTGGAAAGTTCCTCAAAGGCATTGAGACTGTTAGGAGACCTCACAGTGGGAATGAGTTCCCTAAATAAAACTACCATGGGAAGTGTTATGTATTGAATTATGTCCTCCCAAAATTCATCTGTTGAAGCTCTAACCCCCAACATGATGGTTTTTGGAAAGGGGTCTTTACGAGGTAATTAGGCTTAAAGGAGGTCCTAAGGGTAGGGTCTTCATGGTGAGATTAGTGTTTTTATAAGAAGAGACCAGAGAGCTTTCTCTCTCTTTCTATCTCTACCATGTGTGGACACAACAAGAAGGTGGCAATCTGCAAGCCAGGAAGAGAGCCCTCACCAGAAACCCAATTAGCCTGCATTTTGATCTTGGACTTTCCAGCCTTCAGAACTGTGAGAAACAAATGTTTATTATTTAAACCACCCAGCACGTGGTATTTTGTTATAGCAGTCCTAGCAGACTGACACAGGGTGATCTTAGGGTATCCTAGCAACGTAGTCGAAACTAAATCAAGAGCAAAGCAGGTGTGGCTGCCCTAAATAAACAGCAAGGCAGGGTGTTCATCAGAAGGGTCTGGCCTGACGACATTTTTTATTGTGGCTAATTTACATGGGATCCCTGTGTTTGAAAAGATTGGGCAGTCTATTAAGTGAATAAAATATTTTTTAACCTAAAAACACCCTCCTTCTAGTGAGCAGAAGCCCAGCATAAGTCACCATGAATGACTTGCACATTTGATTTCCATATCTAAGCTGGTTCACAGACCCAGAGCTGAATAAAGAGTAGATCAGGTACTTCAGAGCAGAATCTCCTAATTGGTGGTCACAACACACTGGTGTGACTGCAGGGGTTACAGCTTGCTGAGATAACTGTTTTCCTCAGCCTGAAATAAATGGATGGCATGTGGGCAGCTAGAGATTCCAGGCCAAGTACAACCAGTTTTGCTGACTTCTCCATTTACTCTGGTATACCATAGACATATTATTTTCTATGCATGCCATGATGTCAAACAGGCTGAAAGCCCTGTCTTGTAGGAGCGACCCAGTAACAAAAATCATAACTACATATAAACAGTGTTCCTCCTAGACTTTTCCAAAGAAATACTAATCTCTTTACCCATCAATCTGTGCCCTGGAAAATTAGATCTACCCAAATGTTTCAGTGGACATTGACTTTGAACTTAGACAATATATGGGGACCTAGAAAGACTGTTCAGTCCATTGGTCAGAGGGAGAGTTTCCAAAGATCAAATGACTGACGGATTTTGGTCCAAGTTGTACTACTGAACCTCAGTAAAATTTTAGAATAGAGGTTCTTATCTACAAATATCTAAATATAGATATAGATGAAGATTTAGATATATATATAATATGTATCTTAATATCTATAACTATCTAGTTATTCATATTTATCTATCTACCTACCTATCATCTATCTATCATCTCTCTCTCTATCCATGTATCTATCTATCTATCTATCTGTCTGTCTATCTTACTATCTATGTAACTATCTATGTGTCTATACACACACACACACACACACACACACACACATACACATAAACACACATAATTTGATCTCTAGAATAAAGACTGCTCTCTCAACCAAAATTGTAATTATAAATCAATACCATATCTTGCAGGAAGGTAATTAAAAATATGTTGCATTCAATTGCAGTTATTATAACAGGCATTAATTTAATACAGGAGCAAAATAACATAGCTCTTAGAAACTCATGGATTTTTTTTCCTCTATTCCACCAAGCAAAGAGCACCAGAAACAGTTATCTTTGCATATGCAAGGGTGTATGTAGAATTTCACCATCTAATCTCAGGGCTGTGCCAATCCTCTAGCTCTGAGTTTTGTTTAGTCTTTAGGAACCTTGATAATCTCATTATCTCAAGGTTTAGCATGACTTCCACTGCACTTATAGCATTCTATAGATATGCCCTAAAGAGCAGGAAGTGATAGATATCCCAGATGCCTCGGTAAGAGCCATACATACCACCAAGTGGAAGATAAAAATAGTAAAATACAACAGTATAAAACGCAATGCTAAATCCAGTCAGATTTAGCATGTAAGCTAACCTCCTCCAGGCTAATAGGATTTTTTTGTGTGTTTATTCTTACCACTAAAAAAAGAATCCCAGTATTTATGGGCCTTTCTGTATTATATGGGGAAGGAAGGACACTCCTCATCATGTTACCAAAATCATTCATAAAAGTTAATGGAAGTCTAATGCAATTCTATAAAGACAGGACAAACAAGAGCTTAGATCCATTATGAGAGAATATTTAGGTGATACTATAAGTTAAAGTACCTCCAAAAACTTAAGGCTTTGGGTATAGGCAAAGGGAATTTTGAATTGGGAGTGAGGAGATGTTATAAATGGGTTCATGGTCAACTGTGCAAATGATTCTGGTCTTATTTACATAAAAGAATTCATGGTCAATTGTACAAATAAGATCCTGGTCCTATTTTTCATGCTAAGATATATATTTATTTACATATTTTAATTATTTTTCTTTTTACTTCTTCTAAATTCCCTCAGTATTACAAAAATGATACAATTAATCTAAAATGCAGATTACCAAAAGGAGAACGCAACAGAATTTGAGGAGGAATTGACATTACTCAGTTGTGTGGAATCTGAGTCAGGTGCAGTAACTCACAATTTTGGAGTTGTCTCTCTGTGAGAGGATGTAAATGTGGTTTGTGTCTTAGTGCAATACATTATTGTATTACAGGCAGGAACCATTTTTGTGAAGCATAACTACGGGATAAATCAGATATGGGATAATGAACTGTCATAAAGGCAGAGTAACTAGACATTTGTCATGTGCAGTCTGTCCTGCACCTGTCCCTTCTCCTTGTGTAAGAAACTCTCCCTTTCCTCACAGATTGTGAGATTTGGTGAAAGCAGTTTCCATCTTTCAGCGTGCAGAAAGCAAAATAGGAAGACACCCCTTCCCCTATCCCTCTCTCCAGGCAGTCAAAGAGGATGTGGAGCTACTATCATTCACTTTTGGAGATATGAAAAATGACCCGGAGATTTGGAGAAAGTATAGAGGGCACCAGCAGAGCTCTCGCAAGCCTAGTGGCAGCAGCAAAACACAAGAATCCAGTGGTGTTTGGTTAAATGCCCAGTGTGGTGGGGCCAATGGCAGCTTTGGAACAAAGCTGATCTGGTGATATGACCCAGCTCTGGAATTAACTACAGAGGTTCCATTTGTTTCTCTCTAGTTCTTAGGTGGGTTCTCCAGACTGCCTGTGAATCCTTGCTTCTGTCGTAGGGAGAGAAATCCGATATTGGTGAAGAGCAATCAGTCTACCATATTCCCACTAGTTATTACAAGTTTAGGCTGACTTCATCTCTTGGTACCTTAAATAACACCCTGGTGAACTTCTTTTATCAAGTCTCTTCATAGACCTGGATGAAATTTACCCAACAAAATGTTGGGTAAATCCAAGGAAGGAGGGCTGATAAAGGATATAAACAAGTTAATTAGCTAACATTGGCAAATTACTTCTAGGATGGCTGCACCAGTTTACCGATCTTACACTGCATTTTCTTAGCTTTGCCATGCGTGTGAGTGAATATTGAGTTTTCACCATACTGTTGAGTGGAAAATTGTAACATCACTATTTATAGTTAAATAAAATTAGGCATTTGTTCATTTACTTGGCTTTGTTTTTATATTCTAAAATTTCTTAGGTTTTTAAGTAATTTTATTCAGTGCTATATATACAATGTATATTTTTATACTTACATAATATATAATATTTATATGTAAATACTATATATACTTGTTTATATACTTATAAATACTATATACTTATATATACAAGTATATTTTATGTAACTATATTTTAAATATATATTTAGAATTAGTTTCCTAAATTTCTTCTAAAAATTCTACTTGAGTTTTCATAGGAATTTTATTTTGTATATAGTGATAATTTCTATGGACAAGAGACAAACTAGAATGTGGTCAGGAGAATCAGGAGTATTGTGAGGGGAGAGTTTGCAGGATTAAATAGGGTGGTCAAGATAAACCTCACTGAAGCAGTGAGATTTGAACAAAGACTTGAAAGAGGAAGGAGAGCTAGACAAACAGGTGTCTGGAAGTAAAAGAGATTTCTAGAGAGAAGGAACAGCTTCAGCAAGAACAACAAAAAAGCAAACAAAACAGCAAAAATAAGTCAAAGCAGCACAAAACCCAAAGAACAGCACAAAGGCCAGTGGGGCTGGAAAGGAGTTAAGTAAGAGAAAAGAGCAATTGGAGAAAATTTTGAAGAGCTGAGGGTTTGGGGGAGCAGATCATGTAGGGCCTGTAGACCCTTGTAAGGATTGTAGCTTCTACTATGAATGAAAGGGAAGACATTGAGGACCTTTGAGCACAGGAGTGGCATGATCTGACCTATAGTTTATAAGGAGAACTCTGGTATAATGCTGACAATAGATTATGAAGAGGTAAGAGTAGATGTTTGGAGGCTATTTCATTAATTCCAAGGACTGGTGTTATTGCCTGAGAAAGGGCCGTAGTGATAGAAATGGTTCAAGGTATCATATTCTGAATAATTTCTAATGAAGGAGACACTAGGATGTATAGATGGATTGGATGTAGGATGTAGAAATGGAAGACAATGATAGCTTCAAGGATTTTTATTTGAGCAATTTCAAGAACGTGACTGCTTTTTACTGAAATGAGGATGATGCTGGTGAAGTAGGTTTAGGGAAGAAAATGAGTTAAGTTTTGAATGTCTTAAGTTTGGGATGTCAAGTAGACTTCAAGTGGAAACATAGTCTCCAGAGTTGGAGGAGATGGGAGACAGGTATGGGATAGAGATACAAACTTGGGTATACACAGGCAGTATTTCAAGCCACGAGAAAGTTTGAAATTTCCACTGTTCATAGAGGAAAGGAATAAGAAGTAAGCCCTGGAATGCTCTAACACTAGAAAGTCTGGAAGAAAAGGAGGAATAATTGAGACACAGAAGGAGGAACTGGAATTTATTTTGATCACAAACTTTGGAAATTTCAAAACTCTTGTTAACGCTATAGTTTTTCTTCTGGTTCTCATGGAATGATTATTTGCAAATAATGACTGTTTTAGTTAATGCATGTACTCCTTAATTCTTTCTCTTGTCTTATTACATTATCTACAATTTCCTGTACTTCACTGAAAATAGCAGTGATGGGAGGCATATTACTCTTCCCAGAACTAAAAAGGAATACTTCTAATGTTTATTCGAGTATGATATGGTGAGTGTTTTAACACATAGCCTTTACAAACTAAAGACAGGCTTGTCTTTTCTAGTTTCACAAGAGCTTTTACTTCAAAGGCATTTTCTGCAACTATTGAAAAGATCAGTGATCTTTCTTTTAGATCTGTGATGATTTACCTTGATATATTTCCTTGCGCTAAATTATTTTATAACCCTAGGGTAAATCCTACTTGATCACGATGTATTATATTTTTAACACACAGCTGAATTAAACTAGATAGCATTTTGTTTAAGGGTTCATGTAATTTCAAATATAATTTATAATATATAATAATCATATTTTAATTTGGAGCTATATAATTTCTTGTTTTGTACTAGTATTATCTGGTAATGAATTAAAGATATATAAAACCTTGTACAGGTTTTCTGGTTTTCAAAATCATTTTCTGGAATGAGCCATGTTTAAAGTAGGGATAATGTGCTTCTTTGAAGTTTGTTACAGGTCATGTGTTAAATTATCTCTGTGGTTTTTTTAGGGGAAATATTAATTACTTTTTGATTCCATAATGATTATTGTTTACAAAATGTTCTATTTTGATAGTTTTGTCAATTTATGTTACTAATATTTAACAATTTCATCTGATTTACCCTATTCATTTGTGTATAGCCGTACATAGTATTATTTTAATATTTGTTTTTCATTTTTAATTTTTTATTTCAATAGGTTTTTGGGGAACAGGCGGTGTTTGGTTACATGAATAAGTTCTTTATTGATGATTTCTGAGATTTTGGTGCACCCATCACCTAAGAAGTGCACTATACTTAATGTGTAGTCTTTTATCCCTCGCCACCTTTCACCCATTACCCCAAGTCCCCAAAGTCCAATGTATGACGCTTATACCTTTGCATCCTCATAGCTTAGCTCCCACATATGAGTGAGAGCATATGATGTTTGGTTTTTCATTGCTGAGTTACTTCACTTAGAATAATAGTCTCCAGTTCCATCCAGATTGCTGTGAATGTCATTATTTCATTTCTTTTTATGACTGACTAGTATTTTATGGTATATATATATATGCCAGTATTCTATAGTGTGTGTGTATGTGTGTGTGTGTGTATATATATATATATATATGTGTGTATATTCTATGGTGTGTGTATATATATATGGTGTGTATATATATATGTGTATATATATGTGTGTATATATATATGGTGTGTGTATATATATATGTATTCTATGGTGTATATATATATATATATATATATATATAGACACCACAGTTCCAAATTTCTTGGAGCCTTTGTTCATTTTTAAAAATTTTTTTTCTTTGTCTTTGACAGATTGGGTTAATTCAAAAGCCTTATCTTCAAACTCTAAAGTTCTTTCTTCTGCTTGGTTGATTCTATTGGTGAGAATTTCCAGTGCATTTTGCATTTCTCTAAGTCTGTCCTTGATTTCCAGAAGTTGTTATTATTTTTTATTTATGCCATTTCACTGAAGAATTTTCTTTTCATATCCTGTCATGCTTTTTATTTCTTTAAGTTGGACTTCACCTTTTTTTGATGGCTTCTTAATTAGCTTAATAATCCACCTTCTGAATTGTTTTTCTGGCAATTCAGAGATTTTATCTTGGTTTGGGTCCATTGCTGGTGAACTGGTATGATGTTTTGGGGGTGTTAAAGAACCTTGTTTTGTCATATTACCAGAATCATTTTTCTGGTCCCTTCTCATTTGGGTAAACTATGTTAGAGGGAAGATTTAGGATTCAAGGGCTGTTGTTCAGATCCTTTTGTCCCACAGGGTGCTCCCTTGATATGGTGTTCTCCACGTTCCCCTAAGAATAGGGCTTCCTGAGAACCGAACTGTAGTGATTGTTTTTTCTCTTCTAGGTCTAGCCACCCCACAGAGCTACCAGGCTCTGGGCTGGTAGTGGGGAGTGTCTGCAAAGAGTCCTGAGATGTGATTTCTCTTCAGGTCTTGCAGCCATAGATACCAGCACCTGCTTTGGTGGAGGTAGCAGGGGAGTGAAGTAAACTCTATGAGGATCCTTGGCTGTGTTTTTGTTCAGTGCATTGGTTTTGTGTTGGTTAACCCCCAGTCAGGAGGTGGTGCTTTCAAGAGTACATCAGCTACGATCCTATAAGGAGGATGCAAACTTGCCCTAGGGACACCTGGTAAAGTATTCAGGTTCCTCAGGCAGTGAGCAGGGCCATAGAGCTTCCAAGAGATTATGACCTTTGTCTTCAGCTACCAGGGCAGGTAGAGAAAGACACCAGGAAGGGCCAGGGATAAGTATGTCTGAGCTCAGCCTCTCCATGGGTGCGGCTTGCTACGGCTGCTGTAGGGGATGTTGGTGCGGTTCCCAGTCCAATGGAGTTATATTCCCTGGGGGATTATGACTATTTCTGTTGAGTCATACCGGTCACCAGGGAAGTGGGGGAAAACCGGCAGTCACAGTCCTTACCCTGCTCCCACGCAGCCCGCAGTCCTAAAGGATGGTCTCACTCCCACCACGCGCCCACATCAGCATCTAGTCTATTTCCAGGCAGCTGGTGACTAGGGCTGAGAACTTGCCCCAGACCACAAACCTCCCCATTAAGAAAGCAAGCAGACTTAGAGTTTCTTGGTGTCTCAGGGAGCCTGCCGGGCTGATCCAGTTCTCATCTCTGTTTATTCCATTTCATTCCCTTTGTCTTTTTCTTTGTTGTTTTCCTTTTTTCTATTTGTTTATTCTGTTGCTTATCGTCTAACTTTTGAGTTGAATCTTAGGTCATTTGTTTTCAATATTTTTTGCTTCTAATATGTCTACACATACACACACACACACACACACACACACACACACACACACACACTTACCCATAGGCATATACACATATATTGAAAGCTCTAAATTTTTCTCCAAATATTGCTTTAGGTTTTTCACATAAATTTTAATACATGGTGGTCTCACAGTCATTCAACCCTGCCTGTGTTTCTTACAATTTACCTTGCAAATGCCTTTTTAACCCACGAGTAATTTCGTAGTCCTTTTTTTTTTAGTTTGCAAACATATGGGACTATTTTAGCTATCTTTTTGT
Organism: Homo sapiens; assembly: GCF_000001405.40. NCBI lineage: Eukaryota > Metazoa > Chordata > Mammalia > Primates > Hominidae > Homo > Homo sapiens. The sequence goes on from NC_000004.12 coordinate 176,601,962, forward strand.
TATCAATTTCTAATTTTGTAGCATTATGGTTTGCATCATAGTTTATATGAAGTTGATTCTTGGGAATTTATAGAGTCTTCCTTTGTGACCCAGTATAAATTTGCTTTTTATGGCTTAAAAGAAAGGATATCATACCTTTGTTAAATGTAAATCTATATATATGAATACTAATTCAAGCTTATTTATTGTATTGCTCAGATCTTTCACGGCTTTGCCTATTTTTATATTTCAATTTTGAATTTTTTAAAGAATACTTAAAATATGCCAATTTTAAAAATTTCTCTTCATAAATTTTCTAATTATTTTTATATATTTTGACTTAAAATTGGTATGTATATATGTGTATATGTGTATTTTTATATTGCAATTTAGAATTTTTTAAAGAATAGTTGGTATGTTTATGTGTATTTTTATATTTTAATTTAGAATTTTTTAAAGAATACTTAAAATATGCCAATTTTGGGCCAGGTGCAGTGGCTCACGCCTGTAATCCCAGCACTTTGGGAGGCCCAGGCAGGCAAATCACGAGGTCAGGAGATAGAGACCATCTTGGCTAACACGGTGAAACCCCATCTCTACTAAAAATACAAAAAGATTAGCTGGGCGTGGTGATGGATGGCTGTAGTCCCAGCTACTCGGGAGGCTGAGGCAGGAGAATGGCGTGAACCCAGGAGATGGAGCTTGCAGTAAGCCGAGATCGTGCCATTGCACTCCAGCCTGGGCGACAGAGTGAGACTCCATCTCAAAAAAAAAATAGGCCAATTTAAATTTTATCTTCATAAATTTTCTAATTATTTTTATATATTTTGATTTAAAATTGGTATGTGTATATGTATGTATATAAGGTATACCCACTTGGTTTAAGAGTGCTTTTCTACCAGCATATAATTGTCCTTTAGAAATTTGTTTAATGTGTTTTAACATGAAATGCCTGGTTTTAATATTAAAATTTCAATATATTTTTAAAGACAGCTTTGTTTATATTTACCTGGCATATTTTTTATCTTTTTTCTTTTTTTTACTTTATGTGTTCTTTAGCAGTTGGCAATTATTAGCATGTATCAAAAGAAAAAATATTTTAAATGAGAAAATGGTCATTTAAAACATGTCTCTCATAAGTCACTTATGGCCTGAAAGGGATTAAGAAAACCCAAGCTGAGAGTCTGTCTTGATCAATGAGATCATATTTTTACTGAAAATGGCATTTTTTTCAGTTTTTGTTCTACCATTTTGTTTTCTGTTTTATATCAATCAGGATTTTTTTTTCTTCCCTACCTTCCCTATCTCCTAGATTAATTTTTGGTTTTTGTTTTGAGAGTTACAATTTCTATCTTTATTTGTCTGTAGATTACTCTTATTAACACTCATCTGTCATTTAGATCTTGTAATAACCGTGTCTTGCAAGTATATGCAAATACTTTCCAAATTTTCACTAAGTTTATGTTTCTTTTTCAATATTCTATTTTATTCTGAAGTCTTGCATCTTTTCTTTCATTATGAGAAATTCTGGACTATTTTGTCTTCCATTATTTTTTAAATTTCATTTTACTTTTTCCTCTTCTTCTTGAACTAGTTTTAGAAGGGTGAAATACTTGTACTCATATCTTTTCCATCTTATTTTTTCATCTCTTACATTTCCTGTGCCCGTTAGAAGAGATCTTTGCTCAAATATTCCAGTTTACTGATTTGTTTGTAATCTGTGTATACAGTTGAACCTTGAACAATGTAGGGGTTGATGCCTTGTACAGTCAAAAATACACATTTAACTTTTGACTCCCCCAAAACTTAACTAATAGTCTACAGCTCACTGGAAGCCTTATTGATAATACAAACATTTGATTAACATATATTTTGTATGTTGTTTGTATTACATACTATATTCTTACAATAAAGCAAGCTATAGAGAAGAAAACGTTATTAAGAAAATAATAAGGTTGGCTGGATATGGTGGCTCACGCCTGTAATCCCAGCACCTTGGGAGGCCAAGGTGAGTGGATCACCTGATGTCAAGAGTTTAAGACTAGCCTGGCCAATGTGGTGAAACCCCGTCTCTACTAAAACTACAAAAATTAGCCAGGCATGGTGGCGGGCTCCTGTAATCCCAACTACTCAGGAGGCTGAGGCAGGAGAATCACTTGAACCCGGGAGGCGGAGGTTGCAGTGAGCAAACCTGGGTGACAGAGCGAGACTCTGTCTCAAAAAAAAAAAAATCTTAAGGGAGAACAACAATATTTAGTATTCATTAAGGGGAAGCGAATTGTTATAAATGTCTTCATCCTCATTGTCTTCATGTTGAGTAGGCTGAGAAGGAGGAGGAAAGGAAAGGGTTGGTCTTGTTGTCTCAGGAATGGCAGAGATAGAAGAGGTGGAGGAGTTGGAAGGGGAGACAGAAGAGGCAGGCACACTCAGTGTAACGTGTATTGAAAAAAATCCATGTGTAATGGACCCTTGCAGCTCCAACCTGTGCTGTTCAAGGCTCAGTTGTAGTCCGCTCTGCAACCCATATGTTAGATTCTATTTTAGCAGTTACACTTTCAAACCCAATATCTTCCATTGGTTTTTTCTTAAATCATTTTCCTATGTTTTTATCATCTTCTCCTACATATCTGAGAATACTTATTATTCTTTCTTAAATTTCTTGTTTTGCAGGACTATAAATTCTTCTTTTTGAAGAGGCTCTTCAATTTGTTGTCTGTCTTTCATGTCTGTAGGCCTGGAGGAGGAGTAAGTAAAAACCCCAGTTTGTTCCCATTTTCATGAGTTTAGGAGCAAGGGTTGGAGGCCTGTCTCAGGACAGAAAGCCTTGGCCTTGAAATTGAAGCTTTAGCTTTTGCCATTGCACCCCATCTCAGGTAATGTTACGCTCTACGGGAAACCTGTGGTTTCCTCTGTTCCAGTCACCATTCTTTTCCAAGAGATGATATTGTCACCTGCAGTTGTCTGGCCCAGAAGGTGGGAGTTGGTTAGAAATTACCGAGGCATTGACCAGCTTGTTTCCAGACATTATATCTGTCTCTAGCACAGCTGATTCTGGTGCTGGAGAGACATCACCCAGCCCTGTGCATGGCACTGTGGGCACTGCTGCTATCCTGCCTATCCTTTATAACATGTTAGGAACAGAACAATGTGAAGGAGACTAATGTGCCACTAGAATGTCTTCCCCAAGCTGAGCCCCATATTTGTGGCACCTCGTCCTGGTCCTCTCTTTTTACAGGATGCTGTTCTTCTTTCTTGCAGGGACACAACCACTAGTTTATGTGTCTCACAGAGGTTCCTGCTGTTTTGTGTCAAGACAGATGTTGCATTAGCTTCCCTCTTGCTTCTGTGACATCTCTTCAATTGGGTTCCAAGGTTGGAGGACATGGCTCATATTAGTTCACAAATTTGTTCATAACTGGAAGCTTCCCCAATTCTATAAAACATACAATTATGTTTTTGATACATAAAAATGATTGGCAATTGCTAAGCTGAGTAAAATATTGAGTTTCTCTTGGCTCCAGATGCTGCAAGAAAGTATTATTAAAACCAGCCTGGTCTCAGAAAAGAAGCCTAAAAATTAATCTCACATGCCTAGAAAAATCTGTTGGTATAACTGTTTTGACTATTCTGACCAAAGTATTTCCAGTAAATTGTACAACAACACTACCACACACGTGGGATAGCTGTATACGAGAATAGAGATACTTTATTTCAGGGTCAGAGAGGACAGTTAATTTTGTGAAGCACCAGATGCCTGGACAAAATCCCCCGTCAGGGGAAATGAAAAGGAATAGTCCAGTTCTCTAGAATCAAAGAATGAGGCAATTAGAACGAAGGTATCATATTGGGATAATAAGCAGGTCAGGAACCAACAATAGAGCTCCGCAGTAAGGAGGGAAGAAAAAGAGGAAGGAAGGGAGGAGGGAAGAAAAGAAAAAGGAGAAAGGAATGTAGGAAGAAAGGAAGAAGCCTGTCATAGGAGACATTTCTAATAGCATAAAATGCAATAACCTTTAGCTAAGCATCAAATTAGACTATTGAACTTGTCCCTGGACAGGTGATATTCTGTCTATTTCTGAATTCGATAGTAATGAAAAGGACAGCCAGTTGTTATTGAGCACTTCAGTGTGCCAAATACTGTGCTAAGGATGTTACTGACATCACCCTGTTCAGTCCTCATGAAATGTATGAGGTCAGAATTATTTTCTACTCTTATTTTACAGATGAGAAAACTGAGCAAGATTTTGTGACTTTCCCAAGGTCCTACACCAGGCAGAGTAGGCAAAATTTAAACCTAGAAAATTTGACTCTAAGATTACATTGTCTTGTAATGCAAAGGTTTCTGGAGATTCTGTGAAGAGTTCAGAAGTGGTTAAAATAACAACTTTACGTGAGAAGAATAAGACAAATGAAGAAATTCTGAAGGATTCTGTATTCATTTTTCTTTTATAACAGTATTATAAGGCATTTTAATAATGGTCTGTAACCTAGATATCCTCTTAGTTAAAGAAAAGAAGATCCTTTGGAGCTACTGCCACGGAAGACTTTTCAACTGGAAAGGATTTGAATAAAAAGTTGGAACATTTAAGTTAAATAATGCAATAATACAACAACTGAGGAAATTTATTGGAATGTCTTATCAATAAATGTTATAGAGTCTCTTTTTCTCCTTTAAAATAAAATAGATAAGATTCTCCCAAGGATGATTTAATTGTGGTTCTGCCTAGAAGAGGTGAGATGATTTGGTATGCCGATATACAGGCAAGGGGACCGGCGGGAGGGTCAGAGGATGAAGGGCTTTCGCTGGAAGGAATGGGCTTGTTCCAATTCCTGAACCTGCGGATGTGGACCTTGTTTGGAAAAAAGCCTCTTTGAAGATGTAATTAAGTTAAGGATCTTAAGGTGACATCATCAGGATTATCCCGTGCCTTAAACCCAATGACAATTGTCTTAAACGACAGAAGAGGAAAAGATACAGACACAGCGAAGGCTATGTGAAGATGGAGAGAGAGGCTGGATTTATGCAGCCACCAGCCACAGAACAACAGCGACAGCCACTAGAAGTTGAAAAGGCTCCACCTTCTCACGGAGCATTTCCTTGCCGACGCCTTGGTTTCAGGTTTCCGGCTTCTGGAACTGTGAGAAAATGCATCGCTTTGGTTTTAAGCCACAAAGTTTGTAATAAGTTTTTATGACAGCCCTAGAAAACTGATACAGGTAAAGATCCAGATAGTATTTCCAGGACCATCGGTATCTCACAGGGAACTATGGGAATCTTTATAAAATGAAATGTTGACATAATCATTAACAATCCTAATGAGAAGGACAGGGCTGAATTATCTAATGAAATACATGTGCCCGTGACGTGCAGAAATTGGACATGCAAAAATGAAATGAAGGGTACATAACCAACGATGCTGGCAAAACAGAAACACTGTGCGGTGAGACTCCTCCCAGAGAGCAGGCCTTGGCGTTTTATTAACCCTGACACATTCAATGTTTTAATTTTGACCTCAGACAAAGCCATTAAAGCATACTTTTGAAATTTAAGAATGACAAAGCTCAAGAACAAACTAATATGTTGAAGGATCACCATTAATAGACCAAATTCCAAATTATGAAATGTAGGTAATAATAACATTCATTATTAGTTACTGAGTGCTTATTATTTGTTAGGTGCTGAGATAATTCTTTAGAAGTCATTAAACCATTTCATTCTCAAAGCTACACCCTGAGATTGACCGACATTTGTCAGTGGGGAATTGTGGCCACTAAATAACTTAATGTTGGAATTTTTTTTTTTTTTTTTGAGTCAGAATCTCACTTTGCCACCCAGGCGGGAGTGCAGTGGCACAATCTCAACTCACTACGCCGTTCGCCTCATGGGTCAAGTAATTCTCGTGCCTCAGCCTCCTGAGTAGATGGGATTACAGCGTGAGCCACTGTGCCCGGCTAATTTTTGTATTTTTCATGGAGACGGGATTTCGCCATGTTGGTCAGGCTGGTCTCGAACTCCTGGCCTCCAGTGATATGCCCGCCTCAGCCTCCAAAAGTGCTGACATTACAAGTTTGAACTACCATGGTTGGCCTAGCTTAATGTTAGAATCTTAATTGAGAACCAATACCTAAAATTAGGTAGATAACAGTCTGGTGTTACTTTGCACAAAACAGATCTCATCACATCTGAAGAACGGTGCTGATTGGGCTTCCTGGCCATAGAGGATCATACTGGGTAGATTTCAAAGGAAAATGAAAACATCTGGAAGCTAGGTCATCATAGGCTTCATTTGTTATATTGTATGGTGAAAAACAGAATATACTTATTTTTGCGTATCCAAAGGATAGAACTAGGAAGAGTGGTAGAAGTTACAGAGAGAAAAATGACAACTCTAGGACATTTTTTTGATAATTAGCACAGTCTAGCCAGGAAACAATCTGCCTCTGCAATGAGAGATCTCTCTGCGCTTCCAGAGCACCACAGCAGCAGCAGCCAAATGTTATAGGAAAGTTGCAGTAAAGATTCATTCGATTGGACAATGTTGAGCTGAATAATGTCTCTAATTCCCTTTGACTCATAGACTCTGTTTCTGTGAGTTTCTGGCATTAGTGGCAAGTGGGGAAAGGTGACAGTGATGTAAAGAGCCTGGAGATGTAAGGAAATTCAAAAGAGCAAACTTCATTTTACAATTTCACAAGGTCCCTTAATAATCCATCAGCAAGTCAGATGAATTAGCAAGATAGTTTTCACAGCTGTCTAATTGAATGTGTAGACACAGTCTTAGCAAGGCACAAGCTAAGCCCTGACTAAGTGGAACCAGTTAAGACTAGGCTGTGGACACTGCCACATACTAGTTTTGTGACTATGGGAAAGTTACTTATCTTCTGTATCTTACCTCAGTCTTATCTGTAAGATGAGAATGTTAATAGTACCTTATACAGTTTCTTATTGTAAAGATTAATGAGTTACTCAGGTAGAGTTTTTAAAACTGTGCTTTGTAACCACAATAAATATTGCCACCCAAGTACACATTGAATAAGAGCACAAACAGGTAGTACATGACATGAAAATCACATTTTGCACTTAGAAGAACATGTCATGCTCTAGTGCATGGGCGTGAGGTTTTCAGGCACTTACTGAAACTAGGAAAGAAGAAAGATGGCAGAGATGAACGTTTACTTTTCTCTTGGATTTGAATGCAAGTGGTAAGCCTGCTTAGAGAGTCCCTAATACACCAAAATAAAGGAAAACATTGATGTGATACTGTGTCTACGAAGTGAAAAGACAGGGAATTTATGAAATACGAAGAACAATTTGCAGTCCAAAATGCAGAGCTAAATTTCTGCTCTGCTATTTACCTGCGGCCACGAGCAGGCCACAGAGCCTGCTAAAGCTCAGTTGTCTGTTGCATAATATAGGAATGAAAATATCTGGCCTGTGCATTTCACAGGGATGTAAAATTCAAATGAGAGTGCAAACGGGAAAGCTCTTTTAAATCGTAATGCCCAGCACCAGAAAGTGTTGTTCTGACGTGTTGTGGGGGTAAAGTAGTTAAGTTCGTCAAACAAAACAAATGATCTGATTCCCTTCATAATAACATATGTAAATGTTGTTACCTTAAGTTATGCGAACAGAGGGAAAGTCTGTGTGGATTCAGGCAGCTGCATGTATTTTTACCAGGCAATATCCCTCCACTCAGGGTACCTTTGCTCAACCGAGCGTGTCCAGATACAGTAGAAGTGTTTGGAGCAGGAGATAGAACGAAAGAGAGGGAAAGAAGACATTATTCCTTCCCCCTCCTACTTCTAGCTCCAAACCTGAGTCAGAAATGAATTGTGTGTGTATATGTGTGTGTGTGTATACAGCATGTGTGTGTGTTGGAGGGTAGGAAGAGGATAGAGGAGAGAGAAGTTTGTAAGCTTCATACAACACAATATGACTGAAAATGTTCATGCCCAAAGATGAGACTCTTCTTTAATATGTGAAAGGGAAGCCCTAGGAAATCACTTTCTAGTATTTTCTAGGGGCAATCACAGGCAATCCTTCTGACTGAATGTGAAAGGCAACAAAAAGGAACAATAAACATTTTGTCCCTTGTGTTCCCAAATTCAAGGTTTATCATTTCGTTGATATTTTAGCTAGTCATAAATTCTCAGTTCAAAATTTTCCCTCAGAATTTTGAAGGTATTTCTCCAAAACCTTCTGTCACTCTGGGTTGTTGATAAGAATTTGGGAGCCATTGAGATGATTGCCTTTTTTTTTTTTTCCTTTTGGGGATCATCTAGGATCTTTGCTTTATTCTTGATGTGCTAAAATTTCACAGGGAGGTGCCAGGCTGTTCTTAGTCACTGGGATAGAAACTCTATAAAATCAAGGACTTGGTTTTTTTACTTCTGATTTCAGGCACCTTGTGGCAACATGTCTGGCCCATAATAGGAACTCCATAAATATTCATCAAATATAGTTTTGGGATGAATTTGTATTGTGGGACACTTGAAGGAGACATTTAATCTGAAGAATCCATCTTTATTTTCATAAGCTCTCCTACCCTTTATTTACCCTTCTACAATCCCAATAATGAGGTAAAGTCTCCCAATTTGTATAGATCCTATGGTAATCTCCACAATCCAAATGGTTGAAACAGTATCTCTGTGCCTCATTGTTTTTATTTTTTCTACTCAGGGTCATCCAGTGGCTTCATTTATTCAAATAAGCATCCTTTAAAGCAATTATTCATTCTGAGTAACTGAATGGAGCTCAGTGTAGCAAAGCAGTCTACAATCTGCTTCGTGATTACCTATGACATTTCTTGGGCAAAATAAACTACATTTCTTTTTTCATGAAAGTGGCTACATCAGCAAAGACCCAGAGCAGTCAACTCACTGATGACAGTCACGTGATTTCCTGAATTTCACAAATAAGTTGTCAGTTAAAAACAAAACAAAACAAAACAAAAAATGTCTATGGGGACCTTACAATTTCTAAGCTTTTATTCTTCCAGGAAATGATATTTAGAATGCAACTACCATCTGATATTGCCATTATTTCATTAAAAATATTAAATTTCAATCCCTAAAACTTAGGATGTATCTACAAAGGGAAAAATTACAGCATTAAATGCATTTTTATTTTTTATATATTCTTCTTTATACATTTATTCATTAATGGAGTAATTGACTGATTCATTGTTTCATTTCATTTCATAAAATCTTTTTTGTGTGTGTGAATAAGGATTGGTCTGTGGTATCCCTGACACTAAAATAAACACACACACACACACACACACACACAATTGTTCTAGGGATCTGACTTCTATCTAGATTCAGTTCAGAATTTTGCATCTTTCCCTGTTCTTAATTTATTGTCTTTTGCTATCATTTGACATAAAGAGAAATAAAATATTTGCACTTCTTCAGAAAATTATTTCCATGATGACTGTATTAAGTACCAGCAGTAATCCAAGACATGGAATTAGAGATGACATTTTTTCTACTTTTATTTTGAAAGACTCCCTATTTTTTGCCTGAAGAAGAGAAATAGGCAAAGAAATATGGATAATTATGAAAGTAGTGAAGCCACATCTGATTCCTTTGAGATATTTTTCAAGAACATTTAATCCTTTTAAGCAATGTTACTCTTGTCTTATTGCCAATGTCAGTGATAGCTTGGATAATCCTCTAGCTATGAACTAACTGTTTAAATGTGACCTGGCAAGTAACATACTCATTCTGTACTCTAACTTAATATTGCAACGTTTGTCATTCATAGTAAATTAAAATATATTTTACCACACTTGCTCTTTTTCCAGTTATTCTTTTGTTGTTGTTGTTCTAGAAAAGATATTGATGCATTTGCTCTTCAGAACTTGAATGTTACAAACATACTTTGCACATGCTTCTGAGAAGGAAGTTTCCATGTAACTCATCCAAAACTTAAGTGGAGGAGTGGTGGATTTGAACTGACTCTCCAGCAAAGACAAAGCAATAGCATTTTCAATAAAGATATGCAAGTGAAATTAAGAATTATGACAGAGGAGAATAAAAACAATAGATCAGTCCTCCTTTGGGAGAACAACAACATAAAAAAGCAATGAAAGGGTGCAAATCATTGATGTGACACTTAAAGCAAGCCATTGCACATCTTACACAGTGACTGGCCCTAGTAGCAAAAAGCCAGATTTGGGAAGTCTCTGAAACCACAGTTTCCTATGTTCTCTTTAACTGAGTAGGTTTACTGCATGAATCAACCCTTCAATCCCACACACCCTCCACCAAACTTCAGTAGAGACAAGAATGGCCATAAATAGCCGGAGAGTAATTCCTGTTTTTTGCTTTGTTTTGTTTTTGTTTTTGTTTGGGGGGGGGGGGGTTGTGTGTGTTTGTATGTGTGTGTGTGTGTGTGTGTGTGTGTGTGTGTGTGTGTGTGTGTGGTTTTTTTTTTTTTTTTTTTTTTTGACACAGAGTCTCCCTCTGTTGCCCAGGCTGGAGTGCAGTGGTGCGATCTTGGCTCACTGCAATCTCCGCCTCCTGGGTTCAAGTGATTCTCCTGCCTCAGCCTCCTGAGTAGCTGGGATTATAGGTGCATACCACCACACCCAGCTAATTTTTGTATTTTTGGTAGAGACAAGGTTTCACCATGTTGGCCAGGATGGTCTTGATCTCTTGACCTCATAATCCACCCTTCTCAGCCTCCCAAAGTGCTGGGATTACAGGCGTGAACCACTGCACCTGCCCATTAGTTCCTGTTAGACACTGCCTGCAATATGTGCAAGGGCCATTCCACTGAGTAAATTGTATAATCTTAAAGTGAACTTCCTTATTGTGATAATTAATGATAGAACATATGAACCATACCTTAATGAATGGAATTTTCCCTTCTAACCTCTTTGGCATTTGCTTGACTATTTTTATGGGAGAAGATTATCCCCCACCAACCTCTGTCTCCCTCTAATCTGCCTCTTCTGCTATTAGACTTAGGCAACCCTATTACGGCAGAGCCTCTGAGGAGTTTCTAGGCATGAAATCCCAGAAGGAACCCTGGATGCTGTAGACTGGATGATGGAGGGCAGTGAAAGTATGCATACCTGTGAGTTTGTACATGAGAGGAGTGGCTGGGGCTGGGATGAGAACTCTTTTTGCTTGCCTGTTAGAGCTCAGCTTGGATGGGTTGGGGCAGCTGTCTCTGTTCTCTCAAGGTTAGAGCCACCTTCACCTCAAGAACTTTTCTCCTGTATTTGTTTCAGGTAATTGCTCTCTGTGGAAAGCTTTTTCCACCCAAGTTGAAGGTGGACAGAGGTGTTCTCCTGTTGGCCTCAGTGTCCTACTGAACTGTGGCTCCCTCTCTGCCCTCTGGTTGTAGCCAAGCATGAGCCAGTTCTATGAGGAAATTAAAAAGGAACTCTTTGATGTTCAGAAAATTCAAAGAACAAAGGCAATTCAGCCTGACTCTGCTTTGCTATTAATTGGGAGTTGTTACTGTATTGGGGTTGAATTGTGTCTCCCTGAAAGATGGGCTAAAATTTTAACCCATGGTACCTCAGAATGTGACCTTATTTGGGATTGGGGTCTCTTCAGCTGTAATTGCATGAGATCATGCTGGAGTAGGATGGGCCCTTAATTCAATATGACTAGTGTCCTTCTATGAAGTGGGGAATTTGGAACAGACACAGAGAACTCCATATGAATATATGAAGACAGAGACATAGATTGGAGTGATGCTGCCACAAGTCAAGGAACACCTAGGGATACCCGAAGCTGGAAGACGTAAGGAAGTTTCCTCTCCTAGAGACTTTGAAGAGAGCATGGCCCTGCCAACACCTTAATTTCACATGTCCAGCTTCCAGAACTGTGGAACAATACATTTCTGGCTTTAAGCCACCCGGTTTGTAGTCTTTTGTTATAACAGCCTTAAAAAAAACTAATACAGGAGTGTCTTAGATGAGTTTAAGTTAAAAGGAGAAATCAATGACCTTCCCCAAACTACCACTGTGTGTCCACCATTGGACAATGGACAAACCACCACTGTGTTGTCCATGTATGGCTATCGCATTTTACATTGTTCCAGATATTCCTCCTGGAAAGAAGGCTCAAGGGAGAAGATAAGATGACTACCTCCAGGCACGGTTGCTGTACCTTTAGCAAAAGCTCTGATGCAGGAAGCCCCTTAGGCTGTTCTCAGCAAGGAGCAGTTTTTCCCTGGAGCTAGATGTGTATCAATGCCTGATTCCAGCACATACCCTGAAGGAAAGATCTCTCTTTTACAAATGGTAAGGCCTTTCCCTAGCTGAGAAAGGAAAAAGTGAGTCCAACATTTCATATATTTAGCAGTATCTCTATTTCTAGATATTAATTACATACAACATCATTCCCTATTATTTGTAGTGAGGCACTAATTATCCAAGCATAGTGATCTTCTATGATTCAAGATGAATTAAACCTCATATAATTAATACATTCAGCACATTAAACTGCAAAATAACCCACCTTTAAATGAGAGAAAGTTCACGTGAAAGACAGCATATACACAAGATTCTTAAATATATTTCAAAAGAAAAGTTTCATCAATAAGTGAACATTTCTCAAGCAGACATTCACAGTTACAATATTTCAAGATACAACATTTGTTTTCTTCCCCTAAATGGTTCTATATTCTTTTCACACTACGCGGTGTATATCCCTGAACAAATCTGGTCAAACAAAACAGATCATTTTCAGCTCTATTTATACAATACTCTTTTCTATGGAGATCTAAGCCAGGCCAAGGTTAAGGATACTTTTAAGAGAATGTTATCATTTTAATAATGTTCTTAGTGGCAAAGACTTTCTACTAAATAACAAAGGCCCAAAATAGGGGTTATATATAAGAGGCTCACTTTCCTTAATCTCTATAGAGGTAAATAATTGAGGCCCTAAAACTGTAGTGTTGGTTTTTATCATAAAGTGTCAACTTACAAATATTTATCTAAATGGTTGGATTATTACTATTGGGAAAATTATGTGATAAATTCTTTGAGGATTTGTTCACTTATCCACAATCTCACCTCCAATGTATATTATCTAAGAAAGGCTGGGCACCGTGCCAAGAACTATAGAATAAATAGCCTGAGCCACGAGTAGTTTCTGCTCGTGGGGTTATAGTTTGAGGATATAAGAAATATAAATATCAAAATATCACATTATATTGGTGCCAGAACTGTACAGTCATGTTATTCAGCCACATGCAAGGTTGTTTGTAGAGCCTGTGAGGCAGATGAGCTGAGTGCCTGAAGACAGACAGGTCTGAGGCTAGGAATAACTTCCTGGTGTTTCCAGGATTAAACACCCTGGCAATCTGAGAACTAGAGTACCTCCTATCCATAAAGTCATTTTCTTTATGACCTGGTTAATAGTGTATTGCCCCTGAATGCAAAGGTGGAATTATTTCAGATTACCATAGTAATTTTTAAAGTGAAGTGGAAGTGGGTCTGTAACAACATTTCTGGATGCAAAGACAGCTGAAACTGCACTATAAAGAGCCATGACAAAAAGAAGGTATTGGCCTTGCCTGAATTCAAAGATGAAGAACTGTGATCCTCTCCCATGCTGGAAGCAGGATATCCATCACAGATACTGGTGGACTGTAGGATGCTCACCAGCCGTAGTGAGCACAGGGGTCTTATAGTTTGTATCTACTTATACTAACATGTTCAGTTCTTGCAGATGTTTCTGTTGGCTGTGATTTCCAGAGCATTTTATCACGGGGATTTGTTTACTTATGTGTCAGGTTATTTTTGATGGTGTGATGGTCATTGTAGTTACAAAATTATTTTTAAGAAACTTTGAGACCTAATATAACTGTATCATTTTTTAAGAGAAATTTTGCATTAGCTTCTGCTAAGCACCTTGGGGCACTACCAGTCTGAGAACATCTTAATTAAGAGTAAAGCTTCAGGTTCCCTGGACTATCCAGAGGACACACACTTGGGCTGCAAGTTTGCACAAGAGCTAATTAATTTCTAGTTCAGAGCAACTCTGGGTGTATAGTCATTGGCTCCTAGCTTAAATTGGAGGAGGATGTAAATTGATTTTCCACATTAAGTGGTGCCTGGCGTTTGTTCTATTCTTCCTGAAAGGCCAACATAGCCAGCTGTTAGCTTAGTAGCTGTTTCTTCTAATGAATAAAAGTCCACAGCACAGAGTTTTTTTATATAGTAGGCTTACATCTCAAGAGTATTGCATTTTTTTCAGATTTCGGACCCACAATTCTTTACTGTTATTTCAGTGTTTTTTTTTAATCATGTATATTTTATTGACTTATAAAATTTGTCCTCAGTGGGAAGGTTAGTTCAAATGATCTTCCTTGCCATGAGTCAGAAGTCCTTAGATCAGGGTTTTGCATTCTTAGTACCATTAACATTTTGGGCTGGACAATTCTTTGTTTGAGGGCACTGTACTGTGCAATGTAGACATTTAGCAATGTCTCTGGCTTCTACCAACTAGATGTCAGTGGCACCCTCCTCGCCCCCACAATCATGACAATAAAAAATGTCTCCAGACATTGCCAAATAGCCCCTGGGAAGCACAATTCTCCTTAGTTGAGAAGCACTGCCCTAGAGTATTGATATTTTAAAATAAAGATATGAAGATATCTGTAGTGTGTTGTGAATTAAAAATAATTGCATTCTGGTTCATTTGCCTCAGATTTCACTTTGTGATACAGAGGACATGGGTCTTTAAGATCCAGTGGGAAATTGCAGAAACAATGTGGTAGAGTGGAAAGAACACTAGCTTTGGAGCCAGACAGGATTGGATTCTAAACCTGCCTCAACTGCTTACCTTGACAGAATACTAATTGCATGGCCTCAGGCAAGTACTTAACCTCTTCACCCTAACTTTCTACTTCTGTAAATTATGATTCCTCAAAGGGTTGTTTGTGAGTAATTTACTTCTCATTTTGGTTCAGTTATTCACTCAGAGCATGTAGAGTATGTAATGCTAACTTCTATTTTATTTTTCAGATATTTTCTCAAGTATAAGCTCTTTCACCGAAGGCTTTGTTGAAAAAAAAAAATTGAAGAAAATCTATTGACCTAAATGTAGCAATCCACAAAATATTTTATTTAACTTGGATTCTTAAAGACTCAGTTTCGATTTTACTTTAAAAATATTTTACAGGTTGGGAAAAAAGGGCAAAGAAAATTTTACACAAAGCTAAAGCAGTGCTTAATTTTTTTGGTATGTTTTTTCACATTATTGTATAAAAATTGAAGAGGTAGAAAATAGGAGCCTTTTGCTGTAAGGTAAGTGATAAACTTTTTTTAATTTTATAATTTTAATTTTCTACTTCAACTTGAATCACAGAACTCAATATATTCTTTATAGTTATAAAAGAGCATTTAATGAGCAACAGTTTCCAGACAACCTGGCAAGTTTTTTTTTTTAATGTGTTATCTTATTTGATTTTCACCAGAAACATGTGAGGTAAGTGCTATTCCCATTTTACAGATTCAGGCATCTCACATATATGGAAGGTGTTTATCCACATTCACCCAGCTAAAAATAGTCTCAGATTTGTCTGCCTCAGACCCAGGGTTCTTAAACACTACATCATGTCACCTCTGATAACTAAATGCAAGAAAAGGAACAAAGATTTCAGGGATACCAATAAATCATGTCCTATGGGAGGAACATGAGCTTCATGAAATAAAATGGGAAGGAATCTTGAGGAAACACAGAGGTTCATGGCTGGGTGTGGTGGCTCACACCTGTAATCCCAGTACTTTGGGAAGCCATGGTGTGAGGATCACTTCAGCCTAGGAGTTCAAGACCAGTCTGGACAACAAAGTGAGATCTCATCTCTACAAAAATAAAAATAATATTTTTTTATCTTTTATGACAAATACAAAATAAAAATGGCCCCAGCTACATGGGAAATCAAGGCAGGAGGATAACTTAAGCCCAGGAGGTTGAGGCTGCAATGAGCTCTGCTCATACCACTGCACTCCAGCCTGGATGACAGAGTGAGACTCTGTCTAAAAGAAAAAAAAAAAAAAGAAGTTCAGGATATAAAAAACAGAAGACAGAAATAAACAACAGAAAAAGATGGAAGGTGGTGTCAGAACATGGATTTATAGATAATTCATAACACTTATCAGACAGACCAAAGGAAACATCTTTATTTTTAATTCGGTAGACACTCCTACAACATTTATTCAGTTTTGTATGCTTAAATACAGGATTATAAATGATACCTTCCTTTCCACCAAGTTTGCTTATAGAAAATGCACCTCCCTTTGACACAGAGACAAGCTTCTTAATCATCAGATAAGTTCTAGCATTTGGACATTTATGGAACCAAAGAATCATATTTTAAAGCTTCTGCCAAGTGCAGAAGTGCTCAATGGGCATTTTGTCTCAGTAAGAAGCATAGATTTAGCCCATAGATCTTAGATAGAAAAGACCTTTGAGACTCTCAGGTGGATTTTGCTGCCTGGGCAGAAGAAGTAATAAATGTTATTACACAGAGACTCTAAAGACCACGCTTCAGCAATGACTGCTTAGCAATATCTAACACTTCAGATTGTATTTGTCAAGTGAAGATTAAGTAGCTCCTAAGCCATTTCAGAGCTTGTCTCCCATTTCACCATCAGATCTGCTCTCCCTCTCAGTTTATAGTAGATACTAGTTAGTTAGTATAATTTTTCCTTCTAGGTACCTACATTTTTCTATTTGGCTTTGCATATCCAGGTACTATTCATAAGTTGCTATTAGATGGGGTTTAGCCTTAGTTCTATGGACTCCTAACAGGGACTTAATTTACAGTCTATGAATGGGTATAGAAATTTTTCAAGAGAAGCTGGAAATTTATATTTTGATGTTATTATCTCTCTTGTTTTAAATATTTGCAACTAATCCCAAATTTGCAAATGCTATGTGCTTCACACAGAGTCATTCTGTGGTCTGAATATTAATGGATCTGGGGGTTGCCAGTTTGCCACTTCTGAAGGCAAACAGAAATTCAGGTGGGATTGAGATCACCTGGGTACTCTGTGTGAATATTCCACAACTGAAAAGAGAAAAGAAAGAATGAAGTTTGGGGTCAAACTGTCTTGGGAGTTGATAGCTGTGTCTTTGGACTAGTTACTTAATCTTTCTTATTCTCTATTCTAATTGGACAAAGAAGATAACGGGACCTGTCTCACTGGGTTGCTTTGAGGAACAAATAAAACAGCCCATGTAGCCACAAAATGGTAAATGAGAATCAGTTCAATACGTGTTTCCATTGTCCTGATGGATTCCAGTGATGACTGGTTTAACCAGAGAGTTATCAAGTGTTGTGTTGGAAACTCAAATAATTTGATGCCTATAGAAGCTTTATATAAAGAAGAAGAAAGGGGTAGAAACACAGTATGAGACTACAGAGTTGGGGATAGAGTAGCACTGGTTTCTTAATTATCTGTGCTTGAATTCAGAGATGTATTTGTTTTCCCATTCCCAGTTAGCCTCACTGTTCCCAATTTATTGTCCACTGATGAATGGCAATGTTCATAAATTTGGAAAACAGAGCTTCATTTTTCATAAAGGATTGCAGCCTACAGCGTGGCCATTCTTACAGGCTGGGAAGCACAGCCTCTGGTCAGAAGCCAAAAACAGACACCTGGAGGGAGGGGCAAAGAGAACAGGAATTCATGTGTTTGTGGGGTGACTATACATATTCAATGAACTGGGGGGGAGTTATGAATATTCATAAAGCAAGAGCACACACATACACAATGCAGCTTCATGCCTTTTCGTGGGACCCATGTCCAAAAAATGGTGGCATTAGCATAATTCTAGGGTGGAGTTTTCAGCCCTCAGATGTCAAAAAGTGAAGCAGAGGACATAAAAGCCCTGTCTTTGCATCCTCCCTAGATTGGCCAGAACCACTCCATGGTCGGTGGTCTCTTACCAGGAAGGCATGCTGGTCAGATGTTGTACAGAAACCACAAAAGGGAAGAGCAGCAGTCAGGCCTTTGGTTGAAATCAGCGGTGGAGCCAGTCTTTCCAAAGGGCTGGCTTCTCTTTAGACTTTGGGGTAGTAAGCCTAATGGTGGTTAGAGAGGGTGAGGGTATAGTGAGATGTGTCTATCATGGCCAGAAACTCAGTTTTCAAGGTTTTTCTGGAGTCCCCTTGGCCAGGAGGAGCTTCTTTCCATTGGTTTGGGGGTGTAGGATTGCATTTTTATTTCTCGTTACTTAACCCCATTGCTTTATTATCTTGCCTCCTTAGAAGTTTGGAATTCAATGACTGGCACTTGAGAACACCCTCTCCACCCCCACTAGCTCCTCAGGCTGGAGCTTGAGCTCCTCCTCCCCAGGGGGCACCCAATCTTGTATCCTCTTCTGCAGCCTTCCTCCGCACAGGGTTCTAAGAATGAGTACACAGAAAAAGCATCATTTAGACTCTGATGCCCCTGAGTGGCAACGAAGCTGGGAAGCCAGCACCATCAGCAATGGGTGACTCTCTTATTCCTGGCCGTGGCATAGCAATACATAAGTACTTGATGCCATTCTTTGTAGTTAGTTTTCTATGAGATGTGAAGAAATATGTTAGGAAAGCTACTTTGTGAGTCTCACTTGATCCAAAAGAACTAAGGGAAGGCTTTTTTCCAAACTAGGTCCCCAGCCTAGAAACAGTAACTTGGGAATAACAATAACCTGCAAGTGGAAAATGAAATAAAATGTGAATGTTGCTTTTTAAGTGAGCACATTGACCTGGTTAGACCTCAACATTAAAATAACACAATAGCAGGAAATGATTCAAATGTATATTTTAAGAGAATATTGTGTAGGTATACACATACACACCAATAAATTTTACTGCCAAATTATGCAATCTGTCAGGCTATAGATTACTTGGTGAAAAACAAATCCCAAATATAGGTGCTGTGTGGAACGCAAATCCATTTCAGTAAGGTGAAACAGATGGTGACTGAAATTTACTCAACTATAATTACTATCGAAGTTCAATTTGTTGCAAAGAAAGCTTATATGTTTGTCATTTGAAAAAAAAGTTTTAAAATAAATTTGAAGTAAATAAAAAATAAAATAAAATGAAATAATATAAAATTGACAGTAAAATGACACAAATTTAAAATATTTTTCAAAGAGTTGCCTTGATGTACTCAATCTAGTCATTGATTGTACCCTTTGATTTTAATTCATCCAGTGCTAAACTTCCTTCACAACTTCCCAAACTACTAGGTACTTCATTCGTATAGAAACTTTATTCTGGGAGAGACAAAGTTCGACTCTGTCACCCAGGCTGGAGTGCAGTGATGCAATCATACCTCACTGAAGCCTTTAACTCCTGGGCTCCAGCAATCCTTCCACCTCAGCCTCCTGAGTAGCGTAAGCCAGCATGACTAGCTAAATTTTTATTTTCATTTTTGTATTTTTATTTTTTTACTTTTTTTTTTCTTTGAGACAGGATATTGATCTGTTGCTCAAGCTAGAATGCAGTGAGTGAGGCATGACCACGGCTCACTGCAGCCTTGACCTCCCAAGCTCAAGCAGTCCTCCCACCTCAGCCTCTTGCCTCCCAAGTAAGTGGGACTACCTACATGTACAATTAAAAAATAAAAATAAAAAAATTGTAAAGACAAAGTCTCGCTGTATTGCCAGGGCTGGTCTTGAACTCCTGAACTTGAGCAATTCTCCCACTTTTGCCTCCCAAAATCTTAGGATTACAGGTGTGAGCCACCATGCCTGGCCCCTCTTTAATTTTTTGTACAGACAAGGTTCATTGTATGCAGTTAGTCTATCAAGTGTTCATTGGCTCACAAAATTTCAAATACATCTGTGTTAATTTTTGGTTTCCTGTAACTTAGCCCCAGAATGTTCTCAGCTGAGGTTCTGTGAGTTCCAATGTGTTGAATGGATGCAGCCAGGAACAATGCTTACCTAGAAAAAACCCCCAACTGGCTCTCAGAGCTGAAGTATCTATTGCAATGCAGAGGGGAAAGGCAACTCCTTCAACATTCATTTCAGATAAGTCGTTTCTCATCAATACAACTCTTGCACACAGAATTAACGTGCGGAAATATTGAAAAAATGCATTTATTATGTAATAAGGGAATGTGATTTCTATTACATACCTCTTTTAATGATTTCAAAGGGGTATAGGAATTGTTTAATAATACATGTAGTTATGGAATTTGGAAACATATTCCTAACTATAAGACCCAAGAGATAGCAAAAAATAAAAAGCAATATTGTTTCTGTAAGTTGTTTGCATTTTCTATGCATCAATAAGCCATAAATTTTAAGAAGTAATGACTGGCGTGAACTCAAACTTTGTACTTTCAGTTAAAAATCTTAGCTGGTGACACATTGCAGAAGATAAGACTCCATCTTCCTCTTCCAAAACATATATACACTCCTCTCCCCACTTATTTGGCTGGTTTGTCCCATTTTATAGTAGGGTTGAAATATTTCAAGCTAAGATAACAAAGTCAAATTCAAGGTCTTGTTAGCACAACTTGGGGAAATGCCAAGCATAGCAGCCTGCTATTCCTGACAGGTACAACTCCATCAGTTTCTTAAAAGAGAGAAAGAATTACAGAATACGCCATAGGGAAACAGAGTAAACTCCTTGGTGAGTTGCAATCACTGAATTATATTCTTTGGCACCTTGTGTTTATATCTTTTATGGAGCCACTAAAAAAAGATGACAGGACTGAAAATAAAATGCAAGCCTTAGTAGAAAGGCTTCTATCTGGTCAGTCACTACTACAAGAAAATAGAGGATTTGAGGGATTTGTCCAAGATAAACACAAGAGAGAATTGTGCAATGTAAATAATACTGCTTAACCTTCTCTTTCTCAACTAACAGACTGTCTTTAGGCTCTGCCAGCCGTCCAGACCTCTTCCTCAAGGATGTTTCCAATGTGTGTTTTCATTGTGCTACTGTCAAACTCTGTAGCTCACCCTAGGATGTGGGCTCATTATTTCTGGATTGGTTGAACAAAGTTTAAGTATGTGTGTCATCAGCAGGTAGAGAATCAGAGCTTCTCCAAGGATATAACCTGAAATATTTGTCAGGCAAACCTCAACAAATCTCATGTTTTTAAGTGAAAACTCACATTTATAAAATCAGCATTGCTTTCTATTGCCATAACTTCCTTAGACTTTCCTCAGGAAACCAGAAAACTTTTGGAAAATATAAGTTTTGTCCTAGCAGACTGATTACTTATCCTTGAAGCAAGCGGAATATGAATTTTTAAAAGATATTTTTTCTTGTATTTGCTTCTAGGCATCTAGGCAGCTTCTCAGCAACTGTGCTGGGCAGATGGGAATCTAGTCTATTAAAAAAATATCTGCTGAGAAATACACTTCACAGCTGCCCATTTAGCTAATGTTAATTATTTGTAATGTCTTTTTTAATGCATTAGATATTATATTGCACAGTGTCCAAACCCAAGCCCATCTTTATAATTATATATAATTATCTGAAAGAAATATGTTTTTAAGTCAACAATCATGCCTAAGAACTGTTTTAAAACAAGCAGATGAATGTATATCCATAAACATTTGAACAGTAGTTTGAAATATTTAGAATTATTATTAAAGCAACCTATAGAATGTGAGTTAATTCTAGGAGAAATTATAGACAGTGGGCCAGGTGTGGTGGCTCACTCCTCTAATTCCAGCACTTTGGGAGACTGAGGATCACCTGAAGTCATGAGTTGGAGACCAGGCTGGCCACCATGGCAAAATCCCGTCTCTACTAAAAATACAAAAAAAAATTAGCTGGGTGTGGCGGCAGGTGCCTGTAATCTCAGCTACGCGGGAGGCTGAGGCAGGAGAATCACTTGAACCTGGGAGGCAAAGGTTTGCAGTGAGCCAAGATCACGCCATTGCACTCCAGCCTAGGTGACAAGAGTTAAACTCCATCTCAAATATATATATATTATTTTATATATATATATAGAGAGAGAGAGAGAGACTGAAAATGGTAGAAAAAATAAAAAAGATAAGGAGGAACAGTGTATGTGGGGCTCGTCTGAAGCAAATAATATCATCTGCTTTGTTTCGTTAATCAGTGGTGAATTTGCTATGGCTGGCTTACACCATCGTTCACGAAAAGGCAACGTGCACCAGAGGGCCCTTCATTCCTGATTAAGCAGCCTTAAAGCCATGTAGGGGTGGGCTTGGGATTTCTGATTGTTTAGTCAGGTTCACAAGATTACTCCCCTTCCATTCACAAAAGGAGAATTCTAAAAGTATGGAGAATAGTAGTGTGCCCAGAATTGGTGGGTTCTTGGTCTCACTGACTTCAAGAATGAAGCCTCGGACCCTGGTGGTGAGTGTTACAGCTCTTAAGGTGGCGCGTCTGGAGTTTGTTCCTTCTGATGTTCGGATGTGTTTGGAATTTCTTCCTTCTGGTGGGTTCGTGGTCTCGCTGGCTCAGGAGTGAAGCTGCAGACCTTCGCGGTGAGTGTTACAGCTCTTAAGGTAGTGCGTCTGGAGTTGTTCCTTCCTCCGGATGGGCTCGTGGTCTCGCTGGCTTCGGGAGTGAAGCTGCAGACCTTCGCGGTGAGTGTTACAGCTCATAAAAACAGTGTGGACCCAAAGAGTGAGCAGCAGCAAGATTTATTGCAAATAGTAACAGAACAAAGCCTCCACAATGTGGAAAGGGACCCAAGCGTGTTGCCACTGCTAGCTCAGGCAGCCTGCTTTTATTCTCTTATCTGGCCCCACCCACATCCTGCTGATTGGTAGAGTGGAGTGGTCTGTTTTGACAGGGCGCTGATTGGTGCGTTTATAATCCCTGAGCTAGACACAAAGGTTCTCCACTTCCCCACCAGATTAATTAGATACAGAGTGTGGACACAAAGGTTCTCCAAGTCCCCACCAGAGTAGCTAGATGCAGAGTGTCGATTGTTGCATTCACAAATCCTGAGCTAGACACAGGGTGCTGATTGGTGTGTTTACAAACCTTGAGCTAGATACAGAGTGCTGATTGGTGTATTTACAATCCCTGAGCTAGACATAAAGGTTCTCCAAGTCCCCACCAGGGTAGCTATTGGTGCATTCACAAACCCTGAGCTAGACACAGGGTGCTGATTGGTGTATTTACAATCCCTGAGCTAGACATAAAGGTTCTCCACGTCCCCACCAGACTCAGGAGCCCAGCTTGCTTCACCCCCTGGATCCCGCACCAGGGATGCAGGTGGAGCTGGCCGGCCAGTCCCGCGCTGTGACTCCGCACCCCTCAGCCCTTGGGTGGTTGATGGGACTGGGCGCCTTGGAGCAGGGGGCGGCGCTCATCAGGGAGGCTCCGGCCGCAAAGGAGTCCATGGAGGGGGTGGGAGGCTCAGGCATGGCGGGCTGCAGGTCCCGAGCCCTGCCCCGCAGAAAGGCAGCTAAGGCCCGGTGAGAAATCGAGCGCAGCGCCGGTGGGCTGGCACTGTTGGGGGACCCGGTACACCCTCCACAGCCGCTGGCCCGGGTGCTAAGCCCCTCATTGCCCGGGGCGACAGGGCCGGCCGGCTGCTCCGAGTGCGGGCCCGCCAAGCCCACGCCCACCCGGAACTCCAGCTGGTCCACAAGCACCGCGCACAGCCCCGGTTCCTGCTCGCGCCTCTCCCTCCACACCTCCCTGCAAGCTGAGGGAGCCAGCTCCGGCCTTGGCCAGCCCAGAAAGGGGCTCCCACAGCGCAGCGGCGGGCTGAAGGGCTCAAGTGCTGCCAAAGTGGGAGCCCAGGCAGAGGAGGCGCCGAGAGCAAGCGAGGGCTGTGAGGACTGCCAGCACGCTGTCACCTCTCAGTAGAATGGGTTTTAGCTAATGACAAGCCTTGTTAAACTGCCCCAGGTGACTGCTCAGTCTTTGCCTAGTTAAGGCTTAGATTCTCAGCAATGTATAGCTAGATCATCTTCTTTCTGTTTTGCATATCCTAAGCCAATGGGTTAGACATGTGGATACAGGAGTTAAAAAGGAAGTACTTAGATAGCAAGGACCATAGGAGTCCTCGGTAAGGCTTTTTCTTTTTAATGATAAGCAGCCCCAAATCATTTTCTAACAAATAGCAGCCTGCAAGCTGGGAGCTTGCACTGGTGAATGCTGGCAGGAACTAAG
Source organism: Homo sapiens (assembly GCF_000001405.40). NCBI lineage: Eukaryota > Metazoa > Chordata > Mammalia > Primates > Hominidae > Homo > Homo sapiens. The sequence goes on from NC_000004.12 coordinate 176,626,035, forward strand.
GACTAGACATTTTCAAAATGGTGGCTCCATCTTCCCTTCTCCGCCAGCCACATGTATTGTAAGGAGCAGACAAGATGGCGCCCATCAACTGGAAAGTCCATTTGCATAAAAAGATTAGGGTGGGGCAACCAGCCTTCCTCATGCACTATATATAGGTCATACCTGATTGAACCAATCTGTGAGCCCTAGGTAAATTAGACATCACCTCCTCAAACTGGACGATAAAACTCAGGGCATTGGATGCCAACCACTCCTTTCTGCTGGGAGACCCCTTCTGCTATAGAGGAAGCTGTTTCTCTTTCTCTTCTCTTCTACCTATTAAACCTCCAGTCTTAAACTCCTCCTGTGTGTCCATGTTCTGAATTCTTTCTTGGCCACCACGTGACGATGAACCACGGGTTTACACCCCAGATGACATAAGCTGCTTCAATATTTTATTATATATTCATTAAATCACCATGTAAGTGTCCTGAACTATAAATGAATGGCTGGCATAGAAATTTTTATCATTGACAATAATAAAAGAAAAGGAAGGCAGAAACGTAACGCTACTTGCATAAGAGTCATTCATCCAGTTTTGTTGCATACATATAATTTGCATAGAAAAAATACGACCTCACTAAAATTCCATGATCCTGATTATGTTGTAAATATGAGATTATGTTTCATCTTTGACTGGAAACTTTGCTTTGCAGCTGGATGAACCCACCTGAATTCAGTCCACGAATAGGAGGGAGATAGTTGAGGAATATTTGAAAGAGATTTGGCTCAGGGGTCAAACATTTGACTAGAAAAATGATTTCTTCTACTAATTGGCGTTGTAACCTTGCATATGTCACTTTATCATTTTGCTTCAGTTTCCTCACTGTATATTTGTCTTTGTTTTCTTATTTTCTTTCTGTAATAGTTTTTAACTCACAGCGTTGATGTTAGGATTAAAGAGATAGCATGTGTAAACAAGAGGCACATGATTAATCTTCAAGAGGCAGTCAAGTGCACTAGCTAATAACACAGATTTTAGAGCAAACATACCTAGATATGGATCCTAGATCTGCCTCTTATTGGCTCTGTCCCTAGACAAGTTATTGAACCTGTGTCTCAGCTCGCTGACCTGTGAAAGAGGAATGACAGTCATGCCTAGGATTGTTGTGCAGATTAAATGAGTGGCTGTATGTGAAGTACTTAGAAGGGTATCTGAGAAAAGAATAGATTGGACTGGGCAGGCTGGAAGAGGGAAAACTGGGCTCCTATCTGGGCAATGAAGTGTTCAAAGGGCAGATATGTTCTGAATGAGAGTGGCAACAGGAGAGATGGAAAGAGGAGGTGGAATAGGAAATATATTTTCCATAGATAGCTGCTGGCCCATATTCAGGTCTCACTTTAACATAGTTTCACTTCTTTACCAAGGATTTCTCTGTCATACGCTGCCCAGAATAAATCAGGGAACACCACCTTCTCCTTCATAACACTTATCACAGTGTGATTAATTATTAGGTTTGGGCAAAAGTAATTGCAGCTTTTGATTACTTTCGATGACAAAAACTGCAATTACTTTTGCATCAACCTAATACACTCCTTTAAGCCAAGTCCCATAGTCTCTTTTGCTTAGCATTATGTCTCTGGTATCTAATAGAGTAGCTGGCATCTAATTCTAACTCAATAATTACTTGTCAAATGAGAGAATAAAATGGGTGCTATATAATCTGCTAAAAAAGAGAGAAAAAAATCCTAATTCCCAGAGAGATTATAGACAATGAAAAGATTAGAAAAAAAGCCCTTTGAATTTGTTATTCAAAGTTTGTTGAGACAGAAATTCTAGAAATAGAAGATTGATAAATCCAGCTGGAATCAATGGAGCTTATGCTCATCCCCAAAGCCTATACCCACCTACTTCCTTTCTTCCCAGTGTAGTGAATGGGCCCAAACATCAATGGCTCCACTCGTGAAATCCTTTTGGATTCCGTGCCACTTGTGAAATGCTAGTCAAGTCTGCAAGATTTGAAGGTGGTATCTTGTTGAAAGCATGTAAGAACTCATTTCCCAATCTGTGCAATTCTCTTGGGCAATATCCCCAACCAGCATTGTCCAGTTGTATCTGATACAGACACAGCCAGGTCAGGAAGGCTGCAGAGGGGTCTGATTGCTTAAGACGTTGGGGAGGTGTGTTGGAGAAGAAATCCTCACAGCATAGCAATGACTATGCTAATGCTCATGCTTCAAAAGACATGAGCAACATTTTTTCTTCTTGCAACAGGTGTGCATCCTTGATTTCGGCTTTAGCTGACTGACTGTGGACTAGTGTCTTCTCCAAGTTCAGAGAGTCTGAATATACTCCAAGTTAGGAGTATATTTAGCATCCTTGATTTCGGCTTTAGCTGACTGACTGTAGATTAGTGTGTTCTCCAAGATCAGGGTGTCTTAAGGGTTAGGAGTACCTTTAGCTACCAGCTTCTTATCTATGAGTTGGAAGAAATAATCAAGCCTACCATTGTTGAGGATTTATGGGGCTTCTGTATGTGCTATTTGCACTCATTAGACTGGTTAATCCAAATAACTTGTAGGAGTGATTTATTTTCCACTGAGTTAACCCATAGTTTGAATTAGGCAAAATGACATATTGTTTTCCTGTTATATAAACACAGGTAATTTGTAAATTAAGGATCAATGATCAGTGTGAAAAGATAGATCACGTGGATTAAAATAAGTGTTTTAAAAACCTGCATGGAAAGAAAATGTGTAAAGAGAATTTATGTCATCTTCTCCTTAACAAGGAATCCCAACCTATTACCAGCATCTTATAGAATGGAAAAAAAAAAAAAAAAAAGACGTATGTGTGCAATGCTGTACACAGACCCCAAACCTAGAAACAGCCTGATGTTCTTCAACAGGAGAGTGGATAAATAGCACATAAAAGATAATTATACAGCACAGAAAAAAAAGACAGTGCCTGGCATTGATACTAAGGATTCATCTTAAGCTGTATCTTATTAAAGTCAAAAGTTAAACATGAGTGTAATTTTTATTTTATTTTATTTTACTTTTGATACTGAGTTTCACTCTGTTTCCCAGGCTGGAGTGCAGTGGTGCAATCTCGGCTCCCTGAAACCTCCACCTCTGGGTTCAAGTGATTCTCCTGCCTCAGCCTCCCAAGTAGCTGGGATTACGGGCATGTGCCACCACGCTGGGCTACTTTTTTGTATTTAGTAGAGACAGGGTTTCACCATGTTGTTCAGGCTAGTCTCGAACTCCTGGCCTCAGGTCATCCACCTGCTTTGGCCTCCCAAAGTGCTGGGATTACAGGTGTGAGCCACGGTGCCTAGCCAAAAATAAGTATAATTTTTAAATATCCATTTAGGAGCCTATTTGCATGTCTCTATATATCATAAAGCCACATAAAAACAAGGGTGTCAGGATATTGATTGCCTTTAGGTTGGGTGGAGGCAGATAGGAAGGGACCAGAGGAACCATAAAATTGGAGGCTGATGACTGTCTCACTGTAGGTTTCTTTTTTCTTTTTGTAAGGAAACAAACCACTTTTAAAACGTGGGCAAAACATTTGAATAGACTTATCACCAAAGACATGCAGATGGCATGCAGCCTCCAGTTTACAGGAAGTGAACAGGAGAACACCCCAGGTGATCCATTGATGCAAACAGGGAGATCTAGAATGTGGGTATACTAAGGACAACTGATCTGGTTTTTCAATGTAAGAGTGTGTTTTATTTATTTTTTATTTTTCTACCAATAGGAAATTATTTTTTATGTATTTATTTATTTATTTTTCAACTTTCGTTACAGGTTCAGCAGGTACACGTGCAAGTTTGTTGCAAAGGTATGTTTTGTGAGGCTGAGGTTTGAAATACAAATGGATCCATCTCCCTGGTAGTGAGCACAGTACCCAACAGTAGTTTTGTCCCCCTCCCTCCTCCCCTCTCTTATATTCCCTAGTGGCCATCGTTCCCCTCTTTGTGTCCATGTGTAGTCAATGTTTAGCTCCCACTTATAAGTGAGAACGTACTGTATTTGGTTTTCTGTTTCTGTGTTAGTTCACTTAGGATAATGGCATCCAGCTGCATCCATGTTGCTGCAAAGGACATGATTTCACTCTTTTTTACGACTGTGTAGCATTCCATGGTGTATAAGTACCATATTTTCTGTATCCAATCCAGAGTTGATGGGCTCCTCCCCTCAAGTTATACCTTTTCCGTTTTAAGAAGGATTTGCTTCCTGACATTCCCCTGGCACTGCCCTCCTGGGCATTCTCTGCCCACTGAGCTCTCTCAGGGTACTGGACTGAAGGGAGACCCACCGAGTCCACCACACGCAGCCCAGTGTCTGACAGTCAGTAGATGCTCAATAAGCACTTGTGGTACAAACACACAGGTGAGCAACAATTACTACATCTTTATCTCGCTTCACAGATAAAAATGTCTTGCCTTTGACTCCTTTTCCAGTTTCATATTTCTCTCAGCAGAGAAGAATTCGAATAATACCTCTCTTTTTCTGAGAACAAAATTCAGTTGCAGTGTTATGGATTAATTGAAGTCTTATGGAAGATTAGAATATTTTTAATGGAAGAAGTAGATAAAATGTGTTGAACTTACAACCAAATTTTGTGTGAAATATCTATACTGTTCTTATTTTTTACAAACAGGAATCGTCTTTCTTGTTTTAAATGTCTCCATCCATGTCAAATGTCAATGATAGTTTAAGTAATAGGGGTCTTTTTATTTAAAGCAGAATGTAGTACTTATACTATCTAACTCCAGAGGGTCAAATGAAGTGGAAATAATGTATTCTTACTAATTATGTTAAACAAATGTGTATTTTTTTAAAAAACACTATCTTTGGATAAAGAAAATGTGGCACACATACACCATGGAATACTATGCAGCCATAAAAAAGGATGAGTTCATGCCCTTTGCAGGGACATGAATGAAGATGGAAACCATCATTCTCAGCAAACTATCACAAGAACAGAAAACCAAACACTGCATGTTCTTACTTATAAGTGGGAGTTGAACAATTATAACACATGGACACAGGGAGGGGAACATCATACACAGGGACCTGTCGGGAGGTGGGGGGTAAGGGGAGGGATCACATCAGGAGAAATACCTAATGTAGGTGATGGGTTGATGCGTGCAGCAACATGGCACGTGTACACCTATATAATAAAACTGCACGTTCTGCACATGTATCCCAGAACTTATAATACTAAAAAAAGACACTAAGCTTAAAAAAAAAAAAACCACTGTCTTATAATGCTATCAAATTTCAATAGGAGCAATTAAATAACAGCAGTTAAACTAAAAAGAGATAAAATTGCTTTAGAAAAGAGAAAACACAGACAACTCTTCTGTTGCAATTATGGGTGCTCAGAGGTCAGCTGCTGTGAAGGTGGAGTCAAACCTTCATGTGACTCTGGAGTCAAATCTTCATGTGATCCCATCACAGCTTCAAGCTCTCCCTGAAGATTCAGGGGCTTTCCTAATGTTATCAGGACCTGTGAGCTGCATGCAGAACAGCAGGAGAAAAGGGTCACTGGAAAAGACTGGAATTAAAACTCTGTTTTAGCCAATATTTATCTGTTATGGTCATTTTCTTTTCTTGACTCATTGAGAGTTCTCTTGGTCAACAGAGCTGCCATTCAACTTTCTTAAGCCCTTTCCCATAGAAGAGAACCTGGTTTTGATAGGAAAGAATCATTCTTTCCAATTTTTGGCCCAGGCCTTTGGCCATCTTCCCATAGAGGTTGCACTTCTGAGATGTGTAGTTCATGCTAACATATGCTTTGGGAAGTTTGTTCTCTGTTTCTAAGCAGCACATTTTGTCCTTAGCTGATGTTCTCTGAAGCTTCATTATATGTTCTTGATGTATTTTAGGCAGTATTTGAAGTTTCAGCTGAAGCTTCTGAATCCCACTTTCAAGCTGTGAGTTTTCAGACTGCAAAGACACTTGCTCAGTTTGGAGACCTTTTATTTGTCCTGTAAGTTATTCATTTGTTTGATTTTTTTCAGAAAAGTCTTTGAATATTTCTTATTTTTCTCCTTGAAGGCATTTAGTGGAAACATCTACATTAATAGATTCCATGAGTTTCTTCACCTTCTGACTGCTAGCCTAGGTGATCTCCATTTTCTGATTCACTCTTTGTCTCTAATTCCACGTTGCTATCATTCATTTAATCTTTAAAGAGATCAGGAAAATGTGTGATCTTCAGCACGGTTTCAGTCAGACATCTTAATTTTCTCTCTTTGTTATTTACAACCGTTTTCATTCCTGGGTTTGAGTTTTCAAACACTTTTTTCTGTTCTTTAAGCTTTGCTTCCATACTGCAGTTTCTTGGGCAAACAGTTTTAGACTTTCCCAAAGATGAGTATTTTCTTTCAAAGTGTGCATTAATTTATTCTGAAGCAATCTGCCTCCTTCTGAGATACTTTTAAGACCTTTTTTTTTTTTTGCATCAGTCACTTGAGATTGGAGGATTTTTTTTTTCGTTTTTTTTTGTTTTGTTTGTTTGTTAACTTTTAGAGACAGGGTCTCACTCTGTCACCCAGGCTGGACTGCAGTGGCGCGATTTCAGCTCACTGTAACCTCTGTCTCCTGGATTCAAGTGATTCTCCTGCTCAGCCTCCCAAGTAGCTGGGATTTCAGGCATGGGCCACCACACCCAGCTCATTTTTGTATTTTTGTACACATGAGGTTTCGCTACGTTGCCCTAGCCTGGTCTGAAGCTCCTGGGCTCAAACAATCTACCCGCCTTGGCCTCCAAAAGTGCTGGGATTACAGGTGTGAGCCACCACATCCAGCCAAGATTAGTGGGATTTTGATGCCTTTTTGAGTGATCATCATTAACCTATGCAATGAAAATTCAAGCTCACTTTTCTGTCCTTTTCCAAGGAAGTCTCCTGTGTCCCTAAGTGAAGACCTGTTTGGACTTTTATTACGTGCTTTGAAACTCAGAGTTTATTGCTTTGGGGGACTGGCTTTCACCACAGGTGACTTGAGGGCTTGATAGGCTTCTGTAATTATTCCCATCTTTTCACTAACTTTGTGATATTCTTAGATCTGGGCAGAAAGTCTTTTGGCCAGCTTATCCCTCCTTGAAGTCTGTTGGCTGTTTACTATAAAAACAACGACAGCAGCACACACCAGGATCTTCCAGGGAAATCCAAAGAGACCTGAGACTTGTCTCAAGCTTTAAGACAACACCAGAAAAGCACCCCACAGCTGCTCTGAGACCAGTTGGGAGGATAGCTTTGTGACAGAAAGCAGGCTCTCCTTGGCTCCAAAGGGCACTGCAGCCCCGCCTCTGATTACCAGTATCCTGTAGGCCACAGCTGACTGCATGGAACCTTAGAGAGTATTGCCTTAAATTCAAACAAGTGCCTGGCAAGCAGGACAGACCACCAGTTGGGCTGGGGAGAGGGGAAACCAACCAGGTTCTATAAAACGCACTTTGAGGCTGGGCTTGGTGGCTCAGCCTGTAATCCCAGCACTCTAGGAGGCCAAGGTGGGCACATCACGAGATCAGGAGATTGAGACCATCCTGGCTACAGTGAGCCGAGACTGTGCTACTGCACTCCAGCCTGGGTGACAGAGGGAAACTACGTCTCAAAAAAAAAAAAGCACTTTGATTTTCTCTGCACACATAGAAAGTGGTATTATTATCCAGTGCATTTGGGGAAATGGAAAGATCTGATTGCAGCCAGAGACCACCTTGGAGCTTGCACCACTCTAGGCCCCACCTGGCCATACAGAAGCCCCAGAAGATCAAAGCAGTGTTATGCTTTTCCCACTTCTCTGCACATGGGCATCGGGGGGCATGATAATGGGCCTGAAGTAGAAGAGGGCTCATGTGCTCATATCCCTGGGTGAGGTGAACTCTCTTGAATCAAAGTTTCTCTCTGCAACAGAAAGGCTTGATTCTGTCTTAAAAGTACAGAGATCTCCCTGACCCGACGGCTCCCACTCTCCCCTGTGTTTGCTCAGTGCAGGCAGGCAGACACAGAAGACTGAAGGGTCTCACTAGAGGTATTAATTAAAAGAACTAAAAGAGGTATTAATTATTGAAGAACTCTGGGGAGATCAGTTGAAACTGCCAAGGTCTTCAAGTTTCATGGACTTTCTGTGGAGCGAGTTAGTCCTTGTTTGATCCAAGTGGATGGGGATGAGTCTCCTCTGGGGCTGACTTCATGATCCAGGCTCCTTCCCTCATGTGGCCCTGCCATTTTCCACACATGCCTCTCAAGGTCACCCTGGAGCCAGTCTCCAATCCACAGAGTCATCTTCAGAAAGTGTGCTGCTGCGTAGAGAGCAGATCTTCTTTTGGCTAAATTTGCCACTTTTAATTTCTTCAAATCACATCTTATTCTCTTACTATCTTTCCAGTAGACTCAGGCTAAGAGCCTCCTTGTCCATCACCTGGGTCTCTGCTGTGAATGATTCCTCCCTAGTACAACTTCCAGGATTCTCTGTCTTGGTCTGTCCTAAGTCAGAAAAAAAAGGCCTCTGGGTGTCTGTAGGTAGAGTTCAGTTCTCAGACTGACAGCATCTGTAGTTGCAGGCCTGTGCTGGGAGATAGTCCTATTGCTGCTAACACAAAAGGTCGGTGGCTCAGGCAGCCCTGGAAGAGATATGGGGCTACTCAGGTGGAGAGAATTACACTGCACAGCAATGCAGGGATGGTCTTCTTCTGGGGCATTCCAGCAGCCATACCTCAGGGCACCATGGCCCAAAGTCATGTTGCAGATGAGAAGTTGCTGAGCACCAACAAGGAAAAATGCCTGGACCAGTAGAGCTGTTGGGCAGAGCTTCCAGACCCAAATCCTACTAGTCATACCCTTATGGGCGACGATGTAGCTCACTGGGTGGAGTTAATGATGTGGGGGCTGGAAAGGGCAGAATGGCAGGCTGGAAATTCAGGTAAGAGTTGAAGTTGTGGTCTTGAGTCTGAAATCTGTACGACAGACCAGCAGGGTGAGAATTTACGCAGGATTTTTATGGTACATTCTTTTTTTTCTTTCTTTTTGTTGTTGTTGTTTTTTTTAAGAGACTTGGTCTTCCTTTGTCATCCAGGCTGGAATGCAGTGGTGTGGTCATAGCACACTGCTGCCTCGAATCCCTGGGCTCAAAAGATCCTCCTGCCTCAGCTTCCCAAAGTGATGGTATGACAGGCATGAGCTCCCACACCTGGCCTCTATGGTACATTGTTGAGACAGAATTCCTTCTTCCATCTTTCTACTTTTTGATGTATAATTTTATTTCAACTACACTGGAGAAAAGGAGGACTTTCAAAAGTAGGAAAAATACAATCTCTAACAAAAAATAATAGTGTAAAATGGCAAAAAGGAATTCCCTCTTCTGGGATTGACAGAGATTTACAATTCAGAAGTAACCTGCAAAATGTAACTGAGAAAGCTCAAAGGAAGAGACAAATTCCCACACTTGATCTAACTCTGAAAGTACAGTTTAGGTAAGGGATGGCCTTACACGTTGACCCAGGGCAGGCACACAACATGTCTCCAGATTGCAAAGCTCAGCCTTGGGAAGGGAGAGAAAATGATGAAAATGTTCAAACCTTAGATTTCCTGCAGGCTTGACAAATGAAGCCTGACATCTCACCTGATTTTGGGAGTGTCTGCTCTTCTGCAGCAGGTCTTATTTTAACTATTTGATCCTAAGAGTAGGGATTTCTCAGCACAATATAATTGTGACAAAGCACTTGCTCTGACGCAGAAGCTGTTGACCTGGTTGGTGCCAAGGCCAACTTTGAGCAGATTTCCTGCGAGCAGATGGGTCAAGGAAAGTTTTTCACTGATGAGTAATTTATTTAATATTGCCACATTGCCCTCCTCCTTTTCTGGGAGTGCCGTTAACAGAATGCTCCCTAGACTTGCCTGAATGACATTCACTGCCCCAGTGTGAGAATATTATTATTATTATTATTATTTTGTATAGGATAGGTTTGCTTGTTAAGGATGTTTTGTTATTTCAGCAGCCTTCAAACATGTAATAAATAAATTTCCCTTGGGTTGGCCCTTCCTCTCATTTCCTGAAGGAGGAGCTGATTGTTCTCACAGCTCCCCTGGGATATTTCAGGCCGTCTTCAAATGACTAAAGTGATGATGACGTCATTCCCTTGTGCACACCATTCACGTAGAGAACCCGGGGAAGGTCATTTATAGTATCAGCATCAAGGCTGGGATTGTCTGCCCTGGATTTCTCTGAAGCTAAAGAAACCACCACATGAAGTTTCCACAGAATATGGTAGAAGAGGCTTAAACTCATTGAGATGCTCCTTTAGAATATTTGCCTTGCATAGTAGCATCTAGAGAAGAATAAAAAGACTTGATTATTTCCGAAGAGAATGAGGACAGTGTGATTTCCAACACAAAGTGCAGCTAGTTCTGCCTGACACTGGACAAAAACCATTAAGCAGATAAGCCTTGCAAACATAATGGACATTTCTGGAAGATGATGACTTCTCTTCAGTGCTATGTAATTAGATTTGAGTGTATGAAGCAAAGGTGCTAAAGCTATATTGCTGCCCACTCAAAATGATTGAATGATTATGCAAAATTTATTCCTCAGAAGTGTGGGATGCTCAGAGCTCAATTGCTTGCAGTCCTGAAATAAGAAGCTATAATTTGACAGTCACTTAAACTGATGTTTTTTTCAATAATAATGAATTGTTCATTTTGTAAATGAACCCCAAATCCTCAGTCCTGGTAACTGACTAAACATTCCTGCACCCTAATTTCAGGGACATAATTATGTAATTATGAAGTTATTAAGTAAAGCCAAAAAAATATAAATATAAATGATTCTGAGGGTTCAGGGGGTTTATCTAACATGACAACATTATTGGAATTATTATTAACGTGAGTTTCTACAACATTTATTTCCATAAGTGTTCCAAATTATTGTGCTTTTTAAAGTTTTTCTCCAGGGAGAGAAACAACAAAAAAGGGGAGTGCGCTAGAAAAAAGGCTCTTCCTATTCTTTTCCTGTTCAAAATTTTAGCTGATTTGAATGCTACAGATTTATCATTTGGTGAATCCTATATGTTCTCCTTTTTCACTCCAAATCAAATATTTTATTCTTTTTCTATTATCTACAGTATTAAAGTATATTCTATTATATTTAGAAAATATAAATAAAATAAAAGAAGAAAAATATTCTGAAATTTGAAACCAATATTGTTAAACTTAATTTTATTATGAAAATAAACCGGGCCAGGTGCGGTGGCTCATGCCTGTAATCCCAGCACTTTGGGAGGCCAAGGTGGGGGAATCACGAGGTCAAGAGTTCAAGAACAGCCTGGCCAACATGGTGAAACCCCGTCTCTACTAAGAATACAAAAATTAGCTTGGTGTGGTGGTACATGCCTGTAATCCCAGCTACTCGGGAGGCTGAGGCAGGAGAATTGCTTGAACCCAGGAGGCGGAGGCTGCAGTGAGCCGAGGTTGCACCACTGCACTCCAGCCTGGGCAACAGAGCAAGACTCCATCTTGAAAAAAAATAAAAAAGAAAGAAAAGAAGCTCCACTCCAATTACATTGAATTTTACAGATATTCTTTAAAGTATAGCAATGGCATGCCCTTAGCCTATTAAGTGTATTTGATTGATAATTTCAGTACATAATTTATTCTCAATGCAGGCTTAGGAGTTAGATCGCCTGGGTCAGATTTTGTGATTCATCCATCACAGCTGTGTGACCTCTGGAAAATTACTTATTTTTTTCATGCTCCATCTTCTTCACCTGATATAATGAAGTGTGGATAATAGTACATCTACTTTCTAGGGTTATTATGAAGATTATCTGAATCAATTATTGAAAGTACTAAGAATAGTGCTTAGCTTATCCTAAGAATTCAATAAATATTAGCTATATTGATAGCGATTACAATAGTAGTGTGCAAAACGATACTTAACTAAATATCTTAGTAGATACAGATAGCTGGGTGAGGTCTAATTCTTGTCCTCAATGAGTTTATAGTGGAATAAGGCAAATAAGTGAATGACAATAATATAAAGATGAGAAGAAAATTCTGAAGTATTTGATATTATGTCGGGGTTAAAGAATCATTAATCCAACACACATTCTGAGGTACCCGGGGATTTTGGTACCTGTGACAAGTTTTGATAAATCTAATATGTGTTGAATTGCTTAGGACAAAATTTTGATTTGAGAGGGTTCAAGAAAGCAAGAGACTAGAGGTACTTGAGGCATCCAACTATAAACCATTTTATCAAGGAATTTTGCAACAATGGGAAGCAGAAAAATAAGGGTAATGGAGAAAAAATGTGGTGTTCAGATGTTTGTTCTACTTAAGATGGGAGATAGAATCATATAATTTAATGATGAGTGACTGATCCAGTTCAGAGAAAGAAATAGATCATGAAGAAGAGAGTAGAATTGCTGGAATGATGTCCTCTAGTAGGTAAGATTGGATGAAATCTAGAACATAAGTGAGAAGTTGGCCACAGGTAAGATCAGGAGGGCAACAGCTTAAAAGGAGGTAATTTTGGTATAACAGAAGCTGGTCAATGCACAGATATTGCGAAGAACATTGTGGCAGTGCCCTTCTGATTGCTTCCAAGTTTTCAGTGAAAAAAAGTAGCTGAAAGTAAAGATTGGAGATGAAATATTAGGTGTTCTAAGAGGGAAGAAAAGGTATACAACAATTGTCTAGGAGACTGAGGGTGCATGTGGGAAGATGATGAGCAGGTACAGACTTGGGTTTTATCAGGGTTAAAGTGTTTGCCAAGAGTGCATATGAGCAACAAGGGAATAGTTATAATTAAGAAGTATAAAATTTAATTTAAATTAGATCAGAGAGATATGATGTCATTAGGAGGTAGCTGGTTAATGGTTAGCAATTCTCAACAAGCTAAAGATAGTTGTAATCAGAGGGAATGATAAAGAAAGGTCTCATAGAGTGGAATGCGTGGAATTGATATTTTAGAGAGATTGTGGATATTGAAACAGACAAGGCCCAGAATATGGCCATGGGAGTAAGAGAATGAGATAGGTGGAGTAGGAGATCCTTCATTCACTTATTAACTAAATATTATAGACAAGAAGATCAAAGAACTGAGAAGACAGGATATTATGTAATCTATATGAGTTTTGGTGTTGTAATACAGGATTGCAAAGAGTAAGAGTCATCCAGGAAAGAACTCTTAATAAAGACTTTTATTAAGAGTTTAGTAGGTGACGGCCATATGGAGGGAAGTGCATGGAGTGTGCTGATGCGTAAGCTGAAGCTAAAGGACTTGAGGGGGGTAGAGGGGAGAATGGTCTCAAGAGTAAGGCTTCCTTGGTCTGGAGGTGCCAGGGATGTGGCCAAGAAACAGTCATCTCTGAAGTGAGCCGATTAGAAAAAGCCATGCTCTTAAGAGAAAGCCATATTTTGGTTAGAGTTAAGTTTAAAGATAACAGCAATTTTTCTGACTACTGACTTTAAATTCTGAAGGGTACAGTGGAAGAAGGGTTTTAGATGTTGTAGAAGAATGGAGAGAAGTTAGAAAAGGCAATGTAGGTTAGAATCTGAAGGATGACATGACTGGGGAGACCTTGAATTCTTGCGAAAAGCAAGATAAGATGATTTCTCAATATTTTATGGCAGAGAGTGATAGTGAGGCCTGGATTGCTGGATGGAAGGAGAGTGAAGCTCTTGTCAGGAGGACATGGAGATCCAGGAGGTCCTCTTCATTCAATAATGATGATGTGAAAGAGGGAATGAGTTTTCTTTTTCTTTTTCTTTCTTTTCTTTTCTTTTCTTTCTTTTTTTTTTTTTTGAGATGGAGACTCGCTCTATCACTCAGGCTGGAATGCAGCGGTGCGTGCCATCTCGGATCACTGCAGCCTCCATCTCCCAGGTTCAAGCGATTCTCCTGCCTCAGGCTCCCAAGTAGCTGAGATTACAGGCACCCACCACCATGTCCCCCTAATTTTTGTATTTTTAGTAGATACAGGGTTTCATCCTGTTGGTCAGGCTGGTCTCGAACTCCTGACCTCAAGTTGTCACCTGCCTTTTCAAATCCAGAGAAACAGAGTTCCTGAGATTCCTCTGGACTGGTGATGTTGCCAGGAGGTGAGAAGATGCACTGGCTTCTCTGATACAGTCAGGCAAGGCAGGTAGGCAGGTTTGACATAAATCCCGGGTCAAGAATGGCCATCAAGGTGACTTATTCTACACCAGGGTCCTAGGGTTTCTCCATCTTATTACTATCAACATTTTTTGCTAAGTAACTCTCTGTTGTGGGGGCTGTCCTGTGAGTTCTGGAATATTTAACAGAATCTCTGACCTCTACCCACTGGTTTTCAGTAGCACAGTCTCAGTTGGGACAACCAATAATGTCTCCAGACATTGCCAATGTTCTTTGGAGAGCAAAAAATCACCTCCAGTTGAGAACCACTTGTCTAAATCTATGTAAGGAATCATGAGAGCATAGGAGACAGGGCAGTAAACTTTATTGGGATATATCAGGAAAGGCTTCACACAGGAAGTAATAATTTTCTGGGCAATCCAAACACTTGGGGAAAGAATTCACAGTGAGGAAATATTAAAAGAAACTTGATGTTGCTGTTTATTAAGCTAATTGAGTCATTAGGTGGGACCGTTTCTAAATGAGTGGGTATATAAATTAAGGACCCTTATGTTTGTTTAGATTTGTAGGATGTTGACATGATCAAAAAACACTCATTGTTACCGCTTTGTATATAGAATGAAGAAATCCTATATCTTCCTTAAATTACCGCTTTTCGTGACCCTGAAGTATACAACTATTGAAAAAAAAGACACAATCAATTCATATGAAAATGTCATAAGAGTGGAATTTTTTTCACAGATTTGTGACTGCAAACAGATGGTGAAAAATCATGAGAACGAGTCTGTTCATTGTTGAAACTATCTATTCCAAAAGATAGTCCTCATCAAAGTTAGACTCTAAGTCACAGTTTTAGAAAATATTTGAGCTGGTTTAATGCTACCCTTTTCATCTTCATTCTTAGTTTCCTCTTAATGTGTCAGTGCATTTTTATGTCTAGGGTATTGCATACCAAAGTTGACATTAAATTCAAAACATTGCTTATATAAACTCAAAATTGAGATAATTACAAACAACCGCATAATTGACTGTTCAGATATTTTTCATTCAGCATCTTGGCCTCAAGTAAATATAGCGCAAATATGACGTTAAAACAGATTGTGCCTTTTCAAACTTCTCATACTACATAGCAGAGCCTGTACAATGGACTAATCTCACTATTTACAATGCTTTAATTCTTACGTTCAATTCTTGTTCAGTTTTCAACATCTATTGTCTTTATGATGTAATAACCTCCTAACTGAGATAGATTAGAATTATTTTGTCCTCAGGAATGCATAGAGTTGCTAGGAGCGGTGACATAGTGAAAGTTTGGGACTCCCTTATGTGACTCAGTGCACTGACTCAGTGTATCTTTACTCCCCTAGGATGGTCCTCTAGATGATCTTCACCTTGATAACTAGATTGACATAATCAGATGGGAATGATAATCATGAACTGAACCCACTGTGGGAAAAGTCACTTAGTTCAAGCTGATAATGCAAAGGCATTCTTCATATCATTTGGTTTTCTCCTTTCCCATAAAAAGATAGAGAGAATGATCATTTTGGAGTAGTCTGCCAACAGTGTTCTGATCTTTAAGTAAATTTTAGGTAATTAGAGATACACTAACATATTGGATTATTATAAATGTGATGCCTTTAATCATAAGAATACTATTTGACAGTATTTACTTTTGAGGTTTTCCAAAAGTATGTTCTCCTGAAGGTTCTTCAATAGTAGTATCAATTTGGGACCAACAGTGTGTTGTAGAATCACTAATAAAGTGAATTTTTCCATTATGCCTTTGAGAGAGTACCATCTAAAAAAATCACACCATAGGACTTCACTTCTGGGAAGTAGACATACTTTTTCCAATTTCTTCCTCTAAGAACAACTAAAAGCTAATTATATACACAAAACAAATTCTGAAAAGTGGAGAAAAGAAGGATGATGGCTAGGAACCTCAGAACCCAAAGAATAAAACAACAGTGTGTCCCCTGGGTTTTCTTTCACCTCATATATCCCAGACTTGGAGATGAAGAAGCAGCAACCCAGACTGGCCAACAGGTAAAGACAACAGAAACCTCAGCAAAGTTTGCTGTCTCTAGCTAAACTCATTAAGACTGTGTGGTATTGGTAAAGGGATAACAGATAAATCAATGGAACAGACTAGCTAAAGGACCAGAAAAAGGGCAGCCTAGTAAGAACACTTTTAGACAATAACTCCTCTGCTCTAGCAGAATACCGTGGAAAAAACTGTGGCCCTACTCCCGCCCATGACAATAAAGACCGAATGGATAGCCTAGACTGCCATTCTCACCACTGTAATGAGGTGCCCCAACCCACCTGGCAGTGTGAGATCAGAGAAGCCTGGGTAGGGAGCTGGAACTTTCATCCCTGCTAAGTGGCCATGAAGCATCCCTCTGAGGTAGTGTCAGTGGAGACCTTGTGAAGATACAGGACTTCCCCATCTGTCAGTAACGGGGCATCTCTCCCCATCCCTCTCCCCTGCTGTGGTTATGAAAGTGGAGGCCTAGTGTGAGACTTTCAGCAAAGCCCAGAGGAGGTGAGACGCCACCTCATGGTGTCAATGGTGAACAAATAGAGAGACTAAAGAAGAAATTTCTACCCCTCCCAGCCAAGGTAGCATCAGAGGAGAGCCAGAGGGAAGACAGAACCTCACTTCTAGCCAGGATTACCAAGTAGCCCCTCCACTTTGGGTGTCAACAGAAGTCAGCTGGGGTACCTGGATTTCTACCCCTGCCCATTTGTAACAAACTGGCACCCCTCATTTCCCCGGCTGAAGAGGTATTAGAGGACACCAGCTAAAATAAGTTTAAATAAGATCAAAAGTCTTCTACCATCATACCCTAAATCTTAGTAAATTTTAGGTAATTAGAGATACACTAACATATGGCATTATTATAAATATGATGCCTTTAATCATAAGAATACTATTTGGTTTTAATTAACATTACTTGTCATACCAAGATACAGTAAAAACACAATTTGAATAAAAAATGTCAACCTATAGACACCAACACTGAGATGACAGACATGTTTGAATTCTCTGACAAGGATTTTAAAGCAGATGCCATAAACATATTTCAGTGTGTAATTATGAAGACACTTTAAGTAAATTAAAAAATAGAAATTCTCATCAAATACTTTCTATTCTTTTTTTTTTGATAAGTCTTTCTATTTGTTCTGGAAATAAATAGAAGAGATGAAGAAGAACCGAATGGACATTTTAGAACTTAATAATACAAAAAGTGAAATCTCAACAGAAGTTAGAATGAAGCAGCTACCCAATCCGGAAAGCAGAAAACAGACTGGGAAAGAAATAAAGAGCCTAAAGGATCTGAGGGATTATAGCAAAAGATCTACCATTGGTGTCATTGGAGTCCTGGAGGGGTAGGAGAAAGACAGCAGGGAACTGAAAAAGTACTTGAAGAAATAATGGCTAAAACATTTTAAATACATCAAAATACACAAATAATATAATGAGTGGAATTACTCTACCCAATTTCATGACATAGTATGTTGTTATAATCATCAAGACTGTGTGGTATTGGTAAAGGGATAACAGATAAATCAATGGAACAGACTAGAGAACCCAGAAATATATCCAAACAACTATGCTCAATTAATTTCTGACAAAGGCACAAAAGCAATTTGTTGAAGGAAAGATAGAGTTTTAAACAAGTGGCTCTGGGTCAGTTGGCTATTCATCAGCAAAAAATTGAATCTCTATCTAACCGTCATACTATATATAAAAATTAATTCAACATGGGTCAAAGACTTAAAAGTAAAATATAAAATTATGAGATGTAGGACTAGGCAAAGAATTCTTAAATTCAACACCAGAAGGACAATCCCTAAAAAAGTTGATAAATTGTACTTCATTGAAAATGCACTGTGAGAGGATTAAAGAGGATTGAAAGGTGAGGATTGAAACACAAGCTACAGACTGGAAGAAAATATTTGCAAACCATATATCTGACAAAGGACTAGTACCTAGAATATATAAAGGATTCTCAACACTCAACAGCAAAAAAACGCAAACAAGCAAACAATTCCATAGTTACAAAACAATGAGTATTGGGTGAAAGCCACACAAAAGGAACAGAACAAAATAGTGTCTTCCGTGTTTGGTAAATCCATTGGGACTTAAAACTGAATTTCTTCCTGAATCATCAGTGTGTTTCCAAAGTTTATTTGAAGTTTTTCCTTTTAGATCACCATGTATGAAATTTAATTTTATGTCTTCTCAACCTATTATGGAATATCTGACATGTGATGACACATTATTTTCTTAAGAGTTAAGACAAGAGTTCCTCAGGGATGCTTGCATGTATCAACCTCAGAAAGTCATTTAGTATTGTGTAGTTTTAAGGTAATCACAGATAAAATGATTGTTTTACATTCGTATGTCTATGAAATCCTTGTGTTAATCAGGGATATTGGTTACTAAATATATTATAGAAGAAAATACTTGGTTTCTTAAATAAGATTTTTTTTTTTTTTTTTTACAGAATAAGAACTCATTCTAGAAATGAGTTGGATTTTTTTTGGCAAAAATTTATTACTAAATGATTTCTCCATTTTTTAAATCACTGACATTTTTATTTCCTGATGAAAATGAATTGTACAGGTCTGTCAAATATGCTGACCAAACTTCAGGCAAGTTGAGAACTTGACATTTTTTGCCACCTATTTTGCCCAAATTGAATTGGATATTCCTTTATGCTCTTTAAAAACCTCAGTGTGAACCAGTGTAAAATCTACCTATCATCTCACTGATTATATATTTTCTTGGGCTCTTTAAAAATTATATAAGGAAATTTCACAGAGCAAACAACATAAAGTTTGTCTGGTGGAACAGCTAAAATCACACTGCTTCTTTTATTACATTATTCTTTATCCTGGAACTTTATGTGGGGTCATTTACTAGCACACACTTTCCCTCTTTACACTTAAAAATGTTAGACTCCTTTCAATTCCAGCTTTATTAGACATATGGACTTATATAGAAATACGCACAAAATGTGTCCAAAACATTTCCAAAATGTTACTTCTCTATACCCTACTTACATACTGAAAGTGTTATGCTCTTGTACATTCATGGAATATCCATGTTATATAGCAGAGGAATCCATTTGTTAAAATTGACATGGCGTTAGGGAAAGTCTTATAACCTAGAAAAAAATCTCAAAAATGGTATCTTTATTTTAGATCTGTTTACTATTCGTTTAAAAGAATGACAGAAACATGAACTGCTGCCTTGGCACACATGAAGGACTAATTAGTATCTCTTACTTTTACCCAAATGCCTGAGGCCACACAATATCCTGGAAAGAAAACAGAAAATTATTAGGGAGCGTATGTTTTAGTTATGCCTCTCCCACTTGCCTGAGACTGTTCGTGATTAAGTAAACCTTTGTGTTTCAATTTCCCTATCTTGTAAAGTCCTGATAATATATGCTCTGCTAATTTCCTACAGATTTAATATAAATCTGTGTTTTTTACATAGTTGGCATTATTCCGAGTACTTTACATGCACGGAGGAATAAAATTATAATGACTTACTGTGCTTTGCATTTCCAACATTTCTAGCTCCCTCTGTCTTTTCCCCACCCACTTCTCAAATTTAGGGACTTCTCAAGACGTTTTATACTTACTGCCCTCGGGGTAGAGTTCTTACAGTAGTAATACAAGGAATCTACTGAGCATACTTGTTGCTGTTGTTTTAAAGTAGACTTTTGAGCCTCAAAGTCAAGTCCATGTCATTGAGACAAAATTTTTTTGAGTTTTCACATGTATCTATTGAATAGCAAGAGCCAAGCTTCCCTGTCTAAACAATAAACAGAGAATATATAGTAAGAGCTAGGCTTTTTCCTCCCCAGCCACCTAGATTGTATTTAAAATTCCACAGGTTGGGAAGAAGACGAGAAATTACAGAGGGAAGAGTACAGTGAGGTTCTCTGTACAGGGACATTGGATGGCCCTGGCCCCATCTCCAGAGAGCCATTGGTTGGATTAGGCTTTAGCTGAGATAATCTAAACAGAGCTGTGCACTCCGCTTTCTCGGAAAAGTGAACAAGCAGGGTGCGGGCTCTTCCTGATGTGTGCCAGCCGGTGGTAGCAGCAGAAGTGTAGAGATGCCGGCATGACTTGCTGAGGCAGAAAAGGCTTGAGGAAATTTACTGAGTCTCTGCAGTCTTGAACATCATCTGTGTTTCTTACAAGCCCACAAGACTAGGGATAGCCAAAAATGAAACTGTATATCTGAGTTCCTTGAGAGTCAGGTCAAGGAAAATAGAGATTGTGTTGACTAGCAATTGGAGAATTCCAGAAAAGCAGACATCTAAGCAAATGACAGTGTGGTTGGCTGACCTCATCCAAGGACCAGAAAGTGCAGAAATTCACACAGGGCAATATGGAACAGATGCTGATATCCAGGAGCAGGTGTTCTCTCTCAGCACCACAATGTGTAAATTCCTCATGGCTAAGATGCTACTTGGTTAAATTTAAAGTCTGAAATGACAAAATTTTTCCGTAGTTAGCCAACATTATTTTTTTCATCAGATATATATTACCTAAAAAGAGAGATAAAATCACATTATAGACAAAAATTACATTATTTATTAAAAATGTTAAAAAAAATTTTTTACATATAAAAAAGTTAAAAAAAGTTTTTTGCATTACTGAATAAATGGGATGAAATTCATGCCAATCTCACACACATGATTTTAATACCCACAATAGTTATGTGAAGAAATGATTATTATTATTGTTCTCCTTTTTACATAGGGAATTGTAGGCTTTGGATAAGAAACTTGCCCAGGTTCACACAGATGATATAGGGCAAAACTGGGAACCAAACAAAGTATGCCTGGTTGGGGAGACCTAATTCTTAATCAAAAGAAATAATGAATGTGGTAAAATTTGCAAATAATGTGCTACAATAGAAGTTCATGTTACATACTTATTACAAAATTATTTTTGTAGTCTGCATATCAAAGTATATAATCAACAGAGTGAAAAGACAAAAGACAACCTACAGTGTATTAGTTTGCTGGGGCTGCCATAACCAAAAAAACACAGACTGGTGGCTTAAATAACAGAAATTTGTTTTCTCACAATTCTGGAGGCTGGAAGTCCAAGATCAAGGTGTCAGCAGATTAGGTATCTTTTGAGGCTTTGACACATGGCCATCTTCTTGCTGTGTACTCAAATAATCTTGCGTTGGTGTGCATACATATCTGTGCCCTAACTTTCTCTTCTAAATGGACACCAGTCAAATTGGTTTAGGATCTATCAATATGATTTCATTTCACCTTAATTACTTCTTGAAAGGCTTTACCTTCAAACACACATTTTGAGGTAGGGGAAGTTAGGACTTCAACACATCAATTCAGTGGGGACACAATTTAGTCCATCACATGTGGTGTAAGAGAAAACACTTGCAAAACATATCTCTGATAAAAATTGAATATCCAGAAAACAGATAGAACTCCTGCACTAAATAACAATAAAATATAGGCTAAAGACTTGAATAGACATTTCGCCAAAGAAGATACACAAATGGTAAAGAAGCATATGAAAAGATGCTCAGCATCACTCATCATTAGGGAAATGCAAGTCAAAACCACAATGAGATATCACCTCACACCCATTAGGAGAGCTTTTATTTAAAAACAAAAAACAGAAAATAACAAGTGTTGGTGAGGATCTGGAGAAATTAGAATCCTTGTACATTATTGGTAGGAATGGAATATGGTGCAGCACTTTGAATAACAGTATGGCGTTTCCTCCAAAATTCAATTACCATTTGATGCAGCAACTCTGCTTTCAAATATATATCCAAAGGAATTGAAAGCAAGATCCCAAGGAGTTACTGGAACGCCATTGTTCATTACAGCATTATTCACTATAGCCAAGAGGTGGAAACAGCCAAGTGTCCATCAATGGTAAATGGATAAACAACACTGTATGTGGAATACACATACAATGGAATATTATTCTGCCTTAACAAGAAAAGAAATTCTGACACATACTACAACATGAATGAACCTTGAGGACATTATGCTAAATGGAATAAGCCAGTGACAAAAGGACAGATACTATATGATTTTATTTACATGATCTATCTAGAGTAGTTGACTCCATGGAGACAGAAAGTAGAATGGCAGTTGCCAGGGGCTGGGAGTTGGGGGGGTGTGTGGGAGGGGAGAAAATAAGGTGCTATGGTTTAATGGATGTAGAGTTTCAGCTTTATAAGATGAAATGTT
This sequence comes from Homo sapiens, assembly GCF_000001405.40. Taxonomy (NCBI): domain Eukaryota; kingdom Metazoa; phylum Chordata; class Mammalia; order Primates; family Hominidae; genus Homo; species Homo sapiens. Next base: position 176,648,429 of record NC_000004.12, read on the forward strand.
CTGGAGATTGGTTGCACAATAATGTGAATAGACTTTAATGCTACCGAACTGTACATTTTAAAATAATTAAGACATAAATTTCATGCAATATACACTCTAGTTTTACACAATTTAAAAAATATATATTTTCGAAGATTTGCTTAACATTTGACTCCAGGACAGAAAATGAAAGATGATTTCTTTTACAAAAAGTATTTTTAAGCCAGCCACAGTGGCTCACGCCTGTAATCCCAGCACTTTGGGAGGCCGAGGCGGGCAGATCACTTGAGCCCAGGAGCTTCAGACCAGACTGGTCAACATGGCAAAACCTCGTCTCTACCGAAAATACAAAGATTAGCTGGGCGTGATGGCACACGCCTGTGATCTCAGCTACTGAGGAGGCTGAGGCACAAGAATTGCTTGAACTGGGGAGGCGGAAGATATCCACTGCACTCCAGCCTGGGCGACAGAGCAGACCCTGTCAAAAAAAAAAAATTATAAATATATAATAGGTTCAGTAAACATACAGGATTCACTCTACAGAAATCTTGCGTTGTAATGTGTAATTTAGATTACATTATAGGTAATGTTTCATTACTTCTTGATGTCTATAATTATAAATCGATATATATACATTAAAAAAAGGATCCATTTTAACTATTAATGCCCTTTGTTCTATTTCCCCCACTTATGGAATGTCTGAAAATAAATATATCATCATATTTTATAGCTACCCACTTTCAGTAGATATTTTTACATATTTTTAGTGCCTAAGTACTCAGGTACCATCACCCGTGTTACCACTTGGTTTCAAAATGCACATGAATTTCACCTTTACAAAATTAGATGTAGTTCAAAGCCAAATAAAAACACATTTCTGGAAATGAATAATTGTATATGGATGCTATCAAGATAGTCTTGGCTTATGCGCCAATAACAAACTTCCCCCAAATCTCTGTTCGCTTCATACAGCAAAAGAAGATTTCTAAATCTACTCTGAGTCAGGACAATGGCCACCTGCTATATTCTTTGGCCTTTTGATTTCAGCATGAGGCCTCCTCAATAGTTAATCTTGAATGAAGAGTGTATTATTATTATTATTTTGAGACAGAGTATTGCCCAGGCTGAAGTACAGTGGTGCGATCTTGGCTCACTGCAACCTCTACCTCCCGGGTTCAAGAGATTCTCCTGTCAGCCTCTGGAGTAGCTGAGATTACAGGAGCGTGCCACCAGGCCTGGCTAATTTTTGTATTTTTAGTAGAAACAGGGTTTCACCATGTTGGCCAGGCTGGTCTCAAACTCCTGACCTCAGGTGATCCATCCACCTCGGCCTCCCAAAGTGCTGTGATTACAGGCATGAGCCACTGTGCCCAGCCAAGAGTGTATTATTTTGCTAGCATTGATGTAAAATATGCCACAAACTAAGTGGCATAAAGCAACAGAAATGTATGGTCTCACAGTTCTGGAAGCCAGAGGTCTAAAATCAAGGTGCAGGCAGAGCTCTCTCTCGATTCTCTTAGGAGGAATCTGTTCTATGCTTTTCTCTGAGCTTCTAGCATCACTGGTGGTGCTTGACAATCCCTATCTTGCATCTGTGTGACCCCAGCCTCTGCCTGTGCATCGCTTGGTGCTCTCTCCTGGTGTGTCTTCGCATCATCTTCTCATAAGGACCCCAGTCACGTTGGATGGAGGGCCCACCCTCCTCCAGTGTGACCTCATTGTCGTCTACCTAATTACATCTGCAAGAACACTATTCCCAAATGGGTCACCTTCTGAGGTACTGGCGATTAGGACTTCAGTATATTTTGGGAGGTATACAACCCAACTTACAACAAAGGAGAAGAAAGTAAGGGGGAATTGCACAGTGACCCTTCAATGCTTTGGTCAAAAGGTGGCACAAGTTGCTTCTGCTCACAATCCCTTGGCCAGAAGCAGTCACATGGCCCCACCTGACTACAAGTGAGTGAAAACACATCATTCCCATGTGCCCAGAAACTGACAAGTATAAAGCCTAATGGTTTGGATTCATAACATGTGGCTGATCTTCTGGGAAATGTCATCTGCCTCTCTTACTGTGTGGCTTTAAAACATGTCTGCAAATTCTCAGACAATCCTCTCACACAAGGTGGCGTCTAAATGTCTTCTGAAGATGGACAAGCCTTTGTGACCCACTTTTATTAGAATGTTGTGAGGCTCGATTAGAAACAAAGCTGCTGTGGGGCACACGTCTTGGCAGCCCTGAGGGGGCACCTAAGAGGCCCTGCTCTCCTGAAGCCACCATGCTGGAAAGACCATGTGGCAAGGCCACAGACAAATAGAGATTATGGAGCCCCACTGATGTTAGAAAGTAGCTATTTTAATATTCCCAGAGCCATCCTCCCACAGGGGTGAGTGAAGAAGCCCTCATATAATTCTAGCCATCAGTCTTGAAGTCCCCCAGTCACAGCTGAGGCCTCATGGGGCTATGCTGTGCTCAGCTGGAATTCCTGACCCACAGAATCTGTGAGCAGAATAAATGTCACTAAGTGTTGGGGCGATTTGTTGTATTTCCATGGTAATGGGCACCATGCTATTTATATTTCTCTGGCAGGATCAGTATCTTGAGAAGAGGGGTAGATGCAGAGGCAGATGTGTCTCTCGTCTTTTCCACGTGAAAGGAGGAGTGGCATATTCTGGAAAGAGCTGAAAGCAAGAGGCTTGCTTCCTGGTATTGCTTAAAAGAATTTAAAAACTATTCAGAAAGTAAATATATTATTTTTAAATATCCCTTCTGAAGATATTCTAGACCTTCTCTTTTCTTTTTTTCATTTCCAAAAATCTTTATTCACTTTTTAATTGATATTTGATAGATATACAAACTTTCAGGGTACACGTGACAATTCCATACATTCATATAATGTATAAAGATCAAATTAGTGTTATTGGGCTATGCATCACCCTAAATATTTATCTTTTCTTTATTCTAGGAACATTTGAATTATTCTCTTTTAGTTATTTTGAAAGGTACAATAGATTACTGTAAACTGTAGTCAGCTTACTAATCTTATTTCTTCTAACTGTATATATTTGTACCCATTGATCAATCTACCTGTCTCTTTTGTAAACAGCCTTTATTAATAGAAAATTGTACATATAAATAAATCCACTTTTTCAACATGGAAAATTGATCTCATCTTCTCATATTCTGATTTCAGGAGAAATCACTCTTCTTATTTATCTACTTAAAAATTTTACTAAGTTGTCTCTTTATGCATTTATCATTTCAAAAAATTACAATATTAACAGTGATTGTCTCTTGATGATAGAATTAAGTGAATTTAAAATGTTAGTCCTAAATTCGTTTATTTTCTGAACATTGTATAAAGAATTTAGATTCTTTTTATAATCTAGTTTAAAGTGAAAATAGCTTTTGAGAAATATGACATGTGATATCAATTGATTGAGAAGGAATGGAATAGGCACCACAAGGGGCTTAATGACACCAGGAAAAGTTTAGTGTTAGGAAAAGAAAAGAAATACTTGGGAAAAGTAGAGGGTCCAGTCCAAACTTATGAAAAACCAGACAGTGGTAGAAAATGCTACTGGGATTTTTGTGGAGTTCTTTGTAAGCTAGAAGGAAGATTCTGCTTCTGATATAGAATTCAAGATTGTAAATTAAATGTTTAGGTAAATAATATAATCGGAATAGTGTTTTAGGAAGATGATTGTATTCATAGTGCTTCATTTCAAATATAGTGAAAAATGGGGGAGAAGGGAATTGATAAAATAACGCACAGTTGCTTACTTCCTACTTAGAAGAATAAAAGATGTTTGATGATGGACACAAGCTGATCTGAGAGTCAAGGCAGCTTTACAGAGGGTAAAGAAGAAAACTCCTATAATAAGTAAGTCTGGCTGTACTGTGTTCTTCCTGAACAAAAGAACCGTGTATTTCTCTGTAGACTCTCTAGAAATAAACAAAGGAGTTAGTTTCTACGGATTAGGTCCTTCTTAAATAAAGTCCCCACCCAATAAACTAGTTTTAAGAACTAGTAGGGGCGGGTCACCGTGGCTCACGCCTGTAATCCCAGCACTTTGGAAGGCCACGGCAGGCAGATCACAAGGTCAGGAGTTTGAGAACAGCCTGACCAACATGGTGAAAACCCGTCTCTACTAAAAATACAAAAATTAGCTGGGTGAGGTGGTGCGCACCTGTAGTCCCAGCTACTTGGGAGGCTGAGGCAGGATAATCACTTGAACCCGGGAGGTGGAGGTTGCAGTGAGCTGAGGTTGCACCACTGCACTCCAGCCTGGGCAACAGAATGAGAGCAAGACTCCATCTCAAAAAAAAAAAAAAAAAGTTAATATGAAAAAGTATTACTAGTTCTTTTTTTGTTGTTTTTTGTTTTTTGAGATGGAGTTTCGTTCTGTAGCCCAGGCTGGAGTGCAGTGGTGTGATCTTGGCTCACTGCAACCTCCGCCTTCCAGGTTCAAGCGATTCTCCTGCCTCAGCCTCCTAAGTAGCTGGGACTGCAGGCACTCACCACCACGCCCAGATAATTTTTTTGTATTTTTAGTAGAGGCAGAGTTACACTATGTTGGCTAGGATGGTCTCCATCTCCTGACCTTGTGATCCGCCCACCTTGGCCTCCCAAAGTGCTGGGATTACAGGCATGAGCCACAGCGCCCAGCCTCCTATTAACTTTTTAACTGACTATTATTTTTGTGATTGTCACTTTGGATTAATAGTGATTAGGCAACTGAAATATAGCTCTCAGCCCAACAGAAGTGTTATATTGCTTGAATTCTTTTATTGGAAACACATTGGGCAATTCAAAGGAATGAGCAAAGAATCAAATAGAAGTTGGAAACAATATCCAAACAAGAAAACAATTTGCATTACCTCCTGACAGTTAGTTTTAAACCTTGTCTTACTAAAAGTGTGACTCTTCAATCTATAAACTGACCACTTCCTTATTTAAAATCAAAAGTTGAATATTTGAATTAATCTTCATTTCCAAAAGTTAAAAAATTTCCAAGAGTTTAGAAAAGTTTTCTTTAATTGAGGAATAAAACTGTAGAGTTCTCCTCAGTAATATACTTCCAAAATCCTTTATCCTTTCAGCTTTTGTTTTTTTCTTTCCAAACTCCAATGACAGAAAACAGAAACCAGCTCTGTGCTTCCAAGTTTCTGGAATAGTTGCAGATGAGTCAATATAAATGCCAATTTTCTGGTCTGGTCTAGAGTGAATATTTTGGTGATAGTTTTGATAATTTTTGATACCTGGTGCTTTTGAATCCAGTTACAGGAAAAATGCAGCAATTTCTCACTTTTGTTTTTATGGAGAAAAAACACTCAAGCAAGTCATGTTTTTCTAAGTTGTTGTGGTTTTTTTTTTTTTTCCAGTATCAGAGAAAAAACAAAAAACATCTGTTTTCCTTCAAGTCTTTGTGACTTTCCATGTCCATTCCTCAGTTATTACCAACTGAATATAAAGTGGGTGATTTTTCTAGGATGCTTTCTGAAGAACAGGAATAAATAAACTTGGGAATCTGATATTTCTGAACCATAAGTTCTGCATTTTGGATTGGCAAGGAATTCTCAGCTCCTAACAAACCAAACTATGACCTAGGTTAACTTGCTATTTGCATCTGGTTTGCACTCACCTCATGGCATCAAGCCATCTCCATGCATGTGATGGTGGAAACATTTGCAAGACGTGGCAGTGACAACAAAGGTAGCATTATGACCTCAGGGGTGTGTGTAAGACTTGGGGCTTGGTCTGCAGTAGGAGACAATTATTCTGCAATCTTCCTGGTCCTGCCATTAATTTATTTAAGTCCTGGAAGAATACTTAAATTGGTCTCAAGTTCCATCAGCAAGATGGGAGTAAGTATACATATCAATCTCAAGGGCATTATCTGAATCATGACAAAAATAGATATTGGTTACTTAACTTTACAAATCATTAGAGAGAAATATAACTAATACTATAGTACACTCTTCTGAAAACTAAGATTGTAATAGAATTAATAGGACATTTCCAGGACTTATAGGCATTATATTTGAAATCAAATTTTCCAAATGTTTATTTTTTCTCTCATTCATCTCAAATTCTGCCAGTAACCATGCATTGATATAAACTAATATAGCCCAAATGTGTAACTACCATTATACCTAAAGTTAATCTGATATATTTATCTGCTGATGGTTTATTGCTCTGCCTTCATTTAGTGTTACAGATGCAAAGCTGGACACAATAGTGGATGCTTCATAAAGGATACTGATAAAAGAAAATATACTAAGTATCTGAGGCGATAGAGGATGAAGTGCAACACTGTGCTTATAGCCCAGCTGCAGCTTTATACAGGAACGGCAGGCAGGGCTGAGGAATTTCTTTTGAGTGCCCACTGTGTACAACACATAGCACTAGATATCCTTTAATGTACTAGCTCATTTAATCCTCATAAAAACCCTTTGGAATGTGAGTTATTTGTTCCTTTTTTCCAAATGGTAGAACTTGAGGTTCATTGTGATGAATGAAGGTGTGTGTAATCACAGCGTTGGTTAGAGGCAGAAGTAGAAGTCAGAGTTCTCTCTGACTCTAAAACTTAGACCCAGCTGATAGGCCACTTTCACTTCCTAAGAGCTGAAACTGGCCATCTAAGTAGGAAGGAATGAAGGTCAATTCGTGGCTTTTGTTTGTAGTTTTTACAGTGTGGCTCCATTGATGATAGCAAGTTATCTGTTAGGCAGAATTCTAAGATGACCCGTGACCTTCTTCTGCTGGATGTTCCTCTTTTGATCGTGTTATATTACGAGGCATGGAGAGTTTGCAGATGTTGGGATTACTGATCAATTGACCTTAAAATAGGGAGATAATCTCGGTGGGTTTAACCTAAACACATGAGCCTTTTACAATTTTCTCCAGCTGCTTGCGGAAGAGTAAGTCAGAAATAATCTAAGCATGGAAACAATTCTACGTGAGGGAAATTAATCACTGCTGATATGAAAGCTGAAACAGATGGCTTAAGGGATGAGAGTGGTGCTAGGGGCCCCTGGTCAACCTCCAGCAAGACAACAGGTACTCAGCCCTGCAACAGCCAGGAACTCAATGCTGCCCACACCGTGAATGAGTTTTGAGGCAGATTTTTCCCAAGAACCTCTAGAGAAGAGTCCAGGCCAGCCAACATCATTAGTTCAACCTTGTAAGGCTTTGAGCAGAATCAGCTTTCTGGACTTCTGATCTATAGGAAGGTAGGCTAATAAACGTGTGCTGTTTTAAGCTGCTAAATTTCTATAATTTGTTTTGCAGCAATTGGGTTACTGGTCAAATTAACATTGTTTGCACTTACACATACTAGTATTGTTCTTGACACAGTTCTTAATTATGAGTTTGGTTGCCTACTGGAATAATTGGATCAATGTATTACTTTTCTTTAGTATGAGATTTCCTCCACTGGAAGACTTGCTCTTCTTTATTTGAGCAGGTTGATGTGTGCCAAATCAGAATAATGCATTTGATTCTGTCAACTTTTAGTTCGTTAAAGATAATTTATTTTAAAAGAGTATAGAGTTTGGTCTAAAATGTAATATTTTCTATATGTTCAAAAAGTGGACCATGTTTTTAATAGGAGATGCAAAGGCCTACCTGGTAGTGGAATGCTGGCTACAAAATGAATATGTCTGTGTTTGTGAAGGAAAGAAGTTATTGCAGAAAAAGTGTCTTGTGTACTGTTAAGAATTAAAAAGGCTTTGAATCCACTGGAATATCTGGCAACTTTGCTATAAAGTCTTGTTTTCATTAAAATGGTTTGGGCTGAACCTTTCTTTGATAATTTAAAATTCCTTTCCACTCTCCCTCCTCCTTTCTGCCTCTAACTCCCATGCTTAAAGCATCACTGGTATTTTGGCAAATCAGGCTAAGTTAAAAACAAACTACTTGCTTACATATTCTCCAGCATCTGTCTAGCAGTCACACAAGAGTGCGCTGGCGCTTTCTTCCTGCTGCTCTTGTGTATGTTTCCTGTTGCCCTTATTACTTACTGGCCTAATTATCCCTATCCAGGAGTTCTATATTCCATGGAAAGCCTCATTGCTGAAATGGCCTAGACACGTAAACAATAGCATCTGTAATGTCCGTGTCTATTCACTTCTCTGTTTCTTTCTTTTTTTTTTTTTTTTTTTTTTGTTTGAGATGGAGTTTCGCTCTGTCACCTAGGCTGGAGTGCAGTGGCGCCATCTCACCTCACTGCAAGCTCCGCCTCCCAGGTTCAGGCCATTCTCCTGCCTCAGCCTCCCGAGTAGCTGGGACTACAGGCGCCCGCCACCACGCCCGGCTAATTTTTTGTATTTTTAGTAGAGATGGGGTTTCATCGTGTTAGCCGGGATGATCTCCATCTCTTGACCTCATGATCCACCCACCTCGGCCTCCCAAAGTGCTGGGATTACAGGTGTAAGCCACCGCGCCCAGCCACTTCTCTGTTTCTTTAGTCGTTTCTTCCTTTACTCTTGTATTCTTCGATCTAGCCTTGTTTTGGTTACCAGTGTTATGTAACCAACTATTATTTACCTAGTACTATAAAATTGCAACAGCTGTGTTACACTCATTGATTCTATGTGTTAGGAATTCTGGTAGGGCACAGCAGAGATGGCTTATGTCTGCCCATAATGTCTGTGGCCTCAGCTGAAGGTGATTCAAACATCTGAGGGCTGGAATAACCTGAGGTCTTCTTCACTCAGCAGCCCGTCTGGTGCCCTAGTACCTGAGTTGATGTGACCCAAAAGCTGGACTAAGGGCCAGGCATGGTGTCTCACGCCTGTAATCCCAGCACTTTGGGAGGCCAAGGCAGGTGAATCACCTGAAGTCAGGAGTTCGAGACCAGCCTGGCCAACATGGTGAAACCCGGTCTCTACTAAAAACATAAAAATTAGCGCATGGTGGCACGCGCCTGTAGTCCCAGCTACTCAGGAGGCTGAGGCAGGAGACTCACTTGAACCTGGGAGGTGGAGGTTCCAGTGAGCCGAGATCACACCACTGCACTCTAGCCTGGCTAAGCTCTAAAGCCATTAAGAACCCTAGAACAGTTACACCCAGGACTGTGTGTACACCCAGCCTGGGTGACAGAGTGAAACTCCGTCTCAAAAAAACAGAACAAAAACAAAGGCTGGACTCAGCTGGAAATGTTGACTGGAACTGGGTTAGGATATTTACCCACTGGACAGGCTGCAGGTAGGTGTTCCACAGTTATGGCTAGGTTCCAGGCTAGTTCTGAACCCACCCAGACCTGTAGCTAGGTTCTGTGAGAAACATACCAAGGGGCGATGTCCAAAGAGTGAGGGTCTCAAACATCCCAACCATAAATGCATTATGATACTTATGATCTGGTATTAAAGGTCACATAGCAGCATTTGCACATGTAGTTGTACTCTATTGGTTGAAACAACTACAAGTCCACCCAGGTGCAAGAGAAGGAGACATAGGCTACACTTTTTGAGGGGAGAGTAGCAACGCACATTTTAGAGAAATATTTTGAATGGGATCTATTTGGTGGCCATCTTTAGAAAATGCAGCATGCCACAATCTGCCCTAGGGCTACAACAATTTGTATCCCACTGACATGCAAAATAAAAACACCCTCTCCCAAGACCCCCAAAAGTCTCCATTTTGACTTTCATTTTAGACTCAAGGTCCAGAATCTTATCATCTAAATTGGGTGATATGGGGCTGGGTGTGCCGACTCATGCCTGTAATCCCAGCACTTTAGGAGGCCCAGACAGGAGGATCACTTAAGCTCAGGAGTTTGAAACCATCCTGGGCAGCTTAATGAGACCTCGTCTCTGCAAAAAACAAACAAACAAAAAACAAACCTAAGTGAGCGTGGCGGCATGCCTATAGTCCCAACTACTCAGGAGGCTGAGGTGGGAGGTCACTTGAGCCTGGGAGGCCTAGGCTGCAGTGAGCTGTGATTGCTCCACCGTACTCCAGCCTGAGTGACAGAGTGAGACCCCATCTCAATCAGTCAATCAATCAAATGGGTGATATGTAAATAAGACACCTCGAGTGCAGTTCCTCAAGTATTTCTTGCAATCTGACCTGTGAATGTAAGAGAGAGGTTATCTTTCTCCAAAACACTGAACATACAATAGTCAAACCGATATAGGATAACCACTGCTATTCGAAAATATAATCACTGTTTCATAGCAATTCTGAAATCCAGCAGGGAACATGTTACCAGTTCCTTGATAAGGCTTAGACCCACAACCTGAGAGTTCTTCTCCGCAGCTCTTATATTCATCCTGGGCTCTTTGTTCCACCCGAGTCATTTTTCCTTTTTATAAGGAGTAGTCCATGTCTACAGCTAAGCAGATTTGTATTTGTCTGTTTCTTTATTTTTTAAATCATGTATCTTGCCAGTAAAAGTTTTGGAGTTCAAAAGCCTTTTTTCATTTGATACTGTCTCTGTCCCTTTTATTCCCATCTGATATAATTTCTTTAAAAATGTTGTGGGTTTGTTGTATGTCAATTTATAAGTCTAACATTTTGAGAGGGAGTCTCACTCTGTCACCCAGGCTGGAGTGCAGAGCCAATCTTGGCTCACTGCAACCTCCACTTCTGGGTTTGAGAGATTCTCCTGCCTCAGCCTCCGAAGTAGCTGGGATTACAGGTGCCCGTCACCAGGCCCAGCTAATTTTTGTATTTTTAGTAGAGACAGGGTTTCACTATTTTGGCCAGGCTGGTCTCGGATTCCTCACCTCAGGTGATCTGCCCACCTCGGCCTCCCAAAGTGCTGGGATTACAGGCATGAGCCACCACACCCAACCTGGAATAACATTCTTAAGACCTTTAGAAGCCTTAATATTTTTCTTAACAGAGACATGCCCTGAAGATGGTTTGAAAGCTTTTGGTCCATCTCAGTGTGTCTACAGGGCACAAACATAAATTTTTCCGAGGTCTGCATAAAGGGTTTTGTAGTCACATCTAAGGTTTCATCTTGATTCCAAGACAATGTTTTTCTGCTAGCTCTCTGGATTTAATATTTGAATCAATGACTCTTTCTTAATTGAGAAGCCTTTTCTGTCTGGAAAGACTCTCCTAAACCCTTGATAGTTGTTCTTGAAAAGGAAGAGTTTATTTTTTAGTTAATTTCTCTCTGCTCTCACATTCTACTATAGCTGGCTAGAAGAAACCACAATGCACCTTACACTCTTCTTCCAAAAACCTCCTTACCTTGATTAAGTTCATTAGCATATTTCTTATTTTCCGTATTACTGGTGGTAACTGTGTTGACAAGCTTTCTACCATTATATATACAAGTTTCCTTCCTCTAGCTTCCAATAACAATCTCCTCAGTCTCTTTCACACTTTCACTGACTCCCTTTTTGAGGACTGTGTTACTTTTCTGTGGAAGCTACAACAAAGTACCACAAGCTGGGTAGTTTAAACCAACAGAAATTTATTCTCTCACAGTTCCAGAGGACAGGTCAAAAATCAGTTTCATTGGGGAAGGTCAAGATATTGGCAGGGCCATGCTCCCTCTGAAAATTCTTTTTTTTTTTTTGAGATGGAATTTCACTCATCACCCAGGCTGGAGTGCAATGGCGAGATCTCGGCTCACTGCAACCTCCGCCTCCTGAGTTCAAGCGATTCTCCCGCCTCAGCCTCCTGGGTAGCTGGAATTACAGACACCCACCACCACACCCGGCTAATTTTTTGTATTTTTAGTAGAGATGGGGTTTCACCATGTTGGCCAGGCGGATCTTGAACTCCTGACCTCAGGTGATCCACCTGCCTCGGCCTCCCAATCCCTCTGAAAAATTCTAGGGCAGAATCTGTTCCTCACCTCTCCCAGCCTCTGGTAGCTGCATCACTCCAATCTCTGCCTCTGTTTTTACTTTGTCTTTGTCTCTGGGTGCGGTCAAATCTCCCTCTGCCTTTGCCTTATAAGGACATTTGTGATTGCACTTAAGGCCCACCTGGATAATCCAGGGAAATCTCCCTATCACAGAATACTTTGATCACACTTGGAAAGAACCTTAAAAAAGATAACATTCACAGTTTCCTGGGTGATGATGTGGACATCTTTTGAAGGGCATTTTTTAGCCTACTACAAGGCTTTTTGGACATCTGTCTGACACACAATCCTAAAAACAAATTCCACCTGTTTTAGGTTTTGTTTTGGTGGTACTTCATTTCTAGATCCCCAATTCCATTTCATTTACCATGATGGCATAAATAAAGCACCTCAGACCTTGTTCAAATAATTATAATCATGTTGTTTTCCTCGAAGATCTTGTGGTTCAGGAATTCAGACAGGATTCAGTGAGATGTCTTGTCTCTGCTCCGTGATATCTGGGGCCTCTGCTGGGCTTCATTGGAATGACAGTGACTTGGAATCATGTGGAAGCTTCCTCACCCTTATGTCTGGCACCTGAGCTGGGATGAATCTAAGGCGGTGCTCAGCGGGGAATGTGCACCAGAGCATCCGCATGTGGCTCTTCTGTGTTGCTGAGTCCTCATAGCATGGAAGCAGAGTAACCAAGGGATCCTCCTGAAAGGGTGTTTGGAGAGCCCCATGACCCCACTGGGCTCAATCAGTCACAGCCCACACAGATTTGAGTGGACAGGACTTGCGATGGGGCAACTGCTGTGCCACTTGCCACACCATCTTCCTCCTTTTTTGTTTAGGTGTTTATAACATGTGCTAAGTTTCAATTCTTTTTTTTATCTTAAAATAAATCATGTCTTTTTAGGATAAAGAGAACTCTTTTTAGGTTAAGGGAACCAAGCAGAATCAGCATTCATGATGAACAAGCATTCACCCCCATCTGTATAATAAATCAGGAAACCAATGTAATGTGCAGACAGCTCCTGAATTAGCAATTGTGTCTCATTGAAGGAGTCCATAAGAATACAGTGTAAATGTTTTAAGGCCCAACAGCCAGGTAGTGAAGAGAGTGAACTCTGGAGGTAGCTGCTCTGGGTTCAATTCCCAGGTATATCACTTATTAGTTCTTAGTTTAGGAAAATTTATTCAACCTTTTAGTGCCTCACTTTCCACATTTCTAAAATGGAGATCACATTACCTTCCTCACCCAGTGCAATGGAGACTAAATTAATATCTATATGGAAAGCACATAAAGCAATATAAGAAATAGCAATACTCATTAGTTTCTGTGAAATCAACTTTTCAATTCATCTTTACTACTAAATGGCTAAGAATAGACACACACACAGACACCACCACCCTTCCCCCCGAAACATGTAAAAATCTTGAATCACTGCCCTTGCGAATCAATGGCTAAGGAAAAGATTGGTACTGTCATGAATGTTTGAGAGCTGAGAGGGTCTAAAAGGATTCGGAACACAAAATTTAACAAAAATATAAAAGGCACTAAGGAAAAAGAAACATTTTTATAATACCTGAATCACTTTTCTCTTTTTCTGCCTTAATAATTCTCCAGACAGTGAACTCTTTGGTGAGCCTAAATAACTCCTCAAGATGCCTGGAGGAAATGTCCCACAGAAGCAGGTTTTTTTAAAGGACATTAATTAATGGAGTTGTTTAGCTTTATATTTTTGAATAACAATATTTAAAGAGGGTCTGAATAGTATACTACATGGTTAACTTCTCAATTTCTGCCTGTAGAAAATATGTTAAGAGTTTTCAGTAGAGAGCAGACTCTCTCAATCGTGAAGACATAATAATTATTTACCCGGCTTACTGTTTTTCATTGCAAATGTAAAGGCATTCTCTTTTTATGGACTCAAAAATCACTTTTAAAAAACTTGATTTTGAAAATAAATAGTAAAAATTATGACACTGGAATATTATCGATGAGTAGGACCGAGGAAAAAAGGGCAGAGTGGAAAATATTGGAAATGGCAAGGTCTGGAATTTCCAAAAGCACGAGCTGACTCTAAACCTTCAGATAAAAATTTTCCTCTCCTCGAACATTGGCCTCACACTTTTCTGGGTGTCGTTTTGGACTGTCAAGGCTGAGATGAATAATTTGGGATTTTCTCATGACTTCTGATCTGTAGCAGCTTGGATTTACTTAGACTTCAGCACCTTCAAAATGACATATTAGTGTCATCTATGTTCTTTCATGGAGAAATAATTCTGCCTTCCTCAACTGTCCCCTGCCACTGAATTTAATATGTGAGCATTTTGCTGTTTGGAAGTTTTCCAACTTCCCCATAAAGACCAGTCGATCACCTTGTCGCCCTTGTAAAGGTATAACTGCCTCTCTCAAAGAGAAATAGTTGAGATATTTGTGGCTAGAGGCAACTTATTTATTATTATTATTACTGTTATTATCATTATGATTGCCCAGTGGCAGATGAAAGGAGTTCTGTAGTATCAACGGGTCTGGCACCTTTGTTTCAGCTGGGGTGGCTTTAGAAGTGGGCCAAGCAGTCACCTGTGTGAGCTCCCGATTTGTAAGACCTCTGTGTCTACAGATATCCTGGTTTATTCTCCTTTGTTGACACATTTGAGCACCGTTATAGCCATAATTTTATTTGGTGGCATGTGATTGTTGAAATGCTCTTTTTGTACTTTGTACTTGCAACTGTGTGGGGCTAAAGCTGAACATTGTTTTCTGTGATTTATAACAACGCGGGAGAAAGATTAGATCTCTCACGTAATTATTCAGGATTTGGCGGATTCTTGAGCTGGATTTTAAGTGATTAGAAGAAAAAGGGGGTTTTGGAGCAAAATACTCCTTCATCATCTTGATTTTGGAGGACTTTTATACTCAGGGTGGTTAAAATATGCATGTGAATATGGCAATGTAGACCTTATTGCTGAGGCATTGGAAGCCTCCTCTTATTTCTCTCAAGCTTTTGAAGAAGAGTGTTCCAAAGGACACTGGACATGCTGCCTTAACCCAAACCACACCCCTCACCCTAGGCTCCCCTCACCCTATGCTCCCCAGCACACTCACCTCACTACTAAAAATCAATTCATGTCTATTCTCTGCTTCAAAATAATATTTCTCCTTAACACTCAGGGCAACTTTGATTTCCTGAGCCCTCACTTTGAATTTCTACCACCATCCTAGAAATAGGCATGATTCTTAACCTCATCTAAGTATGAAAAAACCAGGACTGAGAAAGTTCAATAACCTGTTATTTTGTATTTAGAACACATACGTTTAACCACTAGCTTCTCATTCTCCAAATCTCTAAATGGGAACAATTATAACTGAAATGTTAGGATTTTGAAGAATTGAAGAAAATGTGTGTAAATATCTCATGTTATGTCTAATGTATTGTCTCACTTAATTTCAAAAATAGCTAAAAGATCTTATTGAGATGAAAAGTTCCTGGATTGAGTATGATTCCATATCATTTGAAATGCAAGAATATATTTACCCCACATATATTACAGGTTTTGAAAAGCCAATAAAATTATGGTTCTAGTCTCCTTAACTCAGTTACTTTCAGCAGGAAATAGCCTGGTTTTTTTCCATGAAGTGGCTGTGTGATCCCAATACACTAGTGTCTTTTACTGAACAATATTTTGCATATATTATAACTTTCTATTTCTATTTTTTTTTTTTTTTTAGACAGAGCCTCGCTCTGTCACCCAGGCTGGAGTGCAGTGGCGCGACCTCGGCTCACTACAAGCTCCGCCTCCAGGGTTCACGCCATTCTCCTGCCTCAGCCTCCCAAGTAGCTGGGACTACAGGCACCCACCACCACGCCCGGCTAATTTTTTGTATTTTTAGTAGTCATGGGGTTTCACCATGTTGGCCAGGATGGTCTCAATCTCCTGACCTCATGATCTGCCCACCTTGGCCTCCCAAAGTGCTGGGATTACAGGTGTGAGCCACCGCACTGGGCCATAACTTTCTAAGACTGAAGATTCAATAGTAAAATAAATTTTTTCTCTGAAATTTGACTATGCAAATGATAATCTACAGTGACTTCTTTTCTGTCCGTTGCTAACTCCCAGCTTTTTGCGTCTACTGGGCTAAAAAGCGTTGTGCTCTACATGCAATAGCGAAAGTGCAGGCTTGGGTTCTTCCAGGGCTCTGACACAGAGAAGGGGTGAGGGGACTCTAATCTATTGGCTATTTAAGACACTAGACAGTAGCATCTTAGTTTGAGGACAAAGACTGAAAAGCAGGGTAACTTGAGAATGACCTGGGATCTGATTTCTGAGATCTGTGGAGATCTATAGGAAGATCTCCATTGGTCTCACATTATTGATCTGACTCTCAAAAGCCAAAGAAGGAGCTGAACACCCCAGCTGAGTCTCCCTTGTCTCGAGTCTAGGGAAAGTAGAACTCCCCCAGGTGTTTCTGCAGAAACAGGCAACTTCTTAATGATCAATAATGAGACATAGGAATTAAAATCATGATATTCCAATTAATCAGTAGATAAATAGCAAGAAAAGTCAATCACCTTTGAAGCTTGAATTATTTGACTGGAAGATGAGGTATAAAAATATTTCAAAGTCCAGAATGAAAATATTATGGAGATGAACATATGAGGGAAACGAAAATACCTTTGGGAGGATATATTTAAGAAGTCAAGCAGGTGATTAACAGAACTTCTAGAAGAAAAAAACAAATAGCGAAAGGGCAATACATATACGAATAATATTGTATTGTGTAACCAAATTATCCTAAAACGAAGTGGCTTAAAACAGTATACTTTTTCTTTATCCCATAGTTTTGATGGGTCAGGAATCCCAGAGAGGGTTAGTGGAATGGTTCTGGCTCAGGGCCTCACATGGGATTGCAGTCAAACTCTCAGCTGCGTCTGCAATCTCTGAACTTGACTGTTGATAACACATCCACTTTCAGCTAACTCATGTGGCTGCTGGTAGAAGGTGAACCATATGAATTGTTTTAAACAGAACAGCCCAGAGCAGGGGTGTCCCCAAAGCAAGTGATTTAAGAAAGAGAATGAAAGTGAGTGAGCAACAATGCTCAAGATAGAAGCCAAAGTCTTATACCTGAATCTTGGGAGTGACTTGCCATTTCTTCTACTCTCTGCTGCAACACTTCAGCCTTGGTATAACATTCGAGGGGACTCCACAAGAGTGGGAATACTAGGAGGTGGAGATTATTGGCAACCATCTTAGAAGCTGCCTGCCACAAATATTATAGAAGGAATATCTCTAGAGTTGAAGAAGAACCTCAACCTGAAATTTCAGAGGGCACACTCAATTCCAAGTTGGGTCAATAACAAAACATGCACACATATTCTCCATAAAGGTCTCCAATGCTAAATATCAAGTGGAAACCAGATAAGCTTCAAGTTTAAACTCACCTGTTACACCAAAGTAGAAAATGTGCAACTGGCCTGACATATATCTCTGCAAGAATGTAGGCCAGAAGACAGTGGGATAATATCTATAAGTGAATGACACATGACTGCAACTCAACGATTATAGATCAAAGGCTGAGGGGCGGTGGCTCATGCCTGTAATCCCAGCACTTTGGGAGGCCCAGGCGGGCGGATCACCTGAGGTCAGGAGTTTGAGACCAGCCTGGCCAACTTGGCAAAACCCCGTCTCTATTAAAAACACAAAAATTTGCCAGGTGTGGTGGCGGGCACCTGTAATCCCAGCTACTCAGGAGGTTTAGGAAGGAGAATCGCTTGAACCCAGGAGGCGGAGGTTGCAGTAGTGAGTCAAGATTGCGCCACTGCACTCCAGCCTGGGTGACAGAGCAAGACTCCATCAAATTAAAAAAAAAAAAAGAATTATAGATCAAGATATCAAGCTGAGCTAGCATATGCCTAAATAAAATATAAAAGAGAGTTTAGAATACATATCATGCATTTACCCCATGAGAAAAAGAATTGAGAAAAGACATTAACCAATCACCGAATAGACCATTATACAGAGCTCAAGACAGGGGAAAATAAAAGCAGAAAGGAAATACATGTAAACATTGTTGCATGGATGAGAATATATAATGCAAATGGTAACTAGGACTTTTGAAAGGGAAGGATAGAATAAGCTATATTTTGGTAACTCTCAGCCCCCAGATTTCTGTGGCTTTCAACAATAAAAGCTCACTTCTCACTTGCTCATACAAATCCTCTTTACGTTGAGCAAATCTCCCAAACAGCCAACCTCCATGAGTCCACTCAAATTTCAAGCTGCTTAAATGTTGTGGCTGTACCATCTTAAGACAAGCGCTTCCCCTTGATCCTTGATTTTCCTGGGAGAGGAAGATGGAGGTTCTAGAATTCCACAAAGGCTTTTCACTGCCTCAGCCCAGAAAAACCCAACATGACTTCTTGTATTTTATTGGCCAAGGACTGTTTGATGGCCTCGCCTAAGTGTAGGGGAGCTAGGAGATGAAATGCAGGAAATAAAGGAGAATTTTACGTATCTTAGCAAACGTAGGGGTAGGAAATGTGAGGTGAACCAGGGAAAGTCCACTGCTACCATGGGACATCAATAAAAGACTACGAGATGATGGAGATCAATGTATTGCAAAGTCGTCATCTAATTGAGGTGGATAGGAGGACTGTGGGTCTTACTAGAGAAAATGGTTTTTATCTTGTCTTCATATTATAGTTGAATCTCTGTGTGAGAGGACAGAAAGTGAAATTATCAATAAATTGAGTGGACATTTGAAGTGGATTTTCTTTATCAAACCGACAAAAATAAAGAGCAGGGCGTGGTGGCTCATGCCTGTAATCCCAGCACTTGGGAGGCCAGTTGGGGAGGATTGCTTGAGCCCAGGAGTTCAAGACCAGCCTGAGCAACATAGTGAAACTCCATCTCCACAAAAAAAATTAGCTGGGTGTGGTGGTGCGAGACTACAGTCTCAGCTTCTCAGAGGACTGAGGTGGGAGGATTGCTTGAGCCCAGGAGGTCCAAGCTGCAGTGAGCTGTGATTGTGCCACCGCACTCCAGCCTGGGTGACAGAGTGAAACTCTGTCTCAAAATAACAATAATAAGGATAATAAGTAAAGAGGAAATAACAGTACAAATAAATAATATGATTGTGTATAAAATAAATCAATTATATGGGACATTAAACTAAATATGAACAAATCAGATTCTTACATTAGAATTCAAAAACATATTTGCTGTTTTCAAGAAACAAGCTTAAAACAAATGAATCAAGGAAGACAGAAAATAAAGAGGCAATTGCAAACTGAATTAAAAGAGTGGAGCTATTAATACCAGAAAATATAGGCCTTTGGGGTGAAAGCACTGAATAGAATAAAGGGTATATTGTGTAAAACATTTCAATTCCAGTTTGATTTAAAAGTACATCAATCTATTGGGCAAAAATATATTCTTCATAATTGACATCAGAGTAATTAACATTGTGTGCGTCTGACCATGTGCAAAAACTGGTGCTAGGTGCTTCTGTGGAAATTGTATGTATTTTGGAAATGTTCTTATACTAAGCATTCTGGCATTCTGCTCTCATGCTCTTCAACTTTGTAGATGGTTTGGGGTGTAATGTTTAAAATGCAAAGATAGATGAATATTTGTGACCATTATTGCAACTTATTTAATGCTGCACATGATTAAAAAATACCAAATTTCTTCATTTTGTCAATCATTTGAAGTGTCTTAAACTAACTCATTGGTTCAAAGTCCTATAATCCAATGTGAAGACACTTCAATCTTCCAACTAAGAATGGTATCACCCTCTTTTTTCAGTAGTTCAACTTCGTTATATATTTTTGTAACTAGACCTAAAATTCAGTTGTGAGAGTTTCATTTATAATTGAGTCAGACTTTGTGTTACAAATGATAGTTTTGTAATAATAGTTCAGGCGATATACTGAAAACAGGAAACATTTAAATGAAACCCATTCCTTTAGTCTGAGGCAGATAACATTTTCTTTTTAGATATCATCTCAAAAGTGAACGTGTTGAGTTTACTTGACTATGAAGAAAACATTTCATAGACTATGAAATTACATGGAAATATCTGGTTTGCTATAAATAGAATTATGTGGCACAGGAGCTCATGAGGCTCTGGCGATTTAAAGTTATTCTGTTCTCAAAAAAAAGTAGGTAAACAGACTGCACATATGAAAGAATAAAGTTAGGCAGGAAATAGGAGGATTGCCAACCTGGCAATGTCTTCACAGGGCCTGACAGGACACAAAATTGGAAAGGTGCTGTCTAAAGTACTGAAATTCTTTTTAGTCACAGTCACTTGTGGACAGAAAAAGAATCTGATTTCCTTGGTGATAAAGAAAAAAACTGGCGGACTGAAGTAAATATTTTTAAATAGAATGAATAACATTTGAATATTTTAGTCTGTCTAAAAAACACAAAACATAAATTACTGGATACTGATTTATTAGAAATTGTATCTAAAATCAAACTGGATAGTTTGAGACTTCTTCATACAAATGGCTCCATAGTATATGAGCACACTGAGTGGGTGGATGCAGCTGAAGTTTTCTGAGAAGGTTATCATATGAAATGAGGACAGCAACAGGGCAAAAGTGAAAAAAATGAAATTTGAGACTATTTCTGCAATGATTCTTTCTTTCAAATATGTCTATTGCTCATAATACTATGTGAAGAAAAAATACAAGAAGGCTGCAAGGTATAATGTTTTAAATGTACTCTGTTACCTGCAACTTATTTGACTTCTGTTTGGAAAATATTCATGGCATTGTAGCCTGAAAAGCCATTTCATGATTGAAAGAGGTCACAGGTTAAATTTGTATTCTTTTATTACTCTTATTTATTGTAAGTAGCATAGGCTTTTAACAGACATCATTCAGCTTTTAACCAGACACGTTATTTTGAAGTTTCCTAGAGCTGCCATTGGGGGGTTGAGATGTGAGTGTGGGGGTGCAGGAAATGGAAAAAAGACTACATAATTAAAAGTTTCAAAGATAAATGGATTGATCTTGAGCATATCCTGAGTACTACGAAGTCATCGTAAGGATATAAAATGAGAAAATACAGAAAACCACCAGCATGTTCACACTTACACTATTAGTTTATTGTTCTCTATTTGTGAACAGTTAGCTTGATGCTTTTGTTTGTTTTTGTGTACCTAGGTGCCGTCTTCTTGAACAGTGAAAGAGTAGTTTTTTGAAACATCATAGTCCACAGTTTGAATCCTCTGAATAACACATGTGTCTGTTTTAGTTACCAAAACAATGTATCTTTCAAGCATTTATATAATATTATATATAAATATATAATAACATTGTGAGTTATTTACGTGAAATGAATGCATGCATATTTATTCAATGCTCTCTTCTTATTTAGCGACTCCATTGAAAAGAAACATAATATATGGAAAAATTACTAGAAAATCTAGGAAAACTGACTGAATGCTTTGGAAAGACACAGTCAAGGTGAGTCAATTTTTTTAAAAAAAGCTGAACGATTAGGTACGCACAAGTCAAGTATCAATGTTTGGGTCAAACAAAAAATAATTTTTTTTACAGTTTGCTTTGAGAAACTTGAATTTCTAATCCACTTTATTGAAATAAAAACTTAAAAACAAAGGATCGCAGGTATTATGTCTGTAAGAAAGCCAACACCTAACTCCAAAGAACAGGTCTTATTCCCACAACAGAAGCCTAGTGAATCAGTGCACATGTGTATATAAAATTCAATTATATTTAAAATATGATTATGTTATACTTAATGATCCTCAGTTTCACTTTCAGATTAATGAGCCACCAACAATGAGCTCTGATTACTTAATGATAAGACCTTTCTATTTCAATAGATTTCAGTCTTTATGCTGCACAAATAGCAGAGGCTAAAAACACTTATTTTGATGTTTTTAATTTTGTACAATGAAAATTAAACACCTCATACATTCCACACCTATTGCCAAGGGACATGCACAGCTGGACACAGAACCTCAATTGAGATTCTGTTACCACTTTCATTCGGGGAGTGCCATTCTCTCCCCTGCTTCTAACCTTCCTCTTACCCTATGTTGTTTTTGACATTAACAGAAAGATTTTATATTTTTATATGAAGATCAATAAAATGCCATTAGAAGAGAAAGAAGTTATTTTATATTTTTCTCAGTAGAAAACACCTTCGCCAGGATTCCTTACAAGTTACCTGGTTGGTGACTAACAAGAGCTGGTGTCAATTCTGTAACCATCTTTGGGGGCCACTTCTGTATAGAGAGTAAGTTGTAAAGGCCATTTCCAAATTAAGGCATGTTTATCCTCAGCATGTGGAAAAGACAAATTGTTAAGATGTGACTTCTTTCAATATTTGTGCTACGTAAACATCATAATCTTAAGAAGCAGTGGGACTTGGAGATAAAATGCCATCAGACTGGCTAGAAGTCCCTCATTCAATTCTCTAAACTCTGTAGTAAAATTCTTATGAAGACCGCTAATAACTCTCTGCTAGACAGATGACAGGTAGTATCTGGAGGAATTTATAAAAAAAAAACAAACTCTAAGACTGAAATAATCAGGTTTAGAAAAAGGCTGGTGATGGATCCAGTCATTTGCCTTCTGAAACAAAGCAGTCAGGCAGATCTGAATAAAACAGCAAGTTGCTAGGTAATTCTCCCACAGTGTGACAGTTGGCTAGAGAGATCACCAGGGGAAGTTAGGCCCCCTTCCTCTTCTGTATTGGTGCTAATTTTGAGGTGATTAAACTAATATTCTCCCCTTCACACACCTTTAGGCATCATTTGGAGATTGAAATTCCCAGAAAATACAAAGTACGGAAGTTGTGGGAGTGACTGATATTATGTCTTATGAGATGAAGTCCTTGTGGCTATTAGGACCTAAGAAAATTAGGTAAAAGAAGAGAAATAAGGAACACATGCTGTATTCACCAGAGGAAAAAAAATGGTTAAGGCTAAAATATCACAATACTGATGAAAGAATCAAAAAAGATGAATAAAAATAGTATATGGCCTAGGAAGGAACCAAAAATACATAAGAAAATAATACATAATAAAAGATACATGGAATAAACACACACACACACATCCCACAGGAGAAAATAATTATTTGAAAATATTGGTAGAGAAATTGACTAAATGATTTGGGCAAAACATAAATCAAACCATACACTGAAATAAATTCTTGTTTAAAAAGTTAAACTTTGTATATATTACCATTAAGTAACCATTTACTTGTTTAAAATAAGATTTTTTGAGACAAAATAATTGATAATTTATATCACAGATTTTCTGTCATGCTTACATTTTGTAAGTTTGTTTTCTCCTCTGGATAGTTTCACCTCCTTATGCTGGATATGCGACGACTCCAGGAATTTTCTAATCTAAGAACGAGCGTGTTCAGTGAAATATCATCGGTGTTGCAATCCGGGGGAGCACGTGAATGTGCCTGCCAGGGGAGTCAAAAGCCCTTCTTGTAGAACCGTGAAAGGAAATAGGAAGTGAAAGCTTTGCCATGTAGAACATTCCTCCACACTGAGAGCACAGAGGATACAGACTTAGTTCATATCCCAGCTTCAATCTTAGAGTGCCGTGTAGATATTCCTCTGTGAGTAATGACATTTCCTCAACATTTATATAACCCTGAAATATCTTCTGATTTCTGCCTTTGGTGTATAGGAAGCAACAGCACTTCTTTTAAAAGGGGAAGGAGGGTCAGCGCGGTGGCTTATGCCTGTAATCCCGGCACTTTGGGAGGCCGAGGCGGGCAGATCATGAGGTCAAGAGATGGAGACCACCCTGGCCAACATGGTGAAACCCCGTCTCTACTAAAAATACAAAAATCAGCTGGGTGAGGTGGCTCACACCTGTAGTCCCAGCTACTCGGGAGGCTGAGGCAGGAGAATCGTTTGGACCCGGGAGGCGGAGGTTGCAGTGAGCCGAGATAGTGCCACTGAACTCCAGCGACAGAGCAAGACTCTGTCTCAAAAAAACAAACAAACAAAAAAAAAAAACAAAAAAAAAAAAAAAGAAGAAGGGAGAGGGGAAGTAGGTCAATATAATGAAAGATAGCAAAGTAAAATAGTTTGACTACATAACATTTTGTTTTGTACCTAGAAACAACAAAAACTACATTCTCAAGATAATAGAAAACAAAAAAATGCAAACAAGCAGAATATCAAAGGTTAAGTAGTATTAACACTTAAAAAGCTCATACAGTTTGATAAGGAAAGCAATCCAATAAAAATTGACAAAAGCCTTGAATAGGTTTGTCACAGAGAAATACTTTGTCAATGCTTGAAAGCATGTTCTACCTCACTAGTGATCAATAAAACTGGAAATGAAAACAATTAAGATAGCTTTTTCACTCACAAATTGGCCAAGATTTTTTGAAGACAGTATTAGTCGAGTTGCAATGAAACTTCAGTCTTTCGTACTATTGGGTATAAATGGCCACCATATTTTCTGGAGGGCAATATTGGGATTTGTATCATGATGCCTAAAAAATTAATAGCTTTGACCCATAGGTTCTACAAGTAGGAACTAGCTTGAGGAACTAGATCCATGGACAAAAACATATAAACAAATACAAATTATTATTATATGAAGGGTGAAAAATTATGTTCAGCTTTAATATTAGTGGTCATTCAAAATTGAAACATTGTAAAACAAAAATGTGTACACAAAAAATTATGTGCTAACTGCCTGAAACAAATTTGTATAAGTCATATGATCCGTTTTGTATATTCATTAAAATAGTCATAAAAATATAAACAATGTAATAAGTATGTTTGAATAGTATTATGATGGGCTACTTTAATTTTCTCATATATACATTATTCATTTTCTAGTGTAAACATGAACTTTTTCCAAAATTATTACTTTTAATAAGAGGTAGTAGATAAAATAACAGATTACAATAGCTGTTGTAAAATGAATTATTTCATACTCTGTTGTATCTGATATCTTTTATCCTGCAAAATAAAGTTTGCTTCTTAAAATGTTGAATTTGTGATTTTTTTTTCTCTTTTCCACCTTCTTCCTCCTCCCCACCTGTACCTACTACTAATAAAAGTGAGCACAGACTGATGCTGAAAGGAAAGATCTTATGGAATTTGACTAATCAAATCAATCTTTCTCCAAAGGAGTAAACAAATATAGGAAAAAATGAAATATGTGATTGGCTTATGATATGTTTAATGCCAAAATATTAACTGAAACCTTAACATATGCATGGACAATAAATGGGGTATTGAATAAATATTTATTGATCATCGTTTACATGCAAAATCTGTTGTGGTTTTGATAGACACTATTGCATTGAATCTTTACAGCAACATTGACCCCAATGTGGATTAAGGAACTGAGGCTTAGAGAGGTTACATGACCTAACAGCTATTGAGGAGTGTCGGCATTCAAACTGGGCTCTTTCTCCTACACCAAATGAACTTCATTAGCATAGTTTATTTGGGTCAATCTATTCTTTTTCACATATCATGTTAACAAAATGACACATGTCTAACCAATTGGAAATTATTTAAACATAGTTTAAAATGCTACTAACACAATATGTATTAGCATATTTTTCCAAAATCGTAAAGTTGCTTACAATTGTGGATGCCCGGTCACCTTCAGATGTTGAATATAGTCCGCCAGGTTGTGGCTGCCTTACCAAAATATATAAAGATAGTGTTTTATTTCAAGACCAGCTCATTTCCCAAATGTGTACGAAGTAGTCCTTATAGAGGAATATTCTATGGTTATAGTAAAATAAAAATAGTACCTGAAAGCTGGAACCTATGGATAATATTTAAGGTGGGACTTACAATATGGAGGATAGTCTATATTTTTATGAACATTATAGTACGATCCTGTTTTACTTAGTTGTCTACTAGTATTTCAAAATTATATATGCACACACTCTTTGTCTGAAGATATTTACAGCATTATTTTTAAATTACTGCCACCTCTCCTCCAAGCTCTCACAATTCTACACCTTAACCTTTAACCTTTTTGACAAACTATGCTTTGAATCACATTGACTGAACCTTCTGTTGTTCATCTTTTAAGAAATTTACACTGGATTTCAGTGGATCTCTATAAATTTATTTTCCTCTGACAAGAGAAAGAATAAAAATTAAATTCAAATATACCAGAAATGTGGTGAGAATTCCCAGCATAGCTATTGCTGAGTTAGAGTATTTTTTTCCAACAGCTGCTTAATAGTTACATATAACTTTATAAGCAAGTTATATGTTAAGGACATGGTGTTACCCCTTTGTTCAGTTTGAAGTACAGGAACATTTCGCATTGCTTAGTGACATTTTCCAGATCATGCTGCCTTTAAAAAATGCAGTAACAATTCCCTCATAGTTAATGTTTGAAAAGTTCTGATTTAAACTGAGTTTATAAGATTTAAGAAAAAAGCGTTTTTTATTAAAAATGAAAAAAATTCCTACTGAAATGTGAGAAATTCTTAATCAAGTAGAAATTTGAATAAAAATTCAAATTTTATTTTCAAAGTTTATTTTCAACTTTTTGTTATTAATATTCAGGTACATTTAATTTTTTCATATTCATTTCTTTTCTGTTTCTTTCGTTTCAAAAACATTTTTTATGCAGTCAAAACTGCCTCTCATTCTTGGAATATTTATCTTGATCTTTCACAGCAAACTTCCAGTCTCTGTGTGCTGTTTTACATATTAAAGGAGGAAATGTCAGGAATGATATATTTGAAGCACAGTTTCATGACCTGATGTAACAAAAAGTATGATTGATTCCAAAATGCATTACAACATTGTTTTATATAATCATAGTGGTGGTAAATTTAGATTCTAAAATTTGATGTTTGACCAAATACCAATATTTTCTCAAGTTTCCTCCCTCTTAGAATTTTGAGGCTTAACTTCTGGATGCTTAGAAATTAATTAATTAATTTAATTCTGCTTAGAAAGAGAATTTCACATTTGAAACTACCCAAGATTATAGAAATTACATAGTGAGGGCTTATTATGAATCAGGCACTGTTCTAACCTTTAAAATAATTGTGAATTTTGTAACCAGCAACCAAGGAATTAATTGCCCTTTGAAATCAACAACTGTGGCTGTGATTCTTGGTCCCCCATAGAATCCCAGTGTGGAGTGAGGCCATCAGTTTTATCTTCTGCTTGGAAAACCATTTATAGATTGCCACAGTTATCACCAGAGTTCCTTCCAGTAATTTAGTTACTATATTGGTAATGAATGAAAGCATCAAACAATTGTTTAGAATTAAATATAAGCTCCTTACAATGTGGGGCATCAGACTATCAAGGCAGCTATTTTTAAGTCCGACTTCGGAGCAAAATCCAGTTCATGCATACAGATATTTTATCATTTTTACTTCAAGCTCAGTAAAGCCGTTTTTCAACAAGCTCTCTCAGGTAGAGTTTTCAGTATAACTTGAATAATTGAGCTAATTGTTCTCTCTGCAAATCTCCAGATTGTAAAATTCTTGTTTACTTTTCTTTTATCCCCAGCTCTCAACACTACTCAGATACTCTAACTGTCTTGGGATATTTTCATTGGTTTCAAAATGTTTGATTCATATTCGACTTTTTCTTGCTAATTAAAATTTGGGCACAAAGATTTCTAAGGACTGAATTGTGTCCCCTCCCCCAAATCCATATGTTCAAGCTCTAACCTCTAATGTATTTTGAGATAAGACCTTCAGGGAGGCAACTAAGGTTAAATGAGCTCATAAAGGCGGGGTCCTCAGCCAGCAGTACTGGTGTCCTTGTAAGAACAGGAACAGATACCAGATCTCACTCTTTCTCTCTCCATATGTACAGAGAAAATCTATGTGAGAACGTAGTGAGAAGGTGGCCATCTGGAAGCCAGGAAGAGAGGCTTCACCAGAAACCAGCCAGGATGGCACCCTGATCTTGGACTTCTAGCCTCCATAGCTGTGAAAACATAAATTTCTGTTGTTTAAGCCACCAGCCTGTGGTATTCTGTTAGGGAAACTCTACCAGGCTCTACCAGGGAAAGTGGGTTTGAAAATGCAACCTTCTGAAAAACCTAGGCATATTTGGATTTGCATCTATTTGCATCTGGATTTGCATCAAACAGGGAAACCTCTGTATGAAGATGCAAAGTCCTTGGTAAAATAAATTTTCATAAGAGAAGAGAGAATCAAGGCATATGAATTTGGTGAAAGAATTCTTAAAAGTTCAGGACTGTCCATAACTTTATTTGTAAAAATGAGAGGTTGACCTCTACAATTACTGAAAACCCCTTCTAGGTCTAAACCAAATTCCTCGAATTATCTCAGATGCAGACAAGAGACTGATGATTGTTTAAGTGAACTCTGCAAACTCCAATATCCCTCCATTATTGAAGCTCTAGTTTCCCGGAAGCCCAGGGAATAAGTTACCACATGATGTGGACAAATAAGAGTTCTCTTTCCTACATGCCCTAGAGGGTGAGTTGTCAAGCTTGACTGCCCACCCAGATACTGAGGTAGGAGGTGGGGCTCAGACACTGGACCAAATGGAGGACTAGCTAAAACAGGTCCAGGGAAGAAGCACCTCCCCCTAAGACAGGCCCACCAGTGTACCATGTCAGCTTACCATTGCTACAGCAACACCTGGAAGTTAGCACCGCTTTCCACCACAATGACCTGAAACCTCAGAAGTTACGACGCTCATCCTAGAAATTCCTTTATAAACTTCCCCTTTATTTGCACGTAATTAAAAGTGAGTATAAATATGACTGCAGAACTGCCTCTTGGCTGCTATTCTGGGCACACTGCCTACGGGGTAGCCCTGCTCCACAAGGAGAAGTACCTCTGCTGCTGCTTCAATAAAAGTTGCTGTCTCACACCACTGGCTTGTCCTTGAATTCTTTCCTAGATGAAGCCAAGAACCCTCCCTGGCTGAGCCCCAATTTTGGGGCTTGCCTGTCCTTCATCAATATGATAGGGACAACTGAGCTTGTAAATTTCTCACACAAAGAGCAAGCCAGTCATATGTCTTGTTAGAAAAAAAAAATCACAACCAAATTCTCAGGTGATCCAAAATTTCATGTAAAAACATCTGCTTTAAATCTAGAAATTAGGAAATTATTAGTTTCTTCATGCTCTCTCAAAAGCAATACACCATTGTATGAATAATCATAGATGATGTGGCATTAGAGTGTCCATGTGCACAAGTAAAGAATGAAGTTATTTCATGCCAAATACCTTTCACTGTTTTATTTCAGACTTTTACCACTGAAATTTTCAAACAACCATCACGGTATTTATCTCATTTACTTAATAAATACCACAATCCAATTCAAATACTGCTGAAGAGATAATATAATTTTGTCTTTACCATTCTTGTTCACAAATTGCAGAAATTTCTCTGTGCATTTCAAGACGTGACCACACCTTCCCTATCCCTGTCCCAACAGGTCATGAGACCCCCCTCATGTTTTCTTAAAATTTTAGTGTTCCTGCTTTTTCTCTTTTGTTTTCCTTTCTCACCCTTCCTTATTTTGTTCCATATTTTTCCTTCCTACTTTCTCCTTTTCTTCATTTCCTTTCTTCCTTCGTTTTTCCCTCCCTTTTGTTAGCAAGTCCAAGTGCTTGTCTGTGGCCCTTTACTTACTGCGTGCTCTATGAGGAGAATGAGCTTCAAAGGTATCATCACAATTAAGAAGTGCAGTATTAAAATGGGTATCATTCTGTCAATCCAAAGCCTGGGAAAGAAAGGAAGGAAGCTGAGAATGTTTGAACTTAAGATTCCAAAATCTTATCTGATTCCTGGTATTGTTTTTCCTGTGATAGCTATTATTGAGCAGCAGTTGCCAAAAATATTGTGGAGTGGAAACATTAGAGTATGAGTGTAAAGAAAGAAATAATAAAGGGTTAAATCATATTGTTTAAGATGAGAAGGTGATATAGAAAAAAAAAAACTAGTGCTTTGAAAAAAACCTGTATAGAAAGGAAATATGAAGTGTGAATAACAGGGAGAAGCCATTTGTTACATATTTAGGAAGGGCTCTGTGAAATCTGGATGGCGTGTGTTTAGCGACGTCACTAATATCAAAGAAAAGGAGTCCTTTTAAAATTGAATGGACAGAGTTACATTTTTTATAGGTGTAATCATATTTCCAATAAAGAAATTCAATGGACCAGGCATGGTAGCTCATGCCTGTAATCCCAGCACTTTGGGAACCCAAGGCTGGCGAATCACTTGAGGTCAGGACCACTCGAGACCAGCCTGGCCAACACGGTGAAACTTCATCTCTACTAAAAATACAAAAATCAGCTGGGCATGGTGACGAGTGCCTGTAATCCCAGCTACTCGGAGGCTGAGGCAGGAGACTCACTTGAACCCTGGAAGTGGAGGTTCAGTGAGCTGAGATCATACCACTGCACTACAGCCTTGGTGATAGAGTGAGATTCTGTCTTAAAAAAAAAATTACTGAACAGAGCTATATAAACTATATACATTTGAATATAAGAAAATGAATTTTCAAAAAGGCTAAGAGGATGCACAGCTGCCTTAAAATAATGAAAAAAATTCCACATGACTTTAATGGCACATTAAAAATATTGCTATAAAGTCCAATGGTGTTGAATATTCCTGAAAACTTTTTTCTCTTTTTAAAAGTATTCAGAAATTTTCTTTGTAAAATTAAGTATTTTGGTTTGAGACATTTTCAATTCTTTCTTAGCTGGAAATTCATTACTCAGTGAATTTTTAAAAAGTTTTTAACAGTGTTTCACCATCATTTCTATCCAATCAAAACAGTTATTGCTGGTAGTGTGGACAGTCATCGTCATGTTTCATCAAGTCTGATATATAATCAGTCCTGGTGGGTGAGTCTATGGGTAGTATTCAACATTTTGACCTCTGTACTTACAATTATATAGATGTCAAATCCCAGAAACAAAGGTCCAATCCCTAATGAAATCCTATCATCAGAATGCCATATGGTAACAACATTAGAAATTGATTTTTGCTTCAAAGGCCTTGCCTGGACTGAATACAGTATATGTGCATCTGATTGAGCTTTGGAAGGCATGCACGAGAAGTCTTAATTTTTCCTTCCTTATGAAAGTTTCATGGTTTAATTTTTTTCAAGATGTTTGAAAATAAATTTTTCAAAGTCTTTATCCATATCACCTTTGATATGAAGAAATCAGGAAGAATGATGCTTTGAGCTATGGAAATGTGTTAGGATTTAAGAAGTAGAATTAGAATTATAGTATAAGGCTGATATGTTTTTCATTTATAATTTTTTTACATGCAACATTTTTAAAAGATAAATATTTCCTCTTAATGGGGTCAGTAATCTCAAGAATGCTGTGTCCCTGGAGTTCTTAAAATGTTCTGGTTTTGCTTTCCCCTTGTACATAGTTTAGAACAAACTTTGTAACTTCAGAGCCAGGATTTCATACACAATTTTAATCCAACTCTTTCCTTCACAGATTAACATGCTGAGACTCGGGAGGTGGTGATTTGCCTAGGGACACAGAAAAGTAAGGATTAAAAACTTAGTTTAGGATTCCCAATCCAGAGCTCCTTCTATTACAGTATGCTTCTTTAGACAACGAGTTGTTAGTTATGTAATGAAAAGAACATATGAAACTGGCTCACACTTCCATAAGCTAGCAGATAGTTATTCCCCACTTTAAAAATATCCATATAGGGCAGGGCGCGGTGGCTCACACCTGTAATCCCAGCACTTTGGGAGGCCGAGGTGGGCGGATCATGAGGTCAGGAGATCGAGACCATCCTGGCTAACACGGTGAAACCCCGTCTCCACTAAAAATACAAAAAATTAGCCGGGCATGGTGGCAGGCACCTGTAGTCCCAGGTACTTGGGAGGCTGAGGCAGGAGAATGGCGTGAACCTGGGAGGCAGAGCTTGCAGTGAGCCGAGATCGCACCACTGTACTCCAGCCTGGGCTACAGAGCGAGACTCCTTCTTAAAAAAAAAAAAAAAATCCATATATACCAATAATTCAAACATACGAACAGATAAATTAGTAATTCTTTCATAATTAATTACTTTATGACACGATATGTGTCACTGACTTCCTTAAATTGTTGTTTGGGTGTACGATAGACACTTTTATTTGGATTTATTCAGGACTTTCTAGAATTCATCTAGAAAAAATCAGACACATTCCTGCTCTTTCTTCTGTAGCAGAGTGAAATACTATTTTTATGCTATTCTCATTTTTAATTTAAAAGGTAAAGTCCCTAAAAAATATCCTTTGGAAAACCTGCTAATGAAAGCTCAGATCTTGGGGACAGCATAGCAATGTAGAAGAGTGTGGGCCGAGAGACCTGTGTATTCTCTTAGCCCCAGCACTTCCTAGACAGATAAACATGGGAGCTTCAGTATGTAGGTAAGGAGTTTCATAAGCTTTGCCGTATTCATACAGCAAATGTATGAAACAATTGCTGTAATATGAACTCTCTCACCTGTTGTGTCTGTTTCTTCTCTCTCATCCACTGAGTAAAATTCCTTCATAAGCGGGGTATCCCTTGAGAAAGCCTAGTGCCTAGAGATAAGTTCATGACCCTTTCTCTTTTCTTTAAAGTGCATTCTAGGTACGTCAGTGAATTCAGTCTTATATTTGCCACTCAAACTTGTTTTGAGTGGTGTGAATACAAAGAACAAAGGTTATTTTTAGAAATTCTAATAATGGAATCTGTTTCAGCCAAGCAGTTAGTAAATGTCAAAAGCTTTCCCCCAAAAAATCTGGACGCTAACTCTTACACAACTGCTCACCAAAACAATTTTTCCTTGAGTCTTTTAAAAGGAGTATGTGCTATTAGGTTTCTGGACATAAAATTCTGTTTATAAACTTTCTAAGATTTGGAATATACTAACTGCTTTAAGATAATAACTGCTGCGAGCTTCCAGAGTTTTCTTAACTTTATCACTTAGGTTGACTGAATTGGCATCTCAGGACTTTCCTGCAAAGTTTATGAACATTCTCACTGTAGTTTTTAGCTTTTTTGCTGCATCATATTTGTTAATCTAATTAATTGTTTAGCTTTATCTTTAGTCCATTTTCTTCACTGGCTACACAACATCTCACTCATTATAATGTGTTGAAGAGGGATTTTTATGGTCCACATAAAATTGTTTGCAAGTATCTTCGGCAATATATTATCTTTGTTTACGATACTCTCACTTTTGGTCAAAATTATTACATCTCCAGGGACAAGATTAAATAGTTTTTCTGGCATGATTCAGGCTTTAGTTTTTGATTTCGTGTTTTCATTCTTTGGTTTACCCCAAAAAACTAATGTTTAGCACACGGTTTAGTTTGTTTTCAAACCTGATAACGTATGACAGTCATTGTATCAGGTTCTACTATTCTTTACATGGCCTCAGGGTGCTTACTGAAACTTAGAATATATTTTACTCCTAATTTAGCTTAAAAATTAATGAATATATCAAATGTAAAAATGATTGGCCAGATCAACAGTAACAGATTATGTAATGTTTATTTATATTCCTTTTGGCTCAAATAAGATGAAAAAATGAATCTTAGCTGAATTTCAAAGATGATGAGCATTTTATACACTAGGGATTGTGATTCCCTATAAGATGAAAAGAGGTTATTTTGATCTCAATTTTCGTTTTGTAATCACCCATTGTCAAATTTACTTTTCAAAGTTTTTTTTTTTAACTATTCTTAAGTTTGAAAACTTTCTAGACCTTAGCCAGTATGTAGAATGCCCAATGCATATGTTGACTGCTGACAAGCTTCAGAGCCATTGTTACTAAAAAATAGAAAAATAGTCTATAATTCGTAAATGAGAGTGTTTTGGAAGACTGCTTTCCTTTTCCAGGACATAAACAACTTTACTTCATGAACTAGATGATAATGCTGTACAGAGCACACAGCTGGAATTCAGTAACCATTGCACTAAAACCATTTTTTAAAGTTAGTATTGAAAACAGGATATTTTCAGGGCACTGACTTCCTAATTAAACAGTTTGAAAGAAAACATTATTTTGTAGCAAAATATATAGATACTGATATTTTGTATCATACTGATTTGTCACCTATACCAGTTAAAAATGTTTTAGTGGGCTTCTGTAGTCCCAGCTACTCGAGAGGCTGAGGCGGGACAATGGCTTGAACCCAGAAGGCAGAGCTTGCAGTGAGCCGAGATCGCACCACTGCACTCCAGCCTGGGCAAC
Organism: Homo sapiens; assembly: GCF_000001405.40. Classification (NCBI taxonomy): domain Eukaryota; kingdom Metazoa; phylum Chordata; class Mammalia; order Primates; family Hominidae; genus Homo; species Homo sapiens. Next base: position 176,682,440 of record NC_000004.12, read on the forward strand.
AGAGCGAGATTCCGTTTCAAAAAAACAAAAATGTTTTAGTTAAATTAATGTGCTACCTTTACATGCTTATGAGGAATATTTTCTCTTTTCAGGACTAATTATTTTTATACAGTAGTTATGATGTACCAGTATATAATTCTCTGTCAACGAACAAACCACTTATTTGGTTTTATTTATGCAGGCAAAATCTTTGTTTTAGTAAAAGGTATTTTAGGCTGGGCACGGTGGTTCATGCCTGTAATCCCAGCACTTTGAGGCCGACGTCTGTGGATCACTTGAGGTCAGGAGTTCGTGATCAGACTGGCCAACATGGTGAAACCCCATCTGCACTAAAAATACAAAAATTAGCCAGGTGTGCCGGCACGTGCCTATAATCCCAGCTACTCAGGAGGCTGAGGCAGGAGAATCACTTGAATCCGGGAGGCAGAGGTTAGGGGCAGTGAGCTGAGATCACGCCACTGCACTCCAGCCTGGGCAACAGAGCAACACTATCTGAAGAAAAAAAAAAAAAAAGATAAAGGTATTTTAGTGTAATGCCTTTTTGAAAATGAAACAAGCACTTCAATTGTGTGGCTGAAATGTTTCCTTTTAAACATGCATGAGTATTTAAATATTATTTTTAGTTTTTTTTTAAAATGTATTGGATAGGAGCACTTCCACTCACAAAAAGTATTTTAGCTGGCCAGAAAAAGTCAAATATTTGGAAAAGATTATTTTTGAGAAAATATTTAAAGCCATTTTAATATATACTGCAGGATTTTCTACCAACGTAAGATTCTGAATGTTCTCAGAGCACTGAATGACTTTTAATCACAATGCTAAGTAGTCTATCTTACAAGATGTTTCATATTGATTCACTTGGTCATAAATTCAAAAGTATCATGTACTAAAATGTTTATAATCATTAAACATATAAGAGATGAAGCAATAGCATTCTGTTGTCCTCTGACACTCTCTTTCACAGGATCATACTTTTTATCATAGTAATACATATGTGACATCTGGTTAGAGAACAAAAAAGGGCAGAGAAAGATCAGTGTCTTCATGATAGTAGTTTTCGTTCATCATGTAAGATGATAATGGACTGAACTTAGCAGCTTATAATACAATTTTCATTTTATTTTAAACATATTTTGCATGATATAAAAATATTGATCACAGTGAGTTTTACCAATTGTTGTTGCTATAAAAATGAATGCAGAAACAATATTTTTAGTGGAAATAAATTATATAGTCATTCTTTTAAAGAAATCACAAGAGGAAAATCTTGGCTGTTTGGTCATTGGCAGAAAACCAGTCTTTACAAGAGGCCTTTTGCAGATGAGCTCCAGTCCATTTCTGTAAAGTTATCCACATGGTTCAGGAAAGACAGACTTTTGTCTTTGTTAGCATGGACCCACAAGGGTCTCTCTGTTCACAGACAGTTCTACTGTGGCAACACAGTTTTCCATAATAGAAAATCGATGAACTGGAAAACAGTACAATCTTAGCTCATTTGTGGTCTTTTCCAATATGAAGGGACACAACGACACACTTCTTCACTATATGAAAATCCTGGCTCACAAGCCTTCTGGCGGTTCGTACATGGCCGTCTGTAACAGCTAGGAGAACAAACAAGAACACACTTACGTTAAAGATCAAGGCAATGGATTCATCATGCTACCAAGGTATTTCTGTGTTTTTAAATTTCAGACTGGAATAAAATTACTAATTTTATGACGAAATTGTTCATAGGTTTAAAAAAGTTTGTTTCTGCTTAGAATTACAACATTTAAGAGGAATGGAAAAGCCTTAAAATAAAAGTCTTGCTTGCTGATATAACAAATGGAAGGATGAGGTATTGTAAGCATTAGTTCCTTTGAAGTGCTCTTTGCTTCATGGGTGAAAGAAACATAAAACAGAAATTCTGAAAGTGAACACTGAAGGTCTGCTGACTTACTGTGATCACATAAGCATGGCAGAATTCACATGAGTCTGGGACTTGTATGGGACCCAGACTTCCAGGCAATTAAACCCAGCCATGTTGGCAGAACTGTGGTCCTCAGTGAGCAGCCCCACCCTCACTCTTGTGTCTCTACTTGGCAGCTGGCTGCATGACGGTGACTAACTCTTCCTTTCCACCTTGGCTCCAGGTGAAACAGAGGCATTCTGGGGCAGGGAGGTGAGAAGGACAATACTCAGCAGCGAGGGTCCCCTTCCTCCCATCCTAGACTTCCAGTTTCCAGTAGCGGTGAGAGGACAAATTATCAATTGGTCAGTGTGTCTCCTGCCCTGTTGCTCCAGTGAATTGAGGCTTCATTTTTTGAGACAGAGTCTTGTTCTGTCGCCCAGGCTGGAGCGCAGTGGGGCAATCTCAGCTTACTGCAACCTCCGCCTCCTGGGCTCAAGCCATTCTTGTGTCTCAGCCTCCCGAGTAGCTGGGATTACAGGTATGTGTGGCCACGCCTGGCTAAGTTTCTGTATTTTTCATAGAGCCAGGGTTTTGCCATGTTGGCTGGGCTGGTCTTGAACTCCTGGCCTCAAGTGATCTGCCCGCCTTGGCCTTCCAAAGTGCTAGGATTACAGGTGTGAGCCACCACGCCTGGTGAGAATTGGAGCTATCTTTTAAAAACATTTTGGAGTATGAGCATGCCTAATGTGTGGGAATAGGTGTAAAGGGAAAAGTGCAAGATGACCTGAGGTGGAAATCAAAAGTGTGCTATAAAAAACCCTACACAATTTGGTTTTGACATTTCATTTATTTGGCTCTAGAAAAGAAAGCATGTCTAGTTAATTTTTCTTAAACTTTGCAAATGCAAATTCATAGTTATGACTACTGGTATTCCTCTACTAAAAAGGGATATGATACTTAATGATCCATAAAAGCTGTTAATTAAGGCAATGAACCAAAGAATATATACTCTGCCTACTGCACTTTGTAATAGATATTAAGAGAGAATGAGGAGAATATATATTTTCAAAATATGATATTTTCTCTTTTGCTCCAATTTATATCACAAAGCTTGGAATTATACACTTAGAAAAATGAATCTAGGATGAGTTGCAGTAAACAGAGTCTTTTTGAAAGAATGTATAGTATTAGGAGAAATGCAATGATAGAAATATTGTCTGTGTTCATATAATTCTGTAGAAAAGTAGGTATGCAGACATAAGAATTTCAGATTTTTCAATGTATACTAAATTCACTCAATAAGAATTCAATATAAAACATAGTTTAATAAGGCTTAAAAAGATTTAGTATCTATATCCTTCTGAAAATAGTAGCATATACATTTTTGAAATGTCCTCTTGGTTATTACAGTAGGAATATATAGGTAAAATTGGAATATAGTTCTTTCTCAAAATAAAATTATACCTATGATGTACTTTGCAGTATAAGGGAAGAAAAATATAATCAATGAGATAGCCAGATCCACTAAAGCCTTTTTATCCAGTAGCTAAAATATTAGTTTAGGAAAACCACCAAAAATATACATTAAAATAAGGACACAAAACTCTTGAGAATAAAAAGATGAACTCGTTATATACTGTGGAAAAATAATAATGAACATTAGTGAAGATAGTAAATAAATGAAATACAAGCTTTTTTCTGTTAAAAAGAACATTATCTACCCATATGTAAAGAATGGATGTAAAAAGAGAATCCAGTGAAAGTGATTAAAAACAAATGGTCTGAAAATTAAGTAGACAACTAGGAAAGTACAATGTCATGTCATAGAAGAGGTGAGCTTAAAGAAAAAGGCCATGGAAAGGACAGGTTACCTAAGGACAAAATTCTCTGTTGGATTTGGCAACTATGAGGCCAATGAAACGTTAAACAGAGGTTTAACATAGCACTGTAGGCCATAAACCAGGTTTTAGTTGGTTGAATACATGGTAGGTGAAAGAGGTGAAAACAAATGCCTCGTTTTTGAGCAGCTTTGAAGAGAACAGACCTGGGTTGCTAAAGTTTGCTCAACTTCACAGTAAGAGGCTAATAAAATAGAAGAAATTTGGGAACTTTTATAAACTAAGGGGAAAAAAAGTAGAGTTGAAGATGTTCAAGTTACAGAAGAAAGAAGGAATGGCATGAAGCAATGTTGAAGGAATGTGGAGAAAATGTCAAACGGACAGGTCTGGCTTAAATAGTAGGATCAATTTATTCTCTGAGATTAAAGAGGAAGAGGTTTCGGGATTAACACTGAATGTGCTTGAGTCGAATAACTTCATTTTTTTTTTCTTGATGCAGAAGAGTCAAAACCAAGTTTAAGACATGAGTCTTGGGTACCTTTAACAACATATTCATTTATTTCTCTAATTCTATCAAATACTTAGCTATGTATTTTCATTTCCAGATATAATTCTATACCAGTGGTACTCTCCTGTCCTTTGTTTGTAAGTTTTGCATAAAAATTGTCTGCATTTAGAACAGTTGTCCTAAATTATGTCTGAAGGCATCCTACTTTTTGGTGGGGGTGAAGTGGATTGCCTTTAGGTATTTTGAAAACATCCCACAGGAACCACTAATTTAGAGTATATTCTGAGCTTGGATCTAATTTTGATCCTCAAGGCTCCTGTCTTGCTTTTTTGGAAGCAAATCCAGTCTCATGCAAGTTTAGCATTGGTTAAAAAAATATAAGATTTTTGTCTTTCAGAATGTATTGGCCTCATTCTAACAAGCAATTGTTACTTTGGTTAAGAAAACTGCTTTTGGTTTAGAGCATATTTCTAGTAAGATAAATTAATATTCTTCATGAGGATCTCTTACCTGCATGTTTGGTGGTGGAACTTCTTTCCTTTTAACAAGCATTTCTGTGGACTTTCTGTACATTCACAGGCACATTTTCCAGGATTTAGGGGTTGATTTCTGGGGCAGGTTCTTTTACATACACACTGGCATGTGTTTTCATCAAATTCTCGGTTGGCCCCACATTGGCTGGGGAAGAGTTTGTTTTTACAGACACACTGGCATGAGTTTCTGTCTAGTTCTTTGTGGGGTCCACAGCTGGCAGGCCGAAGCCCCGCTCTGCAGACACACTGACAGGTCTCTTCATCCAGCTCCTTGTTTGGTCCACAGATGTCATGGAATCCATCTGTTGAGTCTAGACAAATAGTCAGAGAATCTTTACTATACCTTACTTGGTTCTGGGTGTGGCATGAAACAAAAGCTTTTAAAAGCATCTTCCTTTTGTATGTTTTCCATCAAAGGATTGGGTACAAACATGAGTATGTTCCTTTATAAAGGAGTTCAAAATAATACCAACGTGAAGTAGAAAATGTACTATTTTTTAGTCACTTATTTAGAAGAATGATGAATATTATATGTGTGGTTTTAATATTAGAGTATGTTAATCACAATATAGACCCCTGGCGTTTAGTCTTTAAAGCATCATTCTGCTTACCATCTCCAGCATCCGAGGAAAACATAAAATCTTCCTGAGCCAGGCATCTGCAGATGTGATTATTCCACATGTAATTGGTGGGGCAGGTCTTGTTCGCTGCCTGACACCTTTGGAAGAAACAGACGAGGTTTAGCAATGGTGTAACTGGTACCTAGAAGGGACCATCTCTGCTCACATATGTATCAAAATAATGCTCATAGAAAAGCTTTAAAAATATAAGAATTATGAGATAAAATGTGAATGTTTTCTCCCAAACTCTCTCTACCCACAACTGCTATAAAATTCCAATCCCAGAGGTGATCACTGTTTGTGGTATGGTCTTAGAGGACACCAGACTTTTATCTTTTTAAGGCAAACACATTGGTTTGTATAATCATATAGGGTTTTAGCTTGTGAAATAAATAAGGTAAAACCTTTTGCTTTAAAATTTTTTTCCATTATACAATATATCATGGACATTTTTATATGTCATTGAGTAGAGTTCTGCTCCATTATTTTTAGTGGCTATGTAATATTCCATACAAAAGATGTACCATTATTTATTTTATTCATCTCTTAGGTAACTATCTACATCACTTTGATTTTGGCTTTTCCAAGCAATACTGGAGGAAACATCTATGTAAATGTATCTTTACTGACTTATTTCTGAAGCACAGATCCCCATCTTGTAAAGCCTCCAGAAATGCAAAATTTCCACTCTGTACTCCCCCAAAAAGTTATCAAAGATATTTTGTTTCATTGTTGTTCTAGCTCTTTACTTCCTTCCTTCCCTCCCTCCCTCCTTTCTTCCTTCCCTTCCCCTCCTTTCCCCTTTCTTCCCACCTTCCTTCCTTGTTTTAGAGTAAAAATTATGAACCTACAGGCTTCAGTCAAGTACCCTAATTGCTCCTTTGATGGTCCAATGGCCCCACTGTTGCTACCTGAGACCCCTCTCTGTTGGTGCCCACGTGACATGAGCCCTCTCTGGGGTGAACATATATCACAAGCTCAGCTTGCTCATTTTCTCCTCCACACCTGGCATCAGCCATTTCTTCAGGAGCCCTAATTCTCTTTGTTGGAAAACAGCATTTTAGAGGCTATCATTTGAGATCAGAAGTGTTTAGTGCCATCAGATCACATTACTACTAGACCTTTTCAGGGGGCAGAGCTAGAAAAATGCATTATATCCTGTAGAATGTTTTCCTAGTTAATATTTACCCAGTAGAAGGATTTTTGGTTTTAAATATGCTAATTTACAGGATATATATCAACTTCTCACTACCTCATTTTTTCATCTAATGTTGGTGTAGACATCAAATAGAAGTATTTATTTATATCTTTCACACTCATTATATATTGTAAACAACTTTATGTGCTGGAAGAATGTTGAGTTACATTCCAAATTGATAGAACATAGTAAGAATCCTATGTAGCCATCTTAACATGTGCATTGAGTATAAACAAACAGGCCAGTTACTAAGAAAGTTTTGCAGACATACTCAGTGTGACAATACATCTTTCTTTTAATAATAGCCTGGTAACTCTTACAGCATCACATAGAGGAATTTTTCAACAGAAAAACAAGCAAATCTGCATTTTGCAACCAAAATGCAGCTTGAACATCTTCCTTCAGCTTGAACATCATTTCTGAAGATTTACCAAAGCTTTCCTGTCCAGCAAGTCTCTACAGCATCTACTAGACACAGACATGGGGAAGGTCTCTTCATTCCTCTTCATATGACAGTTTGTCGAAGATTGCCCCCTTGTCCTCCATCCACCCATCACCTTCTGCAAATAGCAATGACTGATTTGACCTTTCTTTGTCCCTTCTTGAGTTTCTTCAAGAGTCATTTCTCCTTTAGCAAGGTGAAAAACAGTCTATTATGGGTCTTTTATTTATTTTAATTTTGACTTTTAACTTTTTGATTGCTGTGTTATTTGCTATGCTATACCACAAAGTGACAATTTCTCATACAGCATATACACGGTCCATGTAACTAGATACAAAGCAACTGTATGTTAGCAACATCAATAATTGCTGATTAGGAAACAATATACATTTTAGATTTTATCAAGAGAGTTTGTCACTTTTCTATGCTTTTCTACAGGCATTATTAGGTATCAATTATTTTGTAGGAAATAGCTATGTTTTGGTTTACCTTCCATTCACTATAATTGTTCCCATTTAGAACAGAAATGTGCTCTCAAAATCTATTTTTGGGAATAGATTACTGATCTTAAGCAAGAGATTCCTGCACACATTTTTAGAGAAAAAATTTCATACTGTTACTTCCAAATCCAATTAACATTACTGGATTTTAATGTACTACTTTGACTTCATACTAATAACTTCCATGAAAACCTTGGCTTCTAACAATCTTCACATAAACTGTTATTTGCTTTATCCTGCATATATTATGTACTTCTATGTTCTTACTTTTGAGAATGTCAAACATGTATGTAATTATCAGAGTTAAGACTATGAGAAAAATGTACAGTCAGAGAAGTTCTGTATCATCAGCAAGTTTCTTTTTTTTTTTTTGGCTTTTTGGTTTATGTTTTCAGGGTATCTTCTTGCCAAAAAATTGCATATATGTTTTTTCACATTTTGTTACACAGATAGCATCCGTTACACATTATTGTAAACCTTGTTTTTTTCACTTACCAATATTTCTTGGAGAACATTGTACCTTCCTAATAATTTTAGGAATTCCAAGGGCAAGTCTCTACTCATTGCGCATTTTTGTCATTATTTTCTAGGTTAATCATGAACATATATTGTTCTAGATAAAATGCAGACAGTCAGGACTTATCCAAAACAGTATCATTGTTTTTAAAATTTATATCCTCTTGATAGTTAGCATCCTTCCATCAAATATGATACAACTTATATTAAGTTCTATAATAGCAATGCAATTAATCCTGGCTGCATGAAACTCATAATCTTCTATAAATGATGGTAAAAACATTTTGGTTATGTCGCTTCTGTGTTGATTGATATATGGTTTAAGTAACACACTGCCATGTTGGCATCGAGTGGCCATTATAACGTGTTGGTAGAAAGGCATCTTTCATTTTACCAACATGTGATTTATACTGCCATTACCTAAGCCAGTGTTATTCCAGCTGCTGCTTGCAACCCATTAATGAATCATGAAATCAATGACATGGGCTCAGAAATGCATTTTAAAATGTAATAGAATGATATGTAATAAAATACAAACCAATAGAATGCATGTGATACAGATTGGTTCCTAAAGAAAGCACCGTGCTTCAAAAGTGAGGAGCAAGTTCTTCGCATTTAAAACTTCTCAGGCAAAAATGGTGGGCAGGGGGTCAACATTTCCAAAATATTTTTATTTTAGAATGAAAGGAAATGTGGTCATGATGGATAGAGGTTTAGTAAAATTTGGTTATCTCCTTTACGTTTTAATCTCCAAAGCATTTCTCCTTACAGAAATTTCTCTTCTAGTTCTGAATATTAAAGTATGCATAAATACTTTAAAGGTTTATAATTATGTTTTTTGTATAGTGTATTTATAAAAGACATTGATTCAAAGACATTCTGTCTGCAAAGCAAAGCAGGGAATTGCACAATTATTTGCAAGGTATGTCTATGTTGAGAATCATGTGAATAAACTAACTTTCCTATCCCCCCACCGACCCCACCACACACACACACAGGCACAACCACAATCCTGCCTATAACCTGTATGAAGGATAAAGATGCTTTTATCAGAATTGTTTCATTAATTATTTTCACAGCTTCACTTGACTTTGGTGTGGCAGCTATTGCTTTATGCTGGTTAAAATCACGTGACAAAAATATGAGTATATGTGTTTTTCAAACTAAAGAACAATGAATTTAATGATAAATAAAATCTTAGTTTGCATTTATCTCTCCTTTGAAATATTAAAAGATAAATGTATTCCAAATACGTTCTGTTACATTATATTCTAAACGTTGGGTAATAATTACCAGCTCTTGGGGAGGAGCCAAGATGGCCAAATAGGAACAGCTCCGGTCTACAGCTCCCAGCCTGAGCAACGCAGAAGACGGGTGATTTCTGCATTTCCATCTGAGGTACCGGGTTCATCTCACTAGGGAGTGCCAGACAGTGGGCGCAGGTCAGTGGGTGCACGCACCGTGCGCGAGCCGAAGCAGGGCGAGGCATTGCCTCACTTGGGAAGCACAAGTGGTCAGGGAGTTCCCTTTCCTAGTCAAAGAAAGGGGTGAGGGGCAGCACCTGGAAAATCGGGTCACTCCCACCCGAATACTGCGCTTTTCCGACGGGCTTAAAAAACGGCGCACCGGCCCGGCGCGGTGGCTCACGCCTGTAATCCCAGCACTTTGGGAGGCCGAGGCGGGCGGATCACGAGGTCAGGAGATCGAGACCATCCCGGCTAAAACGGTGAAACCCCGTCTCTACTAAAAATACAAAAAATTAGCCGGGCGTAGTGGCGGGCGCCTGTAGTCCCAGCTACTTGGGAGGCTGAGGCAGGAGAATGGCGTGAACCCGGCAGGCGGAGCTTGCAGTGAGCCGAGATCCCGCCACTGCACTCCAGCCTGGGCGACAGAGCGAGACTCCGTCTCAAAAACAAACAAACAAACAAACAAAAAAAAAACAAAAAACGGCACACCACGAGATTATACCCGCACCTGGCTCGAGGGTCCTACGCCCACGGAGTCTCGCTGATTGCTAGCACAGCAGTCTGAGATCAAACTGCAAGGCGGCAATGAGGCTGGGGGAGGGACGCCCGCCATTGCCCAGGCTTGATTAGGTAAACAAAGCAGCCGGGAAGCTCGAACTGGGTGGAGCCCACCACAGCTCAAGGAGGCCTGCCTGCCTCTGTAGGCTCCACCTCTGGGGGCAGGGCACAGACAAACAAAAAGACAGAAGTAACTTCTGCAGACTTAAATGTCCCTGTCTGACAGCTTTGAAGAGAGCAGTGGTTCTCCCAGCACGCAGCTGGAGATCTGAGAACGGGCAGACTGCTTCCTCAAGTGGGTCCCTGACCCCTGACCCCCGAGCAGCCTAACTGGGAGGCACCCCCCAGCAGGGGCACACTGACACCTCACACAGCAGGGTATTCCAACAGACCTGCAGCTGAGGGTCCTGTCTGTTAGAAGGAAAACTAACAAACAGAAAGGACATCCACACCGAAAACCCATCTGTACATCACCATCATCAAAGACCAAAAGTCGATAAAACCACAAAGATGGGGAAAAAACAGAACAGAAAAACTGGAAAGTCTAAAAAGCAGAGTGCCTCTCCTCCTCCAAAGAAACACAGTTCCTTACCAGCAATGGAACAAAGCTGGATGGAGAATAACTTTGACGAGCTGCGAGAAGAAGGCTTCAGACGATCAAATTACTCTGAGCTACAGGAGGACATTCAAACCAAAGGCAAAGAAGTTGAAAACTTTGAAAAAAATTTAGAAGAATGTATAACTAGAATAACCAATACAGAGAAGTGCTTAAAGGAGCTGATGGAGCTGAAAACCAAGGCTCGAGAACTACGTGAAGAATGCAGAAGCCTCAGGAGCCGATGCAATCAACTGGAAGAAAGAGTATCAGCAATGGAAGATGAAATGAATGAAATGAAGCGAGAAGGGAAGTTTAGAGAAAAAAGAATAAAAAGAAATGAGCAAAGCCTCCAAGAAATATGGGACTATGTGAAAAGACCAAATCTATGTCTGATTGGTGTACCTGAAAGTGATGGGGAGAATGGAACCAAGTTGGAAAACACTCTGCAGGATATTATCCAGGAGAACTTCCCCAATCTAGCAAGGCAGGCCAACGTTCAGATTCAGGAAATACAGAGAATGCCACAAAGATACTCCTCGAGAAGAGCAACTCCAAGACACATAACTGTCAGATTCACCAAAGTTGAAATGAAGGAAAAAATGTTAAGGGCAGCCAGAGAGAAAGGTCTGGTTACCCTCAAAGGGAAGCCCATCAGACTAACAGAGGATCTCTCGGCAGAAACCCTACAAGCCAGAAGAGAGTGGGGGCCAATATTCAACATTCTTAAAGAAAAGAATTTTCAACCCAGAATTTCATATCCAGCCAAAATAAGCTTCATATAAGTGAAGGAGAAATAAAATACTTTACAGACAAGCAAATGCTGAGAGATTTTGTCACCACCAGGCCTGCCCTAAAAGAGCTCCTGAAGGAAGCGCTAAATATGGAAAGGAACAACTGGTACCAGCCGCTGCAAAATCATGCCAAAATGTAAAGACCATCGAGACTAGGAAGAAACTGCATCAACTAATGAGCAAAATAACCAGCTAACATCATAATGACAGGATCAAATTCACACATAACAATATTAACTTTAAATGTCAATGGACTAAATGCTCCAATTAAAAGACACAGACTGGCAAATTGGATAAAGAGTCAAGACCCATCAGTGTGCTGTATTCAGGAAACCCATCTCACGTGCAGAGACACACATAGGCTCAAAATAAAAGGATGGAGGAAGATCTACCAAGCAAATGGAAAACAAAAAAAGGCAGGGGTTGTAATCCTAGTCTCTGATAAAACAGACTTTAAACCAACAAAGATCAAAAGAGACAAAAAAGGCCATTACATAATCGTAAAGGGATCAATTCAACAAGAAGAGCTAACTATCCTAAATATATATGCACCCAATACAGGAGCACCAAGATTCATAAAGCAAGTCCTGAGTGACCTACAAAGAGACTTAGACTCCCACACATTAATAATGGGAGACTTTAACACCCACTGTCAACATTAGACAGATCAACGAGACAGAAAGTCAACAAGGATACGCAGGAATTGAACTCAGTTCTGCACCAAGCGGACCTAATAGACATCTACAGAACTCTCCACCCCAAATCAATGGAATATATATTTTTTTCAGCACCACACCACACCTATTCCAAAATTGACCACATACTTGGAAGTAAAGCTCTCCTCAGCAAATGTAAAAGAACAGAAATTATAACAAACTATCTCTCAGACCACAGTGCAATCAAACTAGAACTCAGGATTAAGAATCTCACTCAAAACTGCTCAACTACATGGAAACTGAACAACCTGCTCCTGAATGACTACTGGGTACGTAACGAAATGAAGGCAGAAATAAAGATGTTCTTTGAAACCAACGAGAACAAAGACACAACATACCAGAATCTCTGGGACGCATTCAAAGCAGTGTGTAGAGGGAAATTTATAGCACTAAATGCCCACAAGAGAAAGCAGGAAAGATCCAAAATTGACACCCTAACATCACAATTAAAAGAACTAGAAAAGCAAGAGCAAACACATTCAAAAGCTAGCAGAAGGCAAGAAATAACTAAAATCAGAGCAGAACTGAAGGAAATAGAGACACAAAAAACCCTTCAAAAATTAATGAATCCAGGAGCTGGTTTTTTGAAGGGATCAACAAAATTGATAGACTGCTAGCAAGACTAATAAAGAAAAAAAGAGAGAAGAATCAAATAGACGCAATAAAAAATGATAAAGGGGATATCACCACCGATCCCACAGAAATACAAACTACCATCAGAGAATACTACAAACACCTCTATGCAAATAAACTAGAAAATCTAGAAGAAATGAATAAATTCCTCGACACATACACTCTCCCAAGACTAAACCAGGAAGAAGTTGAATCTCTGAATAGACCAATAACAGGATCTGAAATTGTGGCAATAATCAATAGCTTACCAACCAAAAAGAGTCCAGGACCAGACGGATTCACAGCCCAATTCTACCAGAGGTACAAGGAGGAACTGGTACCATTCCTTCTGAAACTATTCCAATCAATAGAAAAAGAGGGAATCCTCCCTAACTCATTTTATGAGGCCAGCATCATTCTGATATGAAAGCCAGGCAGAGACACAACAAAAAAAGAGAATTTTAGACCAATATCCTTGATGAACATTGATGCAAAAATCCTCAATAAAATACTGGCAAAACGAATCCAGCAGCACATCAAAAAGCTTATCCACCATGATCAAGCGGGCTTCATCCCTGGGATGCAAGACTGGTTCAATATATGCAAATCAATAAATAAATGTAATCCAGCATATAAACAGAGCCAAAGACAAAAACCACATGATTATCTCAATAGATGCAGAAAAAGCCTTTGACAAAATTCAACAACCCTTCATGCTAAAAACTCTCAATAAATTAGGTATTGATGGGACATATTTCAAAATAATAAGAGCTATCTATGACAAACCCACAGCCAATATCATACTGAATGGGCAAAAACTGGAAGCATTCCCTTTGAAAACTGGCACAAGACAGGGATGCCCTCTCTCACCACTACTATTCAACATAGTGTTGGAAGTTCTGGCCAGGGCAATTAGGCAGGAGAAGGAAATAAAGGGTATTCAATTAGGAAAAGAGGAAGTCAAATTGTCCCTGTTTGCAGACAACATGATTGTATATCTAGAAAACCCCATTGTCTCAGCCAAAAATCTCCTTAAGCTGATAAGCAACTTCAGCAAAGTCTCCAGATACAAAATCAATGTACAAAAATCACAAGCACTCTTATACACCAACAACAGACAAACAGAGAGCCAAATCATGAGTGAACTCCCATTCACAATTGCTTCAAAGAGAATAAAATACCTAGGAATCCAACTTACAAGGGATGTGAAGGACCTCTTCAAGGAGAACTACAAACCACTGCTCAAGGAAATAAAAGAGGATACAAACAAATGGAAGAACATTCCATGCTCATGGGTAGGAAGAATCAATATCGTGAAAATGGCCATACTGCCCAAGGTAATTTACAGATTCAATGCCATCCCCATCAAGCTACCAATGACTTTCTTCACAGAACTGGAAAAAACTACTTTAAAGTTCATATGGAACCAAAAAAGAGCCTGCATCACCAAGTCAACCCTAAGCCAAAAGAACAAAGCTGGAGGCATCACCCTACCTGACTTCAAACTATACCACAAGGCTACAGTAACCAAAACAGCATGGTACTGGTTCAAAACAGAGATATAGATCAATGGAACAGAACAGAGCCCTCAGAAATAACGCCGCATATCTACAACAATCTGATCTTTGACAAACCTGAGAAAAACAAGCAATGGGGAAAGGATGCCCTATTTAATAAATGGTGCTGGGAAAACTGGCTAGCCATATGTAGAAAGCTGAAACTGGATCCCTTCCTTACACCTTATACAAAAATCAGTTCAAGATGGATTAAAGACTTAAACGTTAGACCTAAAACCATAAAAACCCTAGAAGAAAACCTAGGCATTACCATTCAGGACATAGGCATGGGCAAGGACTTCACGTCTAAAACACCAAAAGCAATGGCAACAAAAGACAAAATTGATAAATGGGATCTAATTAAACTAAAGAGCTTCTGCACAGCAAAAGAAACTACCATCAGAGTGAACAGGCAACCTACAAAATGGGAGAAAATTTTCACAACCTACTCATCTGACAAAGGGCTAATATCCAGAATCTACAATGAACTCAAACAAATTTACAAGAAAAAAACAAACAACCCCATCAAAAAGTGGGCGAAGGACATGAACAGACACTTCTCAAAAGAAGACATTTATGCAGCCAAAAAACACATGAAAAAATGCTCACCATCACTGGTCATCAGAGAAATGCAAATCAAAACTACAATGAGATACCATCTCACACCACGTAGAATGGCAATCATTCAAAAGTCAGGAAACAACAGGTGCTGGAGAGGATGTGGAGAAATAGGAACACTTTTACACTGTTGGTGGGACTGTAAACTAGTTCAACCATTGTGGAAGTCAGTGTGGCGATTCCTCAGGGATCTAGAACTGGAAATACCATTTGACCCAGCCATCCCATTACTGGGTATATACCCAAAGAACTATAAATCATGCTGCTATAAAGACACATGCACACGTATGTTTATTGCGGCATTATTCACGATAGCAAAGACTTGGAACCAACCCAAATGTCCAACAATGATAGACTGGATTAAGAAAATGTGGCACATATACACCATGGAATACTATGCAGCCATAAAAAATGATGAGTTCATGTCCTTTGTAGGGACATGGATGAAATTGGAAGTCATCATTCTCAGTAAACTATCACAAGAACAAAAAACCAAACACCGCATATTCTCACTCATAGGTGGGAATTGAACAATGAGATCACATGGACACAGGAAGGGGAACATCACACTCTGGGGACTGTTGTGGGGTGGAGGGAGGGGGAGGGATAGCATTGGGAGATATACCTAATGGTAGATGACAAGTTAGTGGGTGCAGCACACCAGCATGGCACATGTATACATATGTAACTAACCTGCACAATGTGCACATGTACCCTAAAACTTAAAGTATAATAATAAAAATAAAAATAATAATAATAATAATAATTACTAGCTCTTATACTTTCAACATCACAGCAGGCTATTTTGTGCATGCTATTTTTGTGATTCTCATATTCTACACTCTTTGCCACGGAGGTTTTCCTACACTTGGAGATTTCTTGACTCCTCAAATCCACATTTAAGGAACTAAAACATGCTATCACCTTTTGTTTGGTCTTAGTCAGAACTGGGCTGAAATGTTATTCTTTTTCAAAGAGCTATAATCTGCTATAATCTCTTATACATTTGTATATACATATACATATATATAATATTCATGCATTTTTCCAGCTTTATTGAAGTATGATTGATAAATATTGTACATATATAAGGTATACAAAGTGATGTTTTGGTATATGTATACACTGTGAAATGATTACCAAAATCAAGCTAATTAACATATCCACACCTCAAAGAGTTACTGTGTGTGTGGGGGAGTTGGGGGGTGCAGTGAGAATACTATTGAGTAGAGTAACTATGCTGTACTATACGTTAGGTCTCCAGAGCATATTCACCTTGTAACTGCAAGTTGTCACACTCTAACATTTCCCCATGTCCCCCACCCCCAAGACCGTGGTGACCACTCTTCTATTCTGTATCTATGAATTCTACTTTTCTAGATTCCATATATAAGGGAGATCAGTAATATGCATCTTTCTGTGTCTGGCTTATTTCACTCAGCACAATTTCCTCCAGGTTATTTCACGTTGTTGGAAATGACAGAATCTTTGTAATATATTTCTAATTGAAAAAAATTAACTGCACCTTGATTTATGTTAAACTACTTATTGATTTACTTCCCCAGATCTCTCTTAAAATACTTCACAGATCATTCAAAATGAATGATAACATTAATGTCAATTCAACTGTAGCACATGATGATTTTCTTGAAAAGCAAATTATTTCTATAGATACGAACTGTGTTATTAATCAAGTACTCTCATTGGAAGCTCTTTTAATAAGGTTTTTCACAACAACACAACAAATAAAAATTTGGCTTACCATGTGGCACCTATGGTTCCATAGCTGTGTCCCTCAAATAGCCTTCCTATCTCTAGTCTTGTTCAATGGGAAGTGTGAGCCACCAGCATTAGTGAAACCCATGTTTCAAGGCAGGTACCACAAGCTCTCATGCATTCCTTCAGAGCATCGTCATGTCACTCAGCGGGTTATCCAACAGGATGTTCTGTACCCCATTAAAGAAACAAATAAGGGAAACCTGACTCCATTAACAATCTTGATAAATACCAAAATAGGGTTTTGGTTTTCCACATGCCAACTGCTGATGTTATCTGAAGTTCAAACTTGTAATTGTATTATGAAGAACATAGATACAGACCCTTCTTGCCCAAGCTTTCTGTCTGAATAGCAGCTGGAAGAGCAACTATATTCTTTCATTGTCAGAGCTACAGAGCCCTGGGTAAAAATGCTTCAACAATTTTGTCCCAAATATCTTTGAACTGTCATGTTCATCTTGAGTTTGTTACGCCTGACGCTTGTATACACTTGACTATGTACACAGAGACTGATTTGCTTACACTTTGGAAACAGCAGTTAATAGTGAATGGAAGGTGGTTAAGTAAAAGTGGCCTTTATATTCAACGTTATTAAGTAACTTCTTCAGTACTACAGGTAAAAATCAGAAATACATATATTTTAGGTTTTATATAAATTGTTAAAAAGGCACATGCTTAATCGTATGTATCAAAAACACATAGACTTATCTTCTGTTGTACTGATTTTTATTGATTCTGCATGAACTTGTGTTAGCGTCTGTTTGTGTTACTGTTTGCTCTTGTTCCATTAGTCTACTCACAGGGAGAACAGTGAACAGAGTTGGGGTTTGTTCAGATATTAAAGGAAAAGATGGTGAGTAGGATGAATCAATGAAAACTCCATAGTTGTAACAATTTTGCCAGTCTTAATGTTTGAAAGGCTAATACAATCATTGCATTAATTTAAAACATGGGTTTAGGCTGGGCACGGTGGCTTACGCCTGTAATCCCAGCATTTTGGGAGGTCGAGATGGGCAGATCACCTGAGGTCAGGAGTTTGAGACAAGCCTGGCCAATATGGCGAAACCCCATCTCTACTAAAAATATACAAATTAGCCAGGTGTGGTGGCACGTGCTTGTAATCCCAGTTACTCAGGAGGCTGAGGCAGGAGAATCGCTGGAACCCGGGAGGCAGAGGATGCAGTGAGCTGAGATCACGCCACTGCACTCTAGCCTGGGCAACAGCATGAGACTCTCGAAAAAAAAAAAAGGGTGTTTATATGTTTAATTTTTTCCTTTTTGTCTGAGTATAAACTAAGCAGTAATCTGCCACATAAAAAACTCACCTAGTCTGAGACTGACTTGGATATAAAACATGTCACATTGTGTGGTCACCAACTGGCTAAGTACAGGACTTAACTGAGTTGGAAAGCCACCAGAAGTGGGGATGGGGACACAGGGAGAGTAGGATAAGTATGGAAGCTTGTAATTTTCTGCTCTACTATTTTTTATATTTTCTTGGATATACAAGCTTGAGAGAAGTATTGGCAGGTTGAAACAATGGAAAATCCATGGTTATTGGATTTATCAGCTTGTCACATAATTCAAGGATAAGTAACCAGGAATTAAGAAAAAAGGTCCTCCAACAACAGCCGCTGGTCTCATTACCTTGTCACAGCCATACGTCATTAACAGAAAAACAAAAACAAAACAATGATGACAATAAAAAACACGTTATGAGGGTATAAGAGTTGATATGACATCAAAGTGGCTGGTTGATGCCAGGAATACAGGGGAGGAGAAATGAACAGGCGGAACACGGAGACTTTTAGGGCAGTAAAAGTATTCTGCATGATACTGTAATGATTGACACATCATTTATACCTTTGTCAAAATCCACAGAACTTACACCCAAAAAAGAGGGAACCCTAATGTAAGCTATGGATTTTAGTTAACGATCACATGTCAGTATCGGCTCCTCAACTGTTACAAATGTACCATGCTAATGCAAGATGTTAAAACTAGAGGAAACTCGTGAAAGAGGATGTTATATGAAAACTCTCTATACTTTCTGCTTTTTCTGTAACCTAAAATGGTTAAAAAATGTATATTAAATTTTAGAAAACAACTGGTAAATCTGGTCTAATATGATATTAACAAAAATTGTCCATGTGTTTGGTTGAATGTAACTTTAAACTTTAGGACAATCTTTGATCTAATAGCCCCCAATTCTAGGCAAATCACTGCCATAATTTCGGTGCAGAGATGTATTGATGCAATCTCCTCAGCTGTATATATTTTGCTGTTATTTCTCACAATCTATCAGCAAGCCATAGGAACGCTGTGCTTTCAATTATCGTATTTTAGAAGGTAGAAACAAGACTGTCCAAAGGCAGGCAAACTATATATAAAAGTTACCTTCCCTTTACAAAAACAGTAACGCTCACAGCCTGGAATCTCTTGCCTGAGTTCCACTGGTAAATCCATTCACATCAACAGGTGATCCTTTGAAGTGTGAGACAATGTTTAGATAATGAGCTTTATAGGAAAGGGGATGAACAGACATATGACTTACGATTTCAAAAATAACCGTATATGGACATAAAGATTTTGAACTGGCAAAGAGGATAATTTCAGGGGAGACTAAAGATGCATGTTTTAAAATGCTGAAAAACAGTAGTTTCTGATGATCTAGTACGAGACTGTGGTCCAATTAACTGGAAGCTAAGCTATCTCTCCATTTCTGCTCTGATACAGTTTATTAAATTTATGTTATTAGGCTATTTTGCTTCATTGTCTTTTGGTAAAGCAATAATGTATAACCTTCAAATTAAAAAGGAAAGAGTGAAGCATTATGGCTAAAAGTACAACTTATGGATATTTAAGCATCTAGGCATTTGGACTGAGGATCTGTTAAATATTAATAGACCAAAAACACGGAGACCTCAAGTTCCAAATCAAATGTTTCCTTGGCTATAAATCTACTTACTCTATTCCTTGGAAATAAGACATGTTCTCATAAGAATAAAATCTTCTTAAATAAACCCTAGTAAGTGTAACTTCTTGCAAGCAAATAAGTTTTACTGAGTAAACAATGTCAACATTTTAATAAAAGAAATAAAAGACAGCAAATAAATAAATATGCAAATTAGCCTTCAGGCTAGATTTATCCATTTTTTTTCCTCATCTTTTTTCATCCCTTTTCTCTTTTTCACCACGAGGCGACTGTCTTCCAAATTGAAATAATACCTATCTTCTATATTTATTATCCATTAAAAATAATTCAAGATTTCTTGGCTATGCTGAACATTGTCTTGTCAATCATTCCTCTACCCAGAAACAACCTCTGCTCCCCTAATACCTCTACAGAATAGGTGAAATTCCCTAGGCTGCTGCTCAAAGCTTTAGAATCACAGTATTGTGTTTTCATTTAATATCCAATTGCTTTCACAGCTTAAGACTGAAATCAACCTGGTTTATTAACTGTGCACAGAACGTGTTATTTTATTACATCTTTAGGGACATTGTCCATGCTAACCAAATAACTAATAAATTTAGCACTATTAACTTCAAGGTCCTTGTCTATTTGACATCACTCTCTCCTCTTTGATTGTACTCTCTTGCTAATCTGTAGTGTATATTGACTTCCCTATAGTACATCGTCACAGAATAAAAAAAACATAAAAACTTGTGTTTATTTAATGGAATGCTATATAGTTATTAAATGAATACACCAGGTGTACAGATAGCAATATGACTATATCTGTAAAACATAATGTCAAGAGAAAAAAAGTAATGCCAACATTTTAACTTAAAATACAAAACACTCAAAGCTGCACTGTATAATATCTTCTGGTATGTTAATAAATCCAGATGCCATAAAAATACAGAAGAGTGAGAATAATACAATTTTTGAGTGGTGGTTACTTCTGGGAATGAAGAGTGAAGAATGATGACTGGGGATTTGGGTTGTATCTTTAGTAAATACAAAAAAATAGTTGTTACATTTCAAATTGGGGTAGAAGGGAACTTTTTTGTTTTGTTTTTGTTTTGTCCTTGATGTTTGATATTTTTTAATTTATAGAAGTTAAAAATAAAGAAAATCTGTTATATATACACAACGGAGTACTATTTAGCCATAAAAAGAATGCAATCCTGTCATTTGCATCAACATGGAGGGAACTGGAGGCTATTATGTTAAGTGAAATAAGCTGGGCACAGAAAGACACATATCTCATGTTCTCACTCATTTATGAGAGCCAAAAAGTGAATCTCACGGAAGTAGAGAGTAGAATGATGGTTACTAGAGTCTGGGAAGTGTGGGTCAGTTGTGGGGGGAATGAAGAGAGGTTGGTAATGCATTCCAAAGTACAGTTATATAGAAGAAACAAGTTCTAGTATTCCACAGCACAGTAGGGTAACAATAGTTAATAATATTTTATTATATATTTCAAAATAGCTAGAAGATTTAAAATGTTTACAACACAAAGAAATGATAAATGTTTGAGGTGATGGATATCCAAAATATCCTGAGCTGACCATTACGCATTATATGTATGTATCAAAATATCACATATACCCCATAAATATGTACAATTATGTATCAACTAAAAAACAATAAAAATGCAGTCATAGCCACACCTCAAAAGAAATGGATTATATCCAAACAAATTTAGTTTGAATCTCTGCTTTGCTACTTTTCTAGTTGTGTGACATTGGGGAAATTTACTTACCCTTTCTGATTCAGTTTCTCATGTGTAAATGTGAATTTCTTTCACTGTCTTGCTTTCTCTCCCCCTTTCTCAAAACACATTCTCCCTCTCTGTGCCCAGAGTATGGTAAGTTATTAGTAAATAAACATCTCTATTTCATGCTGTTCAGCTAACAGAGTAAGTCCCAGTTATTCTTGAACCTTTCTAATATTTGGCACCTCTTACCACTTCCTCCTTCCTTGAACTCATGTCTCCACTGGCTTTTGTGGTCTCTCTCTCTGTTGTTATTCCGATTGTTCTGATTGCTTCTTCTCAGTCTCCCGTACAGATTACTGTTTCTCCAGATTATTGTGTCTGCTCTACAGATAACTGTTTCTTAAATATTGATTTCCCCACAGTTTCATCTGTGGCTCATCTTGTCTTCTTACTTGCTATATTTCTTTTGGTTGAGGTCATCTCTTCCAATTACTCTACCACTCTGATGTCTTACAAATATTACAAGCACTCAAGCTAACATGTGTTAAAAACTCAGTTCTCCTTTTCAGGTAAGTTCCTACTATGAACAGGTGCTCCTTGTCTTTTGAATGTCATCCATACAGTTTCATCCTCAACTTCTCCCACTTTACCATCCCCCATATGCGGTTCCCAAGTCATATGCTTTCTTGTATTTCAAACGTCTTTTCCACCTCTTTTCTTTCTATCCCCATATCCACTGCTGTGGCCACCATCTTTATTATTTTTCACTCAGATTATTTCAAATGATTACTCCCGAATTTTTCCACCTCCCGTTTTGCTTCCTCTAATCCACACACTCCCTTGCCACCAAGCTGTTCTTTCTATAATACAAAACTGCAGATACCACATCTCTGCATATATACTTTTAGTAGTTCTCAAGAGACTTTAAGAAACAGCCCATCCTTGGCTGGGCATATGTGATTCTGTTGACCTCTCCAGACTCATGTATCCCCTCTCTACTGTAGCCATGTCTCCAAGATGCTTCCTCACCACACTGATTTCACTGATTTCAGTCATATGTTTACATGTCTGGTTCAAGAATGGAATTTCTTCTGGAGTAACAATTCTATGTATCTTTCTATCTCTGTGGTCTAACCACCTTATTAGTATCTAGCAGAAACACAAATGCTATTTGTTGAATGAGTGAATGAAGTACAGCATAGTGTTTTAGACACTTACTATACTAGAAATATTGTTTGTTTGTACTCTAGTACATGAGTTATTTTAGCTAAAGAATTATATTATTCATTTAAAAATACCCCACATTTCCTAATACAGTATTATAGAGATAGAAGACCTGACATAAATGTCTCATGAATGAATAAACAAACACTACTACCAAGGAGGAAAATCTAGGGGATCGCTACTTAATCACAAATGACTCCCTCCATGAAAAGAAAGTCTCTACTAAAGGGCCCATGGAAATACATGGAGTTAAATTTGAAGAAAATATGAGAGGAAATAATTGGAAAAAATAATCTGTGAGAACACCAATATGAAAATTGGTATCTAACTCTGTCTGCTAAAGAGAATTGCTACTTCCTCTGGCTTTTATGAAACTTTCTGATATTGAGACTTGAAAGTTTTTCTGTAAATACTAGAAATGTTAGAAGATATTGGGGGGAACACATGGGTTTCAGAAATAAAATGATTTTAATTTTTATATTTTCCTGGCAGTTTTTTTGGCTCTTTAGCATTTTACACATTAACATTTCTAAGACTCAATTTCCAAATCTGTAGGATGTTAGTAAAAATAGTAGCGATCATTTATTGAATGCTTAATATGTTTTAGGCACTGTGCTAATATTTAACATGGATTGCTGGTTATAAAGATCACAACATCCTTGAGTTAGGAGTTATTATTATTATACTATGCTATTCTACAATATCAGATTAACATGGCTATGGTATGTCAAATATGGTATAATGCTATTGAACAGATTGATTTCAGTGAAGATTAGCTTATAAATATTCTGTATGATGTTATATGTAACATTCTTACTTATGTGCTCTTTTGTAGATTAAAAAAAATGTGTCACAAGAAAGTTTACAGAACCTACTCAAACTCAAAGAGAAATCAGAGACTAAATTCTCAAAACTGGAAGCTCCCTACAGCATCCACACTCTTCAGCCTTGTACTATGTGATGTGTATTACGAATGGAGCCACCGGCAGTATTTGTATGAACATGAGACAATGTGTGGCAGATGCTTGGTGCTTTGTAATATTTAGTAAAATAAAACAATAATAATGTAACTATAATATGTGTTGTTCTTACTTGACTATAAGTGCTCTAAGTTCAGAGCCAGCCAAGCGCATCTTTGTTTTCTCTAATAGGATCTAGAAGCATTCTTTATCTTAGTGACTCAACGTATAGTTTTTGGATGACTGTGGGAAATCTCCCTCCCTAATCAAAGATTTGACTTAAAATGTTATTGTAAAGGTTTTAAAAAATCTACTATTTTGGCTGGGCGTGGTGGCTCATGCCTGCAATCCCAGCACTTTGGGAGGCCGAGGCGGGTAGATCACAAGGTCAGGAGTTCAAGACCAGCCTGGCCAGAATGGTGAAACCCCATCTCTACTAAAAATACAAAAATTAACCAGGCATGGTGGCGGGCAACTGTAATCACAGCTACTCGGGAGGATGAGGCAGAGAATTGCTTGAACCCAGGAGGAGGAGGTTGCAGTGAGCTGAGATCACGTCATTGTACTCCAGCCTGGGTGATAGAGTGAGAATCTGTCTCAAAAAAAAAAAAAAAAAAAAAAAAAAAAAGAGAAATCTACTATTTGAAACCTAAGCTACTTAAAAAATTGTACTTAATAAAGGAATTCTTTTCTAGGCTTTTCAAAAATCAATTTTATTGGGGAATAATTTGCATACAATAACATGCTCCTATTTTGAATTTATCATCTTTTCGTAAGTTTATGTATCCACATTAACTACTGTCACAATCAAAATAAAGAATGTTTCTAACACCTCACAATGTCTCTCTTGCCCATTGTCAGTCAATCCTGATCCAAATCCTCAAACAAACACTGAATTGCGTTCTCTCACTCTAGAGTACATTTGCGTCTTTTAAGGGCCTCATGTAAATCAAATCATAGAGAATGTACTCTTTTTAGCCAAGCTTATTTCACTCAACTTAATGTCTCTGAGATCCTTTTATGTTCTTGTGTGTATCAGTAGTTCATTCTTTTTACATTGCTCAGCAATGTTCCACTGTATGCATATACTAAGATGTGTTAATCCACTCATCTTTCATGGGCATTTGAGTTGTTTCCAGTTATTGACTAATAAAGAACATTTGTACACAAGTTATTGTGTGGAAATATGTACATGTTAAATTCATAAGAAACTGTCAACTGTTTTGAAAAATGATTGAACAATTTTAATGCCCATTGGTGACATAGGAGTTTTGGTTGCACCACATTCTAACACTTGTTTTTGTCAGTGTTTTTAATTTTAGCCACCGTGGTGGTGATTGTTCCTCTTAAATCTTAACAAATGTTAGAATTTTATAACATAGTCACATGTCCATCATATATATATTATCACTAGTGTAGCTTTTATTGAATTGTGGGCCATAATTCATAAAGGGTTGAGACCAATATTTTCACAAAGAAAAACAGAATAGAAAAATTATTTGGGTATATCACACGTAATAATAAGGCAAATATTCATAAAGGGAGTAAAATCATCTCTAAGGGGGTAAAAATTGGGTATGAGGCCTGGATGGGGCTAAAATCTTAATATCTCAATGATTTTTGGCTCTCCAAAACCCAAGAAAATAATATTCCTTAATACTTAAATTCTATTTGGTTTTATTGGCCATTACATGAACAGCATTGGCAACGGAACACACCCCAAGTGTTTGCAATATATGAGCTATGAAATTATGGTGACTAGATGGCTATGACTGGAGGATTTTCTCTTAATTGACTGAGTGATTTCAAACATATACTGAGTGGTACCTATGTGGGCCTATTGGCTGCCATTGGTTGCCCTGTGGATATTGCTTATGCTTGGTCCTTGGTGTTTTCATGTGTGACTTGAGCTTTGAGAATTAAATAATAATAATTTATATTTTATTATTAATTCTACAAATGTTAGTCATACCATTACATGTCAAATGATGAAAAGAAAAAGTTGACAATATCTAAATTAATATTTATCATCTATATAAGTTAAAAGTTTTCTCATACTGAGCAAAGTTAATAGTTAAGCTCTCCAAATATTTTTAAAGAAGTTATTTTAAAAATTATTTTACTTTTGCTGGAAAAATAGTGATTTTGAATGTTTTTATAAATTATTATATTTGTATTATATATTCATATCAATTGTTACTTTGCATATGTAATTTGATATATTACAATTTATATAAGTAAACAGATTACCTTAAAAGTTTCCTGGCAAATACAATTATAAATTTATGTTAGCTGTTAAGAGATTAAAAATTTTTAATTTAAATGTTAACTTAAACATTTTATTTGTTATTTAACACTACATTGAACAAAAAAGTAAACTTTACACTTCCTTTTTATGTATAAAGCACAGAGATACATATAGTATAAAGACAGAGTATATTTGTTACATTAAAATTTTATGGGGAAAGTGATTAGGGAAAAAATGTTTATAAAAGGATCCTTGGGGTTGTGATAATGAGAAAGCTTGAGCAGCACCATAATTAAGGACAATATTTTTAAATGGTAATTTGTTTTAGTTTTATGCTTATACATAATTAATTACATGTGAAGTTATCTAGCTAATTTAAAATTCTCTAATATCGACATATATATATACACAGAGACACACTATGTGTGTGTATACCACACATCCTGGTTTGGAATATAAAATGTTTTTCTTACTGTAGATAGTGGTTTTAAAAATACTGAAAAACACATGGGTGAGGAAATGAATCAGACTTAGATATTAATGGTAATAATAAATTTGCCCTTTAATGACTACCTTCTGGATACCAGACACTCTGCTAAGCATTGCATAAGCATTCAGTACTTCATTCAATCCTCTTTACATCTTTACAGTTTATATATAAGTAAACTGAGTTTCAGAGACATAAAACACCTACCTGATCACAGAGAATGAATTAGTGGCAAATCTGAATTCAGAATCAGGTATGGCTTACTCTAAGACTCAGGCTCTTTTTGCTGTAGCTTCCTGTCTCTTCTTGACCTCAAACAGTGTATAGGATAGTAGTTATATGAATAAGTAATGATGAAAACATGGCAAATGCTATAAAATACATCCAGGAAATGAGTCATTTTATTTAACAAGCATTTATGTACATTATTTAGCCAACAGCTTTGGAGTGTGATTTCCACCTTTATCTGTAAAATAAGGCAAATGCTGCTGCTGACCTTCTAGATGATTTTGTTAAGGGTTAAATCAGACAATGCAGGTAAAGGGGCTGAGAGCACAGGAATGGCTCAAGTATTTTTGAGTGTTGTTAGCTGAATGTTGCAGACAATATAAACTTACTGGAAACACTCTCATAATCCAGTTCCACATGCAACATTTGCAGACCCTGATAAAGCCATGTGAGGATGAAGTTAATCCAGTGAGTGCTATGGGTATTCAAGAAGCAAAGTTGGCCGTGGTATTCGGACAAGACAAATGCAGGAGAAAGACCTTTACCTGAACTCTGAGAAATGGAGAGGGCTTTGGAAAGGCAGAACACAAGCCAGGGCCAGAATAGAAACAAGATACAGAGCAGGAAATGAGCTTGGCGTTCTGGGAATCGGACTTGGTGAAACACAGACTGGGTGAATAATGGAAGACAAAACAAGAAAGGAAGGCTGACACCAGAATAGGGTGGTGAGAAATTTGTGCTCAGTTCTTTGAGCAACTGAAAGTCACTGTTTCTGGTGAGATGAATGAAACGATGCCTTTTAAAGCTTACTTCATAAAACAGTGACATTATACAACAGGAGAAAGACTTGATGCTTGAAAACTAGTATTAATATCACTGCATTAGATCAGAGACATGCATAATGAAGTGGATGATAATGGCAGTGATGGAAATGAAATATAAGTTTAGCTTGGAACACATATCTCCCCCTCCTCCAAAATAATCAATTGTGTTTAGATGGGATAGAAGAAGAAGAAGAAGTAATGACAACTCTGTGATTTCAAGGCCTCAAAGAAAATGAGAAAACACTGCCATGAATAATGTAGAAATAAAGGATTTAACAAGTCTTTCTCTTTGTACTTACAGCTAATATAATTACAAGCAAAGCAATAGAAGATAGATTTAGATAAAATATTATAAGTCAAAAATATGGTTAGATCTTCAAATGTCATTTTGGAAGCCATGAGTATGGAGATAATGGCTAAAGCTCTCAGAATGGAGGAGTCACTGAGGGCTTCTGCTCAGGGCTGAGGAAGGTGAACAGAACTCTCTAGCCTGCGGGGATGAAATTGCACATACGGCATCCTCTTGAGTTCAGATGGTAGTGGTCTCTTGCTTGTATTAGCATACATTTATTCACAAATGTCTGTAAGATCTTTGCTTTCTCACATAAAAGGGGACAGATCTCTGTCACTCAAATTAGGCTATCTTCCAGGTTTTCCTAAACTGTCCCTGGACAAACAAGGGGTCCCCCTATCTGCCACACTAAGCAGAGTAGTACAACGTGATTCAGTGGGGAAAACCATGGTTTGCATATTACATTTATTGTTGAGTCTTTTAAAAATGTAAGGTTTTCTTTTTTGTAATATATATGTATTTTGATCAATTTATTTATACATTTGTTACAAATGCTAGAGTTATGTAAGTTTCATCCATATGCACCGGATATCCTAAGGAACAAAGGGTTGCATCCCTACTTTGGGGCAGAAAACTCTCAGATCTTAGGCAGTAATGCATATTAATTCATTATCAGCTATTCACAGGGTCAGAACATGATCATACAGGAGAACGTGATAAGTTCTCCTATATGATCACATGAGGTATATGCTGCCATTTGCCCCTCCAAAAAAATAGGATGGAAAGGAAACCTGAATAACAAATAATGGTTTGAATGTCAATTTGAAATGATATTAACAGAAATTTTTTTCAAGTAATTAAGCACTATTTCACTATTCAAATATTGCTGAAATAAGAAACATGGAGATACATATATACACATATACACACACACACATATATATTTTTATGTTTGAGATTGAAGAAAGCAACTGAATGCTAATAGATATAAAATTATTTATATTTACTTTTTGTTTTGGCCTAAAATCTTATCAAGGCTGAAATGTTTTGAACTTTAATATGATTTATGAGTTAGCATACCTGATTTCAGGAATGTTAAATCAATTAAGCTACCTTACTGATATTTTATGAACACTGGTGGAATGTGTTTTATTTCACAGACATACTTCTTTTATATTGTGAATTACTTTGCCTCTAAAATACGCTTCCCACTGAATTTTAATTTTCAGTTTATTTTCATTGTATACTATACAAAATTTTGTCTTTGTTTTGTATTTGAAGCAGAGTATATTACAGTAAATTTCACAGAGGTTATTTGTTTAACTTATGTTTACTTGAAAATAATTTAATATTAGTAGAGGATGCAGAAAAAATAGATTTAATTCATACTCACTGTGGTAGTGTTGCTGGCAGGGAACGTCTAATAATGGAATGAACTTGTCTGTAAACATCCAGTTTAGACATGCATCGGCAGGAAGTGTGATTGGCAAAACTGATTGTTACTGGTTTGGGGCCTTGAGAGAGAGGCACTGTAATTTCAAATAACTACAAAGAAGGGACAAAAAGAAGAAAAAATTATATAGATGCTGTAAAGCACTTTTATGGTAAATATTGGAGTCCGAAAAAGAGTGAGATTAGCTCTATATAAGTAGCTGCCTAGTGTACGCAGGACGCTATGTTTTTATGATTACAAAGTAAAAACTGTCTTGCTCCTAACCAGTATCTTTTATCAGAGTAATAAATACTCCATATGTTTATCTTATGTCACTAGTTATGAAGCATATTAGAATTAGGATAACCAACTAATTGGTTATCCTATTAGACGTGACAGAACAATGTGTTCAAGAAAAAAGAACTGTTTCAAAGTTATAGATTATTTGAAATGAACATTTAAAATATTCCAGGGATTTAAAAAGTGTCACACACAGAAACATCTTTGTGATTTAGGAGCAAAGCTATTGGCCACACAACCCAGAAATACTTGGTTATGACCTACTTTAAATAAACTGAATACATAGACGTAAGTTACATAGATGTAAAGTTAATTTTTATTAAATTTCTACCTCAATGTAGTTTTATATGTCTTAGATCTCTTATAAATTGATTATGTTTAAAACAAAAAAAACTACATTTATAATTTAATAGATAAAGCCATGTTTCTGCTATCTTGGTAAAGGAATTATGAAAATAATGAGCTTAAAATAAAGTAGGGCATTTTACACAATTCTGAATTACAGTCAAAATTTAGTTTAACTGGTCTCCTTCTGAACGCCTTATTTATGGATCAAGAACTTCTTGTGTTCTCTTCCTTCTCCAAAAACAATGTTTTAAATTAAATAAACAAATACATCATTGATTAAGTAAAACTAAGTAGATTTAAATTCCTAGTGTTCTTACACTCTAAATCATTACCAGAAAAAATGGTAAAAGTGAAATCTTGCCCACTAACTGCTTGATAAGATCAACTTGCAGTCATTTAACTATAATTGATCCATGTATTACTTGGTGTCTTCATGACAATCTGAGCAGTGATAAAAAAGATGACAAACTTCAAAGCATTGTGACTTGGCCTTTGCTGAACTTTCACGCCATCAGCTGAAGACCATTGAAAATATTTATGGGATAGGATTAGCTGCCAATTTTGTCCATGCCAACAAGGAGACTTTTTAAATGAATTCTGAATAATGAAATACAGAAATATGTAAATTATAAAATGCATATTGTCTTCATTCAAGATGTATTCCTTATATATTCATTTAAAATGTAACTACTTTCTTTAGAAAACAATATGCTTTAGAAGAAATAGGTACAGGGTTATACCCAGACAGGTGGCTTTTATTAGCTCTCCCATTTATAAGTAGCATAAATTTGGAAAATTCATTTGACTTCTCCAAGCTGTATTTTTCTTTGATAATCAGTAAACTAAGGATAACACTTGACTCATTATTCTCAGATTATAAAGATTACATAAACTAAATGAATCTGATATGTATATTATTTGCTATACAGATCTAAGTTATTACTATTTGTGTAAATTCTCAAGATTCTAGGTATTCTCCACAATACTGTCTGATCTGCATAGATAACTTCACTATGTGACCTCAACATATGCCACTATTATGATTTTGACCAGTTTCTTATCTAAAAAGATACCCGTTTATACACGTTGGATAAAATCTTTGATTAGGTGAAATATTGCAATGGCAGTAATCCTTTGCACTATATATACCTATTTTAAGAGAGAATTCTGCAGTGTCTTCATAAGCTACAATTTTTCTATCTTTTAAGACATCTATGGAATCTATATTAAGAACTAGCACTACAGAAGACATACAAAGTGGTTTTAAAAAGCAATTTTTAATAAATTTATAAAATTACTTATTTTTTATATTTGTATAATTTATAATTTGATTATTTAAGCTCTGCAATAATGTAGATGGTAGGAAGGTGTACCTAAGAATTTAGGTCTAGTAGGCAGTCACATATGTGTGTCTAGAGTTTAGGAGAGCCATTGAAAAGTCATGAACATTTAAGCTGTAATTGGAGTCTTGGACATTGATGAGATTACTTGATGAGCACTCTAAATGAAAAGAGAAAATGTCTAAGAATAGAAACCTGGGGCACAGGAACATCTATGAGGTGGGAAGAGGCAAAGGAACTAGTGAATATGTCTGGGAAGAAGCATAACAATGATGGAGCATCAGGAGGGGAGACTGTCAAGCCAACGGGTGCCAGAGAAAGAGGGGAGAGCTTCAAACAGGTGTGTGTGGTCACAGGGCCACATGTCTTCGGGAAGTCAAATGTAACAAGAATTGACAGGAGATAACCAGCACCCGATGTGGTTCCAAGGGCTGTGGCAGGGCAGGGGCTGTAGGAAGGAAGCAGCAGTGGAGACGGGGGACAAGAAGAGGTGCTCCATGTGACTAGTGGGAAAGGGCTCAAGTGGCTCAGACCAGCAGAAACAATTTTGCTTACACGCACAGTGTTTGTAATCTGATATGGTTTGGATCTGTGTCTCCTCCAAATCTCATGTTGAAATGTGATTCCCAATGTTAGAGGTGGGAGCTGGCGGGAGATGAATGGGTCATGGGACCAGATCCCTCATGAATGGCTTAGCACCATCCTTCGGTAAGAAGTGAGATTTTCCTGTTAGTTCATGCTAGAGCTGGTTGTTTAAAGGAGTCTGAGACCTCTCCCTTCCCTCTCTTGCTCACACTCTGGCCATATGACACACCAGCGCCCCCTTCCACCAAGATTGCAAGCTTCCTGAGGCATCACCAGAAGGTGAGCAAATGCCAGCATCATGCTTCCTGTACAGCCTGCAGAACCATAAGCCAATTAAGCCTATTTTCTTTATAAACTACCCAGTCTTAGGTATTCCTTTATAGCAATGCAAAAACAAAGTAATAAGTAAGCACAGCAGGATTTGGCATTGTCTCCAGTGAAACCAGGCAGGACAGAGCCTGATAGTGAAGGTAAGGCACTATTTGAGATAACTAACAGCTATTGTAGAAGAGTTTATGTTTTCCCACCCCTAACCCTTGGCAGCATCATTCCTGCTCCCACTGATGGCTGCCCTTCCAGATTCTGCCCCAGCCTGTTTTCCAAATGGTAGACAGATTGCCGTGAGCAGTATCAGTGATCATGGAGAGACCTCATCCATGCCTAGGTAGATAATGTTCACAAATCAGGATCCACCCATGGGTATCAAGCATGAATTCAGGAACAGCAGCTTTGAAGAATGTTCTGGTGAGATGAAGAATAGCTAATTCACATTAAGAAAGCATCTTCCTGGAAAACTAAGTGTGGCTCTATGCTTTCAAAGGCTGCAAGAAATGTGTTTTTGAATACACTGACTAAAAGAATAAGGAGACAGGTAAAACAGCACTAAAACCAAATCACTGTTTAGAGAACTGTCTTTTCCTCTAAGTTGAAGACTTTTATAAGTGGTAAAATGGAAGACTTTTTTACAGTTGGAGAGAAAAAAATCTTTGTTGCAGTTTAACTACTTAAAGGAAATAAAGGAAATCACAACATAAAGGAATCAAAATCAAAATCTTAATAACTAATGTCTCATTTCTCTTTTTTGTGTCTAAGTAGCAATTGGCAGGCTGAATTCAGTTAATTTTGTCAAAAGGAACAGAGATTGAAAAATTAAAGTTAAAAAATTTTGTTCTTCTCTTGAAACACATCCTCTATCCCTAAATTTTGACCTGCTACTTGATGATACCAGTGTGAAAAAATTTTAAGAGTCCAGAGAAAGATACCTTTGATAATATTAAAAGTAGAAAGAGTCTTGATAATTGAGTTTTATTTATCTATCAACTTCAGGAAAATTAGTAATATCTACTGGGAATATGCCATCTGGGTATGTATTAAGATATAATTGTACCTATACCAGCTCTTGTCACATACTAAAGAGGCCTCTTTAATTTTTCTAATTCTTTCTGTGCTGGTCTCATGTGTGTATATTGACTGACTTACTCTTATCAGTTAGACATGATTACAGTTTCTACTGCCTTTTCAATAAATATAGTAAATTCTATTTTCTTGTTTACAGACCACTTTGTGAATTTTTACATAGCTATATTTAATCCCTACGTTACTAAGAATTTCCGTAAGCTTTTTTTCCTAGATAGTATGTGCTTAGAAAATATACATTTTTTGAACTGAAAAAATAATAATTAGAAGTGCATTATAAACTTGCATGGCGCCCTCCCAAAATAAATACATAACATTTTCAAATCACTGGCAACTTCCCTACTCCACGAAGTATGTAAGAATAAACAAGAGTTTACTTAGTCTTGAGAAACAGACAGTAATTAGAGTCCTGGATCTTCAATTTACTACTTCTGAGACTTGGAAAAATTACCTAACTTCCCCAAGCCTCCATTTCATTACCTATAAAATAGGGATAATAATAATGGTGATTTCAGTGTAATGTTTGGATTTCTCTTCCTCCTCTTCTTTCTCTTGTTCTTTATCATCATTCACATCAGCCAAGATTTAGTTAAATTTTTGTTAAAGAAATTCTAAATTTTAAAATTTTTATTTAAAATCTTTCCTTGTTTAGTTTTCAGTAACTATTTATTCAGTACCTACATGATACCAAGCACCTTGCTAGAATCTCAGGATAACAGTCATCAGTAATGACCTTGCCTCTATGCTGATCAGAAACCTAACAATGAGGGCGGGGCATGGTGACTCACGCCTGTAACCCCAGCACTTTGGGAGGCTGAGGTGGGAGGATCACTTGAGGTCAGGAGTTCAAGACCAGCCGGCCCAACATGGTGAAATCCCGTTTCTACTAAAAATACTAAAATTAGCTGGGTGGCGTGGCGGATGCCTGTAATCCCAGCTACTTGGGAGGCTGAGGCAGGAGAGTTTCTTGAACCCGGGAGGCAGAGGTTGCAGTGAGCCCAGATTGCACCACTGCACCTGCACTCCAGCCTGGCCAACAGAGGTGGACTCCCTCTCCGAAAAAAAAAAAAAAAAAAAAAAGAAAAAGAAAAAAAAAGAGACCTCACGGTGAGGGTGAATGAGAACATACATATACACAGAGAGAGATACTATGGTAGAATTTCTGAAATACCAAATAGCTTACCGTAAACACTGGAGTTTAATTCCCTTATGCAATTTGTTCTTGCCATTAATAATGATCTGAACTAACATAGTAACTAGAATTTCCTCTCAAAAGAGTTTAGATCTATCCAAACATATCAATGTTTGAAACAGTAAGTAGATTATTTTAAGAAAATATGAATCATGATACTATTGTCAGACTATTTTGTGCTTTATTGTGTATATAATAGTATTTTCTGTTCTACATTTAAGTTCATAGCACATAAAATTTATGTATTATTCAGCACTAGCTAATAGCTCCAAGTATGTTTATTTAGTAAATACTGATTGATGATGTATTTAACTGATAATGTATCTATTATAATTTGATATTTTGAAAATTATGATTTTTCTAAAACAGTTTTATACAATAAAGTGAATTGTTCTGAACCAATAAGTAATATTAACTTGTGTCCAATGTAGGACACAAAAAAAGTTGTAATAATACAATTCATTATGAAGCCTGACATATACTTTAGGCATATAATACCAGTTGTTGGTTTTGGAGAAGATCAAAAGGACATATAAAAAAAGGCATTTAAGCAAGGTTGGAAACTGAAAAAAAAATCTGACTGTATATTCTGTAAAACTATAATAAACAAGAGGAAATGGCAAGTGTTTCCAACTGAGAGGTTCCCAGTTGTAATCTACTGGCATTCTTTAATAGGAATATTTAATAGTCAATTCTCACCAACAAGAATGGACTTCAAATAAAGCCACATTTTGAAACAATAGGTTGTTTACAGCAGCATAGCAACGGCTATAAAGCAACAATTCCTAATCGTACTTATCTTGCTGGCTATTCAAGAAAAAGGTGTAGAACTTCCTTACTGAGAGGATCTTGAGTTATAATTTAGTACTAAATTATAAGTAATGTTTGTGTGGATACAAATATGACACAAAAAATGCCTTCCTTTAAAACACCATTATATCCTAAATATAACCAGTTTCTCTTCAGAACAAATCTCACTACCATATTTAATTTAAATTTAAATATTCCAAACTTTAGTCCATTAAGTACAGATATATGTACCCCCAG
Source organism: Homo sapiens (assembly GCF_000001405.40). NCBI lineage: Eukaryota > Metazoa > Chordata > Mammalia > Primates > Hominidae > Homo > Homo sapiens. The sequence goes on from NC_000004.12 coordinate 176,717,766, forward strand.
AAGAATATGATTAATAACTATAAAATCAGATTTTAAAACTACAACGAATTTAAAGAAATAATGCCCCAAAATGGGAAAAGGTCTTAGCATTTTGACTTAGCATTGCAACCACATGGCCAGCTATAAAAGGCCTGTGGAACTTAAATTGGGTTTGGGAAAGAAAATGGAATAACAGATAGCCTAACAGATTTAAATCTGGTACTGAATTAATTTTAACATATTGTTATGCATAAAAAGTATACACAGTACCACAATTAAAATAAAAACCTCAATTGAAGAGTTTTAGAAATACTGAATAAAATACGTGAATCTCATTGTACCTTGGGTTGGAAAAAAGTGGTATTTTTCACAGATGCATTAATTATGTTCTTAAGGCAAATGTTATTCTTAAAGAAAGTTCTGATAACTGGTACTGGCATAGAGTTCTTTTTCCACATCAGGATAAAACCTGATTTCCAAAAACTGTGCTTGCCAAATATTAACTTGCTAAAGATACAATACAAATCACGTTCCACTTGCTGAATACAAAGGAATGTAATAAATTAATCTTCCAGACTGCTGCAGTATTCTGTTTAATTAATGGAAGAAATATCTCTGACTGCAGTGCAAAATAATACCTCTAATTTCATTATATAGTTGCATATTTTACTTAGGTTTAAATATTTTTTGTTGTAAAATTTTATGAAACATCCAACTTAAATATAATCGAGCATGTCTTTGTTAATATACATGCTCATATTATTGATTGCTCATATTATTGCTTTATAAAATAATGAAAAAGAAGTAGCTGCTTGTTTTTAAGATGGCAATGTAGAATTTAAAATAATGCTGCTTCTATGTATCAGAATTAGCTCATAGCAAGCTAGCTTCTTAACTAAACTGGCTTCTTTAGTCTGGCACTAATGAACACAGCAAAGAACTTCTAGTTCCTTGAGCTTGATTTAACCCCACCATTTTCAGGAAGACTCTAGAGATTGAGCTGTTTTTCTTTATTCTTTCCTAGATTTAGTAAAATATATAAGGTAAATACTAACATTCAAGTAACTTTTAATCCAAATGTGTGCCTCAAAAGCAGATGACTTTCTTCTGCTTCTGCTTTCATCACCAAATAATTTACCCCCTGCAAAATTCATTTTCTACTTTTTGGTTATATCTCTTAAACATACAACTTCTCATAAGAAAATATACTCAAAGTGTATGTTTATGAAAGAGGTTGAAAAGACATCCAATCTACTTAACTTTTCAAAGCCACTTAGATACTTGTGTGGAGAACTTTGAAGCAGTTTTTATCCATTAGTATACTTTGGAATGCACAGTGCATATGCTTTTACTTTTCAATGAACAGCTGGCTTCCTCACACGCCCTGATAACCTCCCCTTCATTGAGTCCCATTTTAAAAAAGCATTTCTATGAAGTATCTATAAAAAACTTGAGTTTAACATTACCTAAGGTACATTGTCCTTACAATTTACATCATGCCAATTGGTGGCTTTGCTACAAAATGTGCCTGGAACTCTTTTAACAAAACGAAAAGTCTTTTTTTTGTTTTTTTTTACCTTAAGAAAACACAGCATTAAGAAATTTCCTTTTATATTTGAAGGAAATCATCACACACTCCCATTCATACTACACTGATAATGCAATAAATTGAATAAACTCAGGAAAAGCTGCTACTTAAGTACACGTTTTCAGAACTTGGAATATTAGTAAAAATGTAGGAACACTGCATTCTTGCTTTCAGAAATTTTATGCCTCGACCTCCCTTGGTTTATAAACATCCTGGATATGCACTTCCATAAGCCTTTGTACTTTTCCTTCACAACACTTAAACTACTTTTAATTACTTGATAAATGTTGATTTCGCTTGCTAATTTGTTAGTTCCATAGGGCAGGATCTATCCATCACTGTACACCTACACTTTGTGCATAGCATGCTTTTAGTACATAATATGAAGCGTCACATAATGGGTGTACCACATGCACTTGTCTAACTGAATTTAAATTAAAACTATCTGCCGGGTGCGGTGGCTCATGCCTGTAATCCCAGCACATTGGGTGGCCGAGGCGAGTGGATCACTTGAAGTCAGGAGTTCGAGACCAGCCTGGCCAACGTGGTGAAAACCTATCTCTATTAAAATACAAAATCAGCTGGGCGTGGTGGTGGACACCTGTAATCCCAGCTACTCGGGAGGCTGAGGCAGGAGAATCGCTTGAACCCAGGAGGTGGAGGTTGCAGTGAGCCAAGATCACACCATTGCACTCCAGCCTGGGTGACAAGAGTGAGACTCCGTTTCAAAAAAAAAAAAATTCCTTATACTATAAACAAAAATATAAGCGAATCCTTTGGATAGGAAAAGGGCATGATAATACAAAATCAAAGAGGGAAATGCAGGGCACAGCTAATGATGAATGTTGGCTTTCCCTTGGTACTGATGTTTGCTCTTCTCTTGTGATACATCAATACCCTAAGAATTAATAAGCACACCAGGCTTCAAATGACATTTATCAGAATGATGCTTCCTCCCAAATCTATATTTAAAGACCCAGTTATTGTTCTAAAATTTTAGAATTGTACATCAAACCTTCTGGTATCTCCACCTAAACACCATTCAGACTCTTTCAAATCAGCATATTCAAAATTTGACCTTTGACCCCAAATTTGTTTCTTTTTATTCAAATATTCATTTTATTCACTTCTAAGTGTTTGCTATGTGCCAACTACTGTGCTATTGTTCAGTGTAACAAGCAGACGCAATCTTTGTTTTCATGGAGTCTAGAACCTATGGAATAAGACTGGGTGCAGTGGCTCACACCTGTAATCCCAGCACTTTGGGAGGCAGAGGTGGGAGGATCACCTGAGGTCAGGAGTTTCTAGACCAGCCTGGCTAACATGGTGAAACCCCATCTCTACTACAAATACAAAAAATTAGCCAGGTGTGGTGGTGCACACCTGCAATCCCAGCTACTTGGGAGGCTGAGGCAAGATAATCACTTGAACCCAGGAGGCAGAGGTCACAGTGAGCTGAGTTCCTGCCACTGCACTCCCCCACCTGGGCAACAAGAGTGAGACTCCATCTAAAAAAAAAAAAAAAAAAAAAACCTAGGGAATTAAACAAAGATAAAACAATCTGACAGATAAGGTAATGATGCTAAGATACAGCAACAATGGATGCTGTGGAAGCACATAACAGAATGTCCTGGAAGTCACATTTATGTTTAGGCCTAAGGATGAGTAGACATTAACTAGATACATCGAGATACGGGATCATGTGTAGGGAGATGTTTCAAACACAGAGTACAGCATTGCAATACTGGAGGTGACAGATATTGACATAACCCAAGAAGTGAAAAGAATTTGGGTCTTAGTGGTAAGTAGTGTTTGTGGGGAAAAGCATTGACATTTGAGGCTGGACACTTAGGTAGCATCCAGATCATTGAGGGCCCAGGAAATTATGTTTAAGGGATTTTGTCTGAAAGAAGAGTTCCATTCAAAACACTAACAACTTAGAACATTTGTACCAATCAATCTGACCAGATGCTGGCCTAAGCAACCCAATTAGAAAAGATAAGCTTATCACCACACTAGTTGAATGCTGGCTCCATCCCAATAAGGCAATGTTATCAAGGAGTTTTTAGCAGTATCTGACTTAGCATTAAGAAAAGAAAAAAAAATCACTGCTAAAAAGTGGCAAATAGATTGGAGGAAAGGAAGAATGGAGGTAGGAGACCAGTTATTAGGCTTGTCCAAGAGGAATGGTCTAGGTAAGGGGTAAATGTGACCTAGATCAGAGCGGGATTAGCAGCGTGGAGACACTGGATAGGTCCTAGAGATGTTTGCAAGGTAGATTGAATAGCAATTAGTTTTGGTGAAAGGAAGAATAACTTGGCTTGACCGACTGGCTGAATGATGATGTCATTTACTAAGACACAGAACACTGGAAAAAGAATAGGATTCACTTACTTGCTTATTTGGGCAAGGTGGTAGGGAATAGGTTCTAACTGTTAAGTGAGACAGACTGACCTGTCTGAGGGACAGCCAAGTCACAAGGTTGAGTGGACAGTATAGAAATCAGGAAAGAAGCCTGAATTGGAGGGAAAGGTTTGGGAAAAGTAAAAAAAAGTAGATGAGAAAATACAAGGAGAGTTACAGTCTGCAGAGAAGGTGTCTTAGGTCAGAATTCTCAGGAGAAATACCATATTTTTGATGAACTACAAATTTTTAATTCTCAAAATCTTCAAATCTTTAAAAAATTAAAATGACAAAATAAAAACTAATGCTATATAAATTTTAAAATATGACTGCATTACAGATCAGAATGTATAAATATTGTGATTATTGTAAATATATAGCCCACCAATAGGATAGAAAAAAAACTGAAAAAAAAATCAACCAATAACAAAAAAGCAGACAAACTTCAGAAATTTCATGGGCAAGTCCTGATTTTTCACACAAGCAAATGATTGGGAAGAAGTTGACAAAACTCATATCAACATTGTAAATCTATTATAAAAGTAAGCCTAAATTCTGCAAAGCTGGGAGGTGAAAGAGATGAAATACAGCAAGAAAAGATTCCATGTGATCTAAAGTAGACAATTTTCTTATAGCAAATATCTGATGTTTAAGTACTAAGTAGACTGGGCAAAATTATTTCACCTATATGCAGCTTACACTTAGCACTAAATGCTCATCTTACCCCTGGCCCCTTGTAATTTTTTTCTTTTGTTTTTTTTTTGTTTTTTTTTTTTTTGAGGCAGGGTCTGGCTCTGTCACCCAGGCTGGAGTGCAGTGCTGCGATCTTTACTCACTGCAGCCTCTGCCTTCCAGGATCCAGCAATCCTCCCACCTCAGCTACCTCCCGCGTAGCTGGGACCACAGGTGCACAACACCATGCCTGGCTAATTTTTATACTTTTTTGGGGAGACAGGGTTTCACTATGTTGCCCAGGCTGGTCTCCAATTCCTAAGCTCAAGAGATCTGCCTGTCTTGGCATCCCAAAGTGCTGGGATTACAGGTGTAAGCCACAGTGCCCAGCGAAGCCTTGCAATTTCTAAAGCCTAAACCTCTCCAACACCTCCCTCTTGATAGAGCAATTTTTATGCTACTGAGCATACACACCTACCCTTGAATAAATACTTTCACTCCAATACCCACTGGGTGAATGTGACACCTAATTAGACCAATGCAGAAAATGAATATGCAATGGTCACAGAAAAAACTCAAATGGTTAATAGAAGACTAAATTTATTTACTTTGCTTACTAACAATGTACTGATTTTCTGTTTTCCAAGTTTAGATTTTACCTAAGGTATGCTTAGGTATCTATTTGGCCCATATGTAAAGTATGCATTTATTTGGTTGACCAATAGTAAGAAAGATATAATGTTGGCTTTTGCTCATATTAACTAATGAATGAGAGAATAAAGAAGAATTTTCTTCCTTATCTGTAAGAGAAACAGATATCTATATCTCATCTAGTCATCTGGATATCTAGATATAGATATAGATAGATATGTTTCTTTTACAGATACATATATGTATATCTGTATATACATATGTATATATATACATACATATATAAAGTTTATATTTAGGTTTGGGGGTCCATGTGCAGGTTTGTTACATACGTAAACTTTTATTTTAGGTTTGGGGGTGCATGTGCAGGTTTGTGACATAGGTAAACTTTTATTTTAGGTTTGGGGTTTTATTTTAGGTTTGGGGGTCCATGTGCAGGTTTGTGGGTCCATGTGCAGGTTTGTGACATAGGTAAACTTTTATTTTAAGTTTGGGGTTTTATTTTAGGTTTGGGGGTCCATGTGCAGGTTTGTGACATAGGTAAACTTTTATTTTAGGTTTGGGGGTCCATGTGCAGATTTGTGACATAGGTAAACTTTTATTTTAGGTTTCGCGGTGCATATGCAGATTTGCGACACAGGTAAACTTTTATTTTAGGTTTGGGGGTGCATGTGCAGGTTTGTGACATAGGTAAACTTTTATTTTAGGTTTGGGGTTTTATTTTAGGTTTGGGGGTGCATGTGCAGGTTTGTGACATAAACTTTTATTTTAGGTTTGGGGTTTTATTTTAGGTTTGGGGGTCCATGTGCAGGTTTGTTACATAGGTAAACTTTTATTTTAGGTTTGGGGGTCCATGTGCAGGTTTGTTAAATAGGTAAACTTTTATTTTAGGTTTGGGGGTGCATGTGCAGGTTTGTGACATAGGTAAACTCATGTCATGGGGGTTGTTGCACAGATTATTTCATCACCCAGGAATTAAGCCCAGTACCCAATAGTTACCTTTTCTGTTCCTCTCCAGAAACAGATATTTTTTAAAAGATCAAGCTAAATTGATAGCATAAACGTTTGTTTAGCAAAAAGACCAATTATTTGAAAATTCCACAAGTGTGTTAATCAGCTATTTTATTATTAATAATCTTCAAGGCAGCAGTTTTAAAGCCTGGTTTAAAGGGAAAAGGCTAGGGGTCAGGGAACAAACTCCCTAAAACTGTGGGGGGAAATGCTGTGGATGTGTCTATATTTTCATTTGTTCTCATGAAAGGGTCCACAGTTTTTATGTGATACTAAAAGAGATTTGTGCACTGATTCTGTGGTAGGCACTGGGATAAGTAGTGAACGGATCTGTTTTTGCCTTTGTGGAGGAGGGAGACATTAATCAAGTAACAATGACTACATAACTATAAACTATGTGATTATAGGCTGTAATAAATACTATTTTAAAAATATGGGAAACTATAAAGCATTTACTACAAATATTGGGTCTAATCCAAATAGGTCAGAAAGTCTTGCCTGAGGCCTTGCCAAAGCCACTTGACACCCAAATTAAGATCTGAAGAGCTAGCACCTCAGGAAAGAGGAGACAGGAAGGCCAGGTTAACCTAAAGGTGTGTGTGCAAGGGCCCAGGAGCAGAGGAAACACGATGATGCCCAGGAATTGGAGAAAGTCTAGAGCACTGGAAGCACAAGATCAAGAATCATTACATTAGATGATGCTGAACAGGGGCTATGGGGCAGAGATTGCAGGTTGTGATAAAGATGTGGTCTTGAAAATCCTGCATGTTCTCATTTATGTGGGAGCTAAACGAGTGGATCTCATGGAAGTAGAGAGAAGAATACTGATTATCAGAGGCTGGGAGGGGCAAGGGTAGGGAGGATGGAGAGAGGATGGTTGAGGGGTACAAAAGCACAGTTAAATAGAAGGAGTAAGTTTTAGTGTTCAATAGTACATCAGGGAAATTGGAGTGAATAACGATATATTGTATATTTTTTAAAAAGCTGCAAGAGAAGTACTGTATTGTTCCCAATAGAAAGAAAAGATAAATGTTTGAGATGATGGATATCCCAATTACCCTGATTTGATCATTACACATTTTGTACAGGTATCAACATATAACACATGACCCCAAAATATGTACAGCTATGATATGTCAATAAATATAACCTTCAAAAAAGATTTTTGTCTTATTTTACAAGCAATGGGAAATCACTGAAAGGCCTTTATGCTGGAGACTGACATCAGCTCTGTGGGGTTTTTTTGTTTTTGAAACAGGGTCATGCTCTGTCACCTAGGCTGGGAGTGCAGTGGTGCAATCCTAGCACACTGCAGCCCTGAACTCCTGGGCTCCAGCGATCCTCCTGCCTCTGCCTCCTCAGCAGCTGAGACCACAGGCGTGAGCCACCATGCCTAGCCATAGATTTGGATCTATGTTTTTAAAAAATATGCTTGAAAGTAATTTATAGAAAAGATTATGAAGAAAGGAAATGGAAGGAGGAAGAGCAGAGAGAAGGTTATCTTATTAGTTGGAAACAGTATCCAAAGTACCTTGGTTTACTATTTGATTTAAATCAAATACCATATTAGGAATATAATCTAGAATACATCATATTGCTTAACTGAATTATTTTAAAATATAAATCATTAACGGCATTCCAAAAATTGTATATTTCAATTCCTAAATCATCCATATTTATTTTCTCTAACTTTAAAAGGAAATGACATATTTCTCAAGAGACTCAGTATACCAAAATTCCCATTAAGAGGTTTGGCTTGAAGATAAAAACAACATTTTAATTATTAATATGTTTTAAAAATGAATATTACCTTTCAAAGAATATCTGCTTGGCCTAAGTATTTCTATTTAATTTATTTTAAAGTATGCAGTTCTAAAATTTAGAGGATCTTAAAGAATCCTGTTTGATTTCAGGGTTATGATAAAATACATAATACCAATAAAACCTGTTAAAGTAGTATTAATTTATTTAGAATAGTAAGTACAAAACTATAACGTCTTATTGTTTATTGTTGTTTGATAAAGACTCAGGGAGGATAAATGAACTAAGGATAACTTTTGCTATGTCCAATAGTATAATTATATGTTAGTCTATCAAAAATATTATAATTTTGGCAACCACTGAAATATTGTCATGTTCCTACAACTGTACATTTTTCTGGTAAAGTTTCTAAATGCAGGACTATGTTTAGAGTCACATTGTATTCCTTGAGAACACATGTTGGAACGACCCCTACATTATTTTGCTGTGCTTTTAGGAAATAATCAGAATGAATTGCATCTGGCTAAGCTTAACTAACTATGATACTAAAAGAAATGATAGCAGGCCCCAAAGCATCACCTTTTAATTTTTTTTAACCTTTAGAGTTGAGGCAGAGGCAAGCTGAATAGAAAATTTAGCTTTATAATTTATTTTTTGTTTCTTCTTGCAAGTCTTAATCTAAAATGGCTTGTTTCTTTATCAAGTGGGTGAGCAATATAAAGAAACTCAATTTTTGAAAAGAAAGCAATTAATTTGGGTTGTATAATAAGACAATGTCTCCAAACTCAGAGGCCAAATGATCGTAACAGTAAAAATTTTGGAAATATTCAGCTAGCTGAAAAAATGTAGTTCATGGAATTGAGATAGTAATCTTAACTCTGATTTCTATTAATACTATATTGAAATAAGAGTAGGTTTTATTACTGAAAACCATGTAGATCAGCTAAAGTTTGCATAAAATTAAAATGTGAATTTTCTGTCATACCACATCATACAAATCAAATCTAACACCACATCTTTCAATTTCATTTTTCATTCTCCAGGTCAAAGAACAGTTCTGAATTTAGCCAGATTTACGTGTGTGAGTCTAACTCCAAAAATAGCTTAGAAAGGTCATTAGGACAACCACAGTTTTGTCTTTCGGGAGAAGTTTGCTTCAGTCCAGCCCACGGGACTGGATTTCTCCAAACATTTCTGTTCAGAGGCCAGAGGTGCACACAATTTCAAACAACACTTTCATGGTTATCGCCAGCACATACGCGTGTTCCACAGCCAGCCTCCTCTACCACGTAAGGCCCACAAAGCGGGTTTATGTGTCTGGTCTGAAAATCCCTGATCCAAAGCCAACCTTAAGAGACATTTCCTGGTTATCAGAAGCTTACCATTTAATGAGATAAACTTCCCAGTTTATTCAAAACATCTGAGATTTAGTGTCAGAGTTATTTCCTTTGCTTTCGACAGGAAGACAATAAATTTCTTCAGTGAGATGGCTTATTTCAATACTATACCACTGTTTCACAGAACACACGCATTTAATTTTACACTTTGAATACTGTTTGCACTGTTATCTCCACCATCTGAAAACTCACCCATTTAAAAGTATTTTATTGCCAAATGAACATGTTTATTCTTGAAGATCAACACACACACATACACACGTACATGTACACACATACATACGTATATTTATTGTTTTCTGCATGAGGCTTTGACTCCACTATATGAAGAGTTTGCAAAGTAATAAAGCATCAATTACTTTCTTTGTGACACTGTGTTGTCAAACACACAAAACACTGAAAAACTGACTTCATTCCCCTAAAGAAAATATGAGACCCTGAGTTGAACCAAGTTAGTTTAAAGCAACCAGAAGTTTAAACACATCATCCCCAAAGTTAAAGCTTCTGATTAAGGGGGCTCTCGCAGGTAGCAGGAATGGGCAATACCCACCGTCTTGCTGAGGTAGCTCGTGCTGGTGTTCATGCACTGCAGCCCCTCACTATTGCAGCAACCCCCACATCTGTAGACGGACACACATGGAGGTTTAAAGAAGGTGTTTGTCGCGACTCCAAACTCCTTCCCCACATCTATACACACCTCCCGTGGCATGCATTGAGTCTTTCTCCACTCATTATCAATACCTGTCAAGTCATAGGGAAATCAGTAAGTTTTACGGAAACCACCAAGATAAAAAAAGCCCACAGCAGCTGCAAATCACTCACATTCATTTCAGATTTTAACATTTAAGTTCAATATATAACTAAAGAGACAGCTGATGGGATCCTAAATTGACTTGTGAATGAGAATGATATAACATTGAAAAGACAAGCTAAGGATATTTCTTAAACTCATTTCTATAGCTAGGCAATAAGAAAAATTAGCATTATGCTTTATTAAAAGTACACCAATATCCCACAACACTAATGTTTGGTTTTTCTTTCTTAGGAAAATGGTAATTTAATATATGAATGTTTATAAGATGTGCAGAGAGAGTCATGTTCATTCTCTATAGTATGGGCCATTTTTGTGCTCTCAATGCAAATATAAATATAATTTTATTTTTCTTTAAAACTGAGTTGCATATGAGAAGACAGCTATGGTTTTAGATTCAAGTCAAACGTCCTTTTCAGGCGGACTATTTGGCAACCTTGAGTAATGTCGTGGCTGCAGCTACATAAAATACAAGGCTATTTTTCACCAACTGGGACTCATTCTGAACTTTCTTCAGCAAAGTCAATATTTCCTATCCCTTTTAACTCTCCTCTGGAATTTTGTTTCTGATGAGTTAGTAGCTTACCTATAATACTGTTGACTTTTTAAATTCTGCATTACAAATAATGTACTTCCTAAGTATACTAGTTTACTTATCCCATATTTCCCCTAAAATAGAATTTTTGGAAAAGGACATAAACTATTGGTTATACAACCATGAAGCCATTTTGTTTGCCTCTGTTCTCAAAATACTTTCCAATATCAAACTTTTATAGCGATTAAGAGCTACCAACTGAAGGCAAATATGTTTTTAAATTACTCCACCACTTTTTAATTTTTTTTAATAGAGATGAGGTCTTGCTGTGTTGTTCAGGCTGGTCTCTGACTCTGGCTTCAAGCAATCCTCCCACTTTGGCCTCCCAATGGTCTCGGATTACAGACATGAACCTCTGTGCCCAGTCATACCCCACCAATTGATGCTATGACATTTTATGCAACATGATCATTTTTTGTGAAGCTTTATGCTAGATACCTCATCAGCTTAAGTCCCGCTCTGAGCCAGTTATCTGTGAAGCAGCAAAGCAACAAGTGACATCTGAAAAGGTGATTTCAAATGAAGCATTTCTCAATCCAAATCAGATAGGAAATTAAGGTATAATTATTTGATAAGATAAAGAATGTTTAAGTTATTAAACAGATATAGTATGTAAAATATAGCCATCTGTTTTAAAAATTTTCCAATGGCTATCACCTGAAAAAATAAATGTGTGTTGTTTATGCATGGACCTATCTATCCTGTATTTTATGAAGTCATCTTAATACTCAAAGTGAAATCATAAAATGTTGTATTTTGAAGTAATTCTTTATTTTCTATTTGCTTTCCGCCCTAAAGGTGTATTCGGTGATACAAACACTGAAATTAAAGAACCAGGCTGGCAACTTCTACTGGTTTGATATATAAGGCTTACTATACATTTTATTTCCCATACTTACTTTTCAAGATCTCTGTATTATAATGTGCTGCAGCAAATTTTATAGTCTCTTCTGTCCTTGAGTTGAGGTTGGCCTGTTCTCTGTTATGTTGCCAGCCTCCTTTCCTTAGCTGACACTTGTACATTTTCCAATATTCTGGGTAGAGTACAGTCATGAGTTCATCTACACTGGACACAGACCGTAACTGCTCCTCCAGATCTTTGCTTGCATAAGCCTGTCAAAGAAAAATGCAAGATCAATGACTTACCAGCTTAAGGGATTTAGAAACAAATGCACTATAAAACGGTTAGGTTTAATAGTATCTATGCTCCGTTCCCTAACACAAATATTATTAATTACTCCTAAATTACTTCACTTTCCTTGGTAAAATTATATTTGTATTTTAATTTGTATGAACCAAAACAATTAAAAATACATATTTTGTTGTTAGGAAAAAAATTTTGTGATATAATTTTAAAATAATTTTAAGGTAGCTTATTTATTTTATTCATAGCTCTTTCAAATAATTGGTCAATTTGTATGTTTGAAAATTTATTCATTTGTATCACTCTACTAAACAGATAAAATTACACTGAAATCCACCCTAATGCTTTGCTTTATTTTTAGTTACCAGCAACAATACAATATGCTTAAGCAGGATGCTTGAGAGTAGGAATTTTACTTTCATGGGAGCTATTTTAGAACAAATAATCATATGAAGAAAGGAATTTCAACAACATTGTCACAGTAAGATTTATATTTTGGCAGAATCTCTCAATATTTAAAAGAAAATTTTATCATCAAGATTAATACCACCTTCATAGAAATGAAATAGTTCAGAGAACACTAAATCTTATTGACGGCTAACTGCATACATAAGTATACTCATTTAAGTAGAACATTCCAAATTATATTTTAGTAGTTACCATATCTAAGAAATAAATACAATTTTTTTCTAATTATGCTTTAGAATTAGGAAAAAGGAAACTTGTATAGCTTTATCTATCTGCCAAGTAAAATACAACATCAATTGTTTATTTTATATTGTCATGATTATCCCAGCTTTTAAATATAAATATGTAAGTAAATACTTTGGACACTGGTTCTCAAAGTTTAGTCGAATAAGAGTCAATGAACTAACTGTCAGAAATGCAGGTAACTGTCCCCCACCTCTCCATGGTTTCTTGGGTGGATCAAGAACCTACATTTTAACAGATTATAGTTTTCCTGTCTAATTTTTGAGCACAAAATGAACATATTTGCCTTAAAATTGAAATCTTATTTAATCTGAAAAGTATTTTTCACTTCTATTTTTAATAATCGAAGTTATTCTATGTAAGTGATTTTTGTACCATATATTGAGAAACATAATCTAATCTCATTTTTTAATTTCATTATAACAGAGCCTCCTAAAAATAAAAGTCAATTATTAATATGAAATGTGTTGTTCCCTATTAGATAATGAAGTTGGCTGTGAATGTTGAGTTTACCCTTTCACTACCATTTATGGTATGATTTGAGTATATCACTTAATCTCTGTAGGTCTATGTTAGAAAAATATTTATATTATTCCATTACTTTCTGAAGTATATGGGATGATTCCTGATACACCATACAGCCATAGAAAATCTACTGAATATGGGAAGGGTGGAGGTGGAGAGGAGATCTTAGTTTAAATGAAAGTTACAAAACATCCTCTCACAGTTTCCCAATTAGATGTTTATAAAATATTTGCCAAAAAAACTCACTTATGACACAACATTCAAAACTCAAAAGTGTTTCAGAATCTCAAAAGGTTACTACTGAAGGGAAAATTTATAAAAGTGATTATAAAAATAACAATATGTGAGGTGATGGATATGTTAACATGATTATGATAATCATTTCACAATGTACATGTACAGCAAAACATCGCATCACATACCTTAAATATATACCATTTTTATTTGTCAGTCACACCTCAATAATGTTGGAAAAAAAACAGTGTACAGGTGTATTTGTGGTCACTGTTACCTGCAGTAAAATGTGACAGATCAGTTTTTGTTTGTCTCTGCTTGTTGAATAGCCCTAGAAGAAAAGGAGCAATAGGGACCTGTGTGTGATTGGAAGGTTCCTGGAACTCTCCACTACAAGTCAGCTGTGATTCAAGACAGGTTGTGACCTAAACTGATCACATCTATTTCCAGAACAGGTCTGCATGTTCAGCCTAGCAAGAGGAGCTGCAATACAACATCCTTACACAATATAATAAAAGATATTCACCGAACTGTTAAGAAAGGGATGATGGTAGACAGAGACTTTCAATTAAGTATTATTTGAAGTTTTAAGACAGACAAATTAGTACCGTAAAACTTCGAAATGAGAAATAACTATAACAATATTTATATTTATTAAAAAAACACTGTTCCTCAATAGATCAGCTGGAGAAAAACATAAGCATAACATTCACAATAGAGAAAATGCAATATTAAAAAATGAAAAAAGTAGAAAAGCTATTATATTTATACTCTTAGGCTGAAAAAGGCCTTTTTAAAGTGAATATAAAATAAAATGAAAATTTTTGTATGGCAGAAAACACTGCAAACAAATTAAAAGACAATAAAGTACGAAATTATTTGCAATATACATAATGGATAAAAATGGACTAATATTCTTAAAACACTGCATGAATACTGGTGCTTCAATAGAAAGATGGACAAAGAAGGTGAACTGAATATTAACGAAGAAGAAATATAAATAATACATATTGTATGATGGCAAAAGTGAAAGAAACTATAATTCTTTTCAATCCTTTTCAATCTATATCTAAGAGACCCCCAGACTAAAGTTCAAGTTCATTCTTTTAACAAATTAGCACCTGAAGTTTTCTTGCATTTGTAGCAATTAGCACCTAATTTGTTAAAAGAATGAACTTGAATTTTAATCTGGGGGTCTCTTAGGTACAGATTGGTTTGAGGAACCTGAGTAGAAAGATATCACTAAAAATGGACCAAACTAGAGGTTTTCAGGGGAGCCAGATAATATCAATGAGAAGATGCATGACTCATTAGTTTTTGAGAAAAGAGGATTTCAAACCCAATTTCTCCTTCAGTGGAATCCGTGAAAGTGGATGGAAAGGCCTGAATAAATAATGTAAACATTGCTTAGCTATTCAGAAGATAACATATGGAGAGAAGAAAGAAAACACATTCATTGAAAAAAAAAAACTCTTCAGAGAGCTTTTTTTTCAGAAGAAAATATTTGTGATCATAGATGAAGCAAAGTTTTCTTACACTTAATACCAATAGCAATTTACATAATTTTTAAAGTGACAAATTATATTTCCAGAAAATCGAAATATTCTGCTTTCCATAAAACACACAAATGATAAACAGTGAGAAAACATTTACAAAGCACATAACTGGTAAAGACTTGTATCTGAAATATAATCAAAAACACAAACATGGACAAATGATTTGATCAAACTCACCAAAGAAGATAAGCAGTTTACAAACCAACAAAAAGAAGTAATATAATGCATTAAATTAGAGAAATGCTTATTAAAACCTTAATAAGACACCACTCCACACCCATTAGAGTGGATAAAATTAAAAATACAACCCTAAGTGCTCACAAGGACGTGCAGCAACTGGAACTCTCACATGTTGCTGTTGAAAATGTAAATCTGTACAGCCACTTTGCAAAAACAGTTGGGCAGTTTCTCACAAAGTTAAACATATACTTACTAAAATTTCAGTCCTGTATAGTATCTGTTTAGGTGAAACAAAAACTTATGTTCACATAAAAATTTGTATGCAATATGTTTATGGAGGGTTTACTCATAATAATGAAAACTGAAAACACCCAAATGTTCTTTAGCTGGGCAAATGGATAAAATGTGATTGTACATTCATGTAATGGAATATCCAACAATGAAAAGAAGACTACTACTGATATCTGCCACAATAGGAACAAATCTCAAATGCATTAAAACAAGTAAAGCAAGCCAGATTCAAAATGCTACATGATGTGTGATTCCTTTATATAACATTCTTTAATAGGCAAATCTACAGGGGGAGTAACAGAAGTCATTGTAAAAGGCTAGAGGCGGAGAATGAGTATGACCACAAAGTGTCACCAGGGAATATGTTTGGGAAGGGGAGAAGTGATGTATCTTGACTGTGGGGATGGTGGTTATACAACTCTAGTTGTCAAAACTCGCTATAAACAGTAAATTTCTCCATATGTAATTTCACCCTTATTAAAAAGAATAGATCCTAAATCTAAATTTTAAATACACATAAACTGAGAGCTAAATAGAATTTAAAATTTCATCTAAAAACTTAAACCCAAAGAAACTAAAAGGTAAATTTAAAGGGGAGACACAACCCTAATGCTCTTGATTTCTCAGCAATCTAAAGAACTTTAAAAAAATAATTTTGCTTTCATTCTAGAAATAAATTGCTTGGTACAAACAGGATTTTATGAAATTTCTTTTTTGTTGTTTTCAGATGGTAAGACCTTATCTTCTGAGACCTCTGAGTTGACAGCAATATTAAATTATGTTGAAGATCTTGACAAAACTAGTAATCTGTGGTCTTATTTGTGTTTTGCTTCTAGTCACCAGCTAGGTAACTTTGAATAAGTTACTAAAATTCTCTGGGTCTCAGTTTCTCCATTTATAAGACAGTGAGTATAATAACTGTAAAAACTTCTATTGCTTTATGTTTTTATACATAAACATACAATAAGTATGGCCAAGTACAATAAATAAAAGATTAAATAAGAAAGTCACCAAGTTACTTCTAGTTTAGGTGAAATCCACATGGTGTTTGGTTATATTATTATCTGTAATTTTGGCAAATAGTTTATAATTTGAAGCATATTTAGCAGTTACTGTAATAAATAAATTAGTTATTAAAAACCAAGAATTTAGCACTGAGTTTGTTCCACTACAAGTGCTCAGCAAACAGACTACACTATCACATTTTTATGTTAGAAAACCTATCTTTAGACTAAGAAATATACGCGAGAATTTCTAAAACAAATAACGTTCACCTTTTGAAACTAAAAATAACCCCTTTTGTGGACAATCAATGTCAAATGTGAAGTCATTATGAACTAAGTGCAAAAACTGAGTGAAAGGAATTTGCAGACTTTAAGAAACTGCTAAAAATAGCAAAAACTAAGTGGCAGAAGGAATTTACATTTCTTTAGGAAACCTAAAGGAATGTAAAAGTATTTGAAAAGAAAATGTTTAGAATGAACATGTGCGTTTATTATACATTCATATCCAAAATTGAGGGTTTCAGTTATAAAATGGCTGTGGGAAAACAATCAACAGACTTCTAAGCATGTAATTTTATAATAATATTTTTTAAAATTTAAACTGATAATTTTATGCCTTTGTATGAAAGCAGAAATTAAATAAATGTAATTTAAAAGCATTCAGCCATTTTTTTTTTCTTTTTACCTTCAATGACTGGCAAAGCAAATGTTTCTGATTTTGCCAAAAATGCTATCTATAGATGATGAAGAGGCCAGTTATTGCTTTGAAAAAAGGGTCTATTTCAAGCCACCTCTGTCATGGAATTTTGCTGTTTTCAATCTGTTTCATCTCCTCTGGGAACTCCTTCCTACATCACTTTCTAACTGTAAAATAAATGATCCAAATACAATTTTTAAATCCCCATGTTCTATTATAATTTCTGAAAACCAGTCTTTCAGGTATAAATGGAAATCTGTCTTCTGTTCATTATATGACTTTAGATATTTTTAAAATATTGTTCTTTATCCAGCACTTATAGCCTGTAATTTAAGACTACTTTGCTTATCATTATTTCATCAGGGTAATGTTAGTGATTGTGTATTTTTATTTTAACAATTTAAATTTCCACTGTTTGGATGTAAAATGACAGCATTCTGACTCATCGGTCTTTGAACCGATAAGTTTCACTATTCACACATAAAACAGGAAAGAAAAGAAGAAGACAAAAAAATTACTAGTGGATATATGCCAGGACCACCTTTTCTTGTTTCAGCACTGGATGTTTTGGACAGAGGCTCTTAGAGGAAATCTTCCCAGAAATTAAATTCCTATTTTTGCCCATTCTGGTGTGTAGGAAGAGTTCAATGGAAATTGTGAAACACAAAATGTAAGAGGTTACATATGCAGGCTTCTGAACAGGGGCAATTTTGAACAGAATACTGCAGGGTTGAAGTTGGACTCTGGAGAATTTACCATTGACCTGAAAATGTAAGGGGCCATGGGACCACATAACATCATGCCAGCTGCTTCAAAGAGGTGCCTGCCATTTAGGTCATTTTCAAAATCATCATTTGAGAGGACTGTGAAATTGTTTCAGTGAATTATATAAAATTGTTTCCTGTAATCTTTCAAAATGTATTTTATGTAAATTGGCACATTTAAATAGCCTTCTATAATATCTTAAATAGCAAAGCCTTTGGAAACTAATTTGCCTTAATTGAAATAGGTGCACCTGTTCATTCAAAAGCAAATTTACCTCATTACATGCTAGAAAAAAGACACTATCTCCACCTTGAAGCCCCACCTCGAAGACCCACCTCCTCCATGGAATCTAGACCTAAAAAGTACTTCTCAATTAGGAGAAAAATCTTGGAAGTAATTTGCACCTAAGTCACTAGTGCAAAAACAGAAGACCACATGCTTTTGGACAATGATAGCTTTGAATTTCACTGTTTCTTAAAGTTCCCCCATATTTCTAGAAAGCTTTCCTAATAAAATGCCCATATTTTGTATAAATATCCTATAGGTAAATTTTGTAGTGTTTTCTCTTGATTTATATAACTTTAAATAACTACTTGTCGGCCTATGCATATAGGCCGATATATAATAGTTAAGAGACTAGCTTTTAGACTTGGAATTTTACTCAGCTGTACCACTTATCACCTGTGGAACTTGAGTACATCATTTCCTCTCACTGTGCCTCAATTAGTTCTACTATAAAAAATATAATAGATGCACCTGCCTTGTAATTTCTTGTGATGATTTAAAAAGATGTCTTTATAGAATTTAACATAATGCTTAGTACACGTAACACTTCATAAGTATTAAGATATTTTCTCTGAGGCATTAAGTGATTTAAGTATTTTGAAGTTTAAATTTATACACATTTAAAAAATAAAAGACTCTTTCTTGGTTGTAAGTACTCATTTGAATGAAAATATTTCTTGCAGTGATTTAAAAATATTTCTTTAGTAAAATTAATTTTGCATAATTGTTTGTTAAATAATTAATTGTTAAATATTTCATGACTGCTTCAAAAATTTTCATATTCCTAATAAGGTACTGTTCACCAAATTAAAAACAATTCTTGGCTAAACACATAGCAATAGAAAAAACTATAGACTAAATATTTATCAATGCACTACACAGTGAAGCATAAGTCATTTTAATTTTAAGGATGGATTTTTAAGTAATGATCCTTCCAGTTCAACAAATGATAACTAATGTTTTTATTTTAAGTATTCTTAAACAAAATATATATCAGTATATAAATTTTAAGTGGTTATACAAAACATACACTATTTACAAACCTGACTGATAATATTAATGAAAAGACCACCCACTTTATTGTATTAACTAATAAACATCCTAACGTCAAATGTAAACCAACATTGAAAAAGAAATGTAAACCACCATAAAAATTAGTTCATTGAAGGAGGGAATTATATTATAAAGTTTGTTGAAAAATATTCTATATTTATTAACATTAATGTTAAATGTTAATAAATATAGAATATGTTTATAATATATATAGAATATGTTTATAATATATAAATATAGAATATATTTATAATATATAAATACAGAATAAATATTATAAATATAGCATATTTTCCAACAAACGTTATAATATAATCTCTTTTTAACATTTCTATGTTAAATTTGAGATGTTTTACAAATCAATAAAATATAGACGAATCCAGAATTTATTCAATGTTTCCTGAAAGATAATTTATGTCTTTTAGTGTTCATGTAATTTATGAATGTTCAAAATAAAAAGTTTGAAAAGAAAATATACCTTTCTTCACTTGATTAAAAAAGGCCCCAAATAATAATATAAATTCAGATTCTGAACAGAATAATCATAAAAATAGTTATATATTAACTATTGTAGGATAACTGCTTTTCTCCAGTAAAGCCATCCTTAGAAAATCATATCAATTCTTCACAATTTATTTTTAGCATATTTTATTCCTTAGTGATTATTTGAAAATCACCCACGTTTTCAATTCCCATCATATATAATTACAAATTGGGTTTAAAATATATTTATATATCTTTATAAGCTACAGAAGCAGAAAGCAGAAGATGAACAGAATATGTCTTGCAAATGAGAGATATTGTGGTACATTCTTCAGTTGCTGAATAAAGGTTTAATGGTTGTGATGGTGATAATAATTTAAACAAACTGAACAAACTGTCCTCTTGAAAGAATAAGATGCTAATACAGCTAACAAGGGAAGTGAAAGACCTCTTCAAGGAGAAGTACAAACCACTGATAAAAAATTCAGAGAGGACACAAGCAAATGGAAAAGCATTTCATGCTCATGGATAGGAAGAATCAATATCATGAAAATGGCCATACTGCCCAAAGTAATTGATAGATTCAATGCTATTTCCATTAAACTACCATTGGTATTCTTCACAGCATTAGAAAAACTTTTAAAAAATTCATATGGAATCAAAAAAGAGCCCAGATAGCCAAGACAATCCTAAGCAAAAAGCACAAAGCTGGAGGCATCACACTACCTGATTTCAAACTATACTACAAGTCAACAGTAACCAAAACAGCAGGATACTGGTACAAGAAGAGACACATAGACCAATGGAACAGAACAGAGAACCCAGGAATAAAGCCACACACCTACAACCATCTGACTTTTGACAAACCTGACAAAAATAAACAATAGAGAAAGGACTCCCTATTTAATAAATGGTGCTGGGAGAACTGGCTAGCCACATGCAGAAAATTGAAACTTGACCCTTTCCTTACATCATATGCAAAAATTAACTCAAGATGGATTAAAGATTTAAATGTAAAACTCAAAACTACAAAAATCCTAGAAGATAATCTAGGCAATACCATTGAGGACACAGGCATAGGCAAAGATTTCATGACGAAGACGCCAAAAGCGATTGCAACAAAAGCAAAGATTGACGAATGGGATCTAATTAAACTAAAGAGCTTCTTCACAGCAAAAGAAACTATCATCGGAGTTAACAGACAACCTACAGAATGGGAGAAAACTTCTGCAATCTATCCATCTGACAAAAGTCTAATATCCAGAGTCTACAAGGAACTTAAATTTACAAGAAAAAAAAATCCCATTAAAAAGTGGGCAAAGAACATGAACAGAGACTCTTTATCCAGTCTATCATTGATGGGCAATGATTTTATAATATAATGATTTATATTCCTTTGGGTATATACCCAGTAATGGGATTGCAGGGTCGAATGGTATTTCTGCCTCTCAAAAGAAGACATACATGCAGCTGACAAACATATGAAATAAAAGCTCAATATCACTGATCATTAGAGAAATGCAAAATCAAAACCACAATGAGATACCATCTTATTCCAATCAGAATGGCTATTATTAAGAAGTCAAAAAACAACACATGCTGGTGGTGTTGTGGAGAAAAAGGAACCCTTTACACTGTTTGTGGGAGTATTAATTAGTTTAACCATTCTGAAAGACAGTGTGGTGATTCCCCAAATACCTAGAGGCAGAAATACCACTTGACCCTGCAATCCCATTACTGGGTATATACCCAAAGGAATATAAATCATTATATTACAAAATCATTGCCCATCAATGATAGACTGGATAAAGAGAATGTGGTACATATACACTATGGAAAACTATGTAGCCATAAAAAGGAACGAGATCATGTCCTTTGTAGGGACATGGATGGAGCTGGAAGCCATCATCCTGAGCAAACTAATGCAGGAGCAGAAAAGCAAACACTGCATGTTCTCACTTATAAGTGGGAGCTGAATGATGAGAACACATGCACACATGGGAGGGAACAACACACACTGGGGCCTGTTGTGGGGGGAGCGTATGAGGGTAGGGAACGCATCGGAAGAATAGTTAATGGATGCTGGGTTTAATACCTATGTGATAGGATGATCTGTGCAGCAAACCACCATGGCACACATTTACCTACGTAACAAACCTACACATCCTGCACATGAACCCCTGAACTTAAAAGTTGAAGAAAAGAAAAAAGAAAATCAAAGAATAAGATGCTAGACCTCGGCAAATGGTGGGAACAAACCACAGATTGAAATCGAGAGAGGAAGGTTTTGAGATCATTAAAGAAATAAAATAAAACAAGGTAAGTAATAAGTTGACACTTGCAAGTCTAAATGCCAGGCTAATAGGCATTATGGCTATAGAATATATATAACTATATATTCGATATATCGAATATATATAACTATATATTCGATATATCGAATATATATAACTATATATTCGATATATCGAATATATATAACTATTCGATATATAGAATATATATAACTATATATTATATATTCTATATATTCTATACATATATTCTATATATATATTCTATATATAGAATATATAACTATATATAGAAGTTATATATATAGAATATATATAACTATATATAACTATATATTCTATATATAGAATATATATCTATATATAGAATATATAACTATATATAGAATATATATATAGAATATATATAACTATATATTCTCTATATAGAGTATATATCTATATAGAGTATATATAACTATATTTATAAATAAATATATATAACTATATATTTATATATAGTTATATATATTCTATATATAGTTATATATAACTATATATTTATATATAGTTATATATATTCTATATATAGTTATATATATATTCTATATAGAGTATATAGAGTATATATAACTATATATTCTATATATAGAGAGTATATATAACTATATATTCTATATATAGAGAGTATATATAACTATATATAGAACATATGTAACTATATATTCTATATATAGAGAGAGAATACATATAACTATATATATATTTGATCAAATCTAGCCTTCCCTAATAACTGGAATACTCACATTATTTTCTAGATGTGGCTCCAAATAACTTATTTTAGATTTGCCATCGTCATTTATACTATTCAGAAGAAAACACTGCCACAGGTCATGGAGACATTTTCAAAAGTAAATATTCCAAAAACGTCCTAAGCAAAGACAAAAATCACATTTGTCCGAAGTTCAGGTGATTTTTGTTTCATTGCACCTTAAACAGTTTTATATATGTAGAACCTCAATTAACACGTTTATTACAATAAATAACGTTCAAGGAATGAATAGCAAGTACTCAACAAAAGTTTGTTGTATAACGTTATCATCGATTAGTTAACCAGGTTAAGAGCTTTCTGGATTTGAAAGTTAAACCAAAAAGAGGAATATAAAGTATCTTTAGATTTACATTCTTAATTCATCAATTATTTTTATCAATGTAATTAATTGTTCATTGTCCAATATCTCTTATGTATTGTTTGTTGCCACATGGAAGAGTCCAGGTATTTATTTTTAAACCAAATGCTCCATTTTGGTAGGCTTTCTTAGTAGATCGGAAAGTTATACAACACAGGGAAGATTATGTTTGTTACATTTAAATCCTAACATTGCAGCATGGAAACATTTTTAGTGTACGGAACAGGAAAAAAATGTTTGTGCTAATTCCTGCTGATTTAATTGTTGGAATAATGACGGGGTTTATGTCAATCACTCTAGTGCCCAGGGCTGTGTGAGCTGGACAATCAACATTGATGAAAATTATATTGGAACATTCCACAGGCACATTAAAACCCGAACATTTCAGGCCAGAGAGTCCACTTAGGGGGTTGATTTATCTGGTTTGGTTTATTTTTAGTGTCATAGCAATTGGGAAACTGTCAGATAGCTACTGAATTATGCTTTGTATGTGATGTCTCAGACCGTCAGATCTTAATTTTAAACGGAGTACACACACACAGTGTCTCTTTCATCCTAAAACACATTATTCTATGGATAATAAAAAAAGATAAAATGTAACCTTCACTTGAAAAACCATTACATGTATATTGCAAATTGAAATGTTTGGTGCAACTGTTACTGATTGTACTGTTCATTAGAAAAAAGAAAATCTGAATTGCAACCAAGATCTACATAAAGGAAAGGAAAGGTGAACTAGAGAGATTCACATTATACAGTTTCTTGACATGTAACCAGATTTTGGAAGAAAAGTTATAAATGATACATTATTAAAGTAAGTCTCCTAATTAAGTTGTTTTTTTCTCCTCCTCCTTCTTCATGTATTTAAGCACATAATTTAAGAGGAAAATAGCGATATGCAGATCAGAAATATTAATTCAAACCCTAGTTCCTCTGTTTTTTGTTTGCTTGTTAATTTTTTGTTTGATTTATTTTAGATTCAGGGGCCACATGTGCAGGTGGGTTACAAAGGTGTATTGTTTCAGGCTTCAATTTGGCTTCTACAACCCTTGTTCTCCTCCCTCTTTCCCCCCATTTTGGAGTCCCCAGTGTCTACTGTTTCCATCTTTATGTGCTTACATGACCACTGTTTAGCTCCCGTATAAGTGAGAACATGAAGTATTTGATTTTCTGTTTCTGTGTTAATTCACTTAGGAAAACGGCCTCCAGCAGAGTCCATGTTGCTGCAAAGCACATCATTTCATCCTTTTACGGACGCATAGTATTCCATGGTGTGTATGTACCACATTTTCTGTATCCAGTCCCCCGCTGATAGGAACTTAGGCTGATTCCATGACTTTGCTATTAAAAATAGTGCTGCGATAAACATGAGTGCAGATGTCTGTTTGACAGGATGTTTCTTTTCCTCTTATATAGTACCACCCGCATACCAGTAATGGGGTTGCTGGGTCAAACTGTAGTTCTATTTTTAGTTCTTTGAGAAATTTTCATATTGTTTTCCTTAGGATTGAACTAATTTACATTCTCACTAAAACTGTGTAAATGTTCTTTACTTTTTCATCCACCCTCAAATAATTATTAATTATCATTCTGATTCTCAGCTTTCTTAAGCTTAAATGTGTTTCATAATAACTCTCTTGAAGGCTGTTCTAAAGATGAAAATGCTTAATATGTTTCAAAATGGCATATCACCATCTTTATACATTTTCTTAACACTAACTTGTAAGTTGTAAAATTGCAAAAGTCAGACCTAATCTTAATTTTATTCAAATTCCCCCATGATTGTTGGTGTAAGTCTTGTTTATGATGATGTGAAAAGCCAAACATTGAATTTATTCAACAAAAATTTATATGGCAAGAACTCAGTCAGGTGCTGGAGAAGACAAGTGGATGTCTCCTAAGTTGAGACAGTAGTCATTCTGATATTACGGAAATATTACAATGATAAGCAACTGAGTTTAGCGAACTACAGAAGCGAGCCCAAGTGGGTGCTGCATCAAAGGAACCGGAAGAAGCAGATACTGAAGGCCAGAAATACTCAGTAAGGGACTGGCTGCCCAGGAAAGTGAGAAGCACAAGAACAGATCAAGTGAGAGAGTCAAAAGGTAGACCTGGGCAAACACCTGTATTGAGCAGTGCTGGCAATTCTCCTAGCACATTCTCAACTTCTTGTGTCCTGTGATAGGCCATCTGCATTCAAATAACTGAAGAAATAGTAGATGATAGAAGCTTGTTTCCAAACTATCTATTTTCATATTTAAAAAAATGCTAAAAATATTTGGGACAAAAAAATCTGTAATAAAGTGTGTATGGAGGTATTTGATATGCCCTGTTAATTAATAAAAACTGAAATAATGTCCAATAAAAATTGTACAATAGAATCATAAAGTAAGCATAAATGATTAAAACTCTTGTCATGACAACTGACTAGAGACGGGATGTACCATGCACAATTATGTAGTCACCGGATATAAATAATGTATAATATATGTAAACAACATTGGTGAAAAACAGCATATAATAATATAATCTGTATAAAACAATATATTATACCGATATATAAATATATAAATTATGAAATATATAATATTATAGATAGATATAGATATATATGTCTGATGCTCCAGGATAGCAGATAATTGGCTTAAATCTCTCCAGCAGCAGTGGCATGTTATTTTATATTTCAGCTTCTACTGTTTTATTCATATGGATATAAATGTATGTAGGCATTTAATAGTATATGTTATTCTGTGATTTTAAAATATTTATTCTGCAAGCTAAATAAAAATCACCTTTCTAACCTCTTCATAATACCTCAGCAATGTAAATGTGAAACAAATATTGTTTCTGTCCTATGACCCCAATCTTGTGTGGACTCCATATTTAAGTCCACACAAATTTATCAATATTTTCATTTCCAAAAATGTTGGTCATCATTCCAAAAGGGAACAATAGCCACAATTCCCAGAAACATTTGTTACTAGATTTTTAAAGATTAGCTATCCATTCTCAAATTCATTACCTGACTCAAAATTTTCATGTTTACAGCATTAGTAAAATTTGAATGTAGTAAAAATCCCATTCTAAGGAAAAAAATGTCACTTTATGTTGAAAATGTTTGATGGTGATTAACCCTGGATTCTCATTTATATGAATCCATTGACTCTGTCTGGCTATGAAGTCACCAGATCAAATTATTTCAATGAACTAAATTATACAATACCAGTCTCCAATTTATAAACATAATTTATTACTAAGCTATGAGTAAGAATATACAGAGTGCTCAGAACATCTAGAGAATTCAGGGCAGCAGGTACACAATTTAAAAAGAAAAAAAAAACCTATTTTCTTAGAAATGCTCAAGTGTCCAGGGCTAACTTTTCCTTCTGAAATATCAAGGTTCTTTTCTGAATGGAAAAGTAACTCTCCATTCCGTTTATAACCGAGGGTTCAAGTGGGAGGCAATGTAGTAGGCCTATAGCTACAAAGTTCAGTAGGCAAGGCCTGTTCCTGTATAGCCTTAGGATGAAAGATGGCATTTAGCAGAGGAGATTTTGGCATCTCCATCCCAATATTTTTATAAAGTCATTGATGAAGAAAAAGATATCAACACGTTTATTATAATAGTAACAATTATTAGTATGTTTATTATTGTTGACCAGGGTCTGTGCTAGTTTTTAAAAAATACATTATCATCTCTCCTATAATACTTCAGTGTAGATAATATTAATTTGTTTTATAAATGAAGAAGCTGAGGCTTAGAGAGAGGTTAAATAGCTGACAAAAGGTATGCAGCCAGTAAGTAGGAAAGAGAAGACTGACTCAAGCCCATATGCTTATGATTTTTGCACTAATTACAAAGCCTGTGTTACTTACACCATATTACATTATTTCTACGCTAATTCCAAAATCCCCTAACTTTTACAAGCCCTAGTTGTAGTGCAGCCTTGATAACTGGGTCCCAGCCTTACCTTTTCTGTCTGAATTCTCCAGACAACCAGCTTTTTACTGGTCCACAATAGAGACTGTCCTACGTGCTAGTAACTGACCAAGGTTTCAAGGACAGGAAGTCCTGAATCAAACATCTCAGCCACTTATCCTTAGGGACTTCCAAGCTTTACCCTTTTCTTGAATCCCTTGGGAGGCTTTATCAATTCCTTTATAAGTCATCCAGTTGATAATTACTTGCCTGAATATCTACTGGTGCTACCATCACTATATCAATGATTATAAAACTTTTGTTAAAAATGCATATATGTAATTTCTTTTTTGTTAAAAAAATTTTCAACTCCCAGGTCCATCTCCTGAATTATTTGTTCATCATTTGACAATCAGGCATTCCATGTGATTAGATCTCGGGAACACTCATTCAACAGCGCACACTGTGCTGCGTGTTCCACCTGAACCTGCCAGGAACCGAGGATTTATCTGCCTTCACTGCCTGACTAGAGAAATAGCCAGATAGAGTTCCAGGAACTGTCACTAGAAAGTGTCCCCAACTAATGGGGCACACATCCTGGCCTACCAACAATTCATGGGAAAAGTCCAGGTACTTTAGGTATTTACAGGTTCATCTGAAGCCAAAAATGTGATGTCCTGCTAACACTATACTGGGACCTGCTTGGGTCTGTCCTGAGAAGATCACAGATGGAGTATTATGTCCAGTTGTAATTGTCACATTTTAAGACAGAGGGGAATGATCAGATGGGGATGACAGCAACAGTGAGAATATGGAAAGTCAGGCTGTATAAAGTGTGGTTCAGAGAACAAGAGAGATGTAGCATGGGAAACATAAGCCTGAAGAAAGAGATATCTTTTTGCAAATAATGGCTGTGGACATATGGAAGACTTCTTTTCTATTACTGAGAGGACAGAGCCAGTACCAGTGTACAAGGGCAAAATTTTAATTCAGTTTAAGAAATAGTTTTCTAAGACCTAGGGCTTCCCAATAATGTAATGTAAAGGAGTGAAGTCAACATAAAACAGAAGTCAAGTAATTTGTGAGGTATGCCAAGAAAGATACCAGGCCAGGGACAGTGAAGAAAACATTAGTACTAGAAGATAATACCACAGAGCATTTTCTATTTATTAGTCACCATTTGTTTTCATCATTTTCAAAAATGAGACAAGCAAGGTGTCTCTGTGACACACAAAAAATACCTTATCCTCACCTTGCCTCAGTCTGTGCTACCTTTCTGCTCTCTGCTTATATATATGATTGGTCCAGGTCCAGGGGTAGAGAAAATTAACTCATGCTAGGCCAATAATGTCCACCTTTATGAGAATTCTAAACTTATTTTTAAGAAAACACAGAGCTGGGCATTCTCTGGAAATGAACAAATGATATGTCAGAGAGAAAGATGTGAAATCCCACTGATGTCCAGGAGCCACCAGCAACCTTCCAGAGCCTTGGCTATGCAGTTTTTATTTGGTGTTCTGCACTATCATTGCATTAATTTTTAAAGGAAAAAAGCCCTCTTAATTTAGTAGTTTGTGAGCACCAGTTTCCATTATTTGCTGAATAATAATATACTTTTAAAAACCTCTTCCTCTTCCTTATAATTCCTATATTTTATTGATGTGTCTTCTCTCTTGGTACTTACATTTTGGAAAGTTGTGCAAATTAGGGTATATGTGATAACACCAAATGCTAAACAGCCTTTTGATTGGTTGATGCTGTGGTTTCTAGTATGAGTAAAGCAACCAAGAGAAAGTTGATTGCCATATTAAATTCACAATAGCACACAAACAATATCAAACCCCTACTAAAATTCCAAGCAACCACTAAATTTATCAAAGGTCGCCATCCATCAGTTATTCATATAAAGCCAGTAAAATAAGGCAGATGCCAGATGTTGATGAACTCCTGTTTGCTGAATTTATTAACCAGATGCAGAAATTTACTCATTGCTTGAGTGCTTCGATATCACAGAGATATGCACTTTAAGAATATGCAGATAGGGAGATTAAATAGCATCACTTGACTGTGCGTCTGCCGCATAGCAATGCATAATGAATAAGTAGTATGCTTTTGCTTCATGTTTCCTATTTACATAATTCAAAGCTTTGACATCATGGAAATATATCATGGGATTGTATCCTGTTACATCATGCATAAAATCTAACAGTGTAGTTATATAAGCTATGAAAACAGAAGCATAGGGAAATGAGATGCACTTAAACACTAATCAAGATAAATGCAAATTGAAGGCATGAACTGAATATGTTCTTCTTCACCAGGACTATGTATTACAATAAACTAATTTGAGTTATTCATACATAAATGATGATCCCAATCTTATTTTGAATAATTAATAATGAGTAAACATAAAGGCAGAAATAAATTAGATAAAAACAAATCCCTTTTAAAAAAAAGAAATAGCACAGTCTTTATTCAAAAACTCTAAGGACTGTGACTGCAAACCCTGGGTCAGAAGGTAAGATTAGGCTTCTTAAGTGCACCATGTAAATAACAATCAAGTTTCAAGGCTGGGCGTGGTCCTCACACCTGCAATCCCAGTACTTTGGGAGGCCAAGCTGGAGGACTGCTTGAGCCTAGGAGTTCAAGACCATCCTGGGCAATACAGCGAGACCCCCATCTCTACAAAAAATTTAAAAATTAGCCAGGCTCATTAGCCATGAGCTTGTAGTCCCAGCTACTCAGGACACTGAGGCAGGAGGATCCCTTGAGCCCAGGTTCAAGGCTGCAGTGAGCTACAATTGTGCCACTGCACTCTATCCTGGGCAACAGAGCCAGACCCTGTCTCAAAAACAAATGAACAAAAATCAAGTTCTCTTTCATTAAGCATCTTATAAGGAGGGAAGACAAATGAGGGTCAGGAAATAGGAGGAAGCTGGCTTGGGGCAAATAATAATTACTTTGCTAATTACAAACTGAAAGTTCAGCCTAAGATTTTTAAAAATATTATTTAAAATTTAAATATTAAAATATATAAAAATTTCATTTAAACAAATTTTTAGAACAATTCCTTTGGGATTAGCAAGGGCTTTTAAAATATACCTTGAGGCATTCAATATGTATATAAAAACTTTGGGAATTTTACACTATGCCAAGACTGCAGCAAACTGGTTTTGTGTGGACCCCACATAGGCCCATTATTAGGTGACGACATACATACAATTTATTTTAAAACAAAATTTTTCTATGTTTTAGAATCAACTCACAGATAACTGTTGAAGTGAAGAATGATTACTTTACCATAATAAACAACAAAGCAAACTGACATAGAATGACACAGAGGAGGGTTCTAGAATAAACAGAGATATCAATCCAAATTTGAGCTTTGCAGGGTTATACACTATAAAATCTGCTATACTTGTGGCTCTTATCCAACCTCATTAAAGTTTCAGTTTCTTCAACTATGAAACAAGAACAATAATATCCATATCACCAGATATGGCTTGTGAATTAAACAAATAGTAGTGTCTGGATATTTCAAGTAGTACGTATACAGCATAAATATAGAAACGAAGAAAAGAAGGAAAGAGGAAAGGAAAGAAGGAAGAAAGAAAGGGAGGAAGATTGCTTAATTTGGCATTAATATACACATAAGAATATAATAGGTATTAAACTGCACTTTTTACAATTAAGACTTTCAGGAAAACAACTTTCCAGAATAAACCCCTATTTCTGATAGTAATCAGAAATGCTCTGTGAGCACTGTCGCATATTTTAATTATAAGCTTTTGCTAAAACTCTTTACCAAAGTAAAGTGATATGAACTTTAAAAGAAGTTTCTGAATATATTTAAATATTTTATTGATATAGTCTACCCACAAAATTTAAAAAAGTCATATACTTTTACAAAATTCTTCTAAAAATTACTTGAAGATTTATGATGAATGAGTATAAAATATTTAACTACAAAAGACTGTTGGAATAAAACCATATGGAATATAAAATAAAAATTTATGTAAATGATGGGTAAACATATATAACAAGATTAAAAGGTCATATTATTCTTGAAAGAAGAAGTTTATAATGCAAGTCAATAATGCAATAATCTCAACCTAAACTTAGATAATGCTAACAAAGACTGAGAGTGAATGGAAGCTAGAGCTGAAATTAGAAGCTGAGTATAGACTTGGTCTCAAATAGGGAAGACTCAAAGATGTTGAGTCCTTTTGGCCTAACAATGAATACAGGAGAATGGATGTTGATGGAAACCTTAAAAACACTCAAGTCCTCTCCCTCCACTGACAATTAAAAGCTTGGAAAATATAAAAAACAAACTCAAAGAAAAGATTGAACCAACTATTAAACTTCTTTTAAACAGAAAAGAGATGTTATAGTGTTGGAAAAAATCAATTTGAGATTATTTATTCACAAATACTTCGATATGCTCCTTTCATTCCAAGTTATTTAATATTTTTTATTGTTTTAAATGTCAAATTTTGTGTATTTTTTAGCACACTATAAAATGTGTACTTTATTTACCCATAAAATGATTTTCATTACCTAAAATTAGGCTCTCAGAATAAAAATATTTTCTTTATTCTGTCATCTATTAGTGTATATATTTAATTATAGCCACAAAGTTCAATTACTTAAGAATTTCTTACCTTGAATGTGAGGTACATATGTATACAAAAATATTTATAGAATATAAAATTTTCAAGAACATAAAAAATAAAATCTTAGAAAGTGGTCAAATATATACCAAAAATCCAATTGTGAGTCATTAAATATGAAAACTGAAATTGAGATAGTATGTCACTCCCTCTTGTTATACAGAAGAGAATTTGGCGGAGTCTCTTACATGATTTTTTTCTTTGTAATAACATAGTTAAGTAGCAGAAGCAAAAATAAACTCCAGAACCCCTACTTAACTGTCCCACCATGTACTATATTCTATAACATATTGTGTCTCTTCATCTTTGAAAAAAACCTGTTAGCTTTACACTGAATTACTGAAAATTACAGTGTAAACATTTATTAAAAAATTATGCCAAAATGCAGTATTAAAAAAATAGATCGGTAAACAATCTTCAATTCATGGAAAATTTGAAAGAACTAGAGATTTTTTTTATTTCTAAAATTAAATTTTCAGCAAAATCCAAAAGGAAAATAAATATTGAACATTTTTAAATTAATCCTTACAGGAGTCATAACACTGGGTACATGCAGAAAGGTTCATTATTACTCCGATCTCTGAAACTAAATGTAAAGCAGTTGTTCAGATAAATGAAGACCACAGCCCTTACTGTGTTGTGACATATCAGTAATTATGACTATGTGGATTTATCAAACTCACATATTAGTGATAATCAAATTAGATTTTTATAAAACTACATGATGATTACAAGAATAACCTAAAACAAAACTATATTTGTTTTGAAAGTTTAAAATAGAGACTGAAGAAAATATACTATATAGATACTAACTTGAAAAAAATTTATATATGTAGTAATACTAATGCCAGTAAGAAAAAAATGTAAAACAATGCATCAAAGGGTTCACAATACAGTAAAAGACGTAGAGTCCACTGAGAAGCCATTTCAATTATAAACCTAACATTACTACCTTTAGATTTCTAAAGGACTTGCATACCTAAACCCTTCAGGGGAAGCAGGAATTTAGTAAAATAGAAAAGATCTAACATAAATTTAACAAGTTTCTTCTCATAGGTATACATATAAAATCCTGTCTGGATTGACATCTTTTTCAGATACACAAAAACTATTTATGAAAACTGACCACCAGCTGGGTTCCAAAAGATCACAAACAATTTCAAAGAATTGGTATCTTACAGAACCAATGTTTTTTTACCATGATGTTACAATAGAAATCGTTAATTAATAGATACTGCAAAAACTTTCTGCAAAAAATTTCTATACGTTTGAAAACTTCAGTAGCCCATGGGTTATAACAGGAAATCCCAATAGGACAAAAAGAAAAAAAAGAAAGAGAACCAGAACTTTACAATAAAAGGAATACTTTTCCAAACTTGTGGGAAGAAGTTAAAAGAGAAATGGATACATTTATTTAATAAATGAAATACATTTATTAAAAACTATAAGACTGAGAATAATAAATTTAAGGTAATTCAACTCAAGAAGTTAGAAAAAGAATGAAAATGTACTTAAACAATCTAAAAGGAAGGATTTAATCAAAGCAACAGTATAAAATAGTGAAATATAAACACAGAAATAGAGAGAGCCAAAAAACCAAACAAAATTCTTTGAAGAGACTAAAGAGTAAACAAACAGTCTTCCAAGAATGAAAGAGAAAACTTACAAAGAATTTTAGAATTGAAACGCGAATAGCTCTTTATAGAATGGATGGCAAAAATCATAAGGGACTACTGTCAGTATTTTCATACAAATAAATTTGAAAATTCAAGGCATTTCAACCACATAATTGACAAAGGATTAATAGAATGATCAAAGAATTCCTACAAACTAAAAAGACCACCATTCTTTTTATAAGGAAACATCAAAATGTTCACTACAGTACTAATTGCAGCAGCAAAATGTTTGAAGAAAATGGAATATCCTTTACCAGAGAATTGCTAACCCATGGGTCATACAACAGATTTCTACATATATATTAAAGCTATAGGCATCAACAAGGCTTAATCCCTAAAATAAAACATAAACAAAAACAGAAAATAACATGTTGAAGAATGTATGTTCAGCACAACATAATTTACAAAAAGTTGGATAGATCAATGATATGTGTAAACGTAAAAAAAAAGCATAAAAATATAAATACTAAATTCAGAATATTGGTTAACTTGGTGGAGGAAGGGGAATGAGATTTCTGAAGGCTTATATGGGGGTCTTCAATTTACCTGTAAGTTTTTTTCTCATAACAATATCTGGAAACATAAGGCAAAATGAAAGAATTTGATAGAGCCCCACCATGGGTCCCTGAGGCTTTTAGGTCTCTGTCCTCCTCTGTATATTTGGAATATGTCATAAAGAAAAAAAAAATAAATGGATAAATTTCATATTTCTTTGTTTTTATAAAATATAAGATTAAACCCAATTTAGCTTACATTCTGAAAAATTCAGTATACAAGTCTTACCAAAATGTAATAGTTATTTTTTTAATTTTCCATGAAATTGCGTTAAAATTTTTGAGCTGTATCTTTTCTGTGATAAATACTCCAGTATCCTCAATATTAAATTGAAGGCCTTCATGGAGTTAATGAAGTTCTTTACGATTTTAAAGCCCTAAACAAGTGGAAAATGGCAGACAGGCTGCCCCGGATCCTGAAAGGTGCTAGGAAACAGAGGGCACAATTTATATGGAAAATAAAGGCCTCAAGAGTCACTCTTCCTCCAGTCTTGAGATGACTTTTACATAGCTCATATTGGCACTCCGAATGGCCTGCTGACTTTCTACAATCTGAGTGTAATAGAGACAACAACTTTTGACTCCAAACGTTCTAAGGTTACTGCCAACAAAACTACTCTTCAGTGTTCAGTAGGAGCACAATGCCTGTAGGATGAAGGGATAAGATGCAAAGAGAATCACTTCCTTCTCTTCACTATTAAAACGGAAATGTCTTTGAGTGAGTCTTTAGTCAATTCAGTAGTGACGCAAAGATGAAGACATCCTCTGATTAAAATTTCCCATGTAAGATGTAAATGTGCACATGTACATGATAATGTAAGTTATATCACACAAAACTAAGAAATAATAACTTACACACAAATCTAAGT
This sequence comes from Homo sapiens, assembly GCF_000001405.40. Lineage (NCBI taxonomy): Eukaryota > Metazoa > Chordata > Mammalia > Primates > Hominidae > Homo > Homo sapiens. The sequence goes on from NC_000004.12 coordinate 176,752,716, forward strand.
TACATCACACATAACTAAGAAATAGGACTTTCCCATGTTAGAATTAGAACTTGGCTAATAAAATCAGGGGGGCTATAGGGAAAGAGCCTAGACTTCCAAGACCACTGGCTAGGACACTTGGTAGCAAGATTTGTGGCCCAGTTGCTATTTGTGAAGTCTGCTTCCTCATTTGATAACAACAGTACCTATAATCAGATGTTATTTTAAGGACCAAAACTATAGAATATGTTCAATAAATAATTGTTAGAATTTATTGATGGAGGGTAGAAACTAAATGCATGGAAACAGGTGCACAACTGCTAGTTGTCATTGACAGCAATTAACTAAAACCTACAAGGAGGAGAAATTTTGCCCCGCCTCTCCTACCTCTAGCCTGATCCTGCTGAAACAGTCAGTGACAGGCAGCTGCTGTGGCATTCTTAAGGGCTGGTGAATGGTAGTGCTGACTAAAAATCAAACAGCAAATTGTTTATTATTGTTTTGCTTTGGGTCTATTTTGGGGAGGGCCAGGAAATGGCAGAGGGTGTGAAGGAATGATGTAGAGTCCACAGGATGAAACACTCAAGTGCCAATTCCTTATGTACAGGCTTAAGAAGAGAGAAGCCAGCAACTGCACCTTATGGAATTGATTAGCTGTGTGAATTCCTCACGCATGAGTCCATGGCAGCTGGAGTAACAGTATGAAACTGCTCAGCAGGCAGCTCTTTTGGTCACTGGCAGCTACGATGACCCTTTCATAGGGATGATTTGTTTATTTCTGTGCCCCAAAGAATCTTTGCAAACATAAAGACATACAGAAGGGAGAATATGAGATAGAATATTATTTTACCAAAGTTTTAGGAAATTGAGAGTTAGAACAGTTTTATAACTCCTCCCTCATGAATGATGTGGAGAAGTTTACCATTTAATAGTCCACTAAAGTGCTTTTATTCCTGCATACATGAATTGTTTTAAAATATTTCTATTTAAGGCACAGAAAATGCAAATTAAAATGCATAAGACAATAACAAGGACAATTTTTACTCTCAATTAATAGTCAATCTTTTAACTGTTATGACTTACTCATCATAAATATAGCATATACTTGCCAGTTTGATACAGAAATACTCAGAAATCTACAAATTGACTAGGATTATGTGGTTTAATTTATGTCTTTTGGATATCTGATTTCTTTTAGCACTATTATTTGCTAACAAAGCCAAATAAAATTGCATGTACTATGTTGCAGACTACAACGTCCTTTCGCCTAGGTTATTCAAATTAATACTTACAATGAACTCATGAGGGAAGTCAGAATATTATTACTGTAACCATATTCCAGATGATGAACATAAAGCAAAGAGAAATTAAAAGTTATCTGAGGTTAAATAGAGAGTAATTAGGCAGAATTCCAACTTAGTTTTGCTTACTCGAATTTCGAATTCTTTCAATGGTCAAAACACAGCATTTATCACTGCAGTGACATACGGACAGTGGAAATACTGCTATGACCTTTAAAACATAGGTCTTAACTTGTTTTTTTTTTTTTTACTTGAGGTGACTTTACCTCTGTGTTTATTAGGTAGCTCATTAGTTTCTCATTGCTGCTGGTGTAAAGTACTACAAGTTTAGTTGCTTAAAACATTAGAAATGCATTTTTTTTTACAGCTTTGCAGGTGAAATGTCCAAAATGGTTTTCACTGGGCTACGATCAAGGTGTCTGGCAAAGCCTGTAAGGGGCTCTGGAGAAGAATACACTTTCTTCCCTTTTCTAGCTTCTAGAAGCTCCATGCTCTCCTTGGCTCATGGCTTCCTTCCACATTCAAAGCCATCAATGACCAGATGAGTCTTTTTCACATCACACCATTCTGAATCTGACTCCACATCCTCTCTCTTTCACTTATAAAGAGCCTGTAAAGACACTGGAACCATGTAGATAATCCAGGATCATAATCTTTCCATCTCAAGATCCTTAATTTAACCACACCTGCAAAACCCCTTCTGCCATGTAGGTAACAAGTCCACAGGTTCCAGGGAGTAGGTTGTGGACATCTTTGGGGGCCATTATTCTGCTTACCACAGGTAGATTTGAGTTATCAAAAAACTATCTATCTATACCAGTGTGAAGTGGGATGAATAAACATAGGAAAATATTTAAAAGTTTCTTAGGATATCCACTGATAAGTCCTAAAGAGAACTGTTATATATTACATAAAAATATAACTTTCTCAAATATACCTACAATTCCTGAAAATACAGATTGTCACAGGGTCTGCACCAACATATACATTCAAATAGAAACCCATGAACTTAAGAGCATTGTCTGTATATTCTATCTGTCCTATTACAGGTAAGTAATTTCTATATTTCACAGTTTTCATGTAGTTACTTTCATCTGTTGGTTCCAATTCGTATAGATGTATACATTCAGAAATGCATGCAGATTACCATGCATATATGAGTAGTTTAGAAGACCTTGTTAATAGCCTGCGAGCTGTCCATGGTCTCAGTATTTCAGTAGATACCAGTCCAACTTTCAACTGTTATCATCTCCACTTTATTCCCTGAGTTTTTGCTCTTACTGCCAGAACCCATGCTGCCCACTTACAGCAGACAGGAGACAAGTAATTATGCTCCCCAGAGCAGCCCTAAGCCAAAGTTTAACAAGACTTTTTGTATAAATACCCAGCTCCCTTGCATCTTGGTCAGGATAAGTCTGAGTTGTGTGTTCTACACTGTTTCATAGAGTCCCCTGTAGAATTAAACTCCAGATACCCATAACGATAGCTCGCTTGATAACATACCATTTATTGGGTCCTCTCCCATCCTGTCTCATTTTACCATTTTCCTGCCAAAGTGCCCTGGGATTGCCTCCCAGATAGACTCCTTGCCTCAATTCCCTGTCTCAAAGTCTACTTCTAGGGAAACCCAAATTAAAACACTCAGAAATATTTGCAGATAATTGTTATCATCCATTGACATGCTAGGTAAATACTAAACTATCATACATCCATAATCCTACTGATACACATATTTGTATTCATATCACTATGAATATTCAACCCATACGTTAATTTCTCTATGATGAATGTATTACCACATTACTGTACAGCCAGTCAGATATTTTTAGGTTGATGACTCATCTAAACAGCTGAATAATGTATCAGGTTAAGTAATGCATTATTTACTGTAATGCATTGTCAACGCATTACAGTAATGATTTATTATATGAATGCTATATTCCTATGCCAGAGATTATTTTATAGATATATTAGTTGATATAGTAAGTTAAGAGAATAATTTGGTACATGGGAGGGAGCATAATGTGATGTAGACATCAAAGACTATAGGTAAAGTTCTAAGGTCTGAAACACATGAGCTCAAATTCTGACTCTGCCACTGAAATAACTGGATAACCCTGGGCTTATCTCCCACATTCATGACTTTTTAAATCTATTAAGTGATAATAACAATATAAATTTATAATATTCTGAGATTAGAGGAGATACTATTTTCTTATTTAATAAAATGTACTAAATGCTTATAAGCTATTTTTTGAATGTCAAAAATTAGTCTAGGTTCTGGGCATTCAGCTATGAACAAAACACTTTAAAGCTTCTGGAATTTCTACTAAAGAAGTAGAATCAATTAAGGAATAAACAATAAATGAAGAAAATGAAGTGTTGATGACAATAAACTGAGGGTCATGATAGAAACTGGGTGGCTACTTTAGAACAGATAAGGAAGGGTAGATTCCCTTAAGGAATTGGTAGCTGGGACCTCCACAAAAAAGAGCCAGTCATGCCCATCTAGGGAAGAACATTCCAGGCTCTTTGAAAAGAATGTGCTTACATGTTAGACAAGAAAGAGCCGTAGCCTTTTGAAAAGAACGGGCATGGCATGTGATGGGGATGAAAAAAACGTACTCCAATTCTGATAGGTCTTATCATCCATACAGAGTTTGGATTTTAGTCCAGATATGATGGAAAGAAGTCACTGCTAGGTTAAGATGTAGAAATGATATTATCTCATTTACAATGAAACACACCCTGATTTCAAGAAGTAGATTAGATTTTAAGGGTGTAAAGCAAGAAAAAGATAGGACAATTAGGTTCTATTGCAATCACCAGAGCAAAGGATGATGACAGCTTAGCCTAGAAGAATAACAGGTGAAATGGATGGATTTGGAATATATTTCAGAGGAAGAGAAGCTTTTTGACTTCCTAATAGATTGCTGGAAGGTTTAGGCAACTAGGTAAAATGAAAAATCAAGGATGTTTGCTAGATTGGTTATATGAATTACATACAAAGCACTCTGCTCAATTCTGGACATATATTAAACACTCAGTAGATGGTAGCTAGACAATAATGCTTGGTGGCTAGAAAAGAGAACTTAAATGTAGACGGTAAAATGAGGAATAAATGGACAGAGTATGTTAACAGGTGATGGAAATAAGTATTCATTATTAATTATTCCTTATTCATACTTTTTTTTCTAGGCACCATTCATAATCTAGACCTATATAACTAAACAGTGAATGTTAGGGGCCATAAAGGAACACACATGTGTACTTGTCTTCAATTCCATTTCAATTACATGCCAATTGAATGGAATAAGCAATAATAAACACACAAGAATTAGAAGACAAAGGTCCCTAGATCTGTGATAAAAGCTTATAATATCAATATGAGAACAACATTATCCACCTCTTCTAATCTAAGTCATGCCACTGTATGCACAGAGCATAAAACTATAATGGGTAATTTGATCTGTTAACAACGATTTCAATAATAGAAAGCAAGACTCATACTGCTAACACAATAATATTGGTACAGTCATAGATAATCAAATTCTAAAATAATTCTAAATATGTATTACCAGGGCTAAAAAACTTTAAAGAACATCAGCAAAAAAAAAAAAGTGCTCTTCATTAACAATTTTTGTGATTATTCACCACCTTGGGTTTAACTTTTAAATTCTCTTTCTTCTAGTTGAACATACCGTCTGCTAGTTTTCTCCATTGTCTTTTTCAGGTTCCAATTCTTTCTCACAGATTTAATTCTCATATAATTATCCTTATGTTTAAAGAGAAATAGTCCTCTTTAATCTACCTGAAATTATAATTAACCTAATTAAAGATTTGGTGTCCTAAAGGAAAATTTATATTCAGGGAAAGTATAGATTTACCATGTTTTGGGGGAATATTATTCCATTATATTTAATATACTGCCTTTGACTTAATCCCCATAAAAGTAAAAACACAACTCCACTGGACAGATCCTGAATCTGAAATTTCATATTTCATAAATCTGAAATTATGTATTCTACTTCTCAACACTTTCTTTTGTAAATTACTCATTCATTCAATAATATACATTCTTTATTACTTGGTTATGTGTGAAAATTCTTTGTATTTTTAACCCTTAGGAGAGAAGTTATTTAGACATAGTCTTATTAGAGTGAGAAATAAGACATATTGACAAACAAGTTGTTAGTAGAAGAAAGCAAAGATTGGTTACCAGCAGCAAACAATATTCTATCATATATGTGAGGACAAATATTTCCTCAGTTTTGAAGAACAAATAAGTTAATTGCCTCAGTTTTTCTTAATAAAGTTTATTCATAATCATTGTGAGGTTTGCCACACTTCAGTCACCTCACCGATCTACCAAATGAATATCTAGAAGTTTAATTTCTTTCCCAGTAGTAAATTCATATTTAGATGAACAAGTACCAAGCATCAATCATACCAGACACTTCCCAGAGCTAGGACATGCACATTTTTTAATCTTGGCAGCTGGTGCTAGAAAACCTCCGTCTTACTGACTAGAACTGAATTAAATGTGGTTATCAATCTCGATTGTTGTCAGGGAGGATGTAAGGTACATTAATAAGTAGCTTCCCAAATCGACAGCTTTCTGACTTGCTGCATTTCTTGCTCTGAGTAACCTATCTCCAGAAAGTGGGCTCCTCTTCTAACCCTAGTGATTACTTTAGTTTGTGTCCTGTATGCAAAGTCTGATACTTTTCCATGATGTCTACCTCTGGCCCCACATTGCATTCAAATACCAGTCGTCATTTACATCCATGCTGTCAATGCTTTTTCTCCTCAGATGCCCAGGTTCTAGCCCTTTCCTGTACTCATACCATCACATGGCCATTGTAAACAACAAAACCCTGGTTTCTTTCATGTTATTTAGCTTCCAGTGGCATTTGCTCAGCTGTATCCTTGGCATTGCAAGCTCATCCCACTGCCATCCAGGGCCAGTGATAGCAGCCACGATTACTCATCTAAAAGTTCATTGTTAGCAAATTATATTTTAAATGCCCTAAGAGAGTTTCCCATTGAAAAGACTGAGACTTTCTGAAAAGCTAAGAAACTAAAATAATACCTTACTGAAGTAAAAACTCAAAAACTATACTTTTTATTGAACTTTGGAACTGTCAGGATAAATTTTCTTTTCTTCAACTTATGTTTAGAAATTAAATGTAATAGACTACCCTTTGGAAAGACTTCTTAGACCTGCCAATTTGGGGGTTGAGCCCATATATTTGGGACAGTGGGGGGAAAAAAGGTACTTTGTTCAACCATAAAAAAGAAGGAAATCCGGCCATTTGCAAAAAGATGAATAAAACTAAAGGGCATTATGCTTAGCAATATAAGCCAGGCACAAAAAGACAAATATGCATGATCACGCTTAAATGTAGAAATTTAAAAAAATCAAATGATAGAAGCAGAGAGTAGAATGGTGGATACCAGGGGCTCGGGGACTGGTGGGGTGGTCAACGGGGAGATGTTGTGTACAGGGTACAGTTTCAATTAGACAGAAGGGATAATTTCTGAAGATGTAATATACTCATGGTGACTATGGTAAATAATAATAGAGTAGATTTCAAACATTCTCATCACAAAAAATGATAAGTATGTGAGATGATAATGTGCTAATCAGTTTGATTTAATCATTCCACAATGTACTTCAATCAAAACGTCACAGTGTACACCATGCATATAGCCGAGTTTTCATTTCTCATTTTTAAAAAGTAAAAAAAAATAAAATAATTTAAGTCTTCTATCTCCAAATACATCACTAGAACAAGACATGCTTTTTGGAGAGGAGAGATGCAGCAATTGGTTTATATCGCATTTGCCAGTGAAATAAATTTAATTATTGGGACTGTTTGAATAAAATATATTAAAATATTTTTAAAAATTTAAAATGTTAACATGGTATCATTGACGAAGGCATAGCTTCCAAATTTAGAGAAAATATGTAAAGAAATAAGTGTTTTTACACAGAAAAAATTAAAAATAGTTAATAACAAGGAGGACATAAAACAAATAAGTCGAAATGAGGTAATGCAGTTTTAAAATCATATTCTTGAGGGATAGATCAGGAGATGAAAAATAGCGTATTTTAAGAGATATTTTTAAAGCAGGCTATGAAATAATAGGTTTTATTTTCTCTGAATATAGCTTTGGAAAATATAGAGCAAAGAATGGTAAGTTTTAATGGTGATAGTACAGATATATATTTTAAGATATTTATGCTTTTTAGAAATTACCTACAAAGATCTTAAAGTTCTTCTGTAACTTGAAAAACAATTCAAAATATAGGCCATTTTTAATTGAATTTTATGCATAGGTTTCAATTAAGATATTAGGCAATAGGCTTTTCCCTAATAGCTGCTCCCAAAGAAAAAAGAATTTCTCTAGGCAAAGCCATCTTTTAGCGGTTGGTAGATTTAATCTGACTCAAGCCTCGCTAAAATATCTTCCAATGTTTTTAGGTTATACTGTCTATATATTCTTAATAAATATTTATCAGCCCTGTAACTGAAGTTTCCCCAGAGTAGTAGGTAAGAAAGAAATGTGATGAGAATTCCACTCCACAGCAAGCTTTTTCTCTTTCCTTTTCTTATCCAACACTCCCCCTCACATATCTATGCCAGAATTTTTTCATACGAGCTAAAGCTGTTCTCTAAAACACAGAATGAAAGACTTAGCCCTTTCTCTAGCCAATTTTTCCCATGCATGTGATATTGCCAAAGTCATATTTATTCCCCTCAAATACTCCATTCATTAATAATATGCTGACTCCAAAACAATGAATTTTTTTTAAAGAACCGAAGAAATGCGATATTGAGGGAGCTTCAAATGGCACTGATCTTAGCTGGATGTATTCTAAGCTTATCATCACTCACTCGTGGTACTAGCAATGATTGTTTCGCACATGGCAAAATCATACATAGGTAGGAAAAAGAAGTTTATGATACTGCAAGTCTGGCCCAATGGGCAAAGTTCAAAGATCCCATGAATTTGAAGTGATTTCCTCCACTTCAGAAGTGGAAGGGGAAAACGTTCTGTATTTTCTTGTGATTGATTTAATAAAAGCAAGTGAATATTTAAAAAAGTATATGATTATAGATCCTATACAAAATTGTCCTAAAATTGTGAGAAAATTAAATTATACAATTGATGTACTCATATATTTACCTTTACTTGCAATACCTTTTCTCTCAAGTACATTGAGATAATATTCAGTGTAAGTATCAGTGAGAACTTATTTAAGTCCTCAGCGAACATTCTAATATAAATATCCTTAGCCTAGGATCATAAGTATAAAAATATTGTGAATATAAAATCATAATATTCAAACTGGTTCATAACTATATGCCCATGCAAGTTTTCTGAGGAGTAAATAATGAGTTTTATAGATGCTCCCTAAATAAAGAAACAAGGAAACTATGTCACAGTTTTATTAAGATTACAGGAATTTGGAATGTTGAATACTACATTAAGGACAATAGTGAATGAATAAATCAGCAAATACATGATTTTTAAAGGTGCTCCCTAAATAAACAAGGAAAACAATGTCGCAGTTTTATTAAGATTACAGTAATTTGTAATGTTGAATACTGCATTAAGGACAACAGTGAACGAATGTGTGTGGGCCCACGTGTATGTGTCTTCTGTCTCTGATTGTCAGCCAGTTTCCCTACATTATACATGTGCCTATGTAACCTTGGAAAAATAAACATATACTTAACACTTTTGTTAACTTTATTATTATAGGACACAGAAATAATAAAAAGGAAGTGCTTTCAGGCAGATGGAAGGGATCAGAGAAGAGACGAAGGCATGGAATACAAAATGAAACAGCAGAGAGTGCTAGAATTCAGAGTTGGAAGAAGCCATCAGCCTGGAAGAAAATCTGGCCCAAGACAGAGAAAGGTAAGAAAGCAATTAAGAGTAAGCTCAGATGTCTCTGACGTATCAGTTTTCTTTAGAATGCATTTATTCTGTGCCAGCGAAGCTCAGGGAAGAGGTGGAAATCTGTTTCACCCCATACCTATGACTGAAGAGGCTCTGCCTGCACAGCGGATACTATGGTAGCTGATGTCAGATGTAGGCTCAGAACATGAGGCCTGAAACTCACCAGGTCTTAGGGACAGTTCTAAAATTTCTTATAAAAACTGAATCAGTTATTTCTTGGTATAGTTTGAATGTCCCCTCCAAAACTCATGTTGAATTCTAATTGCCAATGTAAGAATATGGGGGGAGGTGGGGCCTTTAAGAGGTGATTAGGTCATGAAGCCTTTGCCCAGATTGGTGGGTTTAATGCCTTTACAAAAGGGCTTTCATGTATCATGGGTTCTATCTCTTTGCTCTTCTGTCCGTCTGCCATGTGAGGAGCAACATTCCTCCCCTCCAGAGGACGCAGCCTTCAAAGCGCCACCTTAGAAGCAGAGACGGGGCCCTCACCAGGCTCCTGACCTGCCAGCAACTTGATCTTGAACGTTTCAATCTCTAGAACTGTGAAAACTAGATTTCTATTTTTCATCATGTACCCAGTTTTAGGTATTCTGTCACAGCAGCACAAATCAGACTTAAGACATTTCTGTTTCTAACAGTTCGGTAGAAGACTCTTTCTGAAAAAGTGCATCTATCTATTTATCTACATACATGCACACATATGTACTTCCATATGTTTAAACATATGTGTGTCTGCATATAAAGATCTATTAAGAAGGTAAAGTATTCCTAGGGGTGCAAAAATAAAGTGAAATAATTCAGAGAGTATTCAACACTAAGTCATATTCACCCTGGAACAGTTGCTCCAGCTGGTGAACCTGGGCTTTGAACTTGACAGTTTAACAGGCAACAGAGCCCAGAGCTCTCTTAAAGAGTCTAATAGTAGTTCCCTAAGTTAAGCTAGAACAAATCTATAGTGTCCTCTCAATATAAGGGCAAACTAGAAAAATAACTCTGATCTACAGAAGGAGACTGCAAGGAAATTTGCCTGTCTCAACATTTGCTCTGGGTAAAAGGAAGAAAGAAATCTCCTCCTTGGGATATAATCAGGAGAAAGCTCTCATCCTAGTTGTGGTCTGAAGTAACACTATCTGTGTGGTTCGAGCAGACTTAAGCCAAAAATACCTTTGAAAGTGGTCTCTATTTATAGTGTCCACAGGTGCGGAGCACAAGCAAACAAAAAGCTGCTCTAGAGAAATTCATCTTCAACTAATTCCCAAATACAATTCCAAGGAAAAAGGACCAAAAGTGAAAGATCAAAAAGCACGCCATTTCTATTAATAATAAATGCATATTTGGGAGATATTATACAACATAATCTCACCACATTGAAAATAAGAGAAAATGAAAAAAAACTATAGTTAACATGAATGAATCACAGAGATGATATTAAGATAAAGCAAGTTATAATAATGCAAGTTGCAAAGAGGTGCATAGAACATCATTCCAATTACATAAATTTCAAAAGCAAAAACTCAATGAAATATTTATAAGGAATACATATACATAAAACTCAATGGGACTGGTAGTATTTTATTTTTAACTTGAGTAGCGGTACACTGGCATTCATTTATTGTTATAGATCTTAAGTATATGTTATATTCTTTCACGTAATCAATATTTAATAGAAATATCTTCAAATAATTTGGTTCATATTAACCCACTGGAAGTAAAGTAAATATTATTACTACTTTCAGAAATGCATGATTTAACCTTACAGGTTCCATAAGGTTTCTGTATCATTTGAGACATATTTACTAAATTTACTATGTGATGGTTATTGTAATCAGTACTTTAGGTGAATATTTTCCAATTAATCCTCCTAAGAGTCCTCTAAAAAAAGGTCTTTTTTTTTCTGATTACAGGTGATAAAACTAAGTTTTCAATGGAACGGTATCTCAAACATAGTAAGAGGAATTTAAACCAAAGGCCTATCCAAACAAAAATGTGTTCCCTTAGTCACTAAGCCATACTAACGGCACAATAATTATCAAGGTAGTTGACTTAGCAACTTCCACTTCTGACCATGATGGAATAGCTTGTGACAAAACAATGTTCCCACTGAGAACAACTAGAAAATATGAGATGAAACGAAAAGCAACAAACACCTATTTGAAGATATAACCATAGAGACAGCCAAGCTTTCAGTTGCCAAGATCCTGGGCAGAAACATAAAGTAAGAGAGGTGAGCAGACATTATGAGAGCAACATTTTCCCTTGGGTAATATAATATGATAGTCCTTGGATAGGTAAGAGGCTGAAAATCCAGGCAGAAAACAACAGAGTTAACAAAAGTGAGACTGCCAGCATTTTCACAGAGCTGGAGAGACAAAACATTAAAGTTTGGGCCTTTAAAGGCAGTCAGATTTGAGGGGCTAAGATCACGGACAGAGGGTACACAAAACAAGAGAGAAATGAGGTTCCCTGATACTTAAGGTTTTCCTTTTGAGGCACTAAGTTTTCAAATTATCCATGGTAAGAAGCAAAGAAGCCAAGCAAATATCTTCTGAAAAGCACAAGAATGTATGCAACAGTCTCATAGTGCAGAGGTTACAAAAATTGAAGTTCAGAACCCACCAAAGAAAAAAAATCTCATAAATTCATAGGCTCTGAATGGGTATCCTGAAAGACAACTCCCAAGGAAAGTGGGTAGGCCATACCAGACTGATACACACAGGCTTCAGAAAAGCTTCTAGCCATGTCATATTCTAATGGAACTGGAGTGATCTGTCTGCCTTTTGGCTGATTACCAGAGGATACACTGAATCCTCTCTAGAAAGGCAAAACTGCATAGTCTAGACAGTTATAATTTTTAAATAAAACATCAAACATTCAATCAAAAGTTTTCAGCAAATAAGAAAAATATCCACAAATAAGACTAACAAAAAAATAGAAAAAATAGACAATAAAAATGAAACTTCAGTTGTGCTTGATATTAAAATAGGTATTGTATACTCAGGAAGCTGAACTGGGAGGATCTCTTGAGCCCAGAAATTCAAGACCACCTTCAGCAACATAGCAAGACTCTGCCTCAAAAAAAAGAAATAGGTATTGTTAAAGTACTACAACTAGTATGTTTGAGAAAACAGAAAGGAAGATGAAGAATTTGAGCAAAGAATAGAATTTATTTTACAAAACAGAAATTTGAGAACTGTAAAATGTAATAACTGAAAATAGGTCTCAATATATGGAATTAATAATATTAGAGCTAAAGAAAGGATTAGTGAACTGGAAGACAGATCAGTAGAAAACATCCAGAGAAAACTAGAAAAAAAAAAGCATAATAGACATAGATGATTGGAAAAGTGACATAGAGATATAGAGCAGATACTGCAAATGTTTAATATATATTTAACTGGAGGATAGAGACTATAAAGAAAAAGGCATATTTAAAGAAGTAGTTTTCTAGGATTTTCCAAGATAACAAAAAGCATCAAGCTGTAGATTCAAAAATTGCTATGATCATCAAACAGATTAAACACAAAGAAAGCTACATCTAAAATACTACACCATAATAGAACTACTGAAATCCAAAGACAGAATTTTTTTTTTTTTTTTTTTTTTTGAGGCAGAGTCTCGCTCTGTCGCCCAGGCTGGAGTGCAGTGGCGTGATCTCGGCTCACTGTAACCTCCGCCTCCTGGGTTCACGCCATTCTCCTGCCTCAGCCTCCCGAGTAGCTGGACTACAGGTGCCCGCCACCACACCCGGCTAATTTTTGTATTTTTAGTAGAGACGGGGTTTCACCGTGTTAGCCAGGATGGTCTCAATCTCCTGACCTCGTGATCCCCCTGCCTTGGCCTCCCAAAGTGCTGGGATTACAGGAGTGAGCCACCGTGCCCGGCCCCAAAGACAGAATTTTAAATGCTAACAGTGAAAATCATTTCTTGTTCAAAGAAGCAACAATAAGATTGATAGTGGATGTAATAAAAAACAGAGGGTAATATGGAAAAAAATCTTTAGAATATAGAAAATAAATGCCAACCTAGAATACTATACACAGAAAAAAAAAGACAATGAAATGCAAAAACAAATATCCTTTGCCATAGCTTCCAAAATGTCTCATACCTAGGTACCGAAAAGGAAGATATGCAAGGTCTCTACACAAAAAGAAAAACTTAAAAATGATTATATAATAGGATAAATGCTATAAGGCCAAAATAGAAAGCCCATTATTGCTAATATATCAGTTTTCCCCAAATCAATTTTTAGATTCAATGGAATCTCAATATCTATATTCAAGGTGATATTAAAGAACAAACTGTAGGTATTTCTGTCAAATATTAAGGTACAATGAAGCTGTGCATGGTGGCTCACAGCTATAATCCCAGCACTTTCAGAGGCTGATGCAGGAGGATCAATTGAACCCAGGAGTTCAAGGCCAGTCTGGGCAACATAGTGAAGCCTTATCTCTACAGAAGAACACAAAAATTAGCCAAGTGTAGTGGTGAGTACCTGTAGTCCCAGGTACTCAGGAGACTGAGGTGGGAGGACTGCTGGACCCTGAGAGATTGTGGCTGTGGTGAGCCATTATTGCACTATTGCACTTCAGCCTGTGTGACAGAATGACACTCTGTCTCAAAAAAAAAAAAAAAAACAAGGAAAAGAAAAGATACTATGGAACTTCAGAATTTCAGGCAGTGTGATACTAATGCCAGAGAGCATACAATCGTAAAACAGAGTCCAGAAAGAAACCGTATAGAGACATGATTTATTTACAAGGGTAATGCTACAGAGCAGCAGAGAAATATGCTAGGTTACCTAGTTATCCAAATTAAAAATAACTAGTCTTGATTTCTACCCTCCCCACTACACAAATATCAATTCCAGGTTGATCGTAAATATAAATCTGAAAGTGAAAAAGCAATAAAGCTTCTACAAGACTATTTTCATAACATTGGATAGACAAATGTTTCTTAAACAAGACATAAAAAATATTAATCATAGAGGAAAAACAAGAAAAAATCACCTTACATTAAAATTAAAGAAATCTGGCCAGTAAAAAAAAAGAAAGAAAGAAAGAAAAAAGACCAGTAAGAGATGGAAGAAGATATCTGCAATACACACAGCTTTAAAAAGCCTGGCAACCAAATCATGTAAAGGAATTGTAGAAATCTAAAAAAAAAAAAAAAAAAAAACAACCAAAAAGAAAAATGAACAAAACACTTAAACAGGCATTTTATAAAAGAGGATATCCAAATGGGCAACAAGCTTGTCAAAAGATGTCCAACTTCATCAGTTTCCATGAAAAGGCAAAATAAAACCACAATGGGATGCTATTACATCACCACCACAATAGCTAAAATAAAAAAGACTAACAATGCCAAGTATTTGGCTGGGATGTGAAGAAAAAATAGGTTGGATATTCATTCTCCTCACTCTCCCTCTGCCTCACCACATTTATGGTGCCTCACCATAGTGAGAGAAGTGTGTGCACTCTACAGTTAGAGCTTCTATTGACAGCCCCTCTCCTACAGTGCCCAGCAATTTCCAGGGCTGATAGCACTATTCGCTCACCTTGCCCCTGCAGGACTAGGGTAGTTAGGACTTCCCACTGTTGATAGTACCTGGATGCTTCATGTTCTTTTGTTCTTTTCTGTTTCCTTGACACTGTCCACACCTCTATAAAATGAACCAGTCGTTAAACTCTTTTAATTGAAACACTGCCAGGGCAATGACTACTATTACTTGATAGAGATTTTGGTTTTTACTTTTTGTGAAGTAGGGAACTATTCTAGGGCCTTACATATAACAGGAGAGGAATATAATGTGACTTACATCCTAAAAGGATTCTTCTTTCTGCTCAGTTGAGAATACACTCTAGGGAGGTGAAGATAAGAACCAGTGAGACTGGTAAACAGAACGCTGCCCTGATCCAAGTGGAAGACGATGGTGGCTCAGGTCAGAGATGTAGCAAGTGGTTAGACTCTGGTTATATTTTTGAAGACACAGCCAAGAGGATTGGATTCCCTGATGAGTCTGAATGTAGGGTAGGAAAGAAAGAAGTCAAGGATGATACCATGAATTTTGACTTGACCAACTCGGAGCAATTTGTTGCCACTGACTGAGTTAGGGAAGGCTATAGGTAGAGCTAGAGCAAATTTGATCAGAAACGGAGAGATAAAAATTTCAACTGGGAATGTTTAAATTTGAAGTGTCTGTTAGCCATCTGAGTGGAAATGACAAAGGCAGCTAGTTATATTTTAAAGTTAAGAAGACAGATTTGGACTAAAGATACAGATATGAAGATATCTAGAACCATGGGACTGGGTTAAATCACTAAGAGAGTGAATAGAAATGAAAAATAATAGAGGACAGTGGGCTGAGCCCTGAACACTTCGACATTAAAAGTTCAAGGAGAGTAGCCAGCAGTGGAGAATGGGATGGAGTAACCACCACTGAGGTAAAATGAGTGCATTGAAGACAAAGCTGAAAAATAATGATCAAACATTGTAAATGCTGCCAAGTAAGAGGATGTTTTATACATATATATATATATATATATATTTCAAATTTTTCTGAGTACTATGATATTTCGACATCTTAAAAAAAAGTTTATGGCTTGGGAGAGATGGCCCTCCAGGGGCTGCCAATCCTTACAGACAGCAAAAACCTCAGCAGGGAGAACACCTTTGGTATGCAAATTACCCAATCCAGAGCCATACCTCCTTTATCTGGCTATATACCCCAGGAGACAATATTCCTCTGCCTTAATTTCCCACTGTCAGGTATCAAGCAACTAGGGATTAATCCTATACCTTAGAGCCTACTGAAAGTATTCAAACCAGCCAGTTCTAAACTGTTTACCCTACTCTACTCTGCCTTGCCTTTACCCTGAAACTCCAGTAAAGGCTGTGGCATAAGCTCTCTCCTCTTTCCTGTCTTCTGCCACATGGAGAACCACCCCCCACCCCCCGTGCTGTGGTCTGTAATGTCAATGTCCCTCCAAAATTCACATGTTAAAATATCAACCCCAGCGTTTTGGTATTAAGAGGCCAGACCTTTGGGAGATGATGAGGTCATGAGGGTGGAGCCCTCAAGAATAAATTGGTACCCTTATAAAAGAGGCTTGGGAGAGCCTGCTTCCTCCTTACCCCTATCACCATGTGAGGGGGACGTGCAACAAGGCACCATCTATGAAGAGTGGGCCCTCAGCAGATGCCCAATCTGCTGGCTCCTTGATCTTGGACTTCCCAACCTCCAGAACTATGAACAATGAATTTTCTGTTCTTTATAAATTATCCAGTCTAAGACACTTTGTTATAGCAGGCTGAACAAACTAAGACACCCTGTGACCCTGTGTGGCATGCGGTGACCTCCTGTCTAAGACCTATGAGTATAATAAACTTTGTTTCATTGTGCCTCTCCTGTGTGTCCTCTTGCGGTCTCACCTGTGACCATCACAGAAAAGCTCACAGAACAGAGAAGTTCTAATAACTGTTGGCTTTAGCAACATGGAGGTCACTGGTATCTTGGAGCTATTTGTTATTTATATTTAATAAATATGTAATTAGCTAGCAGATATTACATTAATAAATGGCTATTTAGATTAATTTTATTCCATCTGTGGGGCCTTTGGTCACAAAACCTCAAATGAGAACCACGAAAGCATGAACATGACTCACAGGGATGGAGTTAGAATTCTAACAGGCCCTGGAGTGGGAACTAATGCTTTATCAGTAGCTAACATGAGACAATGCTTTAAATGAGCTCTGTTACAATGTTGTAACGTATACACTATTTTGCCCAGTTCACAGCCTGACTCAGAAAGCCTGACTCACAGAATTAAGGTCATACAGCTCCTGAGGCCCATCACTAAATTCAAATCCAGTTCTGATTTGGCAGTTTATGCTGTTTCAACCTACCCTGTACTCTCCAGTAATAACATAAAATAGAATGATTAAAGAAGGTTAATCTGAATTATCTGGGAATCAAATCTGGGTCCCTGAACTCCCTGAAAATATTATTTCCTAGTAACCCATGCCAAAAAAATAAGTCAATAAGACATATTCCTATAATGCTTGGGAAGAAATTTCTATTTACTAGAAAGAAGTCCTCAGATTAAAAAATATCTGATAGTTACATATGATCTTAATAGTAGTTCTGCAAACTTGATTAAATATTTAAGCTTCCAATTGTAGTTGGATCTTATCCCTCTTTTCTCATTAGGCAGAAAATATTTAGAAAAGCTACATTAGTAAAAACCAGGCTAACTTCTTTCCACAGCTACCTAATGACTTCAGTCAGTATTATTGTTTAAAATTAATAGGCCACATTTAACAAAAACTTTATATTATTAAATTTCTTCTCAAAACATGTTTAGCAAGAATATCTGGCTACTCATCTTTTTAACCTTGACAACTCATTTCCAATGCAAAAGGGTAAATCCTACTATTAACAGCATTGTTTTTGTGGAAACAGTTTAAGACACTAGTCACTAGCATGATTTTCTAAATATGCTTAGCAGGTTTATTTGGCTACATATGAAGTCTCTTTTAAAACCTGACATATTATTTCCAGTGACCTGAATAGGATATTTATCTGAGAAAGCAGACCAGAATAAAGCCTCTATACAGACTTTCCAGATAGAGAATAAAAATAGTATCTAATATATTTTCGACTTTGAAATTATCTATTTCTGTTATAGTGTCCTCTGGATCACTGCCCCTGAAAAATAGCTGAGCTCCTATTTTAGCAATATATACTCTCTTGAGGTGGTTTCAGAAGATTAGGACACAGAGTTCAATACAAGCTATGAGAATTCCACTGCAGCTGGCAAACACTGAGGCCTGTCATAGACTTTTCTTGTTTTTCCACATGAGAAGCACCTTCTCCACTCCTCTCTTCCATCCACAGGGAATCCAATTCTGACTTGACCTTTGAGATACCCATGAGAATGTCCATTCTTCTACCCCTCTGCCATAATACAACCTACTACTGTCTTTCATTCAATTGAAGGTGCAAGTAACTGATACACACACACACACACACACACACACACAAAGGTATTGCTCTCAAGGACATTTACTTAATTTTTAAAAAAGGAATCAAAGCTTGAAATAAAATAATTAAATTCTACTTTGAAAACAAGTTAACCTGGTTTTTGCTAGTACAGCTTTTCTAAATATTTTCATCCTAATGGGAAAACATCAGCATATGTGACAATTACCCTTATTCAAGTCACATTAAGAATAATTCAAAACATTAAAGAAAATACTACAGTTGCAGGGGAAACAATTTAAATAATATAAACTGGCCAAACCCTAGTGAATCAGATGATGATCTATGGAAACTGACCAACGGAAAATATCTAAAGTTCAAATGCCCTTATAATAGCTGTTTTCTGCCATCTTTTAAATGTCTTTCCATGTCAAATCCCTCTTAAGTTTGATACACAGTCTACTTACCAAAAAAAATTGTTTAACACATATATGATTATGAATTTGAATAATAAAGCAATATTGTAAAATATCAAGAGTAGTAAGGAAATAACAGAGGACTGTATCCAAGGTTTCCATTAACATCATAAATGCACTAAATGCATTTTTGTGAGCTTATGTTTTCCATTTTTGTATTTCTTTCTCTGTGAGTAACGTGTAAGACACTTAAGAGAGGCACAGGTAGACACACTGCAGCAACAAGAAAAGTCTAAGGTTCTTGTTATCTGGTACCAGTGCTGTGGACACGCCACTTGGAAGGAGGAACCACTGTTTTTCCTCTGTGAGGACAACACACTGCATCTGTACCAGGTGTTTTATGGGAAGAGTGAATAAATTTTAATCATTCATCGCCCTCTTATGCTTAGATGTTTGTCATGATCACACAGTGTGGGATCTACAAATCAACACAGGAAAGTTGGAATTATGGTATTCTGTTATCAGAGGAGCCTGTGATCTGAAAATAGCTGATCCCCCAATTTTCATATGACACTTGTGTGAAGAAAAAGAACAGAAATCTCCATCAGTACCAACTGTTCTCAGAAAAGGCACAGCCTAACAGAAAGAAAAGAATGAGCACGTTGGCTGCAGAAAGCCCTATTACGGTTTACACATTAAGAAACGGAGAGGAAACGATCCAAAAGAAGGCAAAATTTGAATATTTCCTGTTTCCAATGTCACAAAAATTACAGAGTAAAAGTGAAATCAACACCAATATGTTAAAGAAAATATTTTAATGTTATATTTACTTAATTTGACATTATTTAATTGGTCTTACACTGAAATCGACACTACTCAAATACTTTTTCAAGAGGAGTGGCCTTCAAGTTTTTCCTTTCTCTGTTATGCGATTTGACACAATGAAATTAGCAAGTTTAAGTTCTCATGTTTTATAAGGTTTTCATGTAAGTGCTACCTCTCCAAACTGGAATTTTAATCTTTTGGACAGTCAAAAGGTCTTACATGGTAGCATTCATCTTTCTTTCTTAAACACAATACTTCAGTAACATTAATCTTTCAGGTGGGTATACAAAGAGTACATCAACGTTGCAAACAACCTGGAGAAAACAAATCTAGAAAGTACAATGACGCAATGTCACAAATGTGGTTGCCTCCTGCTACAGCGTGAATGTGTTCCCCAAACTTCATGTGTTGGAAATTTAATCCCCAATGCAAAAGCATTGAAAGGTGGGACCTTCAGAAGGTGATTAGGTCATGAGGCTCTGCCCACCTGAATGGATTAATGGTATTATCTTGGGAGTGGGCTCCTTATCACAGGAATGAGTTTGTTATATAAAGTTCCACCTGTTCTTGCACTCTGGAGAAATCTCTCCTGATGTGATGCCTTCCACCATGAGAAGACACAGTAAGAAGGCCCTCACCAGACACAGCCCTGCAACCCTGGACTTTCCAGTCTTCAGAATTGTGAGGAAAACTAATTTCTTTTTATTATAAATCATCCAGTTTGTGATTTACAGCAACATAAAACAGACCACGATACCTACCCAAAGTACATTCATTCTCCTTTCCTTCTTTGTGAAAAGAATTTCAATATTGTTAGAAAGTGCATGTATTTTCTTTATCGGCTTCTCTTACAGCCAGGAATGGCAAAAATGCACTTCTACCTGAGAAGATGTAAGGGCAAATCTACTGGGGATTTCAGAGAAAACTTTTGCTTTGGTTTGAATGTGTTAAGGCAACAACCTCCTCTCTCACTATTCTTTCTTCCTTGAAATCAGACATAAAGCTGCACAACAATCAGCCATGTTGTGACCACGAGGAATGAAGCACAGAAGGCCAAACTCTAAAAATGATCAAGTGAAAAAAGCACAGGAGTCTGGACATTGATGATATGATGTTGCTCCATGTGGTACCAGCCCTTAAACGCCCACTGGGGCCTTTTAGTTACTAGAGAAAAATAAACTCCAATTTGCTTTAGCCACTACAGTTAGATTTTGTTACACACAAACAAATCCCATTTTAACTGATACTCTCAAAATAGTTAGTGAAATCACCAGAGAATGAAATAAACTTATTTTACAATTTGATCATACCTATAAAAATAATAAATGTCTTCCTAGTATACAAAAAAACAGAAGCAGGGGAAAAATTTTAGAGAAGGAGACCAAAGAAAGAAGAATAAAAGCAAAATTTTAAAAAGTGAAGGCAAATAGTAGAGAGGTTAAATAAAGATAGCACTGAAAATTGATGGGAAGCAGCAATAATTTTCATGTGTAGGTTTGTTGTTGTTTTTTAAGAGACAGGGTCTTGCTCTGTTTCCCAGGCTGGAGTACAGTGGCACTATCACAGGTCACTACAGCCTTGGACTCCTAGGTTTGAGCGATCCTCCACCCTCGGCCTTCGGAGTACTTGGGTATATGCCACCATGCCTGGCTAATTTTTTTTAATTTTCATTTTTATTTTTTATTTTTGTAGAGATGGGGTCTCACCGTGTTACCCAGGCTGGTCGTGAACTCTTTTTTAATTACAGCTGAGTCATTAGGGTGAGGTTATATTTAATATACTTTACTTAACACAATAAAAATTTGAGTTATTAAACTCAACAATGCTCATCTTTAGAAGTCCAGAAAATTCACTTATAGAGGCGGCTTCATTTGTTTAGAATATTAAATAAATGACAAGTTAGTATTCTCTGCTTGTGAAATTTACTGGTTCCCTGTGCATTGCTAGGAAAAATAACAGAATCAATAATACATATTATACAGTTTATTTATGATATGTCACTACTTGCAATTATTAAATAATATATGCTATAGGACTACTTAATATTAATTTAGCAGATAATTTTAATAGAATGAAACTGCATAATAAATAAAAATTTTGATTCATATTTTGAATTATTAAACCCAGCAAAAATTATGAGAATTAACTTTATGAGTGTTAGTTTTTAAATAAAATAGAGAAGAATATGTAACATCATTAATAACTTTGAAAGCCACAGAGCCAAATGAGTGAATCACTTCTGCTCGTCACTCAGCCACTATTATTTCGTTATGCTAATTACACAGTCTATGTGTTTGGAGTCTGTTAAATGTTTATTTTTGTGGCAAACAACTATCTTTGCATATGTAAAATGGGGACAACATGTGAAAGAGGAGAATATGAAACCAAAAATTTAAGTATCAAAGAATCAAGAAATGGAAAAATATAACCAATCCTATAAAATGATCCTCCCATATACACTCAATAAGTAAAAATACACTTCATGGTCCAGACTGTCTTGAAGATATATTACACATTAGAACATATGCTTGTTAGTGGGTGCAGCGCACCAGCATGGCACTTGTATACATATGTAACTAACCTGCACATTGTGCACATGTACCCTAAAACTTAAAGTATAATAATAAAAAAAAAAAGAATGCAAAAAAAAAAAAAGAACTTATGCTTTACTGTTGCTTTCTGCACTTGAAACATCTTGATTTGTATCCTCTAGATTGTCAGGTAAGAATATCGTTAGAGATCAATTGGTCCAGCCTCAGACTAGGGCAAGCTTCAGCCCGATTGATCAGATGTGAACACCTCATATGGTCAAAGTGCCTTGAGCAGAGGAAATACACTGTGCAGATAATACTGACTCACAGGTATTATAACAATCTACCAGATGGGAAATAACGTGGCAGAAGTGACTTTTAGATATTTACCCTGGAGTGGAGGATGATAAATCCACTGCTCCAAGTAGAAGCAAGTAACCTGCAGACAGAGGGCTTGTCAAGTATAAAACCTTTAATCATTTCAGATATACTACGGATTGGCCTATGGGCTCCAGCTCTAGAATTTTACAACTGAGAAAAAAAAAGTAATGAAAGAGAAATATGTTGTGTTCATAAATAAACTATTAGAATAAATAATTTAAACAAGATTATATTTCTTATTTATCATTTGATGTTGATTTTTTAACCCAAAACCTTAACTTGAAACTCTTAATCAGTATAAAAGAGCTTGAGTATATTTAAAATTGTGTTGGACAGCCTGTTTCTTAGGATAACTCTATATGTCAGCCAATCACATTTTTTGAATCACCTCTAAACATTCCATTGACTTTTGTAATTGCAGTTAAAACAGTTCATGTGACATATGCAAGCAGTTGTTGACAGATGAGAAGATAAGCTTATAGGCCATGTATTGTATTTCCAGCTGTTTTAAATTTAAATTAACATTCTTTCGTAATTTCTAATTTTGATGATTATGATGACAAATTCAGGCTTGCAAAAGCCTAGACTCAAACTAGATTTTTGAATAGTTCAAGTGTTTAATTACTTATTAATCTGAATGAAGTACGTAATATATTTTCTTGTTTGCATTTGTTTTTACTATCAGTTCTGAGACTTCTCATCCAAGTTTGTCCTCTCTCAGTTCTTTCTAGTTACCATTTCCCAAACAATCAGAGATGGTCAAGGGTCATTCCCACGCTATTAACACTTTTAAAAGCTAGAAGAAACAAAGGTATAGGCTTACCAAAAAAAAAAGAACCTTTATTTATTTGAAATGTGGCAATTGAATAAAGCTTCTTAAAGTATGTACAAAATATAAACACATAACATTTTAAAGGAATCTATCAGCCAAGCAAAGAATGTTAGGTTATAAACACACAAATTATCTTAACCCTAAGGGTCAATAAATTAAGATCATGATAGTACAACTTTGGAAAGTTACTCCATAATCGAGGCAACATATTAATTATTAAAATCTTGCTTTACATAAGTCTGAAAGTGTTATTTTGAGAAACAAAGGTAAAGTTTTAAAATTATAAAACATTTTCTGATTTCCATGGAAGGAAATAAGGGAACAAGAAGAAAAGCAGTGCCTTAGCAAAAAAAAGCAAAAGTTTTCCCATAAATCCCTGCTAGATTTTCTCTTATGAGCAAGAACTATTCGAGGGCAACATTAGCTGCAAAGGACGCTGGGAAGTGAGTTGAATTTTTTTCTTCGTTTTTTAAACTGGGTACATGTGACCTCAAACACAATTTGGTCAAAACTACATTTAAAACCTCCAATTAACACTTTGAATTACACTAAAATAAAAAGGAGCCAATGAAGAGAGGCACAATACAAAACATATGATCAAGTTCACAATGAGTAGAAGCAGCACAACTGTGCCCTATATTTCACAGGTGTGGCCAAGGCCACCTACAGAAGAGTCGTACAAGAGAACCAAAGCCAAAGAGAGAGAAGAATATGGGTCAGAAAAGAATCATCACATCCTGATACTGACACACAGTGGACCAAGCCCTAGCTTAACAACTGTCCTTTATTCAATAAAATATGGTGCAACGGCCAAAGATTTATGGCAAAAATAGAAAATTGTTAACATTCATAAAGTTTTAGGTGTGTTTTATTTTGCTTGGCTTTGGTTTTTTGTATCTATCAAAATGAACAACTTAGACATGCTAAAAGTTTTATCATAGTATCAATATTTATAGTTATTCCATTATTTATCTTTAATATTTTAAATTATAAATAGCACAGTAAGTGTTGTATTGTTCTAATATCTCCTGCTTTAATATTTATTACACAGCATAACTGGACGGGAGATGTTTTAACTTCACTGAACATTAAAAACTACTGGCCGGGTGCGGTAGCTCACGCCTGTAATCCCAGCACTTTGGGAGGCCGAGGTGGGTGGATCACAAGGTCAGGAGATCCAGACCATCCTGGCTAACATGGTGAAACCCCATCTCTACTAAAAAAAAATACAAAAAATTAGCCGGGCGTGGTGGCGGGCGCCTGTAGTCCCAGCTACTCAGGAGGCTGAGGCAGGACAATGGCTTGAACCCAGGAGGCGGAGCTTGCAGTGAGCCGAGATCGCACCACTGCACTCCAGCCTGGCCGAGACAGCGAGACTCCGTCTCAAACAAACAAACAAAAAACTACTGCATGGGCTTTGAAATAGCTATGTAACTAATTGTTATTTTTTGCTTCAGTCTAAGTTCTTGTCTATATTCATATACCATAACAAATGAGTCACTATTGTCTATATAAAACTTTTAAATACCTAAAACACTTTACATCTTGGAATCTTATAGAATTGGAATTTTACTGAATCTTATAGAACTGTTTTCCTCAGATTTTATATAATACCTAAATACTGGCTTATAGGCAATAACTAGCTAAATAATAAACAAATATTATGAAGTGACATATAGACATATAAAAGCAATTCTTGTTATATATAGGCCAGGCTCCGTGGCTCACACCTGTAATCCCAGCACTTTGGGAGGCCGAGGCAGGCGGATCACAAGGTCAGGAGATCGAGACCATCCTGGTTAACATTGAAACCCTGTCTCTATTAAAAATACAAAAACTTAGCTGGGCATGGTGGTGGGCACCCGTAGTCCCTGCTACTCGGGAGGCTGGGGCAGGAGAATGGCATGAACCCAGGAGGTGGAGCTTGCAGTGAGCCAAGATTGTGCCACTGCACTCCAGCCTGGGCGACAGAGCAAGACTTTGTCTCAAAAAAAAAAAAAAAAAAAAAAAAAAAAAAAGCTATTCTTGTTATATGTAGAGGATCTATTTTATAGTCAAAATGTGCCTAAATATATGGTTCTTCAGCTTATTTTACAGCTTATTTTACTTGAAGGTATAACCACATTCTAAAATAATCTTTCAAATACAACAACTTGGTATCTTTTCTGTTTATAGTTCAAAATGAATTTTTTTCCCCACAATTATGATCACTGAGATGCTGAACTTGAATCAGAGTAAAGCATAAATAGGAAAAAACAACTACAAAACAGAGGACAATACGACTTCACTTGCTGATGGTCTAGCTGTGGCAAATGCAGTTTCCTCACAATAGACATACTTGCTGGCAAGCTCTGATGACTAAACTGTGCTGGAAGTTACACAGAATTTCGATTGCTATTTGCTCACAATTATAATTGGGAGCAAGAAAGACAATGCCAAAAGGAAATAAAACACATATTTAGGAAAAAAAAAACAAGTAAATAGGAGCTTTTTCTAGTAAAGAATGCTAGTAGAGGGCAAGTTGTTCCTTAGGATGCCCCCCGCCACCAACAAAAAGTCTTCAACAGCCAGCCAGAGGCCAGAAATCCCAAATTATTTAACGCTACTACATATATTATAATCAAATGTTGGATCAAGTAGGAATAACCCAATTAAATAATTTTAGCTAAATCATCTAACTCTGATGGCAAGTTATTTTGTTGAACAACTAAAGATTTATAAGGGCTATTGTAAATAATATTTACCTCTCAATTACCACATTCCCAGAATAGAAGTCATGCTTTGATGACTAAACATGGCCCGGCGTCAACCCCTGCTGCAAGACATTTGCTCTGATCTAAACACCCCCTAGTTTGCATGTACAGGGACAAAACCTTCTCAATTTTCTAAGAATATTTCTTTCTGTCCTCATAAACTCGAGATATTCCCCCTAAAAAAATGCTGATTTCAAAATTTAGCAATGGAATAAATCAGTTTGACAAAATTTTAACAAAATTTTACATGTTGCCAAAGACTGGCCACCTTCTGCCCCCACCACCAATCAATCAATCATCACAGAACAGGAAAAAATGTCTAATTCTTCAGATTAAGTGCACACGCCATATGCTAGAATGTATAGTGCTGTATTTATGAATATAGTCTATGTACTAAGTTTTTCAAGCCATAAAACTAGCTAATATTACATTAAAATCAAAGCTATCCTAATATAATAACATCATGTATAAATCAAAATAGTGGGAAGATGTACAATTAGAGATGAAAAGACAACAGAGCTGATAGAACCTGATTTTCCAAAAGAATTTAAATTTAAATTTAAGAAAATCTAGTCCCAATATATAGTATTTTTTATAGGATGATATTTATATAAGTAATACAAGGTGGTATAAACAATGAATAATTCCTCACTGTGATGGACATAGTTATTTTGTCATTAGTAAAAGTAGTTTGAAGTAAGAAGTTATTGGAAGAAGTTTTTTTCTGGAAGAAGTTTAAAATGTTTTAATTGCAAAATAGTATACTGGAGTAAAAGAATAAAAGGAAAGAAAAGAATGTGTAATTTATAAAGAAGATTTGCATAACACGTGTCTAAAATTTTGGTTTAAAAAAGAGTACTACTCTTTCTGTGAGCACCCAGGGGCACATCATCAAGTGGGGTGAAACACTTTCCTCTGGAGTGAAACATTAACCTCTAAGTTACAATCACTTTTAACCTCCTGAGGAGACCATGCTCCTGGAATGACTGCACATTTTCCTATTGCACATAGGAAGGGAACTGCTAATGTCAGTGCGAAAGCAAAGCCCCCAGATAGGAAAAAAAAAAAGATAAAAGGCTCCCTATCGATTTAATTAACTCAAATGTTAATACGTTAGGCTTAGAAAACCAGAAACTGTTCTGGACAAGAATGAACTTAAACATGGACAGAAAACAATGTGCGAATGTACCACCAGTGAAATCATGTGTCTTCAGAACTTTGTGTGCTATTAAGTTGGAGTGAAACCCACAGTAACATGTATTAAAGCCCATGTTTAAGACATCTTGGTCATATTTTATTAAAGAACGACAGCTCTTAAACATGTACATCTTTAACTGGAACTTGTTGCAGTTCTTAGTAATGGCAACTGATTGCTTGGCATTTTACAGGGGTATCTATTAAAACTCTTTTCTAGGCCAGGTGTGGTGGCTCACGCCTGTAATCCCAACACTTTGGGAGGCAGAGGCGGGCAGGTCACCTGAGGTCAGGTGTTCAAGACCAGCCTGGCCAACAGGGTGAAACCCAGTCTCTACTAAATAATACAAAAATTAGCCTGGCATGGTGGTGCGTGCCTGTAATCCCAGCTACTCAGAAGGCTGAAGCAGGGAGAATTGCTTGAACCCGGGAGGCGGAGGTTGCAGTGAGCCGAGATTACCCCACTGCACTCCAGCCTGGGCGACAGAGCGAGACTCCATCTCAAAAAAAAAAAAAAAAAACTCCTTCTAACCCATTCACTAAGCACTAAGCACGCATTTAATACCCATGTGTAATACACAGTGCACCAAGGACAGCATGGAGTTCATCTCGACATCACAGATTTAATTTTAGCTGTACATATATTAATTTATATCATTTCAATGATTGAATGGAAAATGAAATTATATCTATACAGTTATATTAAATTTAAATCAGGCATATGTGTCCTCCTCCTTCCCAACACATTGCAGATATTTAACAGGGGTGTAATAAAGTTAAACTCAACATCAAGGATACATTTAATTAGGAAAATAGCACAGAAAAGCAAAATTTGAATTTCAGGTGTTTTGCACTAGAGGAAGCCCGAGCGTCAGTCTTCTACGTGTGTCGTGTTAACATGACTTGAGGCTGTCACACTAGCACTGCTCCTAGTTTTAGACAGATAGAAGAATAAATGTCAAATCAACATGGCACAAAAAATCACCAATTTTAAATATTTTCAATCTTTAATTTACTAAGTTATGTGTCACTGTGTGCTATATTATAGTAATAAAATAACTACACTGTGCTCTCATGGACATGAGCACAAAGGTACATTTTTCTAAAGTAAAACAGAATTGGTCTCTAACAGAGCAGGCTTCACTGCTACCAATATTAAAGGAAAAAAAATATTGCATTAAAATTTATGACATCATTATTTGCTTTAATGTGTATCTGAAGCAGCTTCAAATTACCCAATTGTTAAGTGTGATGGTCATGACTCATGAATAATTTTGGCCTTAATAAAATTCTAATTTGGCATGGACAGACACCAAAATTAAAAGAGAGATCTAGGACTCAGAGAGAACAAACAATGAATCACTATTATGTTAAAACTAAAATTTGGCTCTGAGACAAAGGGATCAGTTTGTTTTTTAGGGAAGTCATAAATGTCATGACCTGTAAGCAAACATGAATCTCAGTAAGTGTTCTCTTTTTTCAAAACATAAACTTGGAAGAGGACTTTTAAAAGGATAAAGTAACTAAATACACAAAACAGACACAAACAAAAAGAAAGAATTAAAAATATTCCATGTAGGCAATGATATTATAGTAAATTAAATCACAGTGATTTAAAATAGCCTCGCATCTGGTATCTGATATCAACTAGCTACTTCCAAGAAATTTGGAGTGAGTGGAAATAACAATCCCTTTTACAGGTTATAGGAATTCAATCACAGGATTCATGGCAGCTGTGTGGTCACTTCAGTTAAAACAGAGTAGTCAAGACCATTTTCTTTAACATTTCAGTCTGATTTGCCAAATTCATCCACTCTTGGGGCAGGGAGGGACCTGGAGGGGCTCATTTAATTGTAAACAAAGACAAGGGAAGGTGAACTGTTTTCACTATTGTTCACCAAGTGAACTATTTGGTAAAATCATTACCCACACATCCTTTTAGGTAAGGTGATTATGTTTGTCATTTCAGTAAAAGGGCGTTAAACTTTGAACACTGCTTGCCTGAAGCAGATTAAGTAGTCGGCTTCCCATACCCTATTCAATTACCACAAGGGAGAAAGTGCTGCCTGTCTCAGAGTGGCACTCACTCACACGCATGACTCTTCCTCAACTACCGCAGTGCCAAGGTCTGATTATTTTCACAAATGTTTCATCCTTTTCCAATATTTTAACAAGTTGGAACCAAAAGTATTATCAAGTTCAAGACTGTTTCTTCTACATAAAAAGAATATTAAATAAGCAGTTATTTGAATCCTGTTTCTAACAATAAAAATGTAAGCAAAGCACTTGTAAGAGAAAAAGAAATTAGGCTGGAACAGCGGCTCATGCCTGTAATCCCAGCACTTTGGGAGGCCAAGGCAGATCACTTGAGCCCAGGAGTTTGAGAGCAGCCTGGGCAACTTAGTGAGACCTCATTTCTACAAAAAATTTTAAAAAATAGCTGGGTGGGGTGGCACGTGCCTGTGATCCCAGCTACTTGGGAAGCTGAGGTAGGTGGATCACTTGAGTACAGGAGGCGGAGGCTGCAACGAGCCACGTTCATGCCACTGCACTGCAGCCTGGGAAATAGAGTGAGGCCTGTCTCAAATTAAAAAAAAAAAAAATTTTTAAATAAAAAAAAGTTGAGAGAAAAATAAATTAGTGTGACAATGAAAAATTACTATGAAGAAAATCACATTAAAATGTTAATTTGAATTCTATAATTGGGAAAACATAATAGCACTGAACTATAAAGCTTCATTTTATTATATGCTTACATACAATTCTAATTCTGAAATACAAATATTAATACGAAAATTGCTTTTAAAAAGATGATACAGTATCTCCATAGAGATGTGAATGAATAATATAGTATTATCTAATTTTTAATGTACTTACATACTACCTGAGGGTCTATTTAGTGTTTAGTGCTTTGTTCCAGTTCCAGTCAGAAAAAAAATTCTGTTTAAAAATGTGGTATCTGGTCAAAAGTTCTAAAATACTCCAACTAACATCTGCACTGGAATCCTAGGGAAGTGAATACTTTCTGGATGTTACTGAATCAAAAAAATATGCTGTCAGCTGTTCAAGAGCTGGGAAGTGTGTCCACCACTGATTTTTCCTCCCTTTTTCCTGTCTGCTCACGGGCCTCCAATGCCCCCAGCACTGTAGTCTTCAGCACAGGGTAACCACGCAAGTCACAGCACTGACTGGCAAATTGACAAAGAGAACCACCAAACAAAATCAACTATTTGGAATAAACTAGAGTACTCAAGCAAATCAGCTTACTCTCAGAGAAGGAAAGTATCTACTCCATAATTCATCCCAGTGTCCCAGTGTCCGCACATCTCAGACAGCACACGCTGTACTAGTTACCATTCTGGAAGAGGGTCCCTTAGGAACAGTGCAATCACATTTTCCTAAACAAATTCACACAAGTTTAACTCTGGCATATAGCATTCTCCCCTTAAGTTTTCTTTATATTTTCCTCAGTGAAATTGTTGATATTTTAGGTATTCTGTGATGATTTCATTGTAAATTTAGAATGCATATTTATTTTTTGTGGCAATAATATAGATGAGATATTTACACATCAAAGTAGCAACATTAGCATGTTTCATTAATAAACATTTAAACTTGAAAATGTATATGCTCTGAATATATTCAAGATGAGTTCATATTAAATTATATGGCATTATAAAAAGCTTATGTGTACCAAAATCCTTTACAGCCAAATGACCTAAGTATGAATGAAGCACATAAGGAGACAGCATCATCCCAGATTCTTTGGTTTGGTGTGGTCTATGGACACCTGTGCTGCCCTCCAGGAGAGGAACAAACCCCGGCACCCAGGGGAAGTGGGAACATATTATAGGCAGAACTACAGTATGTAGCCTCCAGACACTGAATGATTAAACACCCTGCATTTCCTTCACCTGTTTCAAAATCAAACATCAGTATTATATCCTCTTGCTATATTTTAGAAATTGGGAAAATTGTCAGTAATTTATAATTTTAAAAATTTAATAAATTAGTTGCAAGGTGCTGAAGAATCACAGTTATGTCATATGTCTAGGACATAGTACTTACATGCTATATTCTTTGTTTGTTTTCTGATCATGAAGACTATCTATTTAACACAAATTTACAGAAAGCTTACTATATGCCAATCATGGTTCCAAGGGCTTTATATGTATGCACATGCTGTTTTTTTTTTTTTTTTTTTGAAACAGAGTCTCACTCTGTTGCCCAGGCTGGAGTGCAGTGGGGTGATCTCAGCTCACTCACTGCAACCTCCGCCTCCTGGGCTCAAGCCATCTTCTCACCTCAGCCTCCAGAGTAGCTGTGAATACAGGCACGTGTCACCATGCCCAGTTAATTTTTCTATTTTTTGTAGAGATAGGGTTTTCCCCATGTTGCTCAGGCTGGTCTCAAACTCCTGGGTTCAAGTGATCTACCTGACTCAGACTCCCAAAGTGCTGGGATTACAGACGTGAGCCACCACACCTGGCCTATATACACATTCTTATCCTCAAAACAACCTGATTAAGCAGGCATTAATTATATTCTACATTTTGGAAGAGGACTTTTAAAAGGATAAAGTAACTAGGCTGGGCGTGGTGGTTCACACCTGTAATCCCAGCACTTTGGGAGGCCGAGGCGGGCAGATCACGAGGTCAGGAGATTGAGACCATTCTGGCTAACATGGTCAAACCCCGTCTCTACTAAAAAAATATAAAAAAAAAATTAGCTGGGTGTGGTGGTGGGCACCTGTAGTTCCAGCTACTCAGGAGGCTGAGGCAGGAGAATGGCGTGAACCTGGGAGGCGGAGCTTGCAGTGAGCTGAGATAGCACCACTGCATTCCATCCAGCCTGGGCTACAGAGCCAGAGTCTGTCTCAAAAAAAAAAAAAAAAAAAAAAAGATAAAGTAACTAAATACACAAAACAGACACAAAGAAAAAGAAAAAATTAAAAATTAAAAATTAGCATCTACTCATTGTGCTACAAAGAAGCAGAGAGAAACTAAGTAACTTGTCCAAGGTCACACAGGTACTAAGAGGCATCCTCAGGACATGAATACAGAAAGGCATGTCCATACCCTGTGCTCTTATCCACTGCACTGCATCTCTAAACAAGTTACGTCACTGACACAAGCAACAGTTATGTGACTGAAACAAGCAGAAATATTGGCAGTGAGTTCTTCCAGGCGCTATCACAGGCAGTGTAAACAGAGTGCATAGGTTCTGCAGTTAGCAAAATAGCTAGCTTTGATCCCAGCCTTTATCACTTATGACTGCATACTTTACTATTGCATAAAAGTAAGAGAAAATGGTAATTTAGGGATGAAGTTTTAGGTAAATTAAATTACAAAATAAATGTCTAAATAGAAACCTTTCAACTATAGAAGTCAAACCACATCTTTCTGGTCTACCCCAAAATATACATCTTTCCACCTGTCCAAATGAGGACAGGTTGAAGCCAAACTTCTTTAGAAGTGAGTCTTTTAAACTTGTAAGTATTACCTTTTACACAAAGTTGTGCATTTGAATATTTCCTCTTTCAGTATGTCCTTTCTCTAGTAGGTGGCATCTCTTGAGTTTGAGTAAATTATTCCACCATATTTAAAAAAACCTTTTATAAGAACAGCCAAAGTATTTATATTGTTTATTTGGTAGTTTACCCACCTCCTCACATCCCCACTCCCACCTTTCTGGTCTCATTTTTAGCAGATTTTAAAAAGCAGGAATTTCCAGGACACTTTAGGGTTCTCTCCTTCTCTTTTTTTTCAATTGCCCACTGACCTACAAATAAATGTGTGTGCAAATATAGAGATTCTAATCTTGTACACTTCTGATTGTCTAAATATTCTATTTCAATGAACTGTCTACAAATTCTTAACCATGCAAGAAAGAACACGTAAGTCACACTTGGCAGTCTGAAGAACTATTAAGCGGTGTATGCATGAATATGTGTGTGGGGGGTTCTGTGTATGTGTATCTAAGCATGACCACTGTTTACACTGCTTGCTTCGTTTGGAATGCAAACCATAATGGCAGAGATGTCTATTTCTATACTTTTGTAAATGTATCCAGATAGCACAATGATGGGTGCCTACAGTAAGTCAAAAGTAATCACCACTATCATCGCCAGCAATCAGGAGCATATAGAGGAGTTCGAATACCATATATGGGTGGCCACTGTAATGAGAAAGGCAGAGTCACTGCCAGACACTTTAAGAAACCCTGCAGTTGAAAATGGCTTCTGAGAAGCTTCTGAGAAGCTTCTGGTCAGCTTTCTTAGACACTTCTGTGCAACAATGCCAGGTTAAGCTCCTTAAAAACCTCACTTTCAGCATACCACTAAAGAATCTTCATTGGCTCCTGCTGCTTTCAACTCAAACTCAGACTTTCTCTTTGGTTTTCACACTTCCCACCATGCTCCCTTCAGTTTCCCTTAAAGCTCTTGACTTTTGCACCAAAGGGTTTGCTTCTAGTTCCCCAAATATCCCTGACCTTTACTTCCTCTGTACTTTGCTGTCATTCTTCAATATTCAAAACATCCCTCTCTCCCCCATTTCTGTAATTAGCATCTACTCATTTTTAACATTGGGTCTCATATCATTCCACCTTTCCCAGGCCTGCCCATGCAACTCCCAGAAGGCTAGCCAACAACTGGTGGTAACTCACAAGACTCTCTTACAAAACCACTTACATGGTCTGGATTTATAGTTTAATTCACTTGTAGTATTTTTAATGAGTAAATTTATTTTCTCCAAAATGATTATAAGCTTGTTATAGACAAGATCACTCACTCTACATTTTTTGCATCACACACTGAACTGTAATTTCCTGCTTAGAACTGAAGCTGCCACTAGTAAGAACTGATTAACATGAGTTGAAGTAGATTAAAGAGCAAATAAACCTGGTACTAATGGGTAAAAAGGAATTAGGAGCATCCACATGGCTTCTTTCTTGAATTCCTGGATTACCTTTCCCTGCCTCTTCCAGGCAGCCCCAAGGCAATAAAGCAATGGAGGAAGGCCTGTGGAACAGGGCTACAATCCATCTGCTTATCCAAAATGCCTGGAGACTGCAAGAGTCTCTGAACCTGGAATTTTTCTGGAAACCAAGTGCATAGACATATTAATACTCACACCCCAAAAACAAGCAGGACTGATGGCAGCATCATGTAAATAAATACATTACTATTTTCCCAGTGAAGATTAGAAATATTTAAATTAGATAATAATGACTATAAATAGCCTTATGTCAGTTCAGATCAGGATTATAGCACCAAATAATTTAAGAAAATTAGCTTTTGGGGCCGGGCGCAGTGGCTCATGCCTGTAATCCCAGCACTTTAGGAGATCAAGTGGATCACCTGAAGTCAGGAGTTTGAAACCAGCTTCGCCTACAAGACAAAACCCTCTCTCTATGAAAAATACAAAAATTAGCCTGCTCTAGTGGCACATGCCTGTAATTCCAGCTACTTGGGAGGCTGAGGCACGAGAATCGCTTGAACCCACGAGGCAGAGGTTGCAGTGAGCCAACATCATGCCACTGCACTCCAGCCTGGGCAATAGAGCATGACCCTGTCTCAAAAAAAAAAAAAAAAAGGAAAGAAAGAAAAAGAAAATGAGTTTTTGGATTTCAAAATTGGAAAAAAAACTATCGTGGATAACTCCTAACACCTGAAAGCCACTAGGGCGCGAGCAGTATAAGGAAACAGTACTAATCCACTGACAAAGCATTTAATGTACAATTTGATTAATTCCATGATGGATGCCCAATAAAGCAAATTAAATAAAAACAGTCTCTGCTTTCTCATGGTTAAACATAAACTCTGAAAAAAAAAATTAATCAACCGAGGAAAGAAGCCACCCCAAAAATTTACACTAGTAAGTTTCAGAAAAACAATTACACAAACCTAAAATATTTATAGTAAATTTTATAATTACACTATAACTCAAACTCATCAGCATCTCTCCTTGTTTAAAGTTCTCTGCTATATCTGTTTTTTCTAATGAGAAAAATCAATGATAACTTAATCCACAATTTATACAAATCTGTACATACAAATATGTGTTTGTAACAAAAGGTAGACCCATATAGTATTTATAAAATGCACATCTACAAGGAATAATGTAACTGGTGAAAGGTGAAACAATATATGCTCAGAAGTCAGAGGAAGTATAACGCTTCTGCCAACTTAAATTTGTTCTTTCCAAATCCACTTATTTGTGAAAGGTCATTTGGCAGAGGTAAAATCACAATCTTTCACTGAAGTTACTTGAGCACAACTTTGAAAAACCGTTTGTCAGAAAATCTTGTTAAGCCTCCAGTTAAGCAGTCGTTCTTATAATATTACCATGGATTAGGTCATTTATAATTTATCTTTAGTCAAACGAACACCATGTGGTAAAGCCTGGAAGAAAGTCTGGGTTTATTTCCGTTTGTCCCGTTGTGGGGAATTAGGACCTAAATAAATGCAACAAGGTGCCCCTAACTGCAAAGTCACACGCAGTGCTTTTCTCTGCCTTCCTGCACGCTGCTATAGTGTGCCAAAGGAGACCAGCAGAGGGGCTGAAAGGAGTCTGAATCACAGGCCCAAAGGCCCAAACCCATTACCACATTTCTCTAAAACATACATGCTTCTCGATTTACGATGGGGCTACATCCTGACAAATTCCTCCTGAGTTGAAAATATATTTAATATACAGTAGAGTACCTGTTGTTTACTCTCACGATCACATGGCTGACTGGTCACAGCTCACTTCCATTGTCCAGCATCCAGAGAAAGTATTTTACTGCATATTATTAGCCCAGGAAAAGATCAAAATTCAAACCTTGAAGTATGGTTTCTACTGAATGTCTATCGACTTTGCACCATTGTAAAGTCCAAAAGTCCTAAATAGAACCATTCTAAGTCGGGGACTGTTGGTATATGCCATAAAACTTTTTTTAAAAGAAAAAAAGGAAAAAAACATCTATTCTTTTTCCTGGTTAAGTCATTCAGATCTTGGGTTCATCATCCTTAATGAAATAAAATAATGTCCATATTATGGAGGTGTAGTGAAAAACAAAACTAACTTGCAAAGCTCTTTGCGAAGTGCTTAACACACGTTATGAACATCACAGATAATGATTATAAACTCCTACTCTCAATAACAACCCCAGGACTGCCAAAGGCAAGCAGGCAAGCACAGTCCCAGGGATTCGGGAAACCTTCATTAGTCTCACGCCAGTTCCTCTGTTGGTGAAAACCCCAGCAAGAGCTGAGAAACAGCATTCTGGGTTGGACACATGGAGATAACTAGGAGGCCAGGACCTTCCTCTCAAGAGGAACCGGAACCAGAACTGGAAGTCCAAAATGAAATCTAAATCCACTACCCTCCGTCTTTCTCAACTCAACTGAAAAGGACAGGATTAGAGATCTACGGGTCTTAGACATATGCCACTAAGATCAGTAATTAACTGCTTTCTATGAAGCAATTTTGATAACTGTCTTGTGAATAAATAGCTATCAATCAGATATTCATAGTTCAGAAGACTATAATGGAGTGGAAATCAAAATGAAAGATGAATTGAACTTTCTATATCTAAAACCTCATATAAGTAGCATCACTCAGAGGAATGTCAGAAATCTCTTATAAGAGTAGATGTTGACAAACATAATCATATACTATAAGAAAAATTGTAAATAGAACAGCTTCAGACTTGCTATTCTCTTTTGTTCCCATCATGTCCAGTTAATTTTACTTTTGCCTGCCTTACTTTTTTGACACTGTCTTGTTTGTGTTAACATCCTTCAGAGAAACATTTTAAGACTTTTCAGTAAGTCATGCAACCACAAATAACTAGAAATAGGAATCCAGTAAATGCAAATATAAGTCGAGGAATAAGGAGATCTTCATTCTATTTGTGATTTTTACCTACAATCTTTTGCATGGCTTTACGGGTGGGCTGAAGGGCTGGATGGCTAACCTTGGTTCATAGTTTGTGTGCTATTTTTGATTTTTTAAATATTAAAAAAGTTCCTAGGTGAAAGTTATGAAAACATTGCATCTATTGGGATTATAGATATTTAGCATCTTCTGTTTACCTTCTGAAATATTTTCTTGGGGTTCATGTAGTTATAGAAAATTAACAATTGATTTCTCCCCAGTTCTTCTCTAGTGCTTAAATCTAAATGTGGTGCTTGTACAGGCCACTAGGGAGAGACATAGAGTCTTCATATCAGTTTCTTGGCAGTTGTGTGACATGTTTCATAGCAAGGACACAGCAGTTTCACTGAATGCATTAATGACACATGCCCTGTCAAGGCTCTATTCACCCACTGGGGAACGACACTTTAATGGAGCAATGAAATACTGCTTTGTGGTCTATGGAACTCAGAGATGATGTTTCATATGGGAAATGATGTTTCATCACATAGGAAAGGAACCCACATCACATGCAGAATACTAACCCATATTCACCATACAGAATATAAAAATGGTTAAATATGAAAAGCGACATTTGCAAACAAAAATGCATAGTGATTTTCACAGCAATGGTAAAATTTGCCATATCACCAATGGCAAATTTTACATCACCAACGAAGACACTTTTGAAAGTTAAAAATAAGTTAACTTTTTTAATCCTCCAATCCCATACCTATACATAACACACGTAAACACACACACACACACACTCAAGGTACATTAATTCTAGACTCACCCAGCAGTGAGTGACTCTCATACAGGCTATTGGCTTATCAGGGAATGTTTCTCATTTTACTCTCTACTGCACATTTTCTTACTGTAAACCAAAGTAAGTGACCGTAACCAATACAGAGATGTTGCCTTACTAAATCATACTTTTACTAGTTTTGACTTTGCAGAAATAGCAAATAGGTACTGCAAAATCAAGGACTCAAATTATCAGAAGCGTTATTGAGCCGATTATTACATTTCTGCGGTATTTAAGAACAGAAAGATATTTTCATCACTATAGTTACGGCAATGTAAGTATAGGCACTGAAAATTATTTTTGTGATTCACAGAATGCAGTCTGTTCTATTTCATGTATATTGTTTTTACTCAAGAGGCATTCCTTTAACCCCTATATTAAATTATTACACATTCCAACATTTTAATGTTTTCCCAAAATTTAAATGCAAAGGTAGTTTGATTTCCAAAAATTAGTCTTCTCAATCTTTAAGTGTATTTCAAAATATAAATATAAATAAAATATTTCAAAATATAAGGCTATTTTCTACACATTGTGTATGTGTTAATCAACAGTCAAATTAAAGTTGACTGTAACACACCACAGGTACCTCTCCACTTGCCACCAGTTGAAATAAACTACCGCAGTATAGTTCCAGCAAGGGGTACTGCAAGTGTTTGAACTGAAATGTCGAATATAACTTCTTTAGGAACTCTCTTAAGCATACTCTATATGGTTATGGCAGGTATGAACTTTTTAGATAAAGATATACTCTTTTGGAAGAGCCAGTAAGAAGTAGGAACACACACAAATCCTTTTTCAAAATCAGGATGCCTCAAAAGTATTTTGGCAACATTTTCAGGCAAAGGATTAAACACCTCTTATTTAAAAGAAAACAAAACAAACAAAAAACCCAAACAAGAAAAAAAAAAACTTAGTTTGCAGTATCTCATGACCAGATTTTAGGAATGAAGAGCTTATAAAGTTGAAACAAGCCTTGCATTGCTTGATTGTGATCTAACTGACTCTAATCTCCCGTTACATCTCAAGTCTGACCAACTTCAAGTGAACTCTGAAAGCTCTGGAGCCTGGTTACTAAAGTCCCTGACACTTTTTTTCTAAAGTCGCTCACAGCGCCTGGTGCTCTGCAGACTATGAACACTCCAGGAAAGTAAGGCTGGGTTGACTGATCACCAGTGTCCCAGAATCTGTTTGGAGTCCCATGAATCAGCTGGGGAAAGAAACGAGCATTTCCCGACCAAAATGAACTCATACTCTCCAGAGCCCCGCTGACTGGGCAGGGTTCAAGACCCCTTGGTTGCCCCAGAGGAAACCAGTCTGAAATAGATTTCGGGATCTCTCACTGGGCACCTCTCCGGGCCCTTCACTCGTGTAACTTGCTTGCCTCTCTAGTAACAACTTTCTATTTAAAAAGAAGAAGATTTTTCTCCAAAGCAGCGTGCACTGAGCTCAGTAACTTTGGATCCCACGTACACAAGCTTAAAGCACACACACTTTCCCCCGCGCAGGTTCTCGGGTCCGCCGCAGACCCTAACGCAAACTCTCGGGTTCTCCGCAAACCCTAACGCAGACCTACCGTGGCCTCGCCCGCGTCGGGCTCCGCGTCCGAGAGGTCGAGTCCGGACTCGAAGGCGGCGGCGGCGGCGGGCGCCTCGCGAGGACCCGGGAGCAGCGCAGCGGCGAGCAGAGAACACGCCACAGAGAAGAAGCCCAGCAAGTGCATGGTGGAAGGACCGGGGGTGGGGGACCGGTCCGCTGGCGGGGGCAGGGGTGGGGGCGCGGGCGCCCCTGCGAGGCCGCGGGCCCCTCCTGGTCCCTCTCCCCCGGGCTCCTCCCGGCGACCCCCCCTGGGCGAGCCGGAGGCGGCGGGAGCGGGTCCGGGGCTCCGCGTTCCCAACTTTGCAGGGCGCCCTCCCAGCCAGTGCCGGGGAAAGGCGGCGGGTGTCAGGTAAAAGCCTCACAGGAAACCGGACATCCGAGCTCCCCGCATTCGGAGCCCGCGAGGTGAAGCGAGGGCGAGGGAGGACGCCGCCGCGGTCCGCGTCGGTGTAGCTTTTTGGAGAGGCGGGGCGGGGGACACCAGAACACCCCGCGATGTTCAGCCCCTCCAAACCCGCCAGAGCCCTCGTCCCCCTCCTCCCTCCCCTTCCCCGAAGTGAGAGGAGCCGGGCCGCGGGCGCTGCGGCGGGGGCGCTGGCGGCGGTGCCGGGGGCGGGAGGAGGGCGGCGGGGCGGCTGGCGGCGGCGGGGCCCGGGAGCGCCGCGGCGCAGGATCCTCCAGAGCGCGCCGGGCTGAGCGGCGGCGGCGGCGGCGGCGGGCGCAGGGGCAGGGCATGACTGACGCGCCCTCTGCCTGCGCTTATGTGAGAGAAAGCGGCCGAGGGAGGGAGCGTGCCGAGCCCGGGCTGCCCTCCCCTCTCACTCTCCCTCGGAAGCCGTCTCCCTGGAGCTCCCCGTTTCCCTCGCCTCCTCCCCGGCGGCCCCACCTCCCCCGGCCCCCCTCTGGATCTCTCCCTCCCCGCCCCTGTCCCCTGCGGGGAGCGGGCGGCCGGAGGGGCAAGTTCAGTCCCGGGGCTGGCGGTTGGCGGGACCGGCTTTAGAGGTGATGCGACCACCCTGGACCACGTGCAGCGGGGAGAAACTGGGCACCGTGGGGTGGAGGGAGCCCCCGCTTTATCCTCGGCCACTCCCGAGTTCTTGTCCTCCCTCCCGCACGCCTGGCCCCCAGAGCCCTGCTCAAAGTTTGGAAATGTCCTGGGGGTTGTAAAAGTTCCAAGAAAAGGTCATCACTATGTCAGAGAACCCTATGGGACCTCGGAGGGGTCCCCTCTCTCCCTTGGTCTGTGTAGTTGAAAGTTGCCTGATGATCCAAGAACCGCAGTTCTCAGGATGCAGTGCAGGCTGTTGGGATGGATGCTAATGATCCCTTTGGAATCCTAAACTTCTGACAGGTGAAGAGAAGGGCCAGAATCTTCGTGGAGAGTAAAGAGACACATTGTCAGCTTCTGCAAGAAGTTGGTTTACTTGAAAAAGGGGGTGATAAAGAGAGATGTGTGTGAGACATATTCCAGAAAGGATGTGTAGCATCCAAAGAAAAGTGACTGCATTTCCCCATTGGAAAAGCACTGGGGTTTCCGTTGGGCTGGTGGCATTGGCTAGCTGCCTCCTTGGGGCAGGGTGAGCAGGTTACAGAGGACCACGCTAAGGGGTTTCAACAGTGTACAGAACATCAAAAGTCTGCCTTTCACTCCCAATCTACTTTTAAGTACACAGATGTTATAGGTCCATAATATCTTACCGGAAGAAGAGACTTTCTTATCTGGTTCAACTCTAGATTTGAAACTCCTCACCCATAATTTACTTGAAGGCTTAAATATCTCAAAGGACAGGGAACCTTCCATTCTGTGTGGCTGTTCACTCCCTTTATTGATGAGCAACACTGCTGAAAAGCATTTCCTTCTATCTCTCTATTGCTTTTGACTCCTGGAGTTTTACACAATAAATCTAATCTCACTTCCACAACTGAGTCCTTCAAATATTTTGAAAATATTTATCATGGTCTCCCTAAGCTAACTTTACTCCTGGCTAAATATCCCTTTTATTCCCCAAGATGACAGTTCCAGTTTCCCCCCTTAACCATACTGTTAGCTTTCCATGTTCATGAAGTATGCGGTTGAGAACATGGCTCGGTACTTAGTGCTGTAATGAGCATGCAGAATGGACAGTATGCCTTTGTTGATACAGCCTTGGATTGAGTTTATTTTCTGGCAGCCAAATCACAGTGTTGACTCACACTACCCTTAAAGTCAACAAAATTCCTCAATAATTTTTCATATGTACTGCTACTTAGTCACGTCTAAATTCCCCTGTATTTGTGGAGTTAAGTTTACTGTATCCAAGATGCTTTTTTATGTATCTTTATGAAATTCCATCCCATCAGACTCGGTCCATGATCTAGCCTGTTGAGATGTTTTGTGATTTGGAACATGGTCAGTGTATCACTCT
Organism: Homo sapiens; assembly: GCF_000001405.40. Taxonomy (NCBI): domain Eukaryota; kingdom Metazoa; phylum Chordata; class Mammalia; order Primates; family Hominidae; genus Homo; species Homo sapiens. Next base: position 176,794,593 of record NC_000004.12, read on the forward strand.
CTTGCTGTCTTCCTGCTCTATGCATATTTGATCAGCCTGCCATAGTTATCTTCAGACATTGATAGATCTGTGAAAAGGGAACAGCTAAGGGCAGACTGGGGTAGGATTTGAATAGAAGGTGGAGTTTCCATTCAACCATTTGCTATTACAATGATTCTAAACTTTGATTGCACTTGGCATCACAAAAGGAGATTTTGAAAAAACAGATGCTTGAGTACACCTTCTGCCTTTCTGGCTTAACTGGTCTAACTGGAGTAAGGCTTGGACATCAGGATTCTAATAGGCAAACAAAATTGAGAACCACAGGCATTTCCAACACCCACAGGCCTAGCAGCGGGTGAAGACTGGAAAATCAACAAACTCAAAATATATCCAAAATATATTAATATCATATTAACTACTGTTTCATTTAAATACAGCAGTAAGCTGTATTCAAACTTTTTTCTCACAAAAGTGTTATCTTCCTGCTGCTATACTTTGAGTCAGAAAATGCTGGCAAAAAGTTTATTTGAATAAAAAAAAGGTCTCCAAAAACAATCATGCAGTAGTTGTTTGTCTTAAGGTTGGTCGGGCACGGTGGCTCACGCCTGTAATCCCAGCACTTTGGGAGGCCGAGGCGGGTGGATCATGAGGTCAGGAGATCGAGACCATCCTAGCTAACACCGTCCATCTTAGGGAGACCATGATAAATATTTTCAAACGTTGGTGAAACCCCGTCTCTACTTAAAACACACACACACACACACACACACACACACACACACACACACACACACACACACACACACAGAATGTCTTAAGGTAAAAACGAATAGTTGCTCAGGACTTTTTGGTTTTTTTTCTTCCTTACCCCCTGGAAACACTTTTTGCCACTAGCAGATTTTAAAGGTTGAGAAAGTCCTTTTCACTGGTTTGTGAGTTCATCACTAGCTTCATGCAAGACCTATTTTACAACAGGTCTTCTAAATCTGGTTATTCAAAAAGCATTGCTCAGTCAGTGGAGAAAGAGAGGTAGCAGGGCCCCAGCCAGAATAACACCTCTTTTACATATTGAGTTTTTGTTTTCTTTGATGATAGGTTTTGTTCTTTGTGTTTTGTGTCTGTGTGTGTGTGTGTGTGTGTGTGTGTGTGTGTGTTTGTTTGTTTGAGATGGAGTCTCGCTCTGTCTCCCATGCTGGAGTGCAGTTAGAGTACAGTGGCACCATGTCAGCTCACTGCAACCCCTGGGTTCAAGCTATTCTCCTGCCTCAGCCTCCCAAGTAGATATGGGAGATGATAGTTTTGGATGGCAAAATAATGATGATAATATATCCATTGTACATTCTCTAATATCCATTCTGACCATCTACTTTATTTCTCATTTGTTATTCCCTACCTTCTTGCTTTGTTAGTTTTACTTTGTTGCTTCATTTCAAGCTTTTTTAGCTGAATGCTTAGTTCATTTTTCTTCTTTTTAGTTTAAAAATACAAGTTTCGGGCCATGTGTGGTGGCTCACATCTGTAATCCCAGCATTTGGGGAGGCTGAGGAAGGAGGATCACTTGAAGTTACTTTGAGACCAGCCTGGGCAACACAGCAAGACCCCATCTCTGCAATCAATCAGTCGATCAATAAAATACAAGTTTTGTCTAAATTCTGCTTTACTTGTATTTCTCAATTTTGATACGTAGTGCTTCCTTTGGCAAACAGTTGCAAATATATCTTAATTTGTTTATATTTTTAACCCCCAAATTATTTGTGTTTTCTTAGTTTAGGGATATATGATTTTTATCAATTTCTAATTTTATTATATTTAATTTTTGCTATAAATGATGTTGCTTTTAGAAATGCATTCAGGCTTTCTTTGTAGTCCTGGACATGGCTGATCATTGCAACTAATTCTGTGTGTGCTTTATTTTTGTTGGGTATTAATTTTGAGCTTATTATAATGTTCAAATCTTGTTTGGGAATGACGTTAAAATCTCCAGTTATAATTGTTGACATGTTTTTCTGTTTCTGACAGTAGTTCTTCCTGTTATTTTTTAACATAATGGGATACTATATCATTTTGATCTAATTTTCTTCTTGGTAGTATACAATGTCATTTTTTTAACTTCTGATATTTTTATTTGAAGTTCTACTTTTTCTGATATTAAAATCATAGGCTTTAAGAATTGAGATCAGCTGTGAACATGACTTAGGTAAAACTATGAACCAGTTATGTACACATGACTTAGTTGTTTCTTCTAGGAAACATTAGCCTGGAAAAGATAAGACTGCAATCCAGTATTTAAATTCAGTGTTTGCTTCAAGAAATGCTGGCAAAACAATATATCGAAGATAATAATATTCTGACTCTGGTAAACAGCCTGCTTATTAATGACAGTTTTCTTACCCAAACTCTCACTTACAGATGTTAACTGATCCTAAACTACTAGATCATGAACGTTGCCCAATCTTACTCAATTCCCCACTTTGAAAGACCCACCTTAAACTACTCGTGTCCAGACTCCAAAGCTCTACAACTATTCTGCTTCTGACTTACCCAAGACACCCTAAGACCCTGTCCAGGTGGCACTCTCCCTTACTGCTGTAGGTTCGGCTAAATGGAACTTTTGTTTATTGAAAACTTTTCTACTGATATTTTCGGGTGTACAACAACTTGGAGGTCCCATTGAAATCCTTCTCCCTAGTAGCTCAAGCAAAGATCCTAAATTCAAAAATAGTGCAAATCACTGAGGCCTCTTGAGCTTCCTGGCTTGGTGGGGGGAATCACTCTGACTGCAATGAAGGGTTATGTCTTCTGTTAGATTTCAGTCCCAGTTTCTTTTTATCAAGCTACCAAATGCTAAAAGATCTCCTTTCAAGAACCCTTTGATTATTTGATCAGACTTGAACAAATTTATCCTCAATAGATATCTGCCTTATTACTATTGCTTTTTATCCCTGCTGCCTTCATAATTTTCTCATGGGAGTCAAAAAAAGGAAGTTCATAAGAAAGAGAATAAGCACGGGTCCTGTTAAGTCAATTCACTGAGCCATCCCTTGGGACTAGATGCCCAGAAGGATTGGTATTGACTAGACAGATATTGCCATAAACTTTATCAAAAGCTTATACAACGATTTGAAGTCTTGTTTTGTCTGTGAGACACTGATTTTGAATGAGATCTCTTGGTCAAACTTTCCGTCTTCCCAAACTGCACATTTATCAGATTTGCCACTGGAGATTACCTAACCTTTAGTTTGGGGAGCCAAGGGCATGAGGTACACAAACAACTCATTTGACCACCCATTGCCAGATCATTTTGCCTTTGTCTCAGATTAAACCCAAGTTCATATCCCCTCCAAGCCATATTCCTGCCTCCTACATGTATTTTGCACTATAACTGATACTATGTATCTCTGTCTAAACAGCTTAATTTTACCAACATTAATTTAGAATTTCAGAGGCCATTTGAGAAACCTTTTGTAAGAACAAAACTGTTCATTTGAGAGGTGCCTTATGGAAAGAGAGTGAAATTCCAAACATTCAATGATATGTATGTTCTGATTGATATAAGAAGTCTTACAATAAAAATACAGATTCCACAATTGCTTCAGTAATTGTTCCACGGAAGGCGCAAATGAAAAAATGTGAAAAGCTCTTTTTTAGATCTGCCCAAATCACCACTTGACTCAAAAAGCTTTTACCTTTACTATTCCTGTTCTCTCACCCAGTTGCCCTCCAAGTTCCCCTTCCCTGACACTCTTTCTGATGTCCCTTTTCTTCTGGCCAGCTAGAAACACTAAATGCTCAATTGGCTCTTAAAGTTGACCAAATCAGTATAAGCTCATTATGGCAGATTTTAAGCCCTGGGTTGGGTCTAAGGTAAACGTCATTTTCAAAAACTTCCAAAGTCTATGCAAGGTAGGTATAAATTTACAGAGAAATTTGCAATAGTTCTAGGAACACATAATTCAGGGTTCCCAGATCTCTATCAACTGATTTATAGGTTATTATCAACCTCAAATGCAACAAAATGTGTTGGAAAAGGCAGTGTGAATACCTTGAGTATGATTTAAGAGACTCCACATTTCAGAGTAAAACCAGAGGAACTTAAAAAAGCTATAAATTTTAGACAAAACTTTTGGAGTTTATGCACCAAAACAAAAATGACAGCATTGGAAACCTCAGGGGGATGCTCCATCACACCTATAGAAAACATTCAGATGTAGGTCCTGGAACATGTGCAGTGCCAGCTCTTGCTTCACTTTCTCTGAGTGGCCTAATGTCAGAAATAGGGAAATTTAACATACAAGCAAAACTGGAAAGGAAGATCATCCTGTTGCTAGACCTCCAAGCCCTCACGGAATGAAACTAAAGGGGAAAAAAAGGAAGTAGGAAATCAGTGACGCTCTTCCAAATGAGGGTCAAGGACTCAGTTTCCTATTTGCCCTTAAATGCTCAAGGAGAATTTCTGTGTCTTAAAAGGTGGTCTTGTGAATGTTTGATCCTGGCACTATCATATCAACCAAAAGACTTGCCACTGTCACATGACCTCTTTCTCAGAGTTAAACAACTCCAGTGGTGGCTATCTCTAATAATCCACAAATTCTCCCTGTTGCATACTGTGCCTGTCATCTTCAGACCTTACCGAGGAATGTTCTTCATAATCTGTCACTTTCAGAATGGCAGTTTGTTGTCACCAGTGGACCTCAGGTGGAACCTTGCAAACATTTTTCATTAAATTTTCCACCTCAAGAAGGACAAATTGATCACTGTACTTTGTCAACATTGGTAGGGTAATTTTATGGAGGTTGCTGAGAATGTCTCCAGTTGCTGGTCTCTTCTGCACCAGCGTAATCTAGTTAAACTGTAAAGGTGGAGGCTGGACAAGAACTCAAGTGTCAGGGTACCTTTGAACCCTTACAAATGGGTTTCATACAGTCACCTCCTTGGTATGGATTTTGAATATCCTAGTCAATGTTTGCTAATTTCCAAAGTGAGAGGAAACTTTTGTCTGTTAGAAAGGTAGATTCTGACAGTAACAGCTCGCCCTTTGAAGTTTGGATATTTCTCACCCAATTTAGGGCTCTACCATACTTTGGGCAGACATGGCAAAGCACCACAAGGGACTCACACAATATACTCACTCTTATCACCAACAAGTATGGCTTGCATTTTCTTCATATTCTCCCAAGGAATCTTGGCACGACCTGAAAAACAAAGACTTTGTCATCTGGAAAAGACAGCATAGAAAAAATTCCTAGAAACCACATTGGAAAGAAATAGCAGATAAATTTGACTAGAACAGCAGTTAAACTTGAGGGTATAGATGCTTGGATTTATGTCTCCCAGCTAAAAAGACACAAAGTTTGGCCCACTGACAAAAGGACTGACATTCCATTAGAAGATTGAAAATTAGGGATTCTAAAGTATTTTTCAGAAGCCAGTGGCCCTTGGAATAGAGACAGCTTCTACCACGAAGCTTTGTTTCAAGATGGCAACTGCAGGATGTGGACAGCTTCCACTCAAGACTTACAAAGACTTACAAAAGTCTTTGAAGTTTGGATATTTCTTACCCAATTTGGGGTTCTACCATACTTTGGGCAGACATGACAAAGCATTATAAGGGACTCACGCAATATATTCAGTCTTATCACCAATAAATACGAACTGCATTTTCTTTCTTTCTTTTTTTTTTTTTTTTTTTTGAGACGGAGTTTTGCTCTTGTTGCCCAGGCTGGAGTGCAGTGGTGCGATCTTGGCTCACCGCAACCTCCGCCTCCTGGGTTCAAGTGATTCTCCTGCCTCAGCCTTCTGAGTAGCTGGGATTACAGGCATGCGCCACCATGCCCGCCTAATTTTGTATTTTTTAGTAGAGATGGGGTTTCTCCATGTTGGTCAGACTAGTCTCGAACTCCCGACTTCAGGTGATACACCCGCCTCGGCCTCCCAAAGTGCTGGGATTACAGGCGTGAGCCACTGTGCCTGGCCCGTTAATCCCAGCACTTTGGGAGGCCGAGGCAGGTGTATCACGAGGTCAGGAGATTGAGACCATCCTGGCTAACACAACAGTGAAACCCCGTCTCTACTAAAAATACAAAAAGTTAGCTGGGTGTGGTGGCGGGCGCCTGTAGTCCCAGCTATTTGGGAGGCTGAGGCAGGAGAATGGCGTGAGGTGGAGCTTGCAGTGAGCCGAGAATGCACCACTGAGCTCCAGCCTGGGCGGCAGAGCGAGACTCTTGTCTCAAAAAAAAAAAAAAAGAAAAAGAAAAAAAAAGATATGCAGACTTACAAAAGACTTAACAAAATTTACAGTTTTACAAGACTTACAAAACTAGATTTTAATGGCTGGTGTTTTTTTCCTTCTATATTTTCTTTCATCATTGAAGGCTCAAAAGTCTGGGTAGTTAACCAATGGTTGTTATTTCTTACCCAGTAAAAATTCATGTTCTCTAACTTGAATATTGCTTTCTGTATCTTTAGTCATTCCTTGATATGACAACTCAGATATCAAGAGAAATGTATGCATGATGTGGCCAAAACCAACAATCAAGCACACTTTTCCCTATGAGTGCCAACCTGCTAGTACCAACCGTTTGTTATGAAATACTTGATTTCGTTCATAACTGGACTCAACCACTAACTGAATTTTTATGTGAAAGAGAACACAACAGAGCAGGTAACCAAAATCAAAACCTCCCTGGAAAGAAAGGTTTCTGCCTCCACTGAAATCATACTCAAGGATCCTTTCTCAAAGATAACATCTGCAAACAAACTTTCATGGAGAAAAGCCTCAGAAAGGGAACAAGGAACAGATGGTTTGTATTTAAGATCTGACTCAGATTTACAAACCTTACAATGAAGGCTTACTATGGAAGTAACTCTTTTGGTTGTCTATCATATATACCCTGGGTGACCTTTGTTGAACCTCTTTTTGTCACATAGGGTTTATGTGAATACTAAATTAGTTAATATGTGTAAGGAACTTAAAATAATATTTAGTATCTAGTAACCTCTCAATAAACTTTGGATAAAGCATTAATAATTGTAGATGTGTTATTGTGTGTTATTAATATCATGTCTGATATACTAATCTTTATTTCTTCCTTATATTTACGACATTTTTTCTGTTGTTTTACCCTTGTATTTAAGTGACTATTCAAATGGTATCAGATTTGAACATTGACTTTCTTTTTTAAGCAACTTGAAAATGTCATTCTATTGTATTCCCTCATCAAATATTGTACCAAGAAATCTAAGCATAATAATAGTTTATAGCCATCTTATGTCCCTTATGTATCTGACTGTATTTTTAGGGGTGCTACAAATTCTAATGTATTTGTTACTCCCCCAAATCTTATGATATAGAAATTATTATAATCTATATTATGTCAACAAGAAAACTGAGCTATGAAGAAGTTAAGTATCTTGTTTAATGTTTCAGAGCTAGTTTTTGACTGAGCCTAAACTCAGGGGATTAGGCACTGCCCTCTCCTTCCCCTTTATGAATATAAACATGATACTTTTCCTTGTTAGATGGTTAGCCATTCTTGTTGGAAAATTTTAGAACATTTTCTTTGTTTTTTATTATATTGAATTTTACCATTGTTTGTCCATAGGGAATTATTCATAACTTCTTTAGCACAGTTGCGGCCCTTTTAATCAGTGTGTGTGTGTGTGTGTGTGTATGTGTGTGTAATTTCGAAGAAATTATTAGTCAAATAATCTATACAAAGTATCTCTCTTGTTATAGTTCTCTAGAATTTCTTGCATACAGATATTGACATTTTTACCTTTATAATAATAGCTTATAGCCATATTGTGCCTACTCTGTGTCTGGCTATATTTTTAGGGATGTTGCAAATTCTCATATATTTAGTACTCCCCAAAATATTATTATATAGAAATTACTATAATCTCTATATATATATCAACAAGGACACTGAGTTATGGAGAAGCTCATGTGTTAACTTTTCTTATATTCCTTCTGTCTATCCATCCTTTCCTAATTGCATATGGAGATTCAGTTGTTCCAGCAAAATATATTGTAAAGACTGTTCTTTTCCCACTGCATTTGGACCTGTGTCAAACATTCATTGTCCATATATGTATGGGTTTATTCTGGATATCTATTTTGTTCCATTGATCTGTTTGTCTGTCTTTAGCCCAACACCACATTGTCTTGATTACTTAAGCTTTAAAATCAGTCATGAAGTTGTCTAATGTTAGTCATCCAATTTGTTAATTTTTGCCAAAAATATTTTGACCAGTGTAGCCAAACATATGTATAATATGTATTTCTATGTTAATTTCATAACCAGCTTATAAGTTTCTACCAAAAAAAGTCTGCTGGGATTTTGATAATGATCAAAACTTGATAGAGGTCAATTTGAGTACAATTGGCATCCTAAAAATATTGAGTCTTCTGATTCATGAACAAGGTATATCTTGCCAAATATGTAGGTCCTCTTTAATTTCACTCTGCAACATTCTGTAGTTTTCTTTTTACAGGTCTTATATGTCTTTGACAGATTTGTCCCCCAGTTTTTTATAATTGTTTATGCTATTGTACTGATTTTTTTTTTTAATTCCTTTTTTTTTTTTTTTTTTTGAGATGGAGTGTCACTCTGTCACCCAGGCTGGAATGCAGTGGCATGATCTGGACTCACTACTGCAACCTCTGCCTACCAGGTTCAAGTGATTCTCCTGCCTCAGCCTCCCGAGTAGCTGGGATTACAGGCACACACCACCACGTTTGGCCAATTTTTTTTTTTCTTTTTGAGAGAGAGACAGGGTTTCACTATATTGGCCAGGCTGGTTCCAAACTCCTGACCTCAAGTGATCCACCCGCCTTTGCTTCCCGAAGTGCTGGGATTACAGACGTGAGCCACTGCGTCCTGCCTAAAATTTCAATTCTTGATTGCTAATTACAATTGATTTTTGTATATAGATCTTGTATCCTGCAGCCTGGCTAAATTTACTTATTAGTGCTGGTAGACTTTTTGTAGATGCCATAAGATTTTCTAAATAGCTGATTATGTAGTCTGTGAATAAAGACAGTTCTCGTTCTTACTTTCCAGTCTGGATGCATTTATTTTTCTTTCCCAATTCCACTGGATATAATCAATAAAATATTGAATAGAAGTTGTGAGAGTCTGCATCTGTTGAGATGATCATATAGTTTTTCTTTTTTAGTTGCTTAATATGATGAATCATACTGATTGGTTTTTGAGTGTTAAACCAACCTTTTATTGCTGAAATAACTCCAAGAGTTTGTGTAGAATTGGTGTTATTTTTTCCTAAACATTTAGCATAACTCAATTAGCTGTCTGGACCTGGAGTTTTCTTTGTGGTAAGATTTTTAACTGTAAATTCAGTTTATTTAATAAATATAAGTCCATTCAGATTATTTATTTCTTCTTGAATGAGCTTTTGTGTTTTGTACCTTTCAAGGATAGCTTTTATTTTATTTAAGTTGTCACATTTATTGGCATAAAGTTTTTTATAATATAACCTTATTATTTTTAATATATGTGGAATCTATGATGATGTCACCTCTCTTGTTGCTGATATTAGTAGTTTAATAGCTTGTATCTTCTCTCTCCCCAACCCCTATCAGTCTGGCTGGAGGCTTATCAATTTTATTGATTTCTCAAAAAACTACTTTTTATTTCATTGTTTTTTCTGATTTTTTCCTTTTTTTTCCTACTCCATTGATTTTGGCCCTCATCATTATTTTTTCTTCCGTTTGGGCTGGGATTAACTTTATGTATTTATATATTTATATTTACATATACTTATATTTATATGAGCCAAAAAAAATCAAGGCTAACAAAAGTTTAAAAGATTCAAGGTAATTTTACATATTTTACAAATTTTCAAGGTAAATTTACATATACTTATATATAAATATATATACTTATATATATAATTAACCCCAGCCTAAACATATATATATATATATTTTAGTATCCGAACACAAACAAGTCACTGATTTGAGACCTTTTTCATTTTTAGTGCTGTAACTTTCCTTCTAAGTACTGATTTAGTAACTTACCACAAAATCTGATATGTTATGCTTTAATTTTCATTCAGTAAGAAATACTTTCTAATTTGCCTTTTGATTTTTTTCTTTGACTTGTGGGTTACTTATAATTGTGGCATGTAGTTTCTAAATATTTTTGAATATCCTGGAAATCCTTCTGTTGCTTCTAACTTAATTTTATTATGAGCAGAAAACGTAGTTTTTATGACTTGAATCTTTTAAAATTTGGTTAGCCTTGATTTTTTGGCTCAGAACATTATCTATCTTGGTAAATGTTTCATCTGCACTTGAAAAGAATGTATGTTATGCTATGGTAGGATGGAATTTTCTATACTTGTCAATTAGGTCAAGTTGATGAATAGTGTTAATTCTTCTATAACCCCTCTGACCTTCTGATGTTCTCTCTGTATATTCCATCAATTATTGAGAGAGAGTTTTGATATCTCGAATTGGATTTATCCATTTCTTCTTGCAACTGAATCAGTTTTTGCTTCATGTATCTTTAATCTCTGTTAAATGTGACTATGTAACATACTGTTGGGAAAAGAAGATATTTTGAGAATAAAAAAGGGCTATAATGATAATTACACTGGAACAATAGGAATAAACCCAAATTGTCCTGAGAGCATATATTCAATCCATGTTGAAAATGGTGGTGAAATATTTTTCTCTTGCATAATAGGGCCTGTGGGTAAGAAGTACATGCTGATTGTGGTGGCTCTGCTTTCCCCAGGGCTACAGGGTTAGTAAGGCTTTCTGCTTTGCCACATGGCTCCTATCTCAGGATTGCCTCATGCTCACAAGACAGAAGACATCACATGCAGGGTCTAGATTTCTCATTCTCACTTACCATTCCATCACTGAATCCCACATATGTTGCTTCTTCAAACTGGCATATTGAACAAGGAAGATTTGTGGTGTGTAACTAGAAAACAACTGTATTTTTTCCCTACCACATACTCACGTTTACTTTTGCCAATTGAATCAAAATTATGATGAGCCCAATGAGTTGTTTAATTATTCCTAGGTGATAAAAAGTCTCCCTGTTCCCTCTAGACATAGAAACAGTCTGAGTTTTGTAATTTATTATCCTAATTCAGTTTAACAATAATATCTGAAAAAGAATTCCTGTCTTTGCTAAAAATCACAGCTTTTATCCTCTCCCTAATGGTATTAAAGTCTCACCACCAACAACAGAAAAGCAGTAGTTCTCATTGTTTTACTTTGCTACCCCTCCACCTCCTTTTGCTAGCTACCTTTTCTGATGCCTTCAAGTCACTGTAAGAGAAAGAAAAAGAGGAAGGTAGAGGGGCAAAGAAATAGGAGGAAAATTACTTCCTCACTTTTACTATTACTAGCCTAATGCTGTGCCTTCGGTATTCTTTAATTGAAAGCACAGTATTAGGCTAGTAAAAGTCAGGAAATAATTTTCATTCAGGTTGCAGATGTTTAGAGCTAACTCTCTTGGATTATTTTGGTTTTCTGAAAACCCTCTTATCACTGGAGGTATTACACCTGCAGTTTGCTTGAACTGCATGGATTCATTAATTTTCCAACTGAGGGCTTATGCCATTTCTCAGCCAGATCACATAGTGCCGTGTAGGACTTGTTAAGGATATGAATTTTAGGGAAATTAATGAGAAGTCAAACATTGGTCCTAGAACGGACCAAGGATGGAGAGTGGCATAATCAAACTTACACTTTTAAGTGAATACACTGACTACAGTGACAAAAATAGACCGGAAGAGTTTTTGAGCAAATAAAAGTCAGAATACAATTGTGAGAATTCAGTCCAGAGAGGATCATAAGTTTAATGAGAGTACTGGCAGTAGATGTGGAAATAGGTGGATAGACTCAGGAGAGTTAAAGTTTACAGAATTGTCTGTTTTATTGGGCATAGGAATGAACAAGAAGAAAGTTGTAGGGCTAAATGTCACGTTTAAAGCTTTTGCCATTGGATTGATGGGAGCGCCATTCAGCAAGATATGAAAGCTGAATAGGACCAAGTTATGCAGGGAGATTGCAAGTTCCACATTAGATATGTGGAGTTTCAGTTACCAGTGATGCATCCACATGGGAATATCGGATACTTAGCCGATGATATAATAGACTGGAGCCCAGAAGAGGGGCCTGGTTTGAAGACACACATTTGAGAGACATCAATGCATGCTAATTAGAGCTGGGGGAGTGAAGCTAATTATCCTGAGAGAAGGAATAAAGAGAATGGAAAAGCCTGAGACCAATCCTTGGCAAACACTATCATAAAAGCCAGGAAGAGGAGGATGAGCCCACAAAGGCATGTGACAAGTGGACTAGGAGTTAGAAGGAAAGCTGAGAAACTGGGTTGTCCCAGATGTCAAAGGATGAGAGTAGAGGAGGATAGACGTAGCCACTGGCAATGTAAAATCCTGCCAATTAAGTAAGATGAGCTCTGGCAAAAACTCTCTGGATTTCTCTGCTGCTCTCATTTAAATATTTTGTTGTAATGTTGGACGCATAAGGCAGATTGCAGTAGGTTGAAAAGGGAAAGGAAAACAAGGAAATAAAGACAATGAGCATGGAAAATGCTTTTGGAACGAAAATACGAGGGGAAGGGTTAAGTGGTAGCTGGTGTGGGAACTGATGTCAAATGTTGATATATTCATCTTTAATTAAATATGATGTGTGCGTTGCAATTATGTTTTTAAAGAATATGGACTTTCATGGGCAGATATGCAGGATAAAGTGAGAAATAAAATAGGAATGCACTCAAATATACATATATAAATATTATTCTAATTGTTAACTGTACAAGCAAAGAAAAAATGACTAAGAAAATACAGTAAGTTTTTAACAGTTTATCTCTTGAAAGTAGGTTGGAGAATGACTTTTTCTTGTATTGTTCTTTGTGTATTTCACAAAATATATACATAGTTAATAAATACTAAATCAATATATACTAATTGTGTATATACAGTACATGTATATTATATATAGTATACAGGTATATAGTATATGTATACATATGCCATATATACACACTATATACTTATATAGAGAATATGTACTATATACATATATACATTATATACACATGCTATATATACATACTATATACATATATAGTACACATATATACTATATATAATGTGTATATATAGCATATGTATAGAGTATATAGTATATACATGTAGATTATATGTATATACTCTATATAGATATATATATGTATATACTATATACTCTTATGTATGTATATATATACTCTATATGTACATACTCTATATAGAGCATATTGTACGCTATATGTATATACTATATACTCTATACATATGTATATGTACAGATATACATATATGTATATAGTGTGTATATATAGCATATGTATACATATATACATAAGGGTATGTATGTATATACTGTATAAATATACATATCCTATATATAGTCACAATTAGTACATATTGCTTTAACATTTATTTTAAAAACATTCTTTCTCTGAGACAATAAATATGTGTGAAATTGCTAACATGTATGTTAGAAATAAATTTTCAGTGCCGCAAAAGAAATAGCACTGAAACATGAATTTTCTCAGCAAGGCAATTTTACTTCTATAGAAGGGTGCATCTCATGGATGGAGCAATGGTGAGAGCACACCTGAACATGGGAGGGGAAGGGGTTCTTATTCTGACACAGATAGCCCCTACTGCTGTGTCATTCCCTTATTGGCTAGGGTTGGACCGCACAGTCTAAACTAATTCCGATTGACTGTTTTAAAGAGAGTGGGGTATGAGCCAGAGTGGCGGGGTGAGCAGTTTCAACGGGAAGGATGGTTACAGAACAGGTAACTAAAAGTGACTCAGGTCAGAGTAGGTGACGAGGGGTGACTCAGGATGGAGCAGGTGACCAGGGAAACAGATGTGAACTACTGATTAGAACTGGTGGAAAGGTTTTTTACTGAAACTAGGGACAAGGAGACAAAGAGAACAAGGAACTTAAACTTTAAAATGAAGAACAAAGGACAAGAAACTTCACATACTGACATACTGATTCTTTGAAGAGAAACTTGGAACTCACTGTATTTAACAATGTAGAACACTAATTAAAGATAAAGCTTTATATAAATTCCTGAATGAGCATAAGCATAGTAAAAACTATAGTAATTTTGCAAGAAGCAATCAAGATTGGAGGGAAATGAGAAGAAATAACCATGAAGGAAGTAAAAACTAGGCTTCGCAGGACCAGTGGGGAATTGGAAAAGCAAGACCATGAGAAAAGAGCAATCTACATGTTCTGGGGAAAGGTGCTGGAATGGAGGCAGTACACAGATTGGAATTAAACACGGTGGAGTTGGGTAGAAAGGTGGAGATGCATGTGGAAGCATGTAAGATGACATTGCAAAATGTGGGGAGAAAGGAAGCCAAATTAGAGTTAGCTGAAATTTAGAAGACACTTGATATTGACCATAAGTTTAGTTACTACTCTGATTGTAATGACCACCCTCTGATAAATTTTAAACAGTAAAGTGACATGATAAGAAGAGCATTTTTGAAGAATGAATTTTTATCATTATTTAGGCCAGAACAGAGGTATGTTAGGAGATAGAGAAAATGAATTTAAAGGTAGAGAAACAGGATAAAATAATTTCCCCGAAAACTTACAGGACAGATGGCAAAGAACTAAACTAGGTTGATTATGTGAGTTTGAACTTAAAAAGGATTGCTAGAGACTATGAGTAAATGAGGGTACTGTTCCTTATTGAAGATCTACTATGTGAAAGTGGGAGAAATCAAATTTTCACAATCATCATCTTAGTTTCTCCTAGCAATCCAGTGGGGTGCTTATTACGTTTCCTATGGATGAGGAAACAGAGTAATATTAATATTCATTTGGCTGAGTTCATACTCTTCTGCAAAACTTAGGTGTGTATCTCCAGAATTTGTCTTATTTTTCTACTCAGCACATTATATAGAGCCCTGTGAAGACATAAAAGTCAAACCAAAGTATAGAGAAGTAGGGAGAAATAACTTTTGGATCTGTTGAAATTGGAGTGCAGCAGGATATATAGGGGACCACAGAACTACTTTTGGTTAGCGTCCAAGTCTTTTTCATTGTTTTGGGTTTGCTTTTTTTTTTGGCGGGAGCAACATCAATAAACTAAGGTATACCACACACACACAATTCAGTAGCTTTCTTAATGCCATTTCTGGAATTCAAGCCAAAGATTTTAACCCAAAAATATTGATGGAAATTCCTTCATTCCTTTATTCCTTCTTTCTTCCCTTCCTCGTTCCCTTCCCTCCTCCCTGCCTTCCTTCTTTTCTACCCATCCACTTTCCTCCTTTCCAGCCTCCTTTTTTCTTGTATAACTATTTTCCCTTATCTGACTGTGGAGCCCTTCTTCTATCTATTAATGATTTCTATTTCTCCCTATTTTTCTAAGAGAATTTATGGCAGTTTATAATATGACAGTTTTATTGTTGCTTTATATTATTCTGTTGATATTGTTTTTTGATATACAAACTTTTTTTTCATATTTTTATGAAGTCTAATGTGTCTTTTTTTTTGGTTGTCTGTGCTTTTGGTGCCATATCAAGAAATCATTGCCAGTTCAACATTGTGAAGCTTTTTCCCTGTGTTTAATTCCAAGAGTTTTATAGTATTAGATCTTATATTTAGGTCTTTGATCAATTTTGAGTAAACAGTATATAAACTAAAATCAATTAATATTAATAAAATAAGATTAGGATAATAAGATGAAGAATGACTAAAGAAGAAGTAATTAAAAGTACGTGAAATTAATGTCAAATATATTTGAGTGAATTAGTTTATCAGAGATTTTTATGTGTAGTCATCCAAATGGTTATTTGCATTTAAAGATAACCTTAAGTTCATGACAGAGTATATTTAGCCATCTGTTTTTTAATAGGTTATTTTTAAGACTTCAGTTTTAAAGAAAACAATAAGGTTTTTATAGGAATTTCATTATAACAAACTGGCACACATATAAATACATTGTTGTTTAAAATTAGAATGATTTCATCCATAGTTATTATGTTTTAGAATACAGATAAGCTGCAAAAGAAATCACAGGAAATGCCTCTTTTCTGAAAGAACACCATAAAACACCGTAGATAACATCACTCGCTTTTTGTACTGAATAGGTCATTTAGAGTTGACAGCATACGTGAATAATTACATTTCATCTTATATTTTCTCTATAATAATGAAATGTTTAGTAAAAATAACATTTATTTTGAAAGAAATTCACAGAATATTGCAGTGTTTAAAAATGACAATCATGTCTAAGAAGGCATCAATAATTCTGAATGTCTATAAAGTAGTTTGCACAAAAGTCAAGCTGGTAAACAAAGTTTCTTTAAAGTTATTGCATCAATTTTCATAAGGAATATTGTCTATAGTATTCCTTTCTTGCAGTGCTTTGTCAGGCTTTGGTATGAAGTAATGCTGGCCTCATAGGAGTTAGAAAATGTTGCCTCATCTGCAATTTATTGAGAAAGTTTTGGAAGGATTATTATTAGTTATTTAAATGTTTGCTAGAATTCACTGTTGAAGCCATCAAGTCCAGAACTTTTTTGTTCAGGAGATTTTTGATTAGTGATTCAATCTTCTTACTAGTTACAGATCTATTCACATTTTCTATTTCTTCATGCTTTAGCCTTCGTAGGTTTTGTATTTCTAGGAATTTGTCTATTTCATCTAGGTTATCCAACTTGTTGGTGTACAGTTGTTCATACTATTCTCTTAGAATCCTTCTTACTTCTGTAGAATCAGTAGTAATGTCCCCACTTTTATTCTGATTTTAGCAATTTAAGTCTTCTCCTTTTTTCTTAGTCTGTCTAGCTAAAAGCTTTATCAATTTTGTTTATCTTTTCTAAAAACCAACTTTTGGTTTCACTGATCTTCTCTATTTTTCTATTCCCTATTTCACTGATCTCTGCACCTAGCTTTATTATTTACTTCCTTCTTCTAGCATTGTGTTTAATTTGTTCTTTTTCTAGTTCTTTAAATTGTAAATTTAGGTTGTTGATTTGAGATTTTTTTTGTATTTTTTGATAAATGCATTTACACCTATAAATTTTCCCCTTAGAACTTGTTTTGCTGCATCTCATAAATTTTAGGATGTTGTGTTTATAATTCCATTTATTGAAATTCTAGAATAGGCAGACAAAACTAATTTAAGGAGAGAATCAGAACAGTTGCCTTGAGAGAGGTGTAATTGACAAGGGGAACATAATCATTGTCTGGAAAGGTAGAAATGTTCTATACCATAATGGATTTGGGTCTACATAGCTGTATACATTTATGAAAATTTTACAGCTAAAATTTCAGTACATTCAGTGCATGTATCTTACACCTAAAATAGACTTATAATAATAGTAATTGTCATTATTCTTAACCATAACATAATTATCATTAATACTATTGTTGTTGATATTATTGAGTGGCAGGTGGGGAATCAATCAAAGTATAGATTTAAGCATAGCAGAACGTGGCTGCCCATGGTGGGTCATGCCTGTAATTCCAGTGCTTTAGGAGGCTGAAGCAGGAAGATTGCTTAAACCCAGGAGTTTGAGACCAGCCTGGGCAACATAGCAAGACCCCATCTCTACAAAAAAATTTTAAAAGGTAGCCTGGCATGGTGGTGCACACCTGTGGTCCCAGCTACTATTCTGGAGGCCAAGGCAGGAGGATCTCTTGAACCTAGGAATTTGAGGCTGTAGTGAACAATGATTGCACAATTGCACTCCAGCCTGGGTGACACAGTGAACCCTGTCTTTAAAAAAAAAATAGTAGAATGTTTATAAATATTGAAGCTAAGTAATGACAAATGGGTATTCATTATATTCTGTTTACCTTCTATGGTATGATCTAACATAAAACAAAATAATGAAATTAATAATCTAAGGATTAACTCTCCAAAATTATTATGTTATGATATTCCAGAAAAGACCACATACACATTATATACAAATCCATCTATGCTTCAATCAGTATTTTATAAAGCTAATCTGACCCTTGGGAAAGTTCTAGAGTAAGCTGTTTTTATTACTTTATTTCCCATTTATGTAGACTAGTATACAGTACAAACTATAACAACTCTGAATGGTTATGCCAAGAATTATTAAATGTATCACTATCCCTCAAGCCTTCTGAGTGCCACATTCTATTATAAATGTGAATTCGATTATACTTTCTTGTTCCTTACAATTCATAATGATTGCTGCCTGTGTGTAATTATATTAAACATGATTTCAAATTGAAACTATAATTCTAGTTTGCAAAATGTAAGAGTTTATGTCTCATGGTTTTCAATTATTCATGTTATACTTCAGCCACAGTCCTTACTTGATTGTAATCTACCAATCTCACCTCAAATAAAATTGCAGACATAAAGTCAAAACAAGAAATTGGTGTATTATGAAATCATAAAACATTAATGAGACATGATATCTGCAAAACATTATGAGGTCATGGTTATTATTTATAACTTCCTCCATCTCTCTGTATTTCACATTTGCTTTGTTCTCAGAAAACATTGTAACTGGTCAGGATTCAATATCAGGTAATATAACCTAAACCTTCATTGCCAAAAATTCTGAGTGCTTGCTGGTCCTATCTGTGTGGAGTTGCAGTACCCATCAGTGAACGTATAAGGCAGTACTAAGAGGTGCTTGTACAACCTCAATTCTCAAAGGGTAGTCCTCCAACAAACAGCCTGAGCATCATCTAGGAATTTGTTAGAAATTTTGGATCTGGCCGGGCGCGGTGGCTCACGCCTGTAATCCCAGCGCTTTGGGAGGCCGAGGCGGGCGGATCACGAGGTCAGGAGATCGAGACCATCCTGGCTAACACGGTGAAACCCCATCTCTACTAAAAATATAAAAAATTAGCCGGGCGTGGTGGCGGGTGCCTGTAGTCCCAGCTACTCGGGAGGCTGAGGCAGGAGAATGGCGTGAACCCGGGAGGCGGAGCTTGCAGTGAGCCGAGATCGCGCCGCTGCACTCCAGCCTGGGCGACAGAGCAAGACTACGTCTCAAAAAAAAAAAAAAAAAAAAAGAAATTTTGGATCTGATGCCCCAACCCTGACCCATTCTAATTAACTCTGCATTTTAAACAGATTCTCCAGGCGATTCCTCATTAATGGCTTGTCAAACACTTCCCAAGTGTAGATAATCATTTGAGTCTTTGATACTGAGTTCTGTGACTCTATTTTATAGCAGCAATCGTGTTTCCCCTCAGTAATCCTTATATATCCTAACGAACTTGGTAGCACCTGATGATCACATTTACTATTATATTTATGAGACATTCATGCAAAATGGAAGTTAAGGGTGCGTCCAGTCAAAGGCAGAGTAGGACGCTCTCTAGGTGGAGAGAATTGAGGGGTTGATAAACCCTCAAATATTCCCACTGTGCTACAGAAGCTTGGCATTTCTTTTAAGGCAGGGGTGTTGAAAGCAACCATACTCTGCATAACGCCAGGGTGCTGCTAAGCATCTTCTACAGCCACTGTGTACGGTAAAAGGCAAAGCTAACAGGGCTGGACTCTAGAGCCCCAGTGCTTCAACTGGGGTAACCCCTACTGTGTCCATGTGTTATATTAGAGATTCACTTAACTTTTCTTTGGAAAAACAGTTTCTGCTAAATAAAATTAAAAATTGAAAATCTCTAGGTTGGCATATGACCAGGAGGTCATCAAATTACATACGGTTCTCAGGAAAGGTAACATATTAACCCATAATCATGTACTGCTTCCGAGAAAGAATCCATTAATCAGGTTGGTTACTTGAGAGAACAGCGTGCTAAACAATTAAAACCAGAACATTTACTTTTAATGGCTTGATAAAACTGACCCAATTTTAATATGTAATAAGAAAACTTGGACAGTCAGATAATTATTTGTGAAGCCAGGGAAATGGAAAGAAAAGTATTGATTAAGAGGACTATATATGTGTATGCATGTGTATCAATATAGATATAGATACTGAATTTCAGATTTTTAAAAAAACTAAATTTCCTCCTTTTAAAAATGTTCTTTTGACTTTTTTATTTAGTATATATTGTGTAATGGTTATCACAATCAGATTACTGAACACATCCTGTTCATCTTATAACTGAAAGTTTGTCTCCTGTGACGGACATCTCTCCATTTCTCTCATCCCCCAGTCCTTGCAATCATTGTAATACTCTTAGTTTCCATAAGTTTGACTTTTTCCACATTCCACATGTAAGTGAGATCATACGGTGTTTGTCTTTCTGCCCCCCGACTTATTTCGCTTAGCATAATGGCCTCCAGGTTCATTCATGTTGTCACAGAAGGCTGAATAATTCCCTTACGTATGTGTGCCACATTTTCATTATTCATTCATCCATTGATGCACACTTAGGTTGCTTCCATATCTTGGCTTTTGTGAGTAATGCTGCAGCAAGCACGGGAATGCAGTGTCTCTTCAACATACTAATTTCCATTTCCTTTGGATATATACCCAGAAATGCAATTACTGGATTATACGATGATTCTATTTTTTATTTTTTGAGGAATATTCTTACTGTTTTTTATAACAGTTGGACTAATTCATATTCCCAACAATAGTGTACACGGATTTCCTTATCTCCACATTTTTACCAACACTTGTAACCTTTTTTCTTTTTATAGTAGCCATGCTAATAGGTGAGAGGTGATATCTCATTGTGGTTTTAATTTGCAATTCTGGTGATTAGTGATGCTAAGCATTTTTTCATATGCCTGTTGGCCATTTATGTATCTTCTTTGAAAAAATGTCTATTTGGGTCCTTTGCCCATTTTTAATTGAGTTATTTGGAGGGTTTTTATTTTTGTTTTTTTTCTTTTTGGCTATTGAGTTGTCTGACTTCCATATATATTGTGGAGATTGACTCCTTATCAGATAATTGGCAAATATATTCTCCCATTCCATAGACTGCCTTTTTATTTTCTTGGTTGTTTCCTGTGCAGGTTTTTTTTGTTTGTTTTTTCTTTCAATGTGCTTTATTAAAGTGTCTGTAAAGATTGTCACCACAAAGAAAAAGGTGACTGCTTCAGTGAAAAAATTCCATGAAATTATTTTTAGACACCATATTTTTCTTTTTAATGGGGGAAAATACATGTAAAGAAAAAATGAGTTTGTGTGATTAAAAAGAGAGTGCTGTTTCATTCTTTGTGACTATGAGCCATGCCTAACAGTTAAGAGAGTTATTTTAAAACACTAGATGTATTGGAGGTCACAGCTCAAAATTGGCTGACATCCTAAATCTCTGATACATTATATCACTTTACATTGCAGGCTATATGTTTAGTAATATGTATTATTTAAAATATTAACATTTAAAATTTTTATCTTAATACGTAAAATTACCTGTAACATAACCTATGACCCAACTTGACATCCTCCTTCCAGGTAAGAAAGAATCTGCATGAGAACATAGTCAGGGAGGTAAGGGACAGACAGGGAACTGGGGTCATTAGAGTAGTGTCGATTATAGTTTCACTGTCCAACTGTGTAATCCCACGCCAATCCATGCCCAGAATCAGGCAAGAAGTGGGAACAAAGTGTATCCTCAGTATTTTGTCCTAGCTAGCACCCATGTACTTTGCTTGTTTGTTTGTTTTGTTTTGTTTTGTTTTTGAGACAGAGTTTCGCTCTTGTTCCCCAGGCTGGAGTGCAATGGCGCAATCTCGGGTCGTGGCAACCTCTGCCTCCTGGGTTCAAGTGATTCTTCTGCTTCAGCCTCCAGAGTAGCTGGGATTACAGGCATGTGCCACCGTGCCTGGCTCATTTTGTATTTTTGGTAGAGACAGGGTTTCTCCATGTTGGCCAGGCTGGTCTCAAACTCCCGACCTCAGGTGACCCACCTGCCTCGGCCTCCCAAAGTGCTGGGATTACAGGCATGAGCCACCATGCCCTGCCACACTCATGTACTTTTAATAACTTTATTTTTGTTACTGTATCATAAGGCTACATATCAAAACTATAAAAATGAATAGCTCTGGGGTTTGTATGTACCAGTGCTCAGTAGGAAGAAAGAACAAAGAGTGATTATCTGGAATCATTTAAACTTCTAGCCCAGCCCTGTGCATAGAAATATAATGTAAGCCACAGATATGAGCCACAGAGGAAATTTTAAATGTTCTAGTAGCCATCTTAAAGAAAAATAAAAAGCAGCAGGTGAAATTAATTTTAACCGTATATTTCATTTTATCCAATAGATCCAAAATATTTTCATTTTAACCTGAAATCAATATAACATTACTAATTGGATACTTATTTTGAAGTCTTTTTAATTGTACTAAGTCTTAAATATCTGGGATATATTTTTAGTTACAGCCCATCTCAATTCAGACTTGCTATGTTTCAAGTTCTCAATAGCCACATGAAGCTGGTGGCCACTACAGTGCATAGCACAGTTCTAGACCATTATTCTCCCTCCCCTGCAGTACAGCCCACACTATTTAGCCACATTTCTTTTTCTCACTAACCTATACTGTTTCTTAAGGAAGTCCACACTAATCGATCGCTTTGCATACCCAATTAATTGATGTTTGCATACCAAATGCACTACTTCATCTTTAACTCTTGCATTAGCTACATCATTTAAATGTTTATGCAGATAAGCAACTCACATTTTGACTTTCAGTTCCCTGATCTCTTCAAATCAAATGCATTTCCTCTCTCTTCAGCTTTAGTCATTCCATCTGAAGACCAGACTATGGACTTTGCATTCAATTGCATCCATTATGCCTCTCAATGCTTATGTTTTTGATATGGTTCACTCAGACTACAGCCTCCCACACTTTCACTTTCAGTGTGGCCAGTCTCTCATTTTCGCTCTTTGACTACATTGAGGCCACAGCCCTCTAATCCTCTGTCTACTCCCTCTAGACCCTTTCTTCTTCCTAGTCACATTTATGTACTAAACACGGATGGCAGAAGTCCACAGAGCCTGGTCTGAGGATGGTCTAAGGAACAGATGTCAGCAGAGCTGAAAACCACCTCTAGGATATGGTGTTACCTTAGATCAGGGGCTTTGCGGTGTTCTTTGTGTTTCTTGTTACCAGTAGGCCCATGATAGACCTGTTCCACGCCATTTCACTTCAAAGATGCTCAGACATATGTGCATGATAGGAGCTGATAGGAGCAGCTCAGCTTGGTTCCAAGCTTTGACACTGCTACGTGCCTCTGTGGACCCTTCCAGGGTGATTCTATCAGCCTCCATGGCTTTAAATAGCATGTACCCTGTTAGCTCCAGTACCAGCATTTCCAGTCCTGTCTTTAGCTTGCATACTTCTTGTCTCTTTCTTGATTTTTCCAGTTGTTATTGTCTTCTCCCTGCTCTTCTCCTCACATTGTCTCCCTTTTTTAATGTCTTTACTATCAAGTTCAACAAACAGAAAACTGGGAGCTATCCCCCTCCCAGCTTTATCTCTTCATTCCGTATATTTAAGCAACCAAATTCTGGTACTTCTACAGAAATCACTCTTGAATTTCTCCCCTGTTCTCTCCATTCATAGTCAGCACCTTAGTTCAGGCCCTGACCTTTATACTATTACAAATGGCATCGGTATTGGTCATCCTGAGTCCAGGTTGCAAACCAGTTGCCACAGTGCTGTTAACATACTCTTGTAAATTGTAAAGCTGATTATCTTATCCTTACGCTTAGAATATTTTATCCACTTTCTATTGAGTATATCAGAGGCTTTCACATGCATCATTTTAGAGCAGAATGATTTTTAGAAATGAAATTAGCAGTGAGTTTAAATATACAAAATATAACAAAAGTAGCAGAGAGCCTCACCAGAAATTAAATTTGTGAGAATAGCCCCTTGATCCATTTTTAAGACAGACCATGCCAGAAAATGTCTATGACCAATTGAAAGCATCCCATTGATGCTTTAGAAAAAAAGGGGAGAGTTAGGAACCCTGGAATCCTCAGAAGAATGAGTGCAGGGTGCATGGACCTATTTTTCCTGAAGATAATGTGTGTTAGGTTTTTTATACTTCTGTGGTTTAAATGGAAACTATGATTCTCTCCTAAATCAACTGCTGGGAACTGGAGGGGACTGTGTATCCTAGATCCTTGAGGTGCAATCCTGCCCCACCCTCATGAAGTCAGCTGCTTCTCTGGCAAGGGTTGTGAACCATATTTCTGTAATGACAAACTATTTATTTTTAGTTTTTCAACTCTCTTTTAGTAAACATTGAAATTATTTTATCGTCTCATACTATGAGATTATTTCAAGTTTTGCTTACTCCTTCCAAAGATTTTGAGAAACAGTTATTTTTAGTTTACATAGAGAAGAAAGTCATAGATTCTTAAAAATGTATATGTTCTATCTGTCAGCATAATCTTCCAAAGTTTTTTTGCCCGTATGGATTGATTTTGTTTTTGCTGACTGAACTATCAAAATGGCCCCAACAATTGTGAAAGTATACAAAATTCAATTTCGAATGCATTACATTTACAGAACTATTTCCAGAAAAACAGAAAATGTCCCAATAAAAAGTATTTTCAAATGAAAAAGCTAGAGTTTAAATATATATCCTTAAATAGATAAAATTTAAAGAAAACATTTTATATATATGATTACAAAATTGGGCCAAAGAGATAGTTTTTTTATAGGTTTACATTTATATTGGAAATTCATGCAAATTTTCTAAATACAGTTCATGACTTTTTGCTGACATTTTCAGTTATGGTCACTATGTTTAAGGAAAATGAAAGCACGTGAATGTAGAAGGAGTATGAATATAGACAATTTCATTTCTTCTGGAATGTTCTTGACAAAATTGAGGTGGAAAGAGAGCAGGAGTAGCCTTTCTGAAAGTAATATTTGCTATCCACCTGGTATTTCATTTTAAAAATTTAAAATAAGATCTCTTTATTTAAAGTTATTGTTGCTGCTGCTGTTGTTGTTGCTGCTGTTATATCTGTAATCTGCCAGCCCAAAGCAAGAAATTTTGGAAGTTGACAAAGGTCGCGATTTCTTCACTCCAGCTACTTCCTGGTGTACAGAACAACTCAAGATTTGCTGGGAAAAGCTGGGAGACATTGCAAAAAAGCACAGAAATTGTCTCCCTGTGAAAGAAAAGATCAAGATCCCATTTCCTCTTCCTTCTGAGGTAATACCAATAGAGATGAGTAAGCAGGAAAGTTTAAGATTTTCTCATGGGGCATCTCATCCTGATACAGACCTGAAACTGACAACCAGGCACAATGCCAAAGCCTAGGTTGTTGTGGGGAAGGGCTGCTTGTGGGATCAATATTCCTGAAGACAAAAATCTCTCTGTGTTCAATCTCTAATCCACTCGCCCAATGCTTTGTGCTTAACAGGCATGCACAAATAATTTTTTTTAGTGTAAAAGTAGGAATCCAGGTATCTAAAAGTATGGAATGACTATAGCTGGATGTAACATTGGAAAAGGAGGATCAAGGAGATTTGCTTACCTTTCCCTTCTCCCAGAGTTATCTTCAACAGGCCTTGCTAGATCAGTAGTAAGATGATGAGACTTGCAGAGCAGTGAGCAGGAACCACATGCAATACTCTTTGCGTGCAATGGTGGTTCTTGCTCCAGATCTTCCTTCCTGTAGTATTTGGAACCAGTACTGCCTGCACATCAAGCTTGCATGGCAATGATATTTTCAGGACATTCCTCTGATGCATCCATGCTGTTGGTAGTGGTACGTAAAGCTGGACTTCTTATTGGTCAGCCTTGGAGTCTCCAGCTTGGCAACACTTGTTCAAAAATAAGCAACCAGCATCTCATGACACTTTGCTGTCCTCCAGCATCAAGATGATGCTCCTGAATTCTGACAATACCTCTACTTCAGGAGCAGAAATGCCTGAATTATATGATCAACGTTCCCAAGTAAATGGGATTATCCCAGGACATGTAGGTTCACATTAATGTAATTAGTAAAAGAACTGTAATCTTTTTGGCCTCTCAAGCTGGTAAAGCAGGAAATCAAAACTCTGTTCATACTCTTACAATGTGAATTTCATTATTGCATGAGACCATGCTGTTTATTATGAATTTATCCAAGAAGAGAAAACATACTTGACACAATAGAACATGCTAAAGAAATATACCAACTTTCTCACTTATCTGGACAAATTAAATCCAACTTGCAAACTTGAGTTGTGAAATATAATAATAATAAAATCTATATGAAGTTTAAGAACAGGTTTATTTGTGATTAGAAAATGACAGAAAATTCAGAAAATTAATTTACCTATCAGTATTCCTTTTATATCCAATTAATTTAAAATTGTATATTCTGTGATAGGAAGCTAGTTTGTACTTGTAGAATATACTATATAATCCATAAATAGCCATGACTTTTTCATTCAAAAAGATTGGGCATTGAGTTTGCTATAGAATTTTCATATTGATTTTAAATAAATATTCTAAAATAAGATATGAGGGTCTTATCCCAAAGAAAATGAATTTTAAACAAAAGCATCAAGTATGCCTTGTCTTCAAGAGAAAACCACTGGATTGCAAAAGTGGATATAGTTTTAATATTGGCCTTTAATTCTTCCTATAACTGTTTGGAAACACAGTACGCCTGCCATCAGTATCCATGCTATGTGATAAATCAAACAGCAAAATATGTGAATGTGATGTGTCTGCCTTTTAAATGACTATTCTGTTTTCCACATTTCTGTACACAGAGGAAGTAGATAAAATGTCACCTGTAGCTAATCATGAGGATGCATTTTATTGAATACTTCTATGGTAGAATCTACGGCATTTTCTGCTGAGCTGCTATCAAGCTGTGTTAGGGTACTGGATCTACCAATTACGTTTATGTTAGGTTACTTACAAGGGTAGCAATACAATAAAACAGTGAGACAAGGAAAGAAGAAATCTCTGTTGCCTTTGCTCCTTGAGTTAGTAAAGGCAAAGAAAAAGTGAAATTCTTGATAGCTGTCTGCACTGAAACATTTCAGCTCAATTCTCTTTCCCAAAGATCAAGTAAAGAAGGCTAATCTTGTTTTCTAGACACTTAACTCTTTTTCTTAGGCATCTTTAGTCCTTATTTTGCCTGAGAGCCTCTTAAAGGGAATATTGTATTTTAAAGTGACTCTTTAGTAATACAAACACAATAGTCCCGAATACATCAGTGTCACAGTAATCGTGTTCAGAAGTTCACACAAGCTGAATACCAGAAAGCTGAATGCCTTTCTTCCCAGTGGCATGAATACTCACAAGGCATACCATTTTAGTGGCAAATTCACTGCTATTTCATCTACAGAAATGATCACAAGACAACTGCGATAAATGGGAATATGAAAAGATGTATCAAAAGTAAAAATAGGGCCGGGCGCGGTGTCTCATGCCTGCAATCCCAGCACTTTGGGAGGCCGAGATGGGTGGATCACTTGAGGTAAGGAGTTCGAGACCAGCCTGGCCAGCACAGTGAAACCCCGTCTCTACTAAAAATACAAAAATTAGCTGGGCATGGTTGTGGATGCCTGTAATCCCAGCTACCCGGGAAGCAGAGGCAGGAGAATCGCTTGAACCCAGGAGGTGGTTGTTGCAGTGAGCCGAGGTCAAGCCACTGCACTCCAGCCTGGGTGACAGACCGAGACTCCATCTCAAAAAAAGTAAAAAAAAAAAAAAAAAAAAAAAAAAGGAAATGGAAAACATAGCCTTTTCTTAACATTTATCAACATTAGTGTTGTTCTATGAAAATTTAGATTTGGCTTACTTTGCTTATCAGATGAGTATGCTTATCAGATAGCCATTTCACTACCAATGTGTGGGATCTTAGATTCTAGATTAATGGCCCCCAATTCCTAAGTGGCAGAGATGTGCCACCAGACCTCTTAAAAGTCAGCAAACAAGAGAAGGCCATTTCCTCCTGTAAAGCATGTGTCTCTCTACACAACATAGATGAAGAGCCTGTTCAATGCTATTATAAAAGATAATTGCCATCTTTACTTAAAGTTGAATGATAAAGTGAAATAAACAATTCATTTGAAAGATTATTAGGACCTCTTTTATCAAAGATCAGAGGCTTTGGATTATGGATACCTAAATTTGAATTCGACCTCTGCTTCTGATAGATTTTGTGGCTTTAGGAATATTTGTTCCCCTTCTTTAGAAAGCAGGACTCAGGGAAGAGACCAAACTTTGAGGTCATTTAAATGACCACCTGTAAAATTCCTCAGACACCAAAAACTGTTGATCCGTGATTGTTTGTACTTTTATAAATTTTTAAATAGAAATATTGAATCGTATTATATCAAATAAAACATTATTTACTTGGCATCATGATGTTTGTAATAGTGTTCTAAAAATTGTCAAATGATATATAAGATGAGTTATTATTGCTGAAATAACAAATTAAGTACAGTGTCTTACCTTGGGAGAGCCAAATCCATCAAAGTCCCGGGTGATGATATAGCGGAGCAAAGCAATTCTGAATTCTGGGTTTCAGTTGCCTGGGTTTGAGTTTCAATTCTACCACTTGCCATGCGGCAGATATTGGACATGTTACTTAACCTATTTATACTTCACTTGTTTCATCTGTAAATTAGGAATAATTCTCATAAAACTAAATCGTGGGCTGTTATGAATTAATATTTGTAAAGTACTTAATATGGTGCCTAGCACATAGTAAGTGGTTTGAAAGGGTTAGATAAATATAAAACATTCAACATCAAGATGTCTGGAAACTACCAAAGTGGTACATTTGAATTTTACCGAATCGATTTTAGCCCTAATTCTGACGGAGTTGATGTGTGGTTACGATCAGAATAGTGTTTAGAGTGAGTTGACCCAAATCTGTGAGTGTGGGGTAAAAAATGGGTCAGCAATTTGGGACACATGAAACAATCAGTGAGAAATGTGGGATCAGGATAAGATGCAAAGTGGCACCATCTGAAACCAAGGATGCAGAAGAGTGTAAGTTTATAAGATAGTTTTGGAGCTGTGACTGAAAAACTACCACTGACCAGTCCTCTGTGCCGGATGTAATGGAGCCAGTGGAACCCCGTCATAGCTGTGTAGTCACCACCATGTTGGGATCCCTGAATCTGCTTTGGCCTGATGTACCCCAGCAACTCAGACTTCACAACCTAGCTCCTCACTCCTGTCTTGCCTATTTAGACTTAAAGGACCTCCCAGCCTGCGAATCAGACACCACTCTCACTATCAGGTTTTCCTGGCAGAAACCCATAGTAGGGGGTAACATTTGAGAAGAATCCTTAAATTCCCTGGAGTATAGACTTGGCCCTTGCCTGCTCACATCAATAATGACACCTCAGTTCTAGGAACTTGTCAAGAAGTCACTATTTTACTTTTGCCAAAACTTTGCTAGAGCAATGAATTTTGTGTTAATGATGTTTGGGAATACTTGTATATAAAATAAGAGTGCTTGATGAGAAGGATGTCTGGAATTGAGTATATAAATGTTTATATGCTGGAAAACTCACTAATTTTGGCAATCAGCTTAATAATTATTTGCATAAGTTCTGTACAAAAAAAATGGTTTTCTGAGGGTCACAGAAAGCTCTCGTTTTTTTATAGGAGAAAAATGGATACATAGAAATAGAAAATATAACTAATTGAAATAATCATCCATGAAAGTAATTTAGCTCAGCCGGGCGTGGTGGCTCACATCTGTAATCCCAGCACTTTGGGAGGCCAAGGCGGGTAGATCACAAGGTCAGAAGTTTGAGACCAACCTGGCCAAGATGGTGTAACCCCGTCTCCACTAAAAATACAAAAAAATTAGCCGGACGTGGTGGTGTGTGACTGTAATTCCAGCTACTTGGGAGGCTGAGGCAGAGAATTGCTTGAACCCCAGAGGCGGAGGTTGCAGTGGGCTGAGATCGCGCCACTGCACTCTAGCCTGGGCGACAGAGTGAGACTCCGTCTCAAAAAAAAAAAAAAAAGAAAGAAAAGAAAACAAATTAGCTTACTTAGCAAGTCAGGACTATACTCCACAAACAAGTAGAGTTCTCTATAAGAATTTAGGTTCTTTATAAAAATTTTATTTATAAAAAATGTAGTCCTAAAGAAAAATTTGGTTTAAAAGTAATTTGGTGTTTTGCTCTTAAATTGAGGGTTATTAATTATGCTGGCAAGAAGATAAAATTGTTTCAAAGCTGGCACAATTTTTATTCTGAAGTTAAGACCTTTCAGCAGAGTGTTCACATTGCTGTTTTAGATGTTTGCCTAAAACTAAGGAGTTTGTGGTTTTTGTCTGCCACAGAAGTAATATAATCCCGAGTCAAATTAAGCTAGTGCTATGGTACTTCCTTAGTTTTAAAATTCAATATTCTTGATATTCATGACAGTTCCCTTTTTGAGAACTGATTTTCTGCAGTTCAGTGATACTCCATAATGCCTAATAGATGCAAAGGTAAATATGGTATGTGCACATCTAGGCAGTTTGGGCTGAATATAGGAAGAATTCAAGCCCAGAACTAAACCACTGCCTTTCAAAGCTGATGTCATAGAAGGAATGAAGAGAGAAACAAGTCAGTTTATTTTGCCCCTGCCCTGACCCTCTTACACCAACCACCTGGGGTTGAGCCAGACCTCTCAAGTTAAGGACACACTCCTCTATGAGACTGCCCACACTCCAGATGCCAGCTGCAAGTTTGAGGTTCCCCAGGCCACCTTCACTACTGAGCAACCGGCTACAAATTTGGAGGTTGCCACAATCTCTTCACATTTGATTCACTAAAATAACTCACCAAACTTAGGAAAGTGCTGTATTTATGATTATGCTTTTATTACACCAAAAGGAAATTAGAATCATCCAAAGGGAGAGACTCACAGGGTGAGCTCTGACAGGGGCCTTACCTGAAGCTTCCATTGTCCTGTCTTTGTGGAGTCCTAGATGGCATTCTATTCAACACACACTTGTGCGGCAATACTGAAGAGCTGACAACCAGGGGTTCTCCTGAGCTTCAGTGTCCATGGATTTTATTGGGATTTCATTACATAGATGTGATTGATTGAATTTTTGGCCATGCTACTCAATCTCTAGCCTCCCTACCTCCCTCAGGGATTAAGCTGTTATTACCCAATTCAAAGGCCCAACCCTCTAATTACATAGTTGATCCTTCTGGTAATCCCATTCTAATTCATCTAATTAGCCTAAACTAAGAGCCCACTGTGAGTCATCTTGTTAGTATAAATTATCAAGTGTTATCTGAGGGGCTCACTATGATTCAGAAAGACACTCCTATCTCTTAGGAAATTCCAAGAATTTAAAGTCTATCTATCAGGAGCTGGGGACAAAGATTAGCCAAATTCTTTATCATGCAGCCTTATCTAGCTAAAAGTGTCTGAGTTTCTAAAGAAATGGGTTCAATATTTTAATGGTTTTTTTCTTGTCCTATTTCTATTAATAATGGCCTATAATGCTCTCTGACCCCTACATTCTTCTCTAGGTTTCTTAGTAGTGAGGTCTAACTTGCTTCCTTCCTCCTGGGCTCTGAAACTAAGGAGAGAACTAGATAATAGAATGGCTGATACTTACAGAAAAGTACCGCACAGTAGGTGTCACTCTAAGTGCTCCACACTTGTCTCTCAGTTAAATGATCACAAAACTTTCTATGAGATAAGCACTATTCCTACCCCTTTATTGGGATCAGATTTCTCTGCATATATCAGATAATAAAAATACAGCAAGGCTGGGTGCGGTGGCTCACGCCTGTACTCCCAGCATTTTGGGAGGCCAAGGCAGGTGGGTCACTTGAGATCAGAAGTTCGAGACCAGCCTAGCCAACATGGTGAAACCCTGTCTCTACTAAAAATGCAAAAATTAGCCAGATGTGGTGGTGGGCACTTGTATAATCCTAGCTACTCAGGAGGCTGAGGCAGGAGAACTGATTGAACCTTGGAGGCAGAGGTTGAGTGAGCCAAGATTGTGCCAGGGCACTCCAGCCTGGGCGACAGAGCGAGACTCTGTAAAAAAAAAAAAAAAAAAAAAAAAAAAAAGCAGTGACAATACCAACCACAACCAGTAGCTTAAATATATACATGTTTCTTTTCTCACACAGAAAATGTGCAGAGGTAGATAGTCCATGACGGACAGAGAACATATTCTTCCCCTGCTCCTGTTCTACCTTTCATTGCCCTTCACTGTACATACCAATATAGCTGTTCTAGCTCCAGCATCTATATAGAACAGCTATTTACAGTGAAGCTATAAATAGAATAGCTAGCATTCTATTTATTGCATCAGAAGATGGTAGTGACTTCTCCATTTGAAGAGACTTTCCCAAACGTCCATGCAGCATGCATACATACCTCTGACTCCCTGACTTACCCAGCAACTTGATTTTGAAAATAGAAAGAGAAAAGCAGTTTGTCACCAACAAGCAGTTTGTCACCTACAAGGGATGCTTAATATGAAAATAACTTCTGATTTTGCATCAAAATCTATGGAAGCCAGAAGGCAGTGAGATGACATATTCCAAGTGCTGAAAGAAAAAATAATTCTATATTGGGTAAAATTACCCTTCAAAAATAAAGGGGGAAATCAAGATATTTTCAGATAAATGTAAAAATGACAGCATTCATTGCTAGTAACTTTCTTGCTCTGCAAAAATGCTAAAGGGAGTCCTTCAGGCTGAAATAAAAGAATGCTATACAGTAACTTTTTTTCCTATCTAACTTAAAAGACAACTGTGTAAAACAATGGTTGTAAATCTATATTGAAGGCACACTGCATATTAATACGTAATTTGTGATAATATCAACATAAAGTAGGGAGATTGAGTGGTATAGGAGCAAAGCTCTTATAAAATTGAAATTAAATTGGTATTAATCTAAACTAGATTGAAGTCAAAATTTGAACTAGATTGGTATTTGTTTGAACTAGATAAAATCAGGGAGAGTGATGCCTCCAGCTTTATTCTTTTTGCTCAAGGCTGTATTGACTGTTTGGGGTTTTTTGTAGTTCCCTTTGTAGATCCATATGAATTTAAGGATATTTTCCCATTTTTGTAAGAAATAACATTGCAATTTTGATAGGGATTGCATTGAATTTTGCATATCACTTTCGGTAGTAGGGACTTTTTTCAATATTAATTCTTCCAATCCATGAGCATTTGATATCTTTTCATTTATTTGTATTTTCTTCCATTTCTTTCATCAGCATTTTATAGTTAACAGATATTTTGCCCCCTTGGTTAAGTTTACATCTAAGTATTTATTGTAAATGGGATTTTTCTCTTAATTTTCTTTTCAGATAGCCCATTATTAGCATTTAGAAATGCTACCATTTTTGTATGTTGATTTTGTATCCTGCAACCTTACGAATTTATTATCAGGTCTAAAATTTTTATGATAGAGTCTTTAGGGTTTTTATATATAATATCATGTTACCAAAAAAATAGAGACAATTTCATTTCTTCCTTTCCTGTTAAAATGCCATTTATTTCTTTCTTTTGCCTAAGATCTGGCTAAGTATTCCACTAAATCAACTCAAAATGATGAAAAACTTAAATATTCAGGTCTTATCTGAAACCGTACAATTACTAGAAGAAAACACAGGAGAAAAGCTTCGTGACATTCTTCTAGGCAATAATTCTTTTAAAGATATGACCCTAAAAGGACAGTCACCAAAAGCAAAAATAGGCAAATGGGATTACATCAAACTAAAGGCTGCTGCACATCAAGAAAAACAAATAACAAAGTGAAGAGAAAATCCACAGCATGAGAGTAAATACTGGCAAATCATGCATCTTATAATGGGTTAATATTCAAAATATGTAAGGAATTCAAGCAACTCAATAGCAAGAAAATATATAACCTGATTTAAAAAATGGGCAAAGAACCTGAACAGACACTTCTCAAAAGAAGACACACAAATGGTCAATAGGTACATGGAAAAATGCTCAGCATCAGTAATTATTAGGGAAATACAAAATAAAACCACAATGAGATATTACCTCAGACCCATTGGAATGGCTTTTATTAAAAAGAGGAAATAAAACAAGTGATACAGAGAATGGGAAGAAGAGAGCTCATACATTTTTGGTGAAATTGTAAATTAGTACCTTTTATGGAAAATGGTATGGAGGTTCCTCAAAAAGCAAAAAATAGAACTACTCTATGACCCAGTAATCCCGCTTCTGGGTATCTATCCAAAGGAGCTGAAATCAATATATCAACAGGATGTCCGTTCTCTCGTGTTTATTGCAGCCTCATTCACAATAGCCAAGATACAGGAACAATGTAAGTGTCCATTAATGGATGAATGGATAAAGAAAATGTGGTAAATATACACAATGGAGTAGTATTCAGCCTCTAAAAAGGGAGAAATTCTGTCATTTGCAACAACATGGATGAATCTAGAGGACATTATGCTAAATAAAATAAGCCAGAAACAGAAAGACAAAGATCATCTGATCTAACAAAGTTATGGAATTGGAGAGTAGAAGAATAGTTACCAGAGGCTGGGGTTAGGGTAGGGATAAAGAGAATAGGGAGTTGTTGATCAAAGGGTTCAAAGTTTTAGATTGATAAGAGGAATCAATTTTAAGATCTAGATCTATTCCACTGTAGGGTGGCTATAGTCAATAATAATGTATTATATATTTCAAAATAATTTAGAGAGTAAATTTCAAATGTCTCACCATAAAAAATGATAAGTAAGTGAAGTGATGGGCATGTTAACTAGTTTGACTTAATCCTACCATACTGTATACATATATTAAAACATCACATTGTACCCCATGAATGTACACAATTATGATTTGTCAATCAAAAATTTATAAAAATAAATCCAATAATATATGCAATGTATATACAATTGTTTAGCCATATGTGAAAGAATGAATTTGGATGCCTACCTCACACCATTTTACAAAAATTAACCCTATAAGTGTCAAATAATACGTTTTAATTCTTATGTAGGAATTAAAGCTATACAATTCTTAGACGGAAACATAGGTGTAAATTTTTGTGACCTTGGATTAGGCCATGGTTTCATAAATATGACACCAAAAGCCATGCAACAAAAGAAAATAATAAATACATTGACTTCATAAAACATTAAAAACTTTTGTCAAACAAATGACATTATTAAGAAAGTGAAATGACTACCTTTAGAATGGGAGAAAATATTTGCAAATTATATATCTGCTAAAGGTCTAATATCTAGAATATAAAAAGAACTCCTACAACTCAACAACGAATGGCCAAATGACTCAATTTCTTTAAATGAGCAAAGGACTTGAACAGATAATTCTCTTAAGAAGTCCTGCATGGCCGGGCACAGTGGCTCACGCCTGTACTCCCAGCACTTTGGGAGGCCGAGGCGGGCAGATCACGAGGTCAGGAGATCAAGACCATCCTGGCTAACACGGTGAAACCCCGTCTCTACTAAAAATACAAAAAATTAGCCGGGCGTGGTGGTGGGCACCTGTAGTCCCAGCTACTCTGGAGGCTGAGGCAGGAGAATGGCGTGAACCCGGGAGGCAGAGCTTGCAGTGAGTCGAGATTGCGCCACTGCACTCCAGCCTGGGCAACAGAAGGAGACTCGGTCTCAAAAAAAAAAAAAAAAAAGTGTGGTGTGTGTGTGTATATATATATATATATATATATATATATATATATATATATATGCAATGGGTTATTATTTAAGCATAAGAAGGAATAAAGTACTGACACATGCTACCACATGGATGATCCTTAAAAACATTCACTTGTGCTAAGTGAAAGAAACCAGATGCAAAAGGTCACATATTGTATGATTTTGTTTATATGAAATATCTGGAATAGGCAAATCCAGAAAATAGGTAAATTCAAAGAGGCAGAAAGTATTACTCATGGGGTGAGGGGAGGAGGAATGGGGAATGACTGCTTGATGGATAAGTGCCTTCTTTTTGGGGTGATGGAAATTATCTGGCATTAGATAGTGCTATATTTTGAGTATTATGTAAGCCACTGAAATTATACACTGTAAAATGGTTAAAATGGTGAATTTCAGTTATATGAATTTTATATCCAGTTTTTTAAAAAGATCTTGCTCAGAAGAAATATCTTTGCTCCAGGACATCCATCTACCTTCTCAGTCCAAGGCCCTCACCAGCTTCTTTTACATTTTCCCAGGAATATTATAACTTTTGAGAAACAAACTGCTTTTTTAAACATCACACTGCTAAAAAATCAAGAAAGTGAGAGTTCCATGTTTTGCTTTTAATCGGTATAAGGTATATTGTGAAGATAAACTAAATTTGAATAATTCTGAATAAATTAGTGGAAAATAATGACCTTATTGTTGGTTAAGTGCGGGGAAAATAAACTATTACGTTTGGATGAACTTAGCTTTTCCTTGTGAAGGTTGCCAGACTAGCTATTATTAATGTACTGTAATTTCCACAAGGTTTCTTTCTTCTGGTGAAAGATTTTTTTTTTCCATTTTCTGATCAAAGCACTCCACTTGACAACATTCAAAAATGAGTGTGCCTGTGCCTTCTCCAAAACACCTTTGGTATGTCGGTGAGACCTCGTCATCCTCTAGTGGTTCTATTCAAAAGTTACATTCCACATAGATGTCCGCTTGAGCTTTAGCCAGTAGATACCGTCCTCAGTGCTTACCGTGATACTCCAAGCAGTTTCTTCTGGATGACTTCCAGAGCATCACAGCTCACGTGAACTGAGACTACTCTGCTTTAGCTCCATTCTAATGGAATGAAATACTCTGTTCATCTTTTCTTTCTCACTGTTTCTATTCTCTTTCCACCATCTCATATGCCAAAATATCCTGTAGAATATTTATTTTCTATTTTGAGCCACAACAGTCACTATTATATAGATTCCTAATACACTTTTCTCAATATTTAGAAAAAGTGATAATCATAAGTAGTGTAAAATATTCCAGTCACCGAGTATGTACTATTAAAACATTTTCTCCTTGCACCAAACAGCCATAGCAGGGTTTTGTTTTGTTTCATTTTGCTTTATTATCCGACATGTAGTCTCTTCCGAAAAAAGTGTATTTTAGATCCCACAAATAAACGTATCAAGACATCAAGAAACAGGTAATAATTTATAAAATTTTGAACTTGCACTTACTTTTTTTACTGATTCCAACCAAGAAAAAAGTAATGCAAATATAAATCCCTTTAAAAATTCTATCATGAAGACAGAAATAGCTGCTGGATTTAAAATCTAATTTATAATGTAGTGATAAGAATAATAATGTTAAATGTCATACGACTATGTAGAAACAGCATGTAGTTTCAAGCAACTAATGAGCTCTTTTGGAAATAAATAATTCTCTTTTGGATAAATAAATGTTCTCTTTTGGAACTAATTCAATATTATCTTTTAATACCTGAAGCAGAGGGGTACCAGAATATTGCTGCAAACATCTGGGGGCAAGACTTTTGTCCAATATTAAACATGTCTGTAATATAAATATATTCTTTTAAAAATTATCTGTTTTTTTATAAGAAGGAACTGTGTTGTATATTTATTTCAAATATTCTATACTTTAAACTGCTGTTATAGGAATATTACAGGAAATATTTCTGTGTGGTCAAAAGAAGGCAAATTAGGTATAAAATTTGCTTGGATGTATTAACTTGAGCTTTGGAAAGAGCCAGGAAAGACATTGAGATTTTTTTTGCAGCTTTCCAGTCTTTCCGCCTTTCTCCTTCCCCTGTAGCTGTAAGATTGCCTCTCCCCACTCCTCACGCCAATTTTGCTGTCCTGCTGGGAACCCTTTTCAGAGAGAACAAGATATATAGATACATGATTGATAGATAGAAAGATAGATAGATAGATAGATAGATAGATAGATAGATAGATAGATAGATAGAGATAGATGATAGAGAGACAGATAGATGCTATTGTAAATAACATTCTACTGTCTCTTTATTAAATACCACGTTCCCAATTATTTATGTGTAAATTATCTGCAGTGTCTATTAATAGTCTGAATTTCTCACTCTTATTGCACTTTATTGTCTTGGTAGACTGGGATCACCATCAGAGTACAATTACCTCCAGGACAGGAAGATAGGTCAAATTTAATACAATGTGATTACATAAGCGTGAGTGGATTTTTCCTTGCTATTGATAAATTTCATTAGCTAAGATATTTGATATCTGTTTCATAATGCTAAAAATATGTGCAAATATTCTCTTTTATCAGCACATTTATTGTCAGCCCTCCATATCTGTGGGTTCCACATCTGTGGATCCAACCAACTGTAGTTTGAAAATATGTTTTAAAAATGGATGGTTGCATCTGTACTAAACATATATAGTATAGACTTTTTTTTACTAACAATTCCCTAAACAATGGAGTATAACTATTTACATAGTGTTTACATCATATTAGGTATTATAAGTAATCTAGAGATAATTTAAAGTATATGGGAAGATGTGCATAGTTTCTATGCAAATACTACATCCTTTTATGGGGACTTAAGCATCCATGGGTTTTAGCACCTGTGAGGGGTCCTGAAACCAATCCCCCAGGGATACTGAGGGACGACTACATTCTCTATTACTTCCTTTGATGAGGTTACTGACCTCCACTGATAAATTCTCATGCATTTGTAATGGACTTAACTCCAATGTTTTTGTAAACATATAGTATTAGTGAGCAACTTCTATGGGTTTTATTTTTGCAGTAAGTTGGATTACTCACTAGATTGTGAGCTACTTAATGTCTTATACATCTTTATAGTCTCTGTGTTGCCCACAGTAGGTAGTCAATATTTGCTGAACAGAAGTTAAACATTTTTTAATCACTATATATGATATTTCTTTGGCATAAATGGGTTTTTAATGTGTTAGAGTTTCATATGCTTAAAAATGTGTTCAAAAGAAAACTATCTTTATGTCAAAAAGATTTATACAGTTTGCTTTTTAAAGTCTGTGTGAATGAACCAATACTCTGTCTTATGTCACAGCTGGACACTCCAATTCACCGCTTTAAGTCCAGCACTGCTAATTCCCTGACTAGCTTCCCTAGGAAAGGATATTCTTTTAAGTCTGGCGCTATGCTGTAAACACACTCCTGTTTATTCCAGCTAATGAGAAACAGGCTGTCTGGAAATGTGTCTCTGAGGAAAATACTGAGCAAATCTTTAGAAAATAAAGCACTCCAGATTGATTGAAAAGATAACATTTGGTAACATGGTGCAAGAAAAACTATAATATCAAGCTCAAAAGAAGGCAAATTAGGTATAAAATTTGCTTGGATGTGTCAACTGGAGCTTTGGAAAGAGCCAGGAAAGACACAGAATTTTTGCATCTGTCCGATCTTGCCCCTTTCTCCTTCCCTTGTAGCTTTAGGATTGCATCTCCCACTCCTCACACCAACTTTGCTGT
This sequence comes from Homo sapiens, assembly GCF_000001405.40. NCBI lineage: Eukaryota > Metazoa > Chordata > Mammalia > Primates > Hominidae > Homo > Homo sapiens. Next base: position 176,833,944 of record NC_000004.12, read on the forward strand.
CCTGCTGGGAACCCTTTTCTGGTCTTGTTATCTTTCTTTAAGATCAGCCAGGCTGTCTCTTCCTCTTTTTCTTCTGGTAATAAGGTGTCTAATAATTTATAGCCTTTTAATCTAATGGCTCTTTCTGTGGACAGTTTCAAATCTCTTCTTTAGATACTTGCATTTGAAAAGCCACTAACTTTTGAAACATAGTCGTTATTATCAAAAAGTTTTGTAGGACTGTGCCTTACTGAGCATTGATTTTTGTACTTGGAGAATAGTTTTATCAAAAACATAAATTATTTCACTTATTCACTTAGGGTAAAATGCCTAACAGTAGACAAGTGACAAGACTTAAAAAAAAAAAAAGCAGTTTCTCATCAAATTCTAAATCTCTTGAATCTCTCGTCTTCATAATTCTTCAACTCCTTGAAAGTATATGAACTGCTTATTGGTCATTAACTTATTTGTAAATGCAAGTGGAACTCCCATTTTAAATACATCCCCTATTGATTCTAAACCATACTCTAAATTTGTCTATGTTGCCCATTCCCTTCCAACTTTAGCCATCGCTGAAACTTCAATTGCTTTCCTGATGCTACCAAAAGAGCAGTATCATCAGTGCCCCCTCACTAATCATGTAATCTTCCTTCAGAAAGCATTTATGTTTTTTGTTATTTTCCTATAAGAAGAGAAGAAAGTCTGTTTTGGACTTCGTCCAGCCAACACTATTAGGCAATTTCCACTAATAAAAAGTGTCATGAGCCATGATAGAAAAGTTTTACTACTTTAAGAATTTTTTCCATTTCATAGCCAAAGAATATCTGAATTTTGGAGATAACACATAAATATAGAGTTTTAGGTTCTACAAAGAACTAGGGTACAGAAAAATAACTTGGTCATTTCCCCAGGAAATACTCTGACTACTAATACCACAACGACTCCTAACACCACTACTGTAACAATTTCACATTTCACAGTATTTTCCCTCTCCATAGCTTCAATTGCAGCCAACATGGAATCCAAAGAGAACCAGAACTTTCGTTGTGAGAATGTTTTACACTTATTCCATTTACACTTAACACTTCATCATAAAAGTAGAACAGGTAATCTCAATGATATTTCATTGGAGGCTCTAAGAGGCTAAATGAACGACTTGATTAAGTTTACCAGGTTTATAGCAGAAATCTACTAATGTCTTCATTTCTGACCTACAAATGGCCAATGGGTCTAAATTTATGGGCCATAGACATTCAGGGTTCTATAGACTTACTTTAAAGAGATTCATATCTACAGATATATATTTTAAACTAAATAAATATTACAATAATATCTTTGTATTTTTCAATATGATAAAATACAAATTAACTTTTAAATTTTATTGGATTTAGAGTGTATTTTTATTATATATTTCTTAGGCAATGATTAAAAATAAAGTTACTACTACTATAGTGTCTGGATTCTTTTTTAATGTTAATGAAAGATTTTCATACCAAAAAATGTTGGGAACCCCTGTGCTAAATTATGATTCAGGTTGCTGTATTTAATTATGATTTGGGTCTCTGGGCCACAAATAAAGCTAGGAGAAGGAAAGAACTTATCTATGAAGAAAGCAAAGCTTCTTTTGGTTTTCTATGCACCTTTTCTGTAGCTTTTATTCCTATCTGTCACATCCTCACCCCTTACATGTCTCTCTTTCCTCTTCCATCAGGAAAAACAAACAAACTAAAAAACTTCATGATGTTTATGGAAGCTACATGTGTTTTTACTAACAATATTTATTGAATGTCTATTGTGGATGTGGTAATGTGCTATACACCTTATACACATCAACTCATTTTATTCTGACATCAACCATATAAAATGGATATTATTCGTCATATGTTGCAGATGAAGAAACTGAGGTTCAGAAATATTTACCCTTCAAAGTCACAAAACTGATGAACTGCAAACTCATGACTCAAAATCATGGCTGACAAATCCCAATGCCTACATTCTTTCAAAGGTAAATATTTGAATTTTTACATTTTTAAGGCTCAGGTATGAAGTTAAGTAACTTAGGTCATTCTAGAATATAGAGTTTCATTTTGCTATTTTAAAGTAGCAGCTGTTCTTTGAACATAGAGGTTGTGTCTTCTTTGTTCACCTGTCAATCTTCAGCACATAGCAAAATGTCTGGCATATACCAAATGCCCAGTGAAGGCTTTTTAAATCCTTTCTCATTCTTTCCACTTTCTACATTCAGTTAATCATTCTCTCTCAAAAATGTCTCTCAAATTTTACTTCTCTTTATTTCTATTGCCACTGTATTTGTATAAGTTCTTGTTGTGAACAGAATCATGTCCACCAGAATTCATATGTTGAAGCCTTAACACCCAACATGACTATATTTTGAGATAGGGCCCTTAAAGAGACAATTAACGTGTAAATAATTGAGTGTATGGTAGTTAATAAAGAGCCAGTAGAATATTAGTTACAATAGCATGCACCACATATACATCTTGCTCTCTTTGGGTTTACACACAATTACCTACTGTCCTATCCCTCTAACTGCAACAGTAAGTATTGAAATTTGGGTCATAAGGGTGGGGCCCTAATCCAATATGACAGATGTCCTTATAAGAAGAGGAAAAGACAACAGCAATGCACGCACAGAGAAAAGGCCGTCTGAGGACACAGCGAGAAGATGGCCATCTGCAATCCTAGGAGAGGGGTCCCAGAATAAACCACCTTTAAATCGATTTCAAACCTATTATGGAATTATTCATGCTAAATATACCATAGTGTTTATATTTCTAGGCCAACATGATAAGCATATTAAAAATGACTCCAAAGCAGATCACAAGTAGAATCTAAATTATTGACTGGTTTGCTTTTTAGAAAATTATGTAGCAATTCCCTCACTTAGGAAAATTTAATTTTAGGCTACTTTGCATGGTTTCCAACTGTAACTTTCCATGGGAAAAAAATACAGGAAAATGGGCATGATATACTTAACATCGTTGAAAATGCATAATGACTCCACCTTTCTGAATATTGGTCAAATGTTACATTCCTAAGAACTTCATTTGTTGAATCATCAAACTTTGTTAGTGAAGACCTAGGTATGGAGGTTAAAAGCTGTTTTTACAATTATTAGGCTACAAATAGTTATTACATAAAATTTGTAGATGCAATAGAAATTTGCTTGCCAAATATTTAACTAATTTGACTATAGTGTGAAATCTTCTTAAAGTGGATGATCTGATGATTCTTTGCTCACTGAGGACAGCAGCGTAGGAGTAAAATTTTAGTTATTTTTAAGAACCCATTTCTTAAAATGTATGGCATGAATTGTACTCATTATTTCCAGCTTCAAGTATTCCACGAGAATTACTCTGTTTCTTTGTTTGTGGTATAATCATGGGAAGTTCACCTAAGGGCAGAGTGGTAAGTGTAGAAAATCCTGGTTTATTGCAACACATGGGGACTATATTTGGCCTTCGAAAGGATTACTTGCTCTAAAGTTTTAGCATGCAGCATCTAGTATTCAGGATAAAACATCATGTTTTTTCTTAAAATCCTGGTCAAAGTTCTGGTCAAATAGCATACTAGCTTTTTTTTTTTTTTTTTTTTTTTTTTTTGCCCAGGCAAAACTGCATTGTCATTGTGTCCGTGATATCCAGTTAATACCTTGTTAATAGCCTATACCCTCTAGTAGGCTTTAAAAAAAAGGTCTTTGTAGGGTGGGGACACAGATGAACATAAATCATAATTAATTAACAGGCCACAAGGATTGCCATGAAAATAATAGCTTCCTGGGTCCTTCAAATCTAATCTACCATCAAACTTTCAGAGTCAAAGCAATCTCTTTGACAGCCACTTGAGTTAATTTGAAATTAGATAAGTGGAGAAAGCAGAGAAGCTTTCCTTTTATTGAATAAAAATTAACTTCTAAACCATGGAAAAATAACCTTTCCTGTGATTTTGTGATTGGTGATCACACTGGAAAATTGTTCAAAAGTATTAAAAATATTGATTCAATAATGGATAATCTTTTACAGCTTTTATTTTTAGTGTCCCTTGAAGAACCCAATTCTTTAATTACTCTTACAGAAGGAACACAACTTCATAATCCTTAATTTAGGTTCAATAGAGCAACAACAATCGTTGGATCAAGACAAGTCTAGGTTTAAATTCTGTATTTTTAACTTGTAGTAACCGTTCTAGATGCCAAGTTTCCCTTCATAAAACTAGGGTAGTACAGGCTCACTATCCCTTATTCACAATTCTGAAACCCCTAAACCACTAGAAACCATTTTTTTCTTACTTTGCAGAAAAACCTGATGTGACCCGAATCCATTATGTGAAAACCTGACTAGCACTGATGTGGGGCTACTTACAGCCTTTACTTATTCTATCCTATATAGATATGCATACATTTCACTGAGGAAGGATTAATGTTGTTTACCGAAGAAAGACACCCCAGGCCTAAAACCCAAAGATTTCGGAATCCTGACACATATTTAGCCGGAAGGATTTCATATAAGGGATTATGGACCTGTAATACCAATGATGAGGATTCATATGCAGAGTAAAAAAGCAATCAATATTAATTAGTAATGCTTGACCCAAAGTAGATTTTTTTCAACAAACACATTGTTTCCTGTTCCTTCACAGACAAGTGTTCTGTGCAAAATTATATTCGTGTTAAATGATCCATTTATTGCCTTACCTCCCCAATAAATGTGTGATGACATCTTTTAAAAAAGAATAATTTTGGTTCAGATCTATAAGATGTGACAAACCGCAATTGTGATGTTTGGAATGATTCCAACACAGTATTACAGTTTTTTTTAAAGGCCATGCCATGGACAGTTTCTTATTGTCTTACCTCACTGGGCACGCCCAGTGCTGGCCGTGTATTGTGACTTGCACAGACAGGAAGGCCACTAGGATCCTGAAATGCTAGAAATAACTCAAAAATAAAAAATAAACACCAGCAGTAAAAAGTTAGACAATGGAGAAAATGATTTAGAAGGAAAGCCTAAATATTTTAACTCAGTGTTTGACTATGAAAATGGGTAAAGAGAATGGCATATTCAGAAAGTATCTAAACCAAAGTCAGTGAGAGAACTACTTAACATGACACTAGAGTGAATAACCTTAAAGGAATGTTATTCTCATTTATCAATTCAAGGTGATGATAGGACTAGTTCATCATTTCGATTTCAAGATTTACTGTTTTCCAAGTGTATCTTGGCTATTGCCTCGTTCTCATGAGTCTCTAAATACCGTTCACTAAGCCCAAATTAATTGTCTGAAGGCACATAGTGAAGCAGTAATACTGGTTAGCAATGTTTGTTTCATCAATGAAGCTACTGCTCTTTCCATAAGTATGACTAATAGGTTAAAAATATGCAAAGGGAAACTTGGGAAGTCTGAGGGATTTTCCAACTCCAACAACCAATTCTCTGATTCTCTGGACACCAGCTGGGTGTATAACAACTCAGTTCAATTCTGACACCCAGAGTTAGCTCAGATCCCACAGCTTAAAGGCTTGGTCCCACAGGACTACCCCCACTTCAGGTGTCTGTCATAAATCCTGGGCCTCCGGTACTTCTGACCAACTGGCTATAAATTCAGGATTCTCCTGATCCCTTCCTAAGGTTTGGTAATTTGCTCGAATGCCTCACAGAACTCAAGAAGATGCTTCTCTTATGTTTACTGGTTTATTATAAAGGACACAAATGAACGTCCATATAAAAAGATACATAACGTGAGGTTCAGAAGGGTTTCCAAGCAGAGGCGCTTCCATCTCCATCCTCCATGGGTGGACAAGTTCACTAATTCTAAAGCTCATTGATTCCTGTTATTCAAGAGTTTTTATAGAGCTCAGTCTCCAGCCCTTCTTCCCTCCCTAAAAGTCAAGGGTGGGGCTGAAAGTTTCCACCCTCTAATCACTTGGTCTTTCTGGTAACCAGCCCCAACCTGAGGCTATGTAGGGATCCCATCCAAAGTCAACTAATTAGCATACATTCTGCTGTGGAAAGGAGCTCTTTATGCATAAAAGAAGACTCTCTGATCAGGGAAATTTCAAGAGTTTTAGGAGCTCTGTGCTAGGCACTGGGACAAAGAACAAATATATTTCTTCTTTTTTTTTTCTTTTTTTTATTACACTTTAAGTTTTAGGGTACATGTGCACAACATGCAGGTTAGTTACATATGTATACATGTACCGTGTTGGTGTGCTGCACCCATTAACTCGTCATTTAACATTAGGTATATCTCCTAATGCTATCCCTCCCCCATCCCCCGACAAATATATTTCTTATTACACTACAGTAGTTCCCCCTGCCCCTTATCTGTGGTTTTACTTTCCATGGTTTCAGCTGCTTGTGGTCAACCACAGTTTAAAAATAGTAAATGGAAAATTACAGAAATAATTAACTTTAAGTTTTAAATTGGACATCTTTGAATAGTGTGATGAAATATTACACTGTCCCTCTCCAGCCCACCCAGAACCAGAATCATCCCTTTGTCCAGAGTACCCATGCTCTATATACTGCCTGTCTGTTAGTCACTTAGTGACTGCTTTGACTGTCAGATCAACTGTCGGCAGTATCATCGCAGTGCTTGTGTTAAAGTAACCCTTTTTTACTTAACAGTGGTCCCAAAATTCAAGGCTAGTGAGTTTGGATTTGCCAAAAGAAGCTGTAAAGTGCTTCCTTTAAGTGAAAAGGTGAAAGTCCTTGTTTTAGTCCATTTTTGCATTGCTAAAAAGAAATATCTGAGACTGGGTAACTTATTAGAAAAGAGGTTTAATTGTGTCATCCTTCTGCACACTGTACAAGAAACAGTACTAGCCGGGCACGGTGGCTCACGCCTGTAATCCCAGCACTTTGGGAGGCCAGTGCGGGCAGATCACTTGAGGTCAGGAGTTTGAGACCAGCCTGGCCAGAGATGGCAAAAACTCATCACTGCTAAAAATACAAAAATTAGCTGGGCATGGTGGCATACGCCTGTAATCTCAGCTACTCCAGAGGCTGAGGCATGAGAATCGCTTGAACCCAGGAAGTGGAGGTTGCAGTGAGCCGAGATCGCACCATTGCACTCCAGCCTGGGCAACAGAACGAGACTCCATCTCAAAAAAGAAATGTAGTACCAGCTTCTGAAATTGTAAAGGAGAGAGAAACTTGTTCATAGTATATACAAGATTCAGTATTATCTGAGGTTTCAAGCATCCATAAAGAGTCTTGCATGACATCCCACATGGACAAGGGGAAACTACTGTATTTTAAGGAATTTTAAAAAACTATTTTCTGAAAACCCATTATATCCAGATCAACTATAGCATGGAGAAATCATATAAGTACTATTCGTGTTTGACTAATTAACACTTCAAAAAGAGAACCAGAAAATCAACAGAGAAAAATTTATACTGTGAAGGAATGGGGAGGGGGAGCATCTAGATTTATTATCTCTCCCAGTAGAAAGAATGCAATGTTACATTTCACACATGAGTTTTTTTATGGAAGACTATTTTTCAATGTTAAAAATATCTCCCTCCCAACATCAGCTAATTTGGAAAAAAATAATTCAACAACATATCAGAGGCCTATTACCAACTTCTAATGTAGCGAAAATTGGCAAATTATTATACACCAGGGAGATAGGATTTCATGACCTTCCTATTTTTTCTTTACAAAATGTCAGGGAAACCTTACTGTCTCACTCTAGCTGGATATTAATGATAATTATTTTTTGGTACAAACTCTTTTCAGATATAATGATGTCCTCTATTTTCCTTCTTGCATTGGTTTTACTCCCACGAGAGTGACTTCCATTCCCTTATTGCACAAGGCCAAAAATCCCCACAAACAGCTGTCAATCTTACTCTTTTGCACAGAAATTTTTAAACATCTGGCAGGAAAGCCATTCTTAATCTTTTACAATTGTAGATTAATATCTTAAATTTGTACCAAGAAGGCAGGAACCTATGTGAAAAGAAGTTGAGTGTGTTAGTCATTCTGACTCATCACTAAATAGGATTATTGAGGACTTAATCAACTTAAATTTATCTTTAGAATATGCCAAAAATTTCCTTTAACTACATATGGCCTTTTATAGGTTATTTTTTTCATGGAGACAAAAGTTGAGAACTCAAGTCCCTGGTTATCTGTATATAGCCAACTGGCTGTAAGTCAGGAATCCCCACTAATCCCTGAATCTCATTATTTCCTCCATATGCAAAGAAATAAAAACAGTCAATGCAAGCACAGTAGGCTCTTGGTATCCGTGGGTTATGTATTCTCAGATTTCAACCAATTATAGATTGAAAATATTTGAAAAAAAGGTAAAAAATAACAATACAACAATAAAAATAGTACAAATAAAAATACAATACAGTGAACAATTATTTACATAGTATTTTTATTGTATTAGATATCATAAGTAATCTAGAGATGTTTTAAAGTATACGGGAGGATATGCACAGGTTATATGTAAAAAAAAAGTACTTCTTTTATTTAAATTAGATTCAAACAAGTTCCTATACATGTATATTTATATGGTTAGCAAATTTATTCACATCCATGGATTTTGGTATCCAAAGGGAATCCTGGAACCAATCCCCTGAAGATACCGAGGGACAACTGTATGTACATAGCATTGCATTGGTCCAGCATCCAAATAATGTAAACATTTGCTATCATAGGTTTAAGGCAAATAAAACAAAAATACTTTTTTAAAAAAGTCAAGTAATTTTAAAAAGTTATTTTATTTAATTTCACTGTTCTTTAGAGTACACAGGCTAATACCTTTGTTGGCATTGCTCTGTATATCAACATAAGAGAAAGTTTTGAAACTAAGCAGGCCTCAGGTTGGATTCTAGTTTGCTACTTTCCATCTGGATAAGTTGGGTTGAGTTAACCAGCCATGTGAAGTCTCATTTTCCTCATCTAGCAAACGGACATAAGAGCACCTACCTCAAGGTGTAGTTGAGAAGACTAATGAGATAATATATGTCATAAGCACTTAATAATGATTGTTTTCACTCAAGTTTTTTTACTCTAAGTATTTGTAACTTCTAAGTTTTACAGCATCTGTAGTTAAGATCAGTAGAAGCAACGCCACTGGGACACCTGTTGCAGGAACACAAGCAAGTCTACATCTTCTCCAAGCTAAACTGCTGAAGTGTCTTGGGTCCCTTGTTTTTGTCTTCTGCTTTACTTTTCCCTGACTTTGGTTTCTCTGGATGTAATTTCTTTCTGATACAAGTTCGTCCTCAGTTCTACTTTTGTTTCCCCCTAATAACCTTTGGCAACTGAACTTCAAGCTCTTTTGTGTTGAATTTTTTGCTGTCCTCTGTTTATTTTATTCATTCATTGTTTTTCCTGATGCAATGTGGCTAAAATGCAGCTCCAGATGCAAAACAGTTTTAGGTAAATTTTCGTTCAAGATTATTACATTAAAATTTAATACTCATAGCATATTCTTGCCTTATAATTTACTATGAAAAAGCCCTCCACATTTAATATTTGAAATAAATCTACATGAGCTAAACAAAAATCATGCATGTATACTAATGAGTAGAATACACTCTAGGTAATCAATGCATTGATCACCTATTAGTATTCACAGATGTTCTAATATATAATGTTTAAGGCATACGAATCTATATCAAAAACATTATTCTTATTAACAGTTACAAAACAATGCTGCTAGTCATTCAATAATGACAGTATTTATCTTCTTCCTAGAAAATGTCCTTTTAATGGTGAGCATTTTGCTTAGTATGGCTAAAATAATATTAATAAATCATGTATTTGTTTCAAGATATGCCAAAGCCAAGAGGTTTATGAAACCGCTTCATCATTTTCTGCTTGATTTTTCCCTCACATATTCTGCCAGGAGTTATTGTAAATTCAGTCCTAATTCGATTAAGACATTCCCAGTCACCTCTTCCTCATATTCTTATGTACACTAGCCAAAATTAGTCAGATAAGTAAAGTTTTCCTTTGACGAGGGGATTTTGATTCTTAAGCCAAAAATAATAGATTTAATGCTGGAAAGATTTAACAGAAAAAATAAACAGAAGATTTTTTCAAAGGGAAATGAAAATATTGAAAGTAAAATAAATCATAGTAATAAAGCTGCAATAAATATTTGATTATTAAAATTCATTGAAGAGGTCACATTTCTATATCCTACAATAAGATAACATTTCTTTTTTCTGGGTTAAGTACCATCAAGGCCTTTGACCTTAAGGCAACTTCCTGAGGCAACTTACAATGGAGACTCCACAATCAACAGAAGCTTTGAGGGTCCCACCAGGCACACAAGTGGAGTGGAGTGACATGGCTGTGGGTTTGATCTGAATGGGAATGAGTTTCTTAGGAAAGCCTAATTCACCAGTTCCAATAATGCTTGAGCAGTAATCTTATAGCTTATGTGCTTTGTAAGAGAAGTCTTTAATGCAGGTAAAGACAGGATAAGTGAATACAGGAACAATCAGGAGAAAAGTATACTTTAATGTACCATTTAGGGGATGGAGAAGAAAGAAAAGAAAAAGAAACAATTATTTCAAGGTCTCATTAACCTTCCTCCACTCAATCTATGTCAAGTAAACATCCCACAAGTGATTATGAAGAAATAGTATAGGTCGAGTATTTCTAACCCCAAAAGCTTCAAAATATAAAGCTTTTTGAGCACCAACATGATGCCACACACAAGTGGAAAATTCCACACCTGACCTTATGTGATGAGTCACAGTCAAAACACAGGCACACAACACAGTTTATTCAGCATCCCTAAGTGAATAAAGACCCTCCCAGCCTTTTTCAGCTGCAATATATCTTGTCTTCACACACCCAGATTCCCCGATGCAAGCACGCCTACAAAGGGTAATAGAATGGCACACGTGCAGACCATACATGTCAATGGCAGGTTCTCTGTAATGCCCCAAGTAGCGCTAAGCTCTATGTGCATTTCTCATTGTGTTTTTTGCGTATTCGTTCTGCAGTGTAAAGGCACTGTTGAAAACACCAAAAATGGCCGAGGGCAGTGGCTCATGCCTGTAATCCCAGCACTTTGGGAGGCCGATGCAGGTGGATCACGAGGTCAGGAGATCGAGGCCATCCTGGCGAACACAGTGAAAGCCCGTCTCTACTAAAAATACAAAAAGAATTAGCTGGGCGAGGTGGTGGGCGCCTGTAGTCCCAGCTACTCGGGAGGCTGAGGCAGGAGAATGGCATGAACCCAGGAGGCAGAGCTTGCAGTGAGCCAAGATCGCACCACTGCACTCCAGCCTGGGCGACAGAGCAAGACTCCATCTCCAAAAAAAAAAAAAGCTAAAAACACTTACAGATACCCTACAGGTAACACTGATAAGAAAAACAGGGAACATTTATGTTTATCTATAGCACAGGAAGTCAACCTATTGGAGAAACTGGAAAGTAATGTAGGTATGAAACATCTTACGGAAGAGTATGGTGTTAGAATGACCACCCTATATTGACCTGAAGAAACAGAAGGATAGACTGTTGAAATTCTATGCTGAAAGCAATGCCAGAAAAATAGAAAAATACTGCATAAAGCTGAAAGTGAAGATCCTGATTGTGCATTGAAAGAGGAGATCCATCAGCATCACAGTAATACATGCCACTTAATGGTATGCTGATGATGAAACAAGCAAAGATCTATACATTGGATGGAACTGTGATTCAACAGTTTCATTGCAGAAATTTAAGTGAAGACACAGCATCAAATTTTTAAAGATTTTTGGTAATAAAGCACTGCTGATAATGAAGCAGTGGAGAAATTCCTTGAAGAGTTTGCCGGGGTCACTGCTGATGAAAATCTGATGCCAGAAGAAGTCTGTAATACTGATGAAACATCACTAATTTGGTGTTACAGCTGATGAGACAGCCTTTACAGGAATTAAGGATACCAAGGACAGTAAAACTGGGATGTGCTAATGCGGCAGGCATGCATAACCATAAACTTGTTATGATAGGCAAAAGCTTGCACTCTCACTGTTTTCAAGAAATAAATTGCTTACTAGTTTATTATGCTAACAAAAAGGAATGGATCCCCAGAGCTATCTTTACTGATTGTTTTCACAAATGCTTTGTACTAGTGGCTCATGCTCAATGTAGGGAAGCAGAACTGGATGACAACTGCAAGGTTGTGCTATTCTTTCACAACTATTCTTCTCATCTTCCAGCTGAAAGTCTCATAAAAATAATATTGATGCCATGAAATTTCCCCCAAATTTGACTTCATGAATTCAGCCATGCAACCTGGTATCCTTATATCAATGAAGAGTAAATATACAAGTACTTTCTTGAACAGCAGGCTAACAGCAGTGAACAAAGGCATGGATGCAGAAGGTTTTCAAAAGGTGTTTAGCATGAAGGATGCAATATATGCTGTTACCAATGCTTAGAACTCAGTGACTAAAGACACTTATTCCGGTTTATTCCTGGTACAGCCTCGGGCCTGAGACTATGTTCACTAATGATGAACAAGGTCATGGCTTTGAAGGATTCCATTTGTCAAGTGCACAAAAAAATGATGTCTGACCTCATTACATATGCAAAAAATATACCTTCAGAGTTCTGTAAGCTGGAAGAAGCAGATGTGTCAGTTTATAAAATCAAAGGGAGACTTCTAAGACAAAAACCATTGTTAGTGAAGCAGACGACTTTGAAGAAAACATTTTAAAAAGTCATCCAGCAGAATGTCTCTTCATCTCTAGAGGACTCACCCACTTCCTGGTTTCTCGACTGCTTCTGATATTTCTTCTCACCTAAGAAAGTAAAACACAGTGTACAGTGCATTTTAATGGAACAGAACATCCTAGGTGGAGACTGAGAGCCTGCTGGTGTTTATTGTTGCTGTTGTTTAACAGCTGATACAGGTATCTGGTGCAGCTGCTATGCTGCTCAGTTACCCTGAACACGTTATTGTTTTACTGTATTTATGACATGTCCATTTTTTTTTTTTACTGTTAAGTACCTATGTGTGAGTAAGTGTGAGAAAATGATTGCTTGTTGGTAGCATATAAATTCAGAGTCAGGAATAATGGTGATGCCAAACAACCACAGATTGTCCACATGGGTGACAGAGATAGGGACACCTTTACTTTCACCTTTGTGTACTTTCAATGTACACAGACTTTGTTTTATGCACACAATTATTTAAAATATTGCATGAAATTACCTTCAGGTTATGCATATAAGGTATATATAAAACATGAATACATTTTGTGTTTAGACTTGGGCCCCATCCCCAAGATATCTCATTGTGAGTATATGTGTATGCAAATATTCCAAAATCTGAAAAGTTCTAAACTATGAAATACTTTCGTTCTTAAGCATTTTGGATAAGAGATGCTCAATTTCATTTATGAGCTAACTGAGACAGATTTAAAATGGTTTACTAAAAGTTTTACAGTGAATTAATAGGAGAAATAGAGCGACTGGAACAAGTTCTCTTTTAGGGTCCCAGAAAAATCTGGAAAGATTATTTTGTTTAAAAGTATGAGAACATTACATGAGAAGTAGATTATTTGGTCATACAAGAAATCACTAGTAAGATACCACAATTAACATAACAGAAGGAAAACGGATGATTTATACTCATTAACTAATTTATGGATAAGTACAGGTGTTTTAAGGAGAAAATTATTTATACAACATGGTTCACTTGTGATATACTGCAAATAACTAAGTTTCTTTCCTCAGAGCAGAAGAGAAAGGAACATTTTAAGTGGAAATAGGTCTCAGGTGTTAAGAAGGAAGAAAATGATTCTTCAGTATATACTTCATGTCTAAAGGCATAGTTGAAAACTTCCAAACAAAAATTTAATTGACCATAATTTTCCACACATAGATAAAAATCTAATCTAATAAATTTAGCAGCTATGCAAATATAGGTATGTATATGAACTTGTCTGATCTTATTTAAGTAAAGGAAGCACTTTTTTGTAAATGACAATCTTTTGGGGTATGTAAAATTTATTATATTATCTTTTCTTCCCCAAGATGTTACACAAGTATCACTAGTTCCTGAGCACTGAGAAGGGTTTGAAGTCAGAGTTAGCACAAAAGCTGCATATTTGTGTTTTGGTTAATGTTGCTTAAATGCCATGTTCATTTTCTGGCCTTCAGACTCTTGTCCACTATCATACCAAAGCACTTGAGACTCTTTTAATAAGAAACAAATCATCTCATTCTTTGCACAGAGATAGAGTTTAAATGTTAACATCTCAGGGAAAAACAACAAATAGTGAATTAAATTTATTCTGAGCTGTAACATCTGATATTGGAATTTTCTAATAACAAGTGTTTTCTATGCTCAGCCCATGAAATATTTTGGAGGTCAGGGGCCCTAAGATTCACATACAGTTGGGTTTAACTCAGAGCACACATTCTTAGATGTGATAAAAATTTAGAGATCAATGCAATTTAGAGAGTAATGTCTAGCAGCACAAAACCATCCCAAAGTTCAGAGTTTAGGCTAAAATGTGCTAGAAGATATGATTTCAACCTGAAGTCTAGATAAGGATTCCTTCTCCTTTCTCATTGTTCAAGAGATATGAGGTTATGCACTACCCTAATTTGATTCACAAGTCATGGGATCCATGAAGAACCTAGAATTGAGAGACAGGGAGAACACTCTCCTTCTCCCCACTACCATCATGTTAGAAGATTTGACTTAGACAGACTTAATGGCTGGAAACAGGAATCAGAGAAGGGGTCATTGTCCTTCTTACTGATAAATTAGTTAGGAATTAACATAGTCAGCATGGAGCCTATTTCCTAATTTTGAGGTAAAATAACCACAGTGCAAATATAAACCAGATTTTATACAGCTGAGACTCCAACATGCATGTTAAAGGGAAAATGAGATAATGAACAGAGTTAATGTATTCACTTCAATGTGTTCCTCTCATAGATAGGAACACAGAGCTTATTCTTAAGAGACCAGATGAAGAAGAAGATATTAACATTCTTCTTTACCCAAAAAGTGAGGGAAAATATTGTTATGAATAAGATTAGGAAAAAATTGCTTAAAGTTAAATTTTCTTTCCTGCAGGCCTTCTCATAGACTATCATACGCTAAATTACTTTATGAATCTTCATGAGGAGGGTTATATTAAGGATCATGTTCAAACATATTTGGCCATGAAACTCTTTATTAATATCTCTCAGGAGTAGTGAACCAAGAGATTCAGTTCAGGAAACACTGATTACAAATGAGAACTAACCTCAGTGATGAAAAGGATGTAGAATGTGTGAGCTATCAATTCTTCTCACTCTGCAAGTTTTGCCTTCCTCAAAAAGCAAAGCACTGCAAGGAGGCTATTGCAACATCAATGCAAGAGATGAGGGTGTATCATGATCTTATCAAGTCCATTGAACTGGGAAACTCTAGGGCAACATTCTCATTGTATTTCAAATGAAAGTTGTACCCTGAAGTTGTGGAACATGGAGGACCTGAGGGCAATAGTTGTAAAGGTGGTGAGAAGTTGCTGGATGTAAGGTGTATGTTGAAAGCTAAGCTAATAGAATTTGTTTTAGCTTGGATTTTGGATGTGAGCCAAAGAGGAATAAAGGATGATCTATATGTTTTGGCAGAAGCATAAAGTGAATGGTCATCCATGAGAGAAGCGAGTTTTGGCTTGGAGGGAAATAGAATTCCATTTTGGACTTTATAAGTGTTAGATTCATACCTAAGTGTCAAGTGTCC
This sequence comes from Homo sapiens, assembly GCF_000001405.40. Classification (NCBI taxonomy): domain Eukaryota; kingdom Metazoa; phylum Chordata; class Mammalia; order Primates; family Hominidae; genus Homo; species Homo sapiens. The sequence goes on from NC_000004.12 coordinate 176,849,658, forward strand.
AGTTTGACATGTCTCTGATCTGAGGGCATATGGAAGGGTTGGAGTGGTAAATTTGTGAATTATCAGATAGAAGATAGTATTTAAAGTTGTGGAAATAAATGTTATCATCTAGGGCATGGAGTATTTAAATGAAGGGTGAGTCAAGAGGACACTTAAACACATAAAAGTTAGGGCATGAGAAGAATTAATAAAATAAATATATATGCAATGGACCAATGTAGTAAGGAGATAAATTTAAAAGGTATGGTATCCTAGAAACCAAGCAGAAAAATATTTCAAGAATAAATAAGGAATCTAGTATGTCAACCAATGCTGAAAGTTAAATGGAAATTATTGATCACATTAACAATCAAACGATGAGAAAGAAAGCACAGTATCAAGATAATTAGGTTGAAGAATATAGACAGCAAGTAAAGAGAAATCTTTGGAAAAATTTTGCCAGGAAGGGAGGCAAAGATTAAGGAAACAATGGTGAACCTAACGATTTATTTATTTTTTTAAATTAAAAAGGATTAAAGCATGCTTATATGCTGAAGGGAATTATCCATTAAAAAGGGAGGAAATAATATTGCAGAATAAAGCAAAGCCCCTTTTTGAGTTTAGAAGGTATGGGGTTCCGTCCACAAGTCAGAGATTTGATCTTAACCTGAAGAAGCAGTGGCAGATAGTGGTTAAAAACAACAGACTCCAATGCTAGACTACAGTCCCAGTTTCAAACGGGATACCACTATACACCTATGCCTTAAATCCAAAATTCAGATAACACTGAATGCTGGTGAGGATGTGGAGAAACAGGCACTCTATTCATTGGGAATGCAAAATAATCCAGCCACTTTGGAAGACAGTTTTGCAGTTTCTTACAAAACTAACATAGCCTTATTACATGAGCCAGCAATTGTGCTCCTTGGTATTTGTCCAAATAAATAAAAAACATATGTTCACACAAAAACCTGCATACAAATGTTTATAGCAGCTTTATTCATAATACATGAATGGATAAATAAACTGTGGTACATCTATATGACAGAATATTGTATCCTGCCAATTATTTCTTTCCTTAGATGTTTCCCCAGGAATTAGAATATGTAGAACATGTATAACACTGGAACATCGGATATATATATAACAAAACAGTTGCTCCTCATTCCTTCCAGATGCAGTGCAGTCTGTATAAACGAAAACTAAATTAGACATGAGGCACTCCCTTTTCTGTTGGAAGAAAATGGCTGATGATGGACCATTTTAAATGGGTTACCCTTATTGGTACACTAATGTCACTAAAATAATAATACCAATAAATCTGGAGACTTCAACATTTGGCCAAGATGGAGTAAGAAAGACTGAATTTGCTCTCCTGAGTAAAACAACACGTAAATGAATACAATTAATAAAAACATGCTATTTACAGTACTGGACATCAGAGAAAGAACACTGATCTCTGAGAGGCAAAAAAACAAAAAACAAACAAACAAAAAAAACAAACAAACAAGGCAAACTAAGCAATTAACTCAGGTTACTGCATAATTTAGTTTTCAGCTGTAGTGCAATGCAGATAAACCCAGACAAAGTGCTGTGGAGTCCCTGAGTTGAGGAGACAGAGCTAAGAGTCCATAGAAACCAAGGCAGCTGGAGTTTCCAAGCCAAAGTAATAGAAGAAAACTAAGCGAATAGAGGACTGTAGAAACACATGGAAATGTCTTTATGTATTCAGCAGAGTATTGATCAAAAAATGTGTGCATGTGAGGAAACTTCCTAAGGCTGGGGAAAGAGTCATAAACAAGAATTAAAGAGCAGGAATAGTGTCTGCAGAACTAACCAAATTGAAAATCCTCAAATTAATGGGACATTGGGTACAGTACTCAAATAGGCCTTGCCTCTGGAGAGTTCTGGACTAATCACAGCCCTGGTTCTACCTAAAAAACTGAAAACATAAAAGGATCAAACTGTTTTTAAGTAACATAACTATATCCCCCAACAAAGCACAAATATATGTATAGGATTATAAAAACATAAAGTTCTCCAAAGAGAAAACCACAATGTTTGGCACCCAATTAAAAACAATCAGGCTTGTAAAAAAGTAGGAAAATGTGAAATATGATGAGAAGAAGAATCAATCAAAAATGATCCAGAAATGGCACAGATGTGATAGTGAGCACAAGGATATTAAAAACAGTTATGCTACTTACATTCTATGTTAAAAAAAGAAAAAAAAGAAATTTAAGTAGAGATAAATAGAACAAATTATAAAAACTACATATTCTGAGATGAAAACTTTTACTGGATAGGATTAAGAATAGATTAAAATTATAATCCCAGAACTTTGGGAGGTCAAGGCAGGCGGATCAGGAGGTCAAGAGATTGAGACCATCCTGGTCAACATGGTGAAACCTGTTTCTACTAAAAATACAAAAATTAGCTGGGCGTGGTGGCACGTGCCTGTAATCCCAGCCACTTGGGAGGCTGAGGTAGGAGAATCACTTGAACCCGGGAGGTGGAGGTTGCAGTGAGCCAAGATGGCGCCATTGCACTCCAGCCTGGGCAACAAGAATGAAACTCTGTCTCAAACAAAAAAAAAAAAAAGGAAAGAAAAAGAAAAGAATAGATTAAATTTTTCAGAGGAAAAGGTTAGTAAACTGAAAGACATAGCAATAAAAAATATCAAGAATAAAACTTACAGAATAAGAATTTTTGAAAATGCACACAGTGGCTGGGCACAGTAGCTCATGCCTATAATCCCAGCATTTTGGGAGGCCAAGGCGAGCAGATAACTTGAGGTCAGGAGTTTGAGACCAGCCTGGCCAACATGGCGAAACCCCATCTCTACTAAAAAGTACAAAAAAAAATTAGGTGTGGTGGTGAGTGCCTGTAATCTGTAATCCCAGCTACTTGGGAGGCTGAGGCAGGAGAATTGCTTGAACCTGGGAGGCAGAGGTTGCAGTGAGCTGAGATCGTGCCATTGCACTCCAGCCTGGGTGACAGAACAAGACACCATCTCCAAAAAAAAAAAAAAATGAAAATGCACACAGCATAGTAACCTGTAGCAGTGGCACAGTTTCAAGTGGTCTAAAATACATTGTGACTGGAGTGCCTGAGGAAGAGAAAGGAGTGAGGAGGAAATATATCTGAAGAATTAATGTTTGAAAATTTTTAAAAGTTTGATAAAAATATAAAGTCAAATATCTGAGAATATCAATAATCTTCAAGTAAAACAACAATAACAAAATTAACCAAAGAAGATCATAATAAAATTGTTTATAACAGTGATAAGGAAAAAAATTAAAAGTAGAAGGGAAAAAGAGATGTCAAATTCAGAGAATCAAAGATAAGATTGACAACATATTTTGCATAGGAACCAATGCAACCAAGAGGTCAGTGGAGCAATATCCTTAAAGCAGCAAAAGAAAATCTGTCAACCTAGAATTCTGTATACCTAGCAACAGTATCTTTAAAAACCTAAGATGAAATAAAGATTTTTTAGATATGCAAAAGCTGAAAGAATTAATGATCAGCATACCCACATTTTAAGAAATTTTGAAAGTCAAGCAAAAAGATGATACTGAATTAAAACATGGATTTTTTTCACTCACAGGAATGAAGAGAAGATGCTAATTACATGGATCAATATGTAGGTTTTTATTATTTAGATCTTTCAAAGGTAATGGGTATCCAAATAAAAATAATAACAATCTATTCTAGATGTTCTAAAATACATGAAGTCAAAATTTGTGACAAATAGCACAAAAGCTGGAAGAGGAAATATGAGTGTAACATTTTTAAGTTAAATATGATGTGAAATAATAGCTCATGAAGGTAGACTATAATAGTTATAATGGCTGTATTTTAAATACCCCAAACAACACCTGAAATAACCAAACAAAGGAGATAAAATGGCATTATAAAAAGTACTTAATCCAAAAGAAGGCAGGAAAAATGGGAAAAAGGAAATAAAGAACACATAGAAAAATAGAAAATAAATAGCAAGATGATAGATTTAAACCTAACCATATTAATAATCATATTAAATGTAAATGTTCTAAATACCATAAATCAAAGTCAGAGTTTGTCAGGTTGAATAAAAAGCTAGACCTATTATCCGTAATATCCCCTTACTATACTTACATAATATTATATGTAAAGTCTATAATTATGTCATTGCTCTCATTCCTGATATTTGTACTTTCATATCGTTTCCCTATATTTTTCTTGATTCAATCTGCAAGTCCTATAGCTGCAAGGAACTGAATACTTCAAACAGTAATTGGTATTCATAAGTACTGCTGGTGAGAATGTAAATGGTACAACATATTTGTAAACCAGTTTGACAATAAAACAGCTATCAAATGATTCAGTCATTCCACTCCCAAGTATTTTCTCAAGATAAAGGAAAATATATGCTCCTACTAAGAACTGTACGTGAATAGTCATAGCAACTTTATTGTAATAATAAAAAAGTCGATACAATCCAAGTGTCCATCGGCATCTCCATGGTTAAACCCATTGTTATATCCCCACATAAAAGAACACTTCTTAGCAATACAGAAGAATGGACTATCAATATACATTATAATATAAATTAGTCTCAAAATCATTATGCTAAGTGTAGGAACTCAGGCCACATAAAAAAATTATTTTATTAATGGATTAATATAAAATTCTAGGAAATGCAAGGTATAGTGACCAAATACAGATCAGAAGTTTTCTAGAGACAGGGAAGGCTGTGGTAGAATGAAGTGGGCAGGAGGTAGGAATTAAGAAGCGGGGGCAAGGAAGCGTTGGGGATTGACAGATATGTTCTTTCATTTTTTTTTAGATGGAGTCTCACTCTGTCACCAGGCTGGAGTGCAGTGGCGAGATCTCGGCTCACTGCAACCTCTGACTCCCTGGTTCAAGTGATTCTCCTGCCTCAGCCTTTCTAGTAGCTGGGACTACAGGTGCGCGCCACCATGCCCACCTAATTTTTGTATTTTTAGTAGAGACAGGATTTAACCATGTTGACCAGGATGGTCTCAATCTCTTGACCTCCAGTGATCCCCTCGCTTCGGCCTCCCAAAGTGTTGGGATTACAGGCATGTGGCACCATGCCTGGTGGACAGATATGTTCTTTTTCTGATTCTGGTGATGGTTTCATGAAATATACACATGTCAAAATGTTTCAATTTGTATACTTAAATATATGCAGCCAACTGTATTACAACTTTGAGTTTATAAAACTGTTTATAAACAAATAAAGCCTTTTTGTTTCAATCCCTGAACTGTCTGTTTTCCTGTTTCGGGAATAGATTCTTGAACTCTGCAAAGACATAATACAAGTACAATAACTTGACCTATATCAAAATTAGCCTTGACCTTGTTCATTGGTGAAAAGCTACTATTTGCTTTTGGCCTTTGGCTTAGCCTTGGGAACTCATAAGCTGAATGCCTGTCTTATTTATTTACCTGAACTTATACTGCATGTTGAATGATTGTAAAATCCTTGCAATCTTTTAGGTTGCCATCAAATTGAATCTCAGGAACAAGAACAAGATGTGTCATGAAGATTTATTGTTAATATCTGACTACTCACTTTCAAATTTAGGTACACATTCTAGATAGATGCACCTTGAAATGTGTTTCATGTATTGGAATTTTATCAGTCAGTTGAAGAATATATAAATATCATCTTAAGGGTAAAATTGATAATAATTAATGATAATTATGAAAGCTATTCATTTTATGTACAAATCAATTCTTGAGAACTTTCAGGTAGTCAAATAAATACAGTGGCAGTTAATTGGTATATAATGAAAAGTAACATAGATGAAAATTCAGTTCTTGTTATCATGAAATTCAATTTAATCGTACTTTGGAACATTGCTATATTCAAGATCTATTGGCAATTTCTTCCAAAATGTGTGTGAAACAGTAAATTCAAGAAGATAGTAATCTGAGTGAGGGCAATAACTTTAAATTTCCTTCCGAAAATACTTCAAACGCATGTACATCAACAAGGCAGAAAGCTTCAATGTGTGGGATTGCTACAAAGAAATTGCGTCATTATCATCAACCCAACAATTTTTATCTCTCAGAATTAGAAGAGAAACAAGTTTACATCAGTCTCTACTTTTGCATAGAGGAAAGGAATATAGCATTTTTATAAAAACATCAAGAAATGTACTCTGCTTGAAGATTCATGACCTTTGGAAAATTACTGGTTTACGTTCTGCAAAACCACAGGCCAATAATGTAGATTTGTTTTAACGATGAATTTAATGTTATGCCAAAAATTTCTTCATTTCTTGTTTCATATCTCACAATTTTATGAATTGCCATTTGATACGTTTCTCAACATTCTCTCAGTCAATATTCCAATTAGCAGTAATAGATTTTAAATAACATTTTCCCCTGGTACACATCTCCCCTGAGAAAAATTATAGACATCTATAACATAAGATTCTGTCTCCAACTATCATGAAGAAGTAGATAATAGCATAGAGGCAAATATTATTTGACATATGACTAATACTTACTTTTGTCCCTGAGCTACATCTAACTCAAAGTACAACTGATCTTTTCTTGCATGGGGGACCTTCTGCGAGCCTGCCACATGTTTAGATAAAAATTTTATCTTGGTTGCCTCCCTCACCACATCAAGTTAGACAGAAGCACACCTGCAATAGAGTATTTCTAGAGTTCATGAGGATCTGGGGAAGGAAGAGTTGCTATTGCTTCAAAGGTTGGAGCATTAAGTTTCAAAGTTCCTGAAATAGGAAGCCAGAATTCCAGGAAAGGTTCTCTCTGACAATTCTTCAAAATACTCTTCTCTCCCACCCCTTCTGGCTTGGGGTATGGTAGGCACATGTGTGCTCACACACATACTAACAGTCGAAAGAAATATGCCTGGCAGATGTCCTTGACCATTTTGGGGCCCTTGATTCAGTGTGCCTAAACTGAATGAATGTATCCTGACTACATGAGGTCTGCTATGTGTCAGATGTGGGTGGCCAGATGGTTACAGTTCTTCTGTTTATAATGTCAACTGCTCACTCTTCAAAAAGACCACTGTAATAGCCTACGGGTAAGCACAGCTATGCTTATTAGCCTTCTGCAGTAGGGAAAGCATCACCTATACAGTCTAGTTTGTTTCTCAATAGGGAGATTAGAGATGAGTTAACAATAGGATTTGGAGATTAAAGATCAAGTAGTTTAAGGAGGACTTTCCATGTAAGGATCTGATTGAGACAGGGCAAATTCATCAATCATATAGTTGTTTAGAATTGGTGGACATAATGAGGTGATCTTGAAGTATGTCTTGATAGGTAAACAGCTGCTTGATAGTAAGCTGTTAGCTCAGATGAGCAAACTATTGTGAGAATAGGACCATTTATAGTTCTGTAGTTCAAATAAGTCAGAGAATAATTTATATAGTTAAAATAAACTGACTTTCAAGAATTTTCTGAAGCAAACTGTAAAACTATTTATATAATATTTCCTACAATACATTGTAAAGTTATGTTGACACAGTTGGCCTAAGTCCTCAGTCCTGACAGTTCAACCAAATGGATATTGGTGGCTTCAGTTCTCATGACCAATTCATCGTGATGGAAGAAAATTGGATATGTGTTCATGGTTTGTGTAGGGGTGCTTTCTTTTTTTTTTTTTTTTAGATGGAGTTTCACTCGTTGTTGCCCAGGCTGGAGTGCAATGCTACGATCTTGGCTCACTGCAACCTCCACCGCCTGGGTTCAAGCAATTTTCCTGTCTCAGCCTTCCAAGTAGCTGGGATTATAGGCGCCTGCCACCATGCCTGGCTAATTTTTGTATTTTTAGTAGAGACGGGATTTCACCATATTGGCCACACTGGTCTCGAACTCCTGACCTTAGGTGATCCACCCACCTCGGCCTCCCAAAGTGCTGAGATTACAGCTGTGAGCCACCACACCCAACCTATCTTGGGGTGCTTTCTAATCAAAGGTGGGCATCTATTATCTCTACTTTCCATTTGTTGTCACTTCTCTCCACTACCTCCACCCCTTTGCCAAGCAGGCAAACTTTCTTAGTCATTTCTTAGTGGAGAACACTTTATGTTATTGCTAATTCTTTCACTCTCTTTCATTGCTTTCTTACTCAGTGAGATACAGCAGAATACAATGGTTCATACGTGGGCTCAAGTGACAGATTTCCCCACTGTGTGTTCTGTGTAGCCTTGGGCAAAGTTACTTAGATACTCCACGCTTCACTTTCCGCAAAATCATGATGGTGGAGGGTTGATATGAGAATCAAATAAGTTAACGTAGGTAAAGATCTCAGAACAGAGCCTGGCACGTAGTGTTGACTTTTATCACAATGCTGATTATTTCAAAGCATTGCTGTGATGCTTAATTAAATGAAAGAAAATGTATAAAGCAACTAGAACAGTGGAAATAATAAAAAGTGTTGACTATTACATTATGTGTAGCTAATTAATGTGTATTAGCTCTTTTTGATTGTATGTAATGCTATCCAGAAATCAGTGCAGAAGGGCAGGGGAGGCTTTTAAATTATAAGGGGCAAGTATTCTTTTATTTTAAAATTACTTAGGATAACATACAGGAATATACTTGGCACGTAATATATGCCAATACGATGTTTTCATGTTATGGAAGAAAGGATTTAGAATCAGATAACCATAAGTCTGAATTTCTGTATTTTGAGAACTTACACATCAAAAAGTTAATATCTCAGCCTCATGAACTTCCTATAGATGGGCATAGTAACATCAAATTCATAGACTTGTTGCCAGAATTCAATGAAATAATGCATAGAATTGTACAGAGCATAAGGTTGTAGAAAAATACTATTTCCTTTTTGCCTCCTCTTCCTTTTACCTCAATAGTCTTCATTTAAATTTTCTGTAAAGTCAAAAAGTCAAATTAGATTATCTTTCAGCTCTAAAATTTTCTCATTCTATACTTACACTTAGAACGATTTCTTCTTTCTCTTAACTTTCAGAGAAGCCCTTTAAATCTGTGTTACCTTGAGCCATTTAGCACTGAAATATATGTGGCCTGGGTTCATTCTCTAGTAATGAGAATCTCATATCTTTCCCAAAGGCAGGCACTATATTGCGGGTTTCTCATGTATAGTTTACCATGCCAAGCAATGCTGAGCATGCACTTGTCAATAAGTACCCATTGGCTTGTTCAGTATTATAAATCCATACACAGTGAATCAGCATCTACTGAAAGGTACAAATACTTTGAAGTGTCATTAGTGCTATATAAGTGAAAGATTCATTTCATTGTGTTCTAGACACTTGAACACTTTCCTTGGGTCATTGAACATATTTAATGTATTCACTTAAAAGCACAGCAAGAGTACTTCTTTTCAAGGTCTTAGTGATAGATTTTAATGAAGAGTATAATGAAGGAGTCTATGGGGCTGAGCCTGCAGCAGGAGATAATAGAATGCAGCTTAATACATTACAGCATAGTCTCCAAGGCTTCAAACTCCCAGCTTAAATGATGTTATATAATTTTATTCTACTCAAGCTTGGGTAGAAATTTCTCATTTCAAAAGTGACTGAGGTTGGTGTTTTTGATAAATGGTATCTTAGCTCTCATTTCCCAACATCCTCTCTTCCTAAGCTAAAAATAAAAATGAAATACAAGAGATAAATAACGAATCTTACTGATATATAGAATGATGCTTTCATTGTTTCAGACCAGGGGAGTGGAGGAGTCCAAGAGGCTAGGGGTAATGGTAGGTTCCAGATATATTTCCTTTAATCTTGTACCAATAGTTCCATTTTTTTCTCATTTTCTCAATACTTTATTTCTAATGCTGAATCTTTTTCATTACGCTTGATATCTGAATGTGGTCATAAATCTTACTACATAGCACCTAAAAATTCCTGTCAAAGTGATTATTATTTTAAAATAATAAAATGTAGCCAAAGAAAATTTTTATTATTTACTAATAAAATTATTGCAAAACATAGATTGGGTGTAAAGTTATATTTTTCTAAAAATAGTTTTTGATATCACATAATCATGAATATTATCTTAAATTTGACATCATGAAGAAATATAAAATCTGAGCAGACCAATAATGAGTAACAACATGAAATCAGTAATAAAAATCCCCAATCAAAGAAGAGTTCAGGACCCTATGGCATCACTTTTGAATTTTACTAAACATTTAAAGAAGAACTAATACCAATCTACTCAAACAATTCCCCAAAATTAATGACTTGGGAATACTTCCAAGTTTCTTCAATGAGGCCAGCATTACTCTAATACCAAAACCATACAAGGCCCAAACAAAAAAAGAAAACTATAGACCAGTATCCCTAATGAATATAGATGCCAGATCTGCAACAAGATGCCAGGCAACTGAATTCAACAGCACATTAAAATGATCATTCATTGTGATGGGGTAGGATTCATCCCATGGATGCAAGGATGGTTCAACATACACAAATCAATAAATATAATATGTCACATTAATGGAACGAAGGGGAAAAACCATATGATCATTTTAATAGATGCAGAAAAAGCATTTGACAAAATTCAACATCCCTTCCTGATAAGAACTCTCAACAAATTAGGTATAGAAGATAAGTGGTCAACAGGTATATGAAAAAATGCTCAACATCTCAAACCATTAGATAAATGCAAATCAAAACCACAATGAAATATCACTTCACCCCAGTTAGAATGGTATATTAGCCCATTCTGCCATAAAGATACTACCCAATACTGGGTAATTTATAAACGAAAGAGGTTTAATTGACTCGCAGTTTTGCATGGCTGTGGAAGCCTCAGGAAACTTACAATCATGGCAGAAGGGGAAGCAGGCATATCTTACATGGGGCAGGCAAGAGGAAGTGTGTGTGAGCGCAGGAAAAACTACCGTTTATAAAACCATCAGATCTTGTTAGAATTCACTCACTATCATGAGAACAACAGCATGGGGGAAACTGCCTCCATAATCCAATCACTTCCCTCCTTCAACACATGGGGATTACATGTCCCTTTCTGGACATCTAGGAATTACAATTAGAGATGAGATTTGGGTGGGAACACAGAGCCAAACCATATCAAATGGCTACTACCAAAAATACAAAAAATAACAAATAATGGCATAGATATGGAGAAAGGGGAACACTTAAACATTGTTGGTGGGAATGTAAATTAAATATTAGCCATTATGGAGTCTGATTATGGATGTCCCTCAAAAAACTAAAAACAGAACTACCATAAAATTCTGCAATTCTACTACTGGACCCAAAATGATCCAAAAATCATTTTGTCAAAGAGATATCTGTACTCTCATGTTTATTGCAGCAGTAGTCACAATAGCCAAGATATGGAACCAACCTAGGTGTTCAACAATACCTAGGTTGATGAATACGTAAAGAAAATGTGGTAGATACACAATTGAACATCATTTAGCCATTAAAAATTGAATGAAATCCTGTCCCATGTGGTGAAACGGATAAACCTGAAGAGCAATATGTTAAGTGAAATAAGCCAGACACAGAAAGACAAATACCACATGACCTCATTCATATGTGGAATCTAAAAGAGTTGATCTCATAGAAATAGAGAGTAGAAAGATAGTTAACAGGGCATGGAAAGGGTATGGGTAGAAAGAGCATAGGAATTTATTTATTTATTTTTTACAATATAGTTCAACAGCCCAGAAATATCAGTTAGACGCTTTCTTCTTCAGGTAACAGAAACATAAATTACTGTGGCTTAAAGAATAGTTTATTTTTCCTTATATACTAAGAATTCTATCTGTGGTGGCTGCAGGAGCAGGTTCCATATCTCATTGAAGTCGGGATGATGTCTTGGTGATTTCTTGGGCCATTTCCTCATAGTTAAAAAGATGAGCTGGGCGCAGTGGCTCATGCCTGTAATCCCAGACTAACATGGAGAAACCCCATCTCTACTAAAAATACAAAAATTAGCCAGGTGTGGTGGCACATGCCTGTAATCCCAGCTACTCGGGAGGCTGAGGCAGGAGAATCGCTTGAACCTGAGAGGCAGAGGTTACGGTGAGCTGGAGATTGCGCCATTGCCCTCCAGCCTGGGCAACAAGAGTGAAACTCCGTCTCAAAAAAACAAAACAAACAAACAAACAAAAAAGCGCTGCTGCAACTCCAAGTTTCATATATGCATTTAAATAAAGAAGAAGGAAAGGAGGTATAGACCATTTTTTAAATCAAAAAAAGCAAAAGCTTTCTGCCAGACCTCAGAAAGTGAAAACAACAACAAACCCAAACAAACTAACAAACAAAAAGCAAAAGCTTTCACAGAAATTTCCTATTATATTTAACTGGCCAGAGTTGTGTCATGTGAAACTCATAGATGTGAGAGAATCTAGGGAAGTGAACATTTAAAAACTTCAGTTTTGATATCAGAGGTAGAAAAGGGAAAAAAGACTTAGAAATAGGCATTGAATAAGCCCAACCCATAGGGCCATCCACATCAGTTGTAAAGGTAGGGAACACAGATATATGTATAGGTCCAGATATGGGTTTTTCAGGTGATCCCACAAAAGACAAATAGAACAAAAATATTAAGGAACTAGTCAAGAAAGTGCTTGAATTGATAATTCATAGAAGTTAAGGGAATCCCAGAAGAGGATTCATGTATAGGGAAACAATAAAGCATCTAGATTTTTTAAATATGTGGAAGAACAAAGCTGACAAAAAAAGCAATGGAGAAAGGACTCTCTATTCAGTAAGTGGTGCTGGGACAACTGGCTAGCCAAATGCAGAAGACTGAAACTGGACCCCTACCTTACTCCGTATACAAAAATTAAGTTGAGATGGATTAAAGATTGAAATGTAAAACCTGAAACTGTAAAAACCCTGGAAAACAACCTAAGCAATATCATTCTAGACATGGGAACAGGCAAAAATGTCATGACAAAGATGCCAAAAACCAATTGCAACAAAACAAAAATTGATAAATGGAATATACATAAACTAAAGAGCTTCTGCACAGCAAAAGAAGCCATCAACAGAGTAAACAGACAACCTACAAAATAGGAGAAAATTTTTGCAAACTATGCATCTGAGAAAGGTCTAATATCTAACATCTATAACAAACTTAAACAAATTTATAAGAAAAAATGACCCTACCAAAAATTGGGCAAAGGACATGAACAGACACTTTTCATACATACATGTGGCCACATACATGTGGCCAAGAAGTATATGAAGAAAAGCTCAACATCACTGTCCATTAGAGAAATGCAAATCAAAACGACAGTGAGATATTATCTCACACCTGTCAGAATGGCTATTGCTAAAAAGTCAAAAAATAACAGGTACTGTCAAGGTTGTAGGGAAAAAGGAATGTTTATACACTGTTGGTAGAAGTGTGAATTAGTTCAGCTATCATGGAAAACAGTGAGGTGATTTCTCAAAGACCTGAAAACAGAATTACCATTCAACCCAGCAATCCCATTACTGGGTATATACCCAATGTAATATAAATTACTCTATCATAAAGATACATGCACGCATATGTTCACTGCAGCACTATTCACAATAGCAAATAAATGAAATCAACCTAAATGCCCATCAATGGTAGACTGGATAAAAGAAATGTGGTACATATACAACATGGAATACTATGCAGCCATAAAAACGAACAAGATCATGTCCTTTGCAGGAACACAGATGGAGCTGAAGGCCATCTTCTTTAGCAAACTAGTGCAGGAACAGAAAACCAAATACCACATGTTCTCACTTATAAGTGGGAGCTAAAAGATGAGAACACATGGACACATAGAGGCCAACAAGAGACACTGGGGCCTATCAAAGTGTGAAGGGTGGGATGAGGGAGACGATAAGGAAATATAACTAATAGGTATTAGTCTTAATACCTGGGCAATGAAATAATCTGTACAACAAACCCCCATGACACAAGTTTACCTATGTAACAAATCTGCACATGTACCCCTAAACTTCAAAGTTAAAAAACCATGGAAGAACAGTAGTTGTGAGATTTACTAAATGAGAGAGGTAGATGGGATAGTGGTGTGGTCAGGAAGTAAGAGTTTGAATTTGCGATCTCAGGTGTTGGAGCTTACTATCCAAATTAGTGATCGAGCAGTAGAATTTAATCAACATGGAAAGCAGGAGGAAGCCATTGTATGTTTTGGGGGAAAAGAAAGTAACATGAAAGCTTTTCTGTGAGTACCCTAATATGATAGCAGGTTGCAAAAATGTTTTGGAAGTAACAAAGAATAGAACCAATTATGGAAACCCAAGTTATGGTTTCTGCTTTTATACTTTCTTCCAGGAGAAGTAACTATTGTCCAATAAGCATCATTTGTGCTTTATAATTTATGTGCTTTTTTCATATCACAAAGTCTACCTTTAAGCCCTGCCAGTTAGATGCCAGTCACATTGATCCCACATTGGATCATGGAATGGATCACGGTTGATCCTTTTCAAGAACACCTATCCTCGAGCTGTGTTGTCAATAAGTCTGGTGCTCAGTAGTTTAGCTCTAAGACATGTATTGGTGAATAAGATTGAGCAGATGTGGAAGGCCAGGGTCTTACTTTGTTTTAAATTAAGGGATCTTCTGATTAAGGAATCACAGCTTGTTTTCACAAATATAGTTTTGAAAGGGGATTCCATATGATGACACAGTTCCCAGACCATTTCTTGTAAATCTCAAATATTGTCAGTAACTGGCATCTAGTATAAAACCAGCAGTGCTTTGTAACTATAGAAGGATGAGTGGAAACTTGTCTGAGGCAGAAAAGAAAACGAAATTGACTTGCATTTGCAATCTTTTTGGGTAAATTCATTCAGTTGGTTAGAGAAAGATCCTAATTTGCTGAGATTGTGAAATCACCACTTACTGTTAGTTTTAACAGGGAGACAAATTTTCAGTTCCCTTAATCAACATGTCAAGTCTGTATATTTAAGATATATTTTTAAATTATACTTTTTATTATTTTTTCATAAAAGTTATTTTATTAGAGAAAAACAAAACAACCACAGCAAACAACCTTAGTTCAGAATCTGTTCTCAGTGACAAGGTTTCATTAGCTCAGTTACCTTCTGTTTAGTGGAGTTAAACTAACTGTTTCCGGGGCATGCCTTTCCCCAGATTTTATAAAGTTAATGAATGTAAGATGATGTAAAGGCAAGCTGCTCAACTGGGGAAGCTCAAGTTTTAAATAAAATCATTTTAAAGGCTATTTTTATTAGCTAAAAGGGAAAGACATTTTCACAGGCAGATCTAATTTCCTTTAATCTCTCCTGTTCAGTCTCTTCTCATGAGTTTTTCTAGAATTACTGATTGTCAGTTCAGGTCCGTTTTCCTTACACTCTCTTCCCTAGTCTCTACTTTAATTTTTCCATCTAAATAATTGGATCTTAAACTACAATAAATCCATTTTAACCAAACTTATTTTTCTTTGTAAAGCTATCAACAGTGTTGTCAATAATAGTTGTAACTTTAGAAGTAGCACTTTTTAGGTAATAAACTAGGAAAAAATAATAAAACAACTTCTAAGTATAAAAACTGGGCTTATTTTAGCTACTGCTGTTTAGTAGATTGAATCATTATCAAAAAAATCTTACTAATTCTCTCGCCTCAGAACTTTGCTGTGATCCCTGTCAATCCTATACAGTAAGCCCCAGAATCTCATCTCCAGAATTCTTTTCCTATTCAATTTACTTTTATTATTTTGGCCTCTTTCCTCTGCACCCACTGAACCCCAACCAAGTAAATTTTAGAGAAAAAGATGATGATTTCTTTCAACTTTTTTTCTGTTTTTATATCTTTTCAGTCATCCTTGTAGCTTCTGCAACTTATTTTCTCTGTTTAACGCATCAGAGAAATTTTCATCAAAAATAAAACCTGTCTTCTATAAAGCATCCCTAATTAAATGGAAGTAAGACATAGTTTAAAATATCAAAAAGATACATACAGCATATGCCTGTGGTTCCAAAGCAACAGAATGAAAAGTGGGGAGTTCCACCCATCTATTTGGAAATTTTTACTAGTTTGTTTCATTTTGTTTTTGCTGAGTTGATTGATTTGGCAATTTATTTTATGGTCTGGGCAAGGCTCTGTTTTCACATTGCCAACCAACTGGTCGATCCATTAAAGAATCACTCTGATGAATTTGTTCATGTCATGAAAACAAAATAATTTGTTCATAGAACTTTTTCTTTTTAAGTCAAAATGTTGGAGATCATATTTATATCAAAACATGTGCAATGTCTGTTTTTGCTGCAACAAAAGCATTTTTAAACAATGCTGTAGCTCTCACAGCATTTCTTTAGATATATAATTGTTTGCTTGTAGTGTATTCATTTCTTCTAACTTTGTGTTTACAAAGAGCTTAACACATTGTAGAAGCTTAATAAAAATGCATTAGGTTGATAATGATATGCCTTTTCTTGCTGTTCTTACTCATTAAAGACTTTAAACTGCTGAACTGCATGTTTTAAAATTGCTTTCCAGGCCAGGCACGGTGGCTCACACTTGTAATCCCAGCACTTTGGGAGGCCAAGGCGAGCAGATCACTTGAGGACAGGAGTTCAAACCAGACTGGCCAATGTGGTGAAACCCCATCTCTACTAAAATACAAAAATTAGCCAAGTGTGGTAGCACATGCCTGTAATCCCAGCTAATTTAGGAGGCTGAGGCACGAGAATCGCTTGAATCCAGAAGGCGGAAGTTGCGACAGAGTGAGACTCTATCTCAAATAAATAAATAAATTAAAATAAATTAAATTAAATTGCTTCCCAGATTTTTGAAAAACAAGCACATTCTGAGTCTTCCGTCTCCTATACACGAATATTTCATTTTATGTATTGACAATGATTTACTCAGAAGTTCTTCAACATATGTTGGTTACGTGCATTGAAACTTTACCTTTGCTATATTTCACTAATCTTTACAATCCTCACTGAGATATCCAATATCCAAACTGAGGCTTAGAGAGATAAAATGAATTATCCAAGGTCACATATTTATTAACTGACAAATCTTCACTCTATCGTAAAGTGTTTCCTAGTTGTCTGCAACTGTTATCTCCCTTTGTTTAATCTTTTATATGATTTAGTGTTTGTGGAATTCTTTGAAAAATGAGATAAGTGTATTGAATTCTAGAATTGGAAGGGGTATCACATATCATATTTTGCTAGTAAATTTTTCTCATTTCTTGCAATAAGAGAAATATCTTCTTCATCTCCCCCAGTAGCATCTGTGGAACCTCAACTCTTAGCTGATGATCTCACTTCATATTCTCCTGGAAAATAGAAGTTATCAGATAATTGTTAATCTAATGTCCCCACTACCAAATCCACTGGTCAAGTTAAATCTATCATGAACTTTATGAAGATAGATGAATTAATTCTATCATTCTATTTTTTTTTTTTTTTTTTTGAGACTGGGTCTCACTCTGTTGCCCAGGCTGGCCTGCAGTGGCACAATCTCAGCTCACTGCAACGTCTGCCTCCTGAGCCCAAATGATCCTCCTGCCTCAGCCTCCTGAGTAGTTGGGACCATAGGTGTGCATCACCACATGTGACTATTTTGTTTTGTTTTGTTTTGTTTTGTTTTGGTGGAGACAGAGTTTTGCCACGTTGTCCAGGCTGGTCTCAAACTCCTGAGCTCAGGTGATCCACCTGCCTCAGCCTCCCAGAGTTCTGGGTTTACAGGCATAAGCCACCATGCCCAGCCAGGTCTATCAATCTTTTTAACATAGTTTTACATTTTTTTCTTGAGAATTTTTTTTTTCTTTTAGCTTTTGTGAAATTGCCTCCTGCCTCACTGGTCATTCTTTCTTTGTCTCTTTTGCTGCTTCCGACTACACTGCCGTATCAGTAAGTGTTGGACTGTCCCGAGGCCTGTTCTTTGGTCTCTTTCTCTAAACACACTCATTCCTTGGAAAAGCCCATCTAGTCCCACAGCTTGGAAATCCACTTAGGTGGATTATACCTGATGTTATCTTCAATCCCTTAGCCCTCCCTTAAGCTCAGACAGATATCAAACTGCATACCTGACGTTTTCACATTGATGTTTAATAGTTATCTAAAATATCCAAGACAGGACATGTGATTCCCCCAACTCCTGACAACCTCATTTTCCTCTACTATGCCCATCTTCATTTATGACACACTCCCTCTAGTCATAGATCTGATCATTACCTGATACTGCTTCTCTTCTTTCTACTTCTAAATTTAATATACCAGCAAATATTATTGGCTGTACTTAAATAGACATCTTAAACTTGGCTAGTTAACCCATCTTCCTTGCTGCCATACCAGTCTAAGCTGCCATCATCGATCACCTGCATCACAACAATAGCTTTCTAGCACTTTCCTTGTGCTTTCACTCCCCTAAACTATGTTCTCCACACCAAACTCAGTCACCACATCATTAAACAACTACTTATTGAGAATGCACCAGGAATTAGGTACTGTCCTAAGCATTGCAAATAAAATAGCAAAACAAATTCAACCAGAAATCTCTTCTTTCTTTCCATTTGTATTTCCAGGGGACACTCAGTTTATATATATGTGTGTGTGTGTGTACATATGTGTTTGTATATATAGATAAATAGTATATTTGAGACAGTGATTTAAAAATAAAGCAAGATAGAGAAAGTAGAGTGCAGGGTGAGTGGAAAGCTATTATTTTATATAGGGTTATGAAGAAAGGATTTGCTGATAAGGTTATATTTTATACAGAACCTGAAGAAAAGTGGGAATAAGTCATGTATCTGGGGAAAGAGCCATTTAGGTAGAACCAGCATTAGGAGAAGGGGCCTCACAGCAGAGTCACCTCGGTGTTTTCAGGGAACACGAAGGAGGCCAGTTGGACAGAGTGGGCAGGAAGGCATTGTAGTGGAAGTAGCAGAAGACAAATCAGATAATTATCAGTAGGTCATATCATGCAGGCTCTCCTATAAACCATTATGCCTTTTCATTTAACATTAAGCCAATGAAAAATTTTTGAGCTACAAAACAACGTTTTTACCATTTAAATACATTACTCTGGCCACTATGTGGAGAATGAGTGGGAAGGGTAAAGCAGGCAGGCAGGCCAGCTGAGAAGTTTGCATCATCATAATCTAGGTGAGAAGTTTTGCATCACCGTTATCCAGATGACATAATGGTAGTTTAAACCAGGTTGCCAGGGCTGTGGGAGGGACAACTGGTCAGAGTCTATGTACATTTTGTAGGTAAAGACTACAGCTTTCTTCTGGTGAATTGTAGTGAGACACCAAGGCTCTTGACCTGAGCAACTGAAAATGCTCTTATTAATGAGATGGGGAAAACCATGGACGGAGTGGGTTTTGAAAGAGAAAATAGAATTTGGATTTCAGACAGGAAATGTCTGTTAGACCTTTAAGTGAATTCTAGTAGATATTTATGTAAGTCAGTATGAACTTCAGAAGAGAGCTGGGGACTGCAGATAATAATTTATGAGATGCCAATGTACAGATGGCATTTAAAATTTAACTTGGATAAAATTACTTAGAATCTAAATATAGATGGGTGAAGGAGAAATGAATTCCGGGGCACTCTAATATCTCGAAGATGAAAAGAGGAGGAGTAGTCTACAAAGACATTATTTGTTAAATCTCTACTTATTGATTGATACACTTTATTTATATTTTGTTATAGGTTGTGAATGTCTAGGTCTTATCCCTGTTTTCCCTTTTCTTCTACTTCCTGATTAATAATTAAAATGAATCATCATTAAATTTATATAGGGATTTACTGCCTTCTATTTATGATAACATATTTTTTAAAATCCCTTTAAAATAAATATTATTTATAAGGTAAAAAACACAAACATGATTGAGGCATTTAAAATAAGTAAGACAGAGAGACAAATCAAAAATATTCAATAGTGGGGAAAAATAGTATAAAGGAAGTTATGTTTCTATACATCCACTGATAGTCAAGTTCCATATTCATATACTCAACAATAGGCAAAAATTGTAGAGTACTAGCAATGTATGTTCATAAGAATTATACAACTCACGAGTTTTTGACCTGAGATCTTACCATCGGGAAGTCCCTTTCAATAAATCCACCAATTTATTGAAATGGTATGCATTATTTTTGCATTTAAGAGCATTTTTTCAGAAGAGAGAGGGGTGCATAGCTTTATTCACATTTTCTTTTCTTTTTTTAATTTTACTTTAAGTTCTGGGACACGTGCAGAATGTGCAGGTTTGTTACCTAGTTATACATGTGCCATGGTGGTCTGCTATACCTACCAACTTACCATCTAGGTTTTAAGCCCCACATGCATGAGGTATTTGTCCTAATGCTCTCCATCCCCTTCCCCACCACCCTCTGACAGGACCCGTTGTGTGATGTTCCCCTCCCTGTGTCCATGTGTTCTCATTGTTCAACTCCCACTTATGAGTGAGAACATGTGGTGTTTGGTTTTCGGTTCCTCTGTTAGTTTGCTGAGGATGATGGTTTTCAGCTTCATCCATGTCCCTGCAAAGGACATGATCTCATTCTTTTTTATGGCTGCATAGTATTCCATGGTATATATGTGCCACATTTTCTTTATCCAGTCTATCATTGATGGGCATTTGGGTTGGTTCCAAGTCTTTGCGATTGTAAACAGTACTGCAATAAACATACATGTGCATGTGTCTTGATAGTAGAATGATTTATAATCCTTTGGGTATATACCAGCAATGGGATTGCTAGGTCAAATGGAATTTCTGGTTCTAGATCCTTGATGAATTGCTACTCTGTCTTCTACAATGGTTGAACTAATAATATACATTCCCACCAACAGTGTAAAAGTGTTCCTATTTCTCCACATCCTTGCCAGCATCTGTTGTTTCCTAACTTTTTAATGACTGCCATTCTAACTGGCATGAGATGGTACCTCATTGCAGTTTTGATTTGCATTTCTCTAATGACCAGTGATGAAGAGCTTTTTTTCATGTTTATTGGCCACATAAATGTCTTCTTTTAAGAAATGTCTGTTCATGTCCTTCACCCACTTTTTGATGGGGTTGTTTGTTTTCTTGTAAATTTGTTTAAGTTCCCTGTAGAGTCCGGATATTAGACCTTTGTCAGATGGATAGATTGCAAAAATTTTCTCCCATTCTCTATGTTGCCTGTTCATGCTGATGATAGTTTCTTTTGCTCTGCAGAAGCTCTCTAGTTTAATTAGATCCCATTTGTCAATTTTGGCTTTTGTTGCAATTGCTTTTGGTGTTTTAGTCATGAAGTCTTTGCCCATGCCTATGTCCTGAATGGTATTGCCTAGGTTTTCTTCTAGGGTTTTTGTGGCTTTAGGTTTTATGTTTAAGTCTCAAATGAATCTTGAGTTAATTTTTGTATAAGTGTATGGAACAGGTCCAGTATATGATTTCTGCATATGGCTAGCCAGTTTTCCCACCACCATTTATTAAGTAGGGAATCCTTTCCCCATTGCTTGTTTTTGTTAGGTTTGTCGAAGATCAGATGATTGTAGATGTGTGGTGTTATTTCTGAGGCCTCTGTTCTGTTCCATTGGTGTATATATCTGTTTTGGTACCAGCACCATGCTGTTTTAGTTACTGTAGCCTTGTAGTATAGTTTGAAGTCAGGTAGCATGATGCCTCCAGCTTTGTTCTTTTTGTTTAGGATTGTCTTGACTATACCCCTAAAACATCGTGAACCACTCTAAATATACAGCTTTCAAATAAATTTCACATTTCTTCCAAGTAGAGCTCACTGGTAACATTAAAAACTCAAATTTATACTCAAAAGACACTGGGGATAGGGGAACAAAAGGAATAAGAGCCAAATTGTTACTGATTTTCAACAGGTACATTTGAAAGAAACAGGGTTAGAGTTGTTATTAGGGCAGTAGTGATTAGATTGCACAAATAACTGGGCAATGTCAATTCTCGGTATTCTGTGTTACCATTTCAGTTCTCAGTTTTCTGTTTGAAAAAGGACTTAAATTTTTCTTCAGCTGATTTTAGTTGAACATCCCCACTAAATATGGTAGAATGTGAAAGGCTATTTTTAAATGTAATAAACCATAAAAAATGCTTATGGTCTCAGAAATTCTGCTTGTCCTCTTAATGATGCACACGTTGGACTGTGAGCTTGTGGTAGAATGGAGTTAGACTTTTGATAAAGGTCAAAATGTTAATAGGACTTTTATTTTGTTTCTTTGTAATCCACTCTAAGGTTTCTAAAACTCAAAACTCTATAATTAAATTTATCTATTGAAATTCTAAATTTTTGTCGATCGTCATGATTCATAGATATTCTTACACGAAAACAAACAAAAAAGACTCCAAACAATGCAAAACAAAATATTAAAGCACAAAAGAAGTAATTAGACTAAAAATGGTACGTTAACTTTGATTACTGATACCACCGGGAAAATACCTACTTAAACCTTCTAAGCAGACCTCAGAAGACACTCTGTAATCTAATGAAAATTAGTTTTATAAAGTCAACAGGAGTCCTATTATAAAATAGAAATGTATGAACAACAGAGTCCACCATCTTGGCTGTTGTCTTGAAGTCATCTACAACGATGAGCCCTTCACGATGTTTTTCTGAATGTTCTCTACTGGACTTCCATTCAGAAATAAAAGATTTGGCAGATGGAATATTTTCATTCTTAATTTAATAAACTATATGTCAGAATTTTTGTTGTGTGATGCCTTTTGCCATTTTTAGTAGATAGTAGCAGCTGTAGAATTAATTAATGTGTACTTACTTCTGAGCCAAAATATGAAAAACAGAAATGATAACCCCTAAATTCTCTTACTTTGCCAAATGGAGTATCTAGAACCATGCCAAAAGTGAATGTTGAGAGAAAAAAAAAAAGAGAATAAAAGCTCTCTAAGCAGCTGAAATATTTATCGAAAGGCCATTATGCTATGTCTTTCTGCTCTTCTCCGAGAATCTATCAGACAAATGGTTGGATAATAGTGCAGACTTTAGTTGACTTCCTGGTCCACAGAAAGTAAGTCCCACAGTCACATAACGAAAGCAGGGAAGTAGGAGGTGTTAGGGAATGTATGACTGTAGTGTGGCTAGGGGAGGGGAGGCAATTCATAGTCTGAGAACAAGGGGAAAAAATTAGAAACAAATTTAATTTTATAATTGGATTTAAGAACCACAAACCCAAAACAGTTTGGAGCTCCTTAATACAAGTTAAAAATACCCTAGTGGTATTGAAAGTAGCACAGAATACAATTTATGTTATAATGATGTTCCTGGTTTATTCTAAAATTTGACCATATTTAATATTTCTGTTTAACCACGAGAGAAACGGTCAATGCTAATGATTCATACCCTGAGAATCAGTCACCTATTGATGGAAATAGCCAACTTGGGAGAGAGACAGACTAGATTTTACTTTAAAGTCAGCTATATTTTATATCAGTGCCCTCCAATAAATAATTTATTTTTCTTTTCCCTGCCTTCCCCGCCTTCTCTGCCTTCCCTGCCTTCCCTTTCTTCCTTTTCTTTCTTTCCTTCTTTTTCTTTTCTTTTTCTTTCTTTCTTTCTCTTTCTTTCTCTCTCCCCTTCCTTCCTTCCTTCCTTCCTTCCTTCCTTCCTTCCTTCCTTCCTTCCTTCCTTTCTTTCTTTCTTCCTTCCTTCCTTCTCTTTCTTTCTTTTTCTTTCTTTCAACTGGGTCTCTTTCTGTCACCCAGCCTGGACTGCAGTGGCACAATCTCAGCTCACTGCAACCTCCAGCTCCAGGGTTCAAGCAATTCTCACGTGTCAGCCTCCCAAGCAGCTGGGATTATAGGCACCTGCCACCATGCTGGGCTAATTTTTGTATTTTTAGTAGAGACAGGGTTTCACCATATTGCCTAGGCTAGTCTTGGACTCCCGGCCTAAGTGATCTTCCCACATCGGCCTCCCAAAGTGCCAGGATTACAGGTGTGAGCCACCATGCCTGGCCATATACGTAATTTATAATAGACACATTAAGTAAAATGAAGTAAGTGAAATTACTTTGAATAATATATTTTCTTTAATTTAATATATGCCAAATTTTATATGAATATATAATCAATATTTTAAAATATTTATGAAGTGTTTTACAATATTTTGGTATTGAATCTTTGAATCTAATGTATGTTTACACTTACAACAAAAGTATCTCAATTTTGGTACTAAATTATCACCTGAAATGTTTGATCTGTTCTTAGACTATATAAAATTTACTGTTGAAAATGTAACTATGTGCCCAAATTCATCCAAACACGCTTAAAATTTTCTAATAACTGATGCAAGCATTAGTTTTTAAATAAAATTTAAGGCAAGTAAACTTAAATAATATCAAAAATTCAGTTCTTGGGTTGCACTAGCCACATTTCCAGTACCCAATAGCCACATGTGGCTAGCACTGCAGTCTTTGATGGTGCTGTCCTGTGTGGATGTCTTTGGACAAGATTCTACAGCCCCAGTAAAAATGGGATAGCAAAACCAAAGAGTCAAGGTTTTGAATAGTTAGACATAATATTTAAAAAGAGTCTATCATATACTCATGACTCAATGAATAAGGAATAAATATTTTCATACAAAATCATTAAAAAATGTTAAGAAAATGAGTTTTAGATTTAAATAAAATTCATTTACCTGGGATACATTGCCCAGTGAGACCTGATTAATAAGATCTTAATGGATAAAATAAATGTCAGGTGATACTGAAAAAGATGTGTGAATGTACATGAGAAACTGACAGAGGAGGTGAATATTTGGAGTAATATTCAGAAGGTCGCTAGATGGTTTAATTTTCTTTTTTGGAAACTTCAATTTCAAGGGAGCAGTAAAAGGTAATCTTTAAAAAATAAAATTATTAAGCAGAGATAAGACACTATCTGATTAATAATTAACTTTGTAAAAAGGGGCAATATTTTATCCTGCCTTTCTACTAGGAAACTGTATAATTAAAACCACACTATATGCTATTATGTATGGCAATTTTAAGATTATATCTCTGGACATATACATAATAAGCAAGTTATTTTCAGTGCTCTCATACAGACATGGCGCTTAACTACTGAATGGTGGAAATTTTGTTTTAAATTATTTAAAATTATATTTAACAGAGGTTGCATATAATTCAATTGTAAACTTGCTTCTTACATAACTTTACCGTTTCTTCTTTTAGCTTTAGTGTAAAATTAGGCAAGGCAGAAACTCACATTATGGAAGTTCCCCTGAGAAAAGTAGTTTTCTAAAAGTATTTCTCTTTGTTTTCTTGTTCCCAATAGCGAAACGTTTTTGTAAATAATGGCCGAAAACATCACGTAAGATTTGCAGTATTTAATTCCCTTGAGATTAAAAGAATATTTTCCTTTAAATTAGTGGTAAGTTTTATCACCTTACATATACACAGATTCCTAGATAAATCCATTGTATGATTTTCAAAATACATCTTTCTGATATATTTTTATATTTGATCCATACCTCATTTTTTTTTTCCGGGCCTGCAGGGCCTGTACTATTACTGTGGTTTTCTAGATGAGTAAAATCAGGCATAGTGAGGTTAAGTGACTTACCCACGGTGGCTTGTTGACAATAGGGCTAGAGCCAGAACCCAAGCTGAGAAGCCAGTATTTTATCCGCAATTCCTTAGAGCTAAGTTACAAAGTATTTTTAGTATTTCCACTCGCTCCATGTCATTTAAGCCAACAAATAATGATTTACATAAGGCGATAAAATAATGTATTCTACAGAGACAGCAGGGCTTGGATAGTTTTGGAGAAAGAAACAAAATCTCTTAAAAACTGACCTCATTGTTTGAGCTTCTTTCCAGGAAACTTTTCTACATGTACTAATTTTCTTGACCAGGTTCATAAAGCCCTGACAAGTTTATATTCTCTGTATTATTTTTCTTCTGAACCTTCTGGGGCAGTAAGAGAGCAATGATGCTTGCTGCAAACATAGGCTTTAGAATCTGACAGAGATCACCTCCCTCTGACCTCAGTAACACTGGCCCCTGCTCAGGGCCTCAGGCCTTTGTGACTCAAATGCAATTAGAGATTGAGAAGCACTTCCATCTGTGTGCATGTGGCCACTTGTGATGCAAGACAGAGGCAGGACTGAGAAGACGAGAGGTGGGCTTCGTTCCTGAGAATATCCAGGAGTCCAAGAGATCTAAATTGGAAGATGGCCTTCCAATTTAGGTCAGTTTCCAATTAAGAAGGCCAGGTTTTTATGAAGCAATATTTGTCAAGGTAAGAGTATGATATGGTTTGGATGTTTGTCCCCTCCAAATCTCATGTTGAAATGTGATTCCCAATGTTGGAGGTGGGGTTTGGTTGGAGGCATTGAATCATGGGAGTAGATCCCTCATGAATGGTTTAGCACCATCTCCTTGGATGTAAGTGAGTTCTCACCTCAGTTAGTTCATGTGAAATCTGGTTGCTTAAAAGAGTCTGGGAACGCCCCCTTCTCTCTCTCTTGCTCCCACTCTTGCTATGTGACATGCTGGCTCCCCTTAGCCTTCTGCCACGATTGCAACCCTCCTGAGGCCTCACCAGAAGCAGATGCTGGCACTATGCTTTGTGTACAGCCTGCGGAATCATGAACCAAAACAACCCTTTCCTTATAAATTACCCAGTCTCAGGTATTTCTTTACAGCAATGCAAAAACAGACTAACATAGAGTATATGAGATATTTTGCTCAAAATTTTTTTGTTTGATTTGCTAAGTATTCAGACCTATGGAATATGAGTCTCCACCTATAATTTTGCCCTGATCCCTAAAAAATGTTGGAGGCAGATCCTGCAAGCAGAAGAGCATTTGAATTCTAAACTACTTAAACAGCTTCATAAGCTTAAGCAAACACCTTCTATAGTTTTATTCTTCATCATCTTTAAAATATGGACAATCAATAATAGTATTGGCTCCTTAGGTATAATGGTAGATGTGGAGTGTTCAGCTTAGTGTTTAGAGCATTTAGTGTCTTCTTCTCCAACCATGAGCAATGATCAATCTTGCTTTTCATGGGTTTAATGCTGATTCTTGTTGCCTTGTGACATTTGATTGAAATTATATATAGAAGAAGGTGAAGCTGACTTGACTGAGAGTGGATGGATCACTTCTGAGCTGCAGAAAGAATGTTAACTGATGCACAGTCATAACCTGGAGTTAACTGAACATGTCTTCATCTATGACCTAGTGTAGGACCAGAGTGAGTGACACAGCCACATCCAGCATCATGACCAGATAGATGATGGACCAACAATATCCATCAGGGTGGATAGAATTCCCTTCCTATTCCTGGGAGAAAGGAAAGCACCTAAAGAAGCAGTGAAAGGCATGGGAAATTCTTTCTTGTCCTCTGGGTCTGAAGTCCTATGACTTCTGTCAGACTTTGCATATCTCCTTGTCTTCCTAAGTGGGGAATGTGGGAGATCCTAAAGCCTAAGACCCAAGAATAACAAAGTAGAGGGAAAATGTTCTTAGTGAGATGGGAGTTCCATGAAATGTCCAAAAGGAGAGGAAAAAGTAGAATTAAGGAAAGCAAGAGAGGGAGTCAGGGGAATGTAGCATCCATTGGGCTACATTGAAGAAAGTTGGAGGTTGTATTAGTCCATTTTCATACTGCTATGAAGAAATACCCGAGACTGGGTAATTTATCAAGAAAAAGAGGTTTAATGGACTCACAGTTCCACATAGCTGGGGAGGCCTCACAATCATGGCAGAAAGTGAAGGAGGTGCAAAGGCACGTCTTCCATGGCAGCAAGCAAGCGAGTGTGTGCAGGGGAACTGCCCTTTATAAAACCATCAGATCTCATGAGACTTATTCACTATCACCAGAACAACACAGGAAAACCCACCCCCATGATTCAATTACCTCCCATCGGATCCCTCCCACAACACGTGGAGATTATGGGAGCTACAATTCAAGATGAGATTTGGGTGAGGACGCAGCCAAACCATATCAGAGGTAAAACTCTCTGCTAATTCCTGGGAAATGTGACAGTACATCTCTGAGGAAGTATGACAAATAAGGAAAATGCATGTGTGTGTGTATGTGTATATGTGTGTGAGAGAGAAAGAGACAGGCAGGGAGAGAGAGAGAAACAGAGATGGAGAGTTATACACGCCTTTATCCGTTTTCTACTTAGTGTGTCTGCGAGGTTGTTTGTGTGGGTTTATAATATTGGTGTCGGTAACAGGTATTTAACATTTGTGAGCTCAGGGGGAACTTTTAAAAACACAATTCTAGCACAAAAATCTTTATAAGAAAATATTTTATTTTTAATTTTCACACAGAAATGTTAAATGCTAGTGCAAAAACTTTCTAGATATATCTCTAATAGCTTTCACCAAAAATATATTAATGAAACTCTTTCTGTCATCTTGGGATTTTTCTCATAGTGAATAGACTACTTATTTCAAGGAAGACTTCTAACTTGAAATAAGATTATCCCTCTGTGACTACAGCATGAATCAGTGCCATTTATTAAGGTGTTAAATATTATTTTAAGCCTAGTCTTTGGACTCCAGTTTTGTGACAAGCCACTCAGGTTGGAGGAAAATTTGCTCAACACTACATCCAGAAATTAAACTTGAAATTTTCATTTAATTGGGCATGAATTCAAGTTATTAATATTTAGAGTGTTTCTCCCCACTTGATATGGTTTGGATCTGTGTCCTCACCCGAATCTCATGTCGAATTGTAATCTCCAATGTTGGTGGTGGGGCCTGGTGGGAGGCAACTGGATCCTGGGGATGGATGTCCCCCTTGATGTTCTCCTGATAGTAAGTGAGTTCTCATGAGATCTGGTTGTTCAAAAGTCTATGGCACCTCCCTACTCTCTCTCTTCCTACTGCTCTGGCCATGTAAGATGTACCTTCTTCCTCTTCACCTTCCGCCATAATTGTAAGTTTCCTGAGGCCTCCCCAGCCATGCTTCCTGGACAGCCTGCAGAACCATGAGCCAATTAAATCTCTTTTCTTTACAAATTACCCAGTCTCAGGTCATTCTTTATAGCAATGAAAGAATGAACTAATATAGACTAATATACCCCTCTAATATACAACATGTTTGAAATATGGTATAGGAAATTAGCCTTTTGCCCCAACTATAAAAATTTTATAATCAAATAACAAATTAATGAACTTAATAGTCATTGACAAAATAATCAATGATAACATACCAACTTTAGCCCATAGATTTGAAGGTGACATCTTCACTGTATGTACCCATGGAAGGCTAGTCCCATAGCCCTGCCCAGGTCTTTCACTGTAGAGCTGAAATGGTGAATAGATAGCCTCAGTGGTTTTCACTGAGGTAAACACTAAATTAGTGAGCACTAGAACCATGCTACTTTGAAATTGTTGTTATGTGAGGCAATAACTGTCCTTATTTTTTAGACTGCTTTCAATGGGCTTTATATAGCTTGAAGTTGTAGGTAACGTGCTTCATAAAACTAACCCTTACCAAAGAACGAGCTAGTGCAACTATCACCCCATTTCTAAATGTTTGCTTTTCTTATATCAAATAATAAATGCTATTAATGCCAATAAAGATTACTAAAACTATATACTAATATGTGTTGCTGATGATACCATTTTCTAATAACTATTACTATTTAATATTTTTCTTATTACTGTCAAATTGCTTACTCTGCTACACTCTCTTCCAGTGTAGTTTTATCACTTTGCATTCCTCACAGCAATGTGTGAGAGTTCCAGTTGCTTTGAATCTTTGATAGTAATTGCTATTTTAAAAAATAGGTAAGCAAAAATTTTAAAAATATAATCTAACACATTAATTAATTGCAGTTTTCAATATTATTAAAATGTCAATTCTCTCCAAGGAATATGGAGATTTAATGCAATCCCAACCAAAAGCACAAAAGACTTTTTTAAAAATAGAATTTGACAAGGGGACTCTAAAATGCATATAAATGGAAATGGCAAAAAACTGCTGAGTCACTGTTGAGAAACAGAGCGTTGTTCTACAAGATACACAGACTAATATTTAAACTACAGTATTTAGCATATGTTGTGTTGGTGCAGGGATAAATAAAACAATGGATAAGAACAGAGAATTCTGTTTAATTCAATTCCCAATTGAATAACCAATAGAAATGCATCCATATGTGCACCCAAAGATATGCACAAGAAAGTTTCTGATATAATTTTTTTTTAATCCTAAGATTTATTGGTCCTTACTTAGGGAAATATCTGTTGATGCCTATTAGCATTAGCTTATTAATCCCACACAGCATCTTTCCAAGGTAAATACTATTAACTATCCCATTTTATTAGGTTGGTGCAAAAGTTATTGCGGTTTCTGTCATTAATGGCAAAAACTGCAATAACTTTTGCACCAACCTAAACTTAAGAAGGAACTGATGTTTAAAACAGATCCACAGCCCAACAACGCACAAACAGTGTGGTGGAATCTAACTCAGCAATCTCTGATTCCAGAATTCAACTATCAACTTGCTGGTCCTCTACTTCCCGAAACTCTCCAGCCTACATTTCTTCCTCTTCTTCGGTTTCTAAACTCAAACTGACTTTGGAATGAAAGGGAGCAGCTGCTGAGGTAGGAAGGTCGGAGGTGGCCCTCCAAAAGCCTCTTTTCTGGAAGCTCCGCTGCCAAGGGCTCGACTGGAGTCCCAGGACATATTCAGAGGCCGCCAGACCCCTGCATGGAGGCCCCTCCCTTGCAGCTCCTGGTTACCATGATTGAATGATGTCCTGCAGCTCCGAGCCTCAGCCACCTATGTTGTCAAGGTTTCCTCTGTGAAAGCATCCAAAAACTCTGCCAGCACCTTCTTCTTTCCTTTTTTGTTTTCCTACCAGGGCCAGGCCAGGCTCTGCTGGCCATTTCCGATTAAGCTCCTCAGAAGGCATAGAGCCACTCACACTCAGAATTATTTAAAATAACACTAGACTGCAAATGCCCTAAATATCCATCAGAAATAAATGGATGCATAACATTGGGTGAAAGAAGCCATACACAAAGGTGTATACTATATGATTCAAGTCAAGAAATTCTTCTGTTTTTTTAACAAACACAACTAAGGAGCCGTAATTGTCATTACCTTTGGGAAAGCAAGAAGATGTGGGGGCTTGGAGGAGTCACAAGGGAGGCTTCCAGTGGTAGTCACATGGGTCCCTCCTTTTCACTAATTCATCAAATAGTGCCTTTGTGTTTTTTCTAAATGTGCAAGCCATTGCATTAGTTTCCTAGGGCATCTGTGACAAAGTACCACCAACTGAGTGGCTTAAAACAACACCAATTTATTCTCTCAGTGTTGGAGGCTGGAGTCCAAAATCAAGCAGCCAGCAGCCATGCTTCCTCTGAAACCCTTCCATGCTTCTCCTTAACTTCTGTTGGTGACCATTGTTCCTTGACGTCCCTCGGCTTGCAACTGTGTCACTCCAATCTATGCCTCTGTTGTCACATGGTTTTTTTCTTTATATTTCTGTCTTCGCATCTTTTTTTTTTTAATAAGGACAACAGTCATATTGGACTAAGGGCCCTCCCTACACTAATATGATGTCATCTTAATGACCCTATTTCCAAATAAGCTCACATTCTGAGATATTTGGGATTATGACTTCAACATATCTGTTTTGGGGACACAATTCAACCCATAGCACTCCTCAACAAAAAAGTAGGAAAAAAAAAAGCTTTAGTCTAACCTCCTGGCTGTCAATCTTGCAATATATACTTTCAGCTTTCTCTCTCTCTCTTTCTATCTCCCTCTCTCTCTTCGTATCTATTCATAGATCATACTATACTCAATGCTTTGATGATGATTTTTTAAATTTAACAATACATTGTAAGAGTTTTTCAAAATTATTACACATTTTTGTATTATATTAATGCTGTGTAATATTCCATTTTAGGGACACCATACTTTTTAAAGTAGGTCTCTGTTGCAGTACACTGGGATATTTTCTGATCTTTTTAATAATATGAACAGTTCTGAGTAGAACTTCTTAGTAGCTCAGTCACTGGATATATCCATAACAATTATTTGAAATCAGTTCCTACCTATAGACATCTATGGAGCTACTGCAGAATTACATGTCTTGATAACCAATAACAAACAGAAGTTTGGTACGCTCATTCCAGTTTTTATTGCCATCTGTGGTGTGTGAGAATCCCTATTCCTCTCCCTGTTCCTCTCACCCACTTTGGCACCAGTGTTATTATTCCTTTTTAATTTTACCAATTTTTTTTTACAAGGAAAATGTCATCTCACTATTTTAATGTGCACAGTGCTTACTTTTCAAAACTTTCTTACACATATGTATGCAACTCTCTAGTTTACAAAGGTTCATTCTTCTGCTCTGTAAACTGTTTCCTGTGCTTAATTTGGAAAGTGTGAAAGGCCAAATTTTTGTCATTAGAGCTACCATTTGAAATAGTTTCTGAGCTTTTAAATTTTATCAACCAATAAACTATAAAGATAAAAATAGAACTGACACAAGATTGTCAAATAAGACATCATTATTTTGCCAAATAAAGATGTAAAATGCAAACCAATAAAAACTTTTTCAAACCATCTTTTTTTAAAGAAGAGGATTTTTTAATACAAGAAA
Source organism: Homo sapiens (assembly GCF_000001405.40). Classification (NCBI taxonomy): domain Eukaryota; kingdom Metazoa; phylum Chordata; class Mammalia; order Primates; family Hominidae; genus Homo; species Homo sapiens. The sequence continues at coordinate 176,882,197 of NC_000004.12, forward strand.
TAGAATAGCATAATCTCAAATTTAAAAATTGTTTATTACATTGAACAAATATAGTTTTAAGAAAACTTGCTATAATTGTTTCTATTTTTCACATACATTGACAGACAATGGAAATTTCACTGGGAATAGCAATGTTTCTTGGATCGGCCATGATTACCTCAGTGCAATTATACTGCTATTCAGCCGACCACATCCTCATAAAGCCAGGTCACTTGAAACAATGTCTGTCTGGGTGAGTTTTGGAGGCAATTGGCAGTTTCCTTTAGGTACTGTCAGTACAATACATTGATATATTTAGACTGGGATGTTGTAGACATAGCTATGTGTGATTATGCCTATTTATTCTTGATATTATCTTTAGGGCTTCTGAATTACTAAGAAAAATCTAGATGTCATTAGGCTCCTGAATTTAGATCTCTGAATAGCAACCAAAGAAACTAATTTAGACAGCATAGTCTCAGCTTGGAGAAAATTCTACTCTTAAAGCCACATTTGTTGATTCCCTTGGAAAACATTCTTTTTTTTTTTTTTCTCGAGATGGAGTTTCACTCTTGTTGCCCAGGCTGGAGTGCAATGGTGCAACCTCGACTCAGTGCAACTTCCGCCTCTCAGGTTCAAGCGATTCTCCTGCCTCAGCCTCCCCAGTAGCTGGGATTGCAGGCTCCCGCCACCACACCTTGCTAATTTTTTGTATTTTTAGTAGAGACAGTTTTTCACCATGTTGGCAAGGCTGGTCTCGAACTTCTGACCTCAGGTGATCCACCCACCTCGGCCTCCCAAAGTGCTGAGATTACAGGAGTGAGCCACCGTGCCCAGCCGGAAAAACATTCCTTAAAAGTGTTTTACTTCCCAAAGCTTGTTCCAAAGGCTGGGCAGATTCTACACTGCAGGTATCCCAGAAGCTGAAGAAGGAACTGCCCAATAGGACTTATTTGCACTCTTCCTTAAAATGTCGCGGTGTGGAGTTGTGTTAACACTTCACGTGTCCTATTGCTTTCCCTAGATTTGTCCAGCTTCTGCCACTTACTAAGAGAGAGTATGTGTTTCCGAGGCGAATTGCCTGTTGCTAGCTGAGATTAGCAAAGCTTCGATAGCCAAGAGTAAACATTAGTTCTGGCTACTGCTTTTTATCCTTACTTTTTATCTGGTCTAATGTCAACACAAATTCTCCTATTACTGTCTTTCAAAATGACTTGGGAATATTGCGGTTCATGCCAAAATCAACATGAAAATAAGGTAGAGCATATTCTGTTTGGGCTGAGAGAGCAATAATATATTGTTGTTTTTCTTCTGTCTGCACATAGCCCTACATTTAGGCACTTTAGCATGTCCAGCCAAATTTTGCTTCCTAACATAGGTTTCATGTTCCTGTAGATGTTTTGTGGGATGCTCCTTCGGTATTAAAATGTGTATTTCAAGAGGCAGCCGTAGATTCTATTAAGCGTGTATGTAAACGGAGAACAAATTTTTCCCGATCTTTATCCTTTCTTTAATGTAGATAAATTCATTATGAGTTGTGCCCTGTGTGGGCTCAGTGGCAGGAACTTGCGAGATGCACACATTCCCAGGAAATGAGTTTATTTGCTCAGTAATATTATATAAATATATTGTTACCCCCATTTAAAAAGTCACCCTAAACACCCATAATGAAGGAAGTGCATAAGCTCTGACTCTTTAGGTCAATGTTTTCTGTGCTAAGCCATTAAAAGAGCATTTAGGAAAGGCTTAACCTTACTGAAATCATGTACATTTATGACACTAGAACGCTAAGTCTGTTAACAAGTCAGTCATGCACTTGGAATAACTGTTCTTCCAGGTTGAGTGTCTCTCTCCTCAAAACCACAATACCACAATTGCTATAAATGGATTTATAATGTTTAGCAAAAACTAAAATGTGTCTACATTTGAAGAATGGAATGGAGGTTTTAAAAAAGAATTTCGTGATTCAGAGACAGTTAACAGTCTTCTGACCTGGAAGAGGCCAAGATAGCAATTTCACCAGCAGAACCTTGAGTAAATAGAACAGCAGTTATTGTTATTTCCACTCAGGGGGAAATTACTTCCCTTGAATTGTCGTCAAGAGGAGTGGTTCTGATGATGTTCAGACCTGCTTCTGTGTCTTGGGACCAGGCCAGGACATCGCAGGAAGGGCCAGCCACTGCAGCATCACCCTCTGCGGTGCTCAGAGCTACCTCTCTGATGTTGTGGAGACAGAGCTCCTTGTAAGCCTTAACCATACCATGGTACTCAAGCCAATATGCCCACCATTTGCAAGTGCAGCATGATGTTTAGGATATAATGGGGATTTGAAGTAGGAGGCTTAGTTTTTTTTAGCTGTGTGTTAGTTATTTAGACTTGGTTAGTCATGTGATATGGAAATCAATCTGACATTCCCTACAACCTAGGGTCTATACATAGTATCTGAATAAACAAATTTGCTCTCCAATTCCCATTTCGTAGTCATTCTTTAAACACATCTTAACTAGAAGCAGAAACTATTGTTTCATGAAAATGGCTATACACTTATATATACTTTAATACACTTATGTATACTTTAGCTAAAATGAAATTTGTAATTGTGTCTGCTCTAGTGTATAATACATGCTCTCATATATAAAATAATAATTATGATGGCTTTTTGTAATCATTATTATTTAATTACAATATGTTAACAATAACAATAATAATACTCTTATATTTCACAGACTACTTCAGGTACAGATTATAATAAGATAACTCAAATCTCTACCTTTAATAGGAATTTATAATTTTGGGCTATGTGTTCCAGATGCCAAAGTCTCCTTTAAACTATCATAATTTATGAGAATTTATAATATTTAAAACAAATGAAAACTGTTTTATAATGAAATAATTTAATTAATTTGTGTGTGAAGTCAATGAATTTCTAAGACTGAATGTCCGGTTTGCCCACTCTGAATACTCTTGCATGACTGGTAGCAAAATTGGTCCTCACACATCAAACATAAGCTTTCTTCTGATGCTAGAAAGGCTGCTCTCTAGGAAAGCAAGAGTGAGATTCAATAAAATCCTGGTCTAGGTTTGAGTATGGGCTACGCTACACTGTCATGTGTGAGCTGGAGAAGTCTTTTGGCTTCTCCATACTTTGGCTTCTTAAATTGATTCATTTATTTGGCAATGATAATAATGTTCTAATGGGGCTGTTGGAAGACTAAGTAAGATAGTGAATGGAGAGTCCTACTCAATATCTGACTCATAGGTTCTCAGTCAAAGCTTTTATCATTATTATGTGATGCCACAATGTTTAGGCATTGTCTCAAGATAAAACTCAGGGAGAATTGAGTACAACAAGACAAGATCGAGTTGTACTCATTTTCCATTTTTCAAAAATGGTTTTTGTACTTTCTAGATTATAGAATCTGTGCTGAAAACTTGGATATAAAAAAATTGGATATTAAAATAATGGAGATTGATATTAAACAGGTAATCAGATAAAAATCACAAATGCTATTTAAAAGGGAGATTTATTTCCTTACATTTTATATTAAATTGTTTAGATTTGTACCTCTTTCATTTAGTTTACACCAATAAACATTCAAGATCTACCCCAGGTTAACTGTCAAAAGCCCTTATTATAAGCCCATTACTACTATAGAAGCCCACAGAGATAATGGGTTCCAGGACACTAACATTTTGGAGTTACTTAAGCAAAGACGCTGTCAATGACAGGAGCCTCCTATATCAAATCTACTCACTTGAGATTTAAGATGTTTCAATTTTGTAAGACCAATAGTTTCTATTTCTTGCTTTCTGATCCCACTAATTGTAATTCTCATTTGTGAAGTCTACCTAATAAAGACTTTTAGAAAGTTTAACTCCCATGTGCTTCAGGACCTTTGTGTGCAAGAGGGTATTAAGATTTCTGCTTTCATATCTGAGTAGTATTCATGATGAAAGATGCCCTAATGAAAACAAATTATTTCATTTAGTTCAATTCCCTGAAGTAAGAAATTTTTGGATCCTTGTTCTAAGAGAAAGTATAATTTTCTGCAATTTGTGAAAAAAGATTAGTTTTACTATGATTACCCCAAATTCTTGTTCTGTGTAGACAGATCCCTTATCTGATTAATGATGAATGGAATAGGATCCAGTCAGTCCCCTGGCTTTTCTCTTTTTACATGTAAAACAAACCAGAACATCTTTCATATTCGCTTTGACTGACAGACTCAGAGAATAGAGCTAAACTGCAAAAACAACCGGGGTGCAACCAAAAAGAGCTGTCGGGTGAGGAAATGTCTCAACTCTGTGAATGGCCTTTAAAATCCTGCATTTGCTAAGTGATTCCTCAGTTTTATTAAGAAAACATTAATTATCCTACATGAATTAATTTTTACTATTTCAAAGAAAACACTTAGCTTGTTTGTTGGTTGAGTATGGTTTTTCTTCATATTATATTTGTTTTATTAAAAATTACTTGTAATACAAAATTTGTATTTTAAAATAAATCAATGAGTTTATACAAATTTTGAAATTATTTGGGCTTATGCTACCAACTACTTATTTATATTTACTCCATTAACTATGGAGTTTATAAATTTATAAATAAATTCCATAAAAAGCCAATATGTGCAGAGAGGGTTTTTTAAGTTAGGAAAATTTAAGGTACAGTGAGGCTCCCCGTAAAATCATCATGTTGGAAAGTTTCACCACAGTAACTGTTGGCTCTCCTTGTACCCAGTTCATCCTGGATATCTGTACCTGCTCCTACCAAGACAATTTTCAGCAAAGGATTCTACCCTATGTCTTAGTGAGAATATGTTTGTCAACATTGCCATTTATCCTGTGTGAAAGAATAAGCAGATTATTTTATATTTCTGTGCCACATACATTTTCTTTCTTTCTTTTCTTTCTTTTTCTCTTTCTTCCTTCCTTCTTTCTTTCTTCTTTCCCTCCCTCCCTCCCTTTCTTTCTCTCTCTCTTTCTGCATTTGCTAAGTGATTCCTCAGTTTTATTAAGAAAACATTAATTATCCCACATGAATTAATTTTTATTAATTTTCTTTCTTTCTTCTTTCTTTTCCTTTCCTTTCCCTTTCTTTCTTCCTTTCCTCTTTCTTTCCCCTTCCTCCCTCCCTCCTTTCCTTCCTTTCTTTCTCTTTCTTTCTCCTTCCTTCCTTTCTTTCTGTCTTTCTCTCTCTCTCTCTTTCTTTCTTTTCTTTCTTCTTTCTTTCTCTATTTCCAAAGAAATTAACCTTAAAGAAATGGTTTAAAGAATGAGTTCTGACTCATAGAACTCAGTGGGACAGATTTGATTTTCTTACTCCAAGCCTCATAAGTTTATCCTCTTTTCCACTCTTGGATGCAATATAACTTAGTAAGACACTGGACTTGAAGTTCTTCCTCTTACTCTGTATGTGATCCTATGGAAATTAGCACCCTGAGTTTCATTTATCTTATATTTGAAGAGAGTCTAATAATGTTTCTTGTGTTAACTAAATATTTAACTACAGAATGTTGGCAAGGAGAAGCTGAAAAACAGGTGTTAACAAATCATTTTAATTACAAACTATACTAAATTTATGTACTCAAAACATCATAATTGTTACTAACAATAAAGAGGGCAGAGGCTGTAATATGGTTGGGCTTTGTGTCCCCACCCAAATCTCATCTTAAACTGTAACCCCCATAATCCCCATAACCCTCATAATCCCCACATGTTAAGGGTGGGACCAGGTGGAGGAAATTGAATCATGGGGGTAGTTTCCCCCATGCTGTTCTCATGATAGTGAGTTAGTTCTCACAACAGCTGACGGTTTTATAAGGGGCTCTTCCCCGCTTTGCTTGGCATTTCTCCTTCCCACTGCCTTGTGAAGAAGGGGCCTTGCTTCCCTTTTGCCTTCGGCTATGATTGTAAGTTTCCTGAGGCCTCCCCAGCCATGCTGAACAGTGAGTCAATTAAACCTCTTTCCTTTATAAATTACCCAGTCTTGGGCAGTTCTTTATAGAGTATGAAAATAGACTAATGAGGCTGTCCTCAACTTCTTTTGTATTCCTCTAATTTTCAACACAAACTGGAAATTTTTAGGAGACTCTTACTGAAGTATCAGACTAATAATTTCACTAATTGGTAACATCATGAAATTAAATCTGAAAATACTAGAGAATTCTGGGAAAATGTTATAAAAATAAATAATCTTAGGGAAAACTGTAGTTTTATTGTCAATAATTTTAAAATTTTGAGAATTGGTGTTAAGTAACCTGAGTTCTCATACCCTTTTCTGTGGCATGATTTATCAAACAGATTCAAATAAAATAGTCTCTAAGATCAATGATCTCAATCTTGATTTATAAAATAATAAGATATTTGTTTTTAAGATAAATTATTAAATCTTAATCATTTTAATTGTGATATTTGATAATAATTTGTATTTGAACATTTACAGCATTAAATTCAAGCTATATTTCTAAAAATTGCATTTCTAAATTATTTCGTATGGAAATCTGGCAGACTTGTTTGTCTATAACGTACCAAATCCCAGAATGATGCTAAGATATAATATTTCCTACCAATAATTCTTTTTTTGACATGCTTCATAAAGTTTTAATTTTCCTATATTAAAACTATCCAAACTAGAATCTGAGCTTCAGAGTGAAAGCGAGGGTTATCAAATGTGTCTAATTTGTAGCCACAAGGCACAGAATTAATTTCAGACTCAAATGCTTTGGGGAGGGAAGAAAACTTTATATCATACATGCCAACTAATCATGATTAGGTTATAAAAGATTGCCAAAAAGCAGTTTTTGAGCTGCACTTTCCCCCTCAGCATCACGAACCTCTTTTTCTTTCTCTATAGATTTTACATATGTATGTGTTATACATAATATATAATCAGTATATATTATATATCATATATATGTGTATATATATATAATCAACACAAATTTGTGCACAAACACACATATACACACTAACATGCATACAACTCTCGACATATATGATCAGGTTTCACTCAACTTTTACTACTGTTATTAAATATTTGTCTCCTAGCCTCTCAGTATTTGTGTGTTCATGTTTCTTCACCTCCAGAGGAAAGGAAAGAAAATGTATGTGGCACAGAAATATAAAATGATCAGCTTGTTCTTTCACACAAGATAAATGGCAATGTTGACAAACGTATTCTCACTAAGACATAGGGTAGAATCCTTTGCTCTATATTGTGCTGTGCAGTATTGGATTTGGCGATGGCACAGAGGAGGAGGAAGAGAGAAGGGTCGGGAGGAAACATTCCTTTCTATCACCATAAGATCCCCGTTGCATGCTCTGTCCTTGTGGATCTGACTCTTCGGTCTTTAAATACACTTTATTCTACACAGTCTATCTGATACTATATATAGACATCAACCTGCTCTCTATATCTATCTCTCATTCGTCTTTGTATCTACCACCTTTTTAAAAAGGCAACTTGAGACAGCATATGAAAAATTATACAACAAAATTAAAATGAGAAAGGTTAGGAAATTGAGTTAAAGGAAAAAGTTGACTGGGGAAATAAGCTGAGGGGAATGATAATTTAAGTTTAAAAAAATGCTACCTATTTACACTCCCAAGAGGCATTCCAGTTGTTAGTGAGAAAACTGGCAGGGGTGAGGGGCTTGTCCCGTCCCCTGCTCTGTCCCCACAATCTCTTCCCAGGGACTCATGCTCCTTTCCATAAACACTTGCACTGAAACTCCAGTCCAGTCCTGTTCTTTCTCATGCAGAGAATTCATTACTATTTGTCTTCTCAGGCATCTGTTCCATGCTTTGCCTTACTACTCTTATACCAGCTACTCTCATCCCAATTTCTTGTTGCCTAACATTGATTCTCTCACTTCACCACCTAATCTCTTTTCTTTCTGGTCCAAACAAGACTCTATAACTTCAATCCATACAGTCACGCTGCCGGCAATTTGGATCAAGAAAGAACCTTGTGCCTAGTGCCATGATGATGGTCAGGAGAGGACAGACATATTTCTAAAATCACAGGTTGGAACTAGATATTTGTTCCACCTATACAGGGAAATGATACTGTCTATATCTTATCTGAAAGCTAACATATAACCAGAGGAAATTTTAACATTCAAGTAATTAACACTTTAAGATTTCATGTTTTGTCTTTCAATTATGTGATGTTTTAAAATACCATATGATAGATAAAATGAGAGCATTTTAGAGTGCAAAAGCGTCTTTTAAGAATATAGCTTTCCCAAACACCTACGTACCTCAGTATCTCCCCCAAAGAAACAAACACAGAAACAAGAGAAATAAAACAAATTCAACCTCTTCATTGTCTGCATCAATACATACTACTTTTCGCCCCCCTGAAACACAGAAATGATGAAGTCCCTGTAGAATTAACTGAAAAATAAAGACAAAAAGACTAGAGGAGAAATAAATGATCAGTTATCGTTTCTCTTTCTGGCTTTCCCCATAGCTTTTTCAAAAACCAAATGGAGAAAAGATATATTTGTTATTCAGATATTTTACTGTAAACATTGTGCTCAACAGAAATATTCTAGATTATCTTTGTCATAGCAATAAGTAAAATTTTCAATGAATTATTCCAAAATTTATTTCATCTATTCTTTTTGTTCATAGACAGACTCAAATTATGCAGGGTGATACTTCTTTATGATTTATGATGCAATTACTTTAAAAAATAAAACTAAATTTAAGATTTTTAAACTATTAAAATAGTAGTAGTATTGTAGAAGTACATAATACTATAATATGATGACTTTATAATAATAATGCCAATAGAAATTAAAAGAAAAAAATCACTACTATCCTGAGTCACCAATAAATCAACCGATTTGAACAATTTTTGTGTTTTTATTCAGTCTTTGCCCATAGACTTCACAATCTATGCAGCATTAAAATCAAAGGCTTATAATTTTTAAAAAGTAATGTGGTCATTTTCCTATCCATAAATGAGTGATTAAAAAGTTTATCTCATGACAGGGTTTATATATGAAGTTAAGGTTTTATTCTTAAAAAATATAGTTTTGGAAGAAAAATGATTTTCTAGTAATGTTAGATAAACACGAAATCCAGGATTACACAAAAATGTCATGTAATTTATTTTTTAAAGTTTAGGCAACAAATTTTTAAAGTTTATTTGCCATCATTTCCTTATCATAGAGTACTCTAGGCTGGAGGCAAAATCTTCAGGATTTTGCAAGCACTTGGAATTTTAATTGTTACGATTTTATGTTTCCCTCCTCAAGGCTATTGATTCTGCAGCATATTCATGAAATCCTTCCACCTGGTTCAATCATAATTTTAATTGGAATTTGTTTTAGTAAATGTTTAGTAAATTATAGGAAAAAATATTTCCAAATGTGTAATAAAGGAATTATATATATTTAAACAAAAGCATGACTTGGTTTCATTGAAATAAACAAAATGATAAGGTAGCCACACATGGCCAATGTCTCTTGTGTCTTTTCCATCTAAATTACATTACCAGAAATAAATCAGATTCTGAATTGTCTGGCAACTGGTGGTGAGAGAAAGGAGGGGCACAGATTATGACAGATGAAATGGACAAAGATTGTGTGTGTGTGTGTGTGTGTGTGTATGTGTATTGTGAAAAAGTTGTTGACGATTTTATTGTGATAGGTTTGTAGACTAGTTTTTTAAATAATTTTTTCATCAGAAAGTTAATTTTGCTTCTTACCACACTTACATGAAAATTCTACAGTATGTGTAAAATAGAAGTGTGTTTCTATATATGCATGTGTAATAGCTGACGAAGAAAAATAAAGAGTTGACAGAAAAAACGGAGTATATCTTACATATCTCAGAAATAAGGAGAACCTATATGTCCCAGAAGTTATTGGTCATGGTAAGTATGTAAGAAAACTTATAAATTAAATTGAAAGTTATAGATCAAGGGAGATTTGATAGCTATTATTTTCTTCCTCTTAAATGTCATATTATATGTGTATATTAATGCCTGTGTGATTAAACACATAATTCAGTACAATTATTTACTTATCCCAAAGTTAAGACTTGGACTTTCTTGAATTCATGGCTATTACTAGTGGTCTTCATAATAATGATAATGAAATTATCATAATAATTATAATAGCTACCCAGTATCCACAGTTTCCACTGTCTAGGTCCTATGTCTTACATACATGTTTTCATTTAATATGTTCCTAATCCCTGAAGTAGAAATTGCTACCTGTCTTAGAAGAGAAGATCCCAAGGCTCAGCTAGTTCACATAGCTGGTAAGAGGTGGGCCTAAGGACACTGGAAACCAATGGTATTGTAACATCAAACTGACAAGGCCACGTGACAGAAGGATTTTTGGTACTAGCTTTTTGTCAATGTCAGTGAAGTTCTAATGGGCCATCAATGCAAAATTATATGGAATAAACTTACATACTTAGATTAAGTGATAATAACAGACAAAAACCTAGAATTTAGAAATTTCTAAACGTGATTGTTTCAAAATTCCAATTTAGAACTGTTTTCTTATGACCTCTAGTTAGTCATTAAGATATGTGGCTATATTGACACACGATTATAAATTTAGTTAAATCTAAGTTTTAATCATCTCTTCTTACTGTAAAGATTTAGACAATATCTATCAAGAATAACATAATACCTACCAATATTTTATCTACTGATAACATAGTAACATATTTTCATAACTTACTTCAAAATATGATAAGAGATATAGTTTAAGTTTCTGGCAAGTTCCTGAATGCCATGCTGTTTCTGATTTTAAAATATCTCTCAGATCTTAAAAACATTAATAGAAACAACATGGTCATTTAGTCACAAGCATTTTCATTTGTTTATTGTACTTCTATTTTTACCTAATCTAAGTACTCTCAGTTCTTGATCAGAACCCAATGTTATTAAATATTGATATTTACTCTCAGATATATTTTATACAACACCTAACATAAATGAAATGCTTGCCAGAAAATATTCATTCACTTTACACCTACAATTCTTTTTCAGCATACATGTACAAAAAGCTTTTGGTCCAAATAATAGAGCCTGACAGGATTTGCCCCAGGTAGGCCCTGGAAATGTTTTCCTTTGTGCTGGCCTATTTCTTTGTCACTAAGTCTGGAAAAAGGAACTTTTCCAGAACTTTTCCCTTGTGTGGCAGTCCATAAAAGAGGTACTATAAAACTGAGCTAGGCACAAGTTATTTGACCATATGACTTGTATAAGTTGTCAAAAACACTTTTATTTAGGACTGGAGTTTTAATTTTATTTTTAAAGACTACGTTGTTATAATTTATATTTTAAGTGTTTGGCTAGTGCTTTTACAAATTAAAACAAATCAGCTATTATATAGAAAAATACACTTTTGTACATGCAGCATTAAAAAAAAGAAAACGTAACTAACTTCTTTCAAAAGCCATAATGGAGATGATTCTACTTAGTCCACTTGACATTCCTTGACCTTTGTTACTATGATGAACACCACCCATTTAAAGCATCTATGTCACCAAGCATTTTAACTTCGCCATACAGCTCAGTGCTTAACGGCACATAATGGTATTCCTTGCCAAAATTATACATAACCCACCCCCAAAATTGGTAGTACGCATCACCATACATTTCACAGTATAGATTCTAAGGTAACTTGAATATGAGGATGAATTGGGACAAAGCTCTACTTACGCAAATGGTTCCGTTGAATGCTGAGTTTGACCTGTAACCTGCAAATTTTGGAACATGGTCAGAATAGAACAGTAAACAGTTCCGGATATTTGCTAATGTATGTTCACCAAGTACATGGAATTAATTTAAATACGTATTTTGAAGCCACTGTTTCTTCAAGGTACTTATATTTGACATAAAGATTAGTAATCAAACTATTTTTAATAGAACACATGTGCAGATTTTAGTTATTGATCAAAGTATAAGATTAAAAGGTCAGTTCAACATACAGAAATTAGTAAAAAATAAAAAGTACCTAGTGTGGGATTTCTCTATGATATTGCTATGGTATTATAATGGATTTGTTGAACTTGAGCTTTACTTTACTTATATGTTGCATGATATGCACAAATATTATCAAGTGAGTTACACAGAGTTCAGAAAAAAAAAGGTTATCTAATGGCAGGAGTATCACTTATGCCAATATTTACCCAAAGCCATTCTATTCCAATTAAAAAACTAGTTATTGCAAATGAATAAGAAGCAGTTCAACAAACAGAACCATATAACTGGCTTGATTTTTGTTTCATCTAAAACTAAGCATTTTTCTTTTATTTATGATTCTTATTTGCTGTCTTTTTTTCCCTTTACCTCTAATCCTCAATGAATTTTGTTAAATTCAGACCTCATTACATCTTTTATTAAGATAACCCTACCATTGCTTACTGAGTTGCTTGATACTTTTAAAAGAAATGCTAGACAAAATACATTCTCTCCAGGAAATTCCTAAACTCTAACCTTTCAGGGTCATAGAGAGCAGCAGTTTGTTGGTTTGGAAAGTGACCTGAGTTCAGCTCTTCTCCAAACAAACCTTCAGATGTTATCTGTGTGTTGGCTCAGAAGACTGCACTGCTAACCCATAGAGATCAACAGTAGCATGTTTTATCACTTTTTAGCTTTCCGTGAATGACATTCATAGGGAAGGAAATATATGCATCGTACGGAAAATGTTCAAAGATTCTTGAAGACTTTTTAAAAATTCCACATTTAGCAAAAGAAATCTATTTAAAAAACCAAAAATATCAAACAGAAGTTTATAAGGCTAAAGTGTTAAAGTCCTAATTAAATCTATACACTTCTTATATTGAAATTCAATGATCAATATATTCTTTAGATAGCTATTCCAGAAAAACAAAAGTTGTGGAACAATCAGTGTTTTCAGTTGAGAAGATGTATTAATATGGCTATCTTAAAATTGCAAACAATTCACTGTCATTGAACATTTTTATAATGATAATTCATTTTAGAAGACAACTTGCAAAGCAAATTTTAAAAAATTCACGGGGCATGAGGTAGGTAATCTGAGAAGTTTTATTTCCTCCTTGTGAAGTTTAGAGATTTAATCACTCATAAAATGAACAACGTTTACTGGAGTGAAGGGAAAGCTACAGTGAATTCTAGAAGCGTTTTAAGAAAACAACATTTTAACTTCTGTCTGTGCCGCAAAGCAGCTTCACAAAGGTGCTTGCTGTTTTATGTATTGTTTTTCTCCCGAAGGTTCAAACTTAAAGATCCCAACATGGCCCCAGCTGTAAAAGCACATCTTCCAGTTTAAATTAGATTGACAACTTCCTATAGTCAGGGAGCAAGTTTCAAGCTTTAAGACTACATCCACACTTAGTCAAAAAAGTCACTTTCCAAATTAATTTTAAACGGGAAAATTAAGATTAGAACCAGTGTCTAAAGGTTTAGGACACTTTAGGACACTCTATTAAACATATTGCTGGGACATAATTTTAATATATCTTACTTGTGTTAAATTGTTTTCTCCTTTGTGCAAGTGATTTGTTTTCTATTTATCAACTGTGAGTTAGACCATCTTCAATTAAACCAACAAGTTATTTTATTATTTGGGGAGTGATGAGGTTTGATAATTGGTACTTATATTGATTCTGTGTGCTATCAATGAAAACCTGAGTTACCATATTTGACATATTTAGTTTTTTTTTTTTCTTTTTTGTTTTTTGAGATGGAGTTTCACTCCGTCACCCAGGCTGGAGTGCAGTGGCGCGATCTCGGCTCACTGCAACTTCTGCCTCCCAGGTTCAAGCAATTCTCTGCCTCAGCCTCCCGAGTAGCTGGGATCATAGGCAAGCGCCACCACGCCTGGCTAATCTTTGTAATTTTAGTAGAGATGGGGTTTCACCATCTTGGCCAGGCTGGTCTTGAACTCCTAACCTCGTGATCCACCCGCCTTGGCTTTCCAAAGTGCTGAGATGACAGGTGTGAGCCACCGTGCCCCGCCGACATATTTAATTTAACATGCTGTTGTACAGCAAACACATAGATGCACCAAAAACATGCTGACATAATTTGTATATATTTTGTAAAATGCACTATATATTTTTACCCCTTAAAGCAGCCTTGTAATACAGAATCAAATTCTCTAAAATTAGACACCGGGAGGCAGCACTGTCTGGCATCTTCCCAGAAACAGTTGCCAGTTGATTCTGCCTCCTTCACACACTCATTACTACTCCCGAGTTATTAATGAAGCACTAATAAAATCAAACTCTTCAACTGTCAGATTAGTCAGCAGTTCACAATGACAAAGCCCTGCTTTCCTGGGGCTTTATTAGGTACCCGTGCCTATGCACATCAGTGTTCATGGAAACATCTCAGAGGCAAACTGATTTGAAAAACTCAGTGGCGCTTAGATTTAGCAGCAGGAAGCAACGCAAAGTGACTAAAACAATCTATAACTATTTTTAGGAGTAAATTTTATTAAAGACTCTCTAATTTTTTTTTTTAACCAAAGAGACATTATCTTATTTTGCGGAGTAAACATTAAAGCACATTTTGGATTTTTGTTCTTTGGCACAATGGCCTTAATTTTATCACCATATTTCTTTGCCTCTTTGAAAGTTTCCTTTTATTCTTCTCCCTTTGAATGAATACAATGTATTTAATTCCCTGTTTCCTACTTCTTTCGGCAGCAACACTCTCAAAGAATTTTTCTCAAAGAATTCACATGAGGCTCTTTGAAATGGTTTTGGAACAGAGCAATTTACAAATTCTCACCCTTTCCTAAATATTGTCAGAAGATCACTCCCTTTAGTTTTTTGCATTACTCTTCAGAAATACAGCCTTTGACAAGGGAAACAGAGCTTACAAATTAAATAATCTGTACACCATCCCCCTGTGACATGCAATTTACCTATACAATGACACACAATTTACCTATATAACAAATCTGCACATGTACCCCTGAATTTACAAATAATTTTTTTAATTAAAATTAAATTAAAAGAATTTGGCTTAAGGAACTTATTTTTATTTTTAAAACCATCTCCGAACCAAATTACGTTTTGAAACACAGGTTTTCAATCATATTATTGACACAACAGTGTATTGCCATCAGTTGTGAGGGGAAAAGCAAGTAATTTGTTACTAATAATACTGTATAGCATTTTGTGAATTCATTTCAGATCTTTAATGACGGCAGACGTTTTCAAAAGCATTCCAGAGTGTGTTTTAACTGGGAGAGAGAAGGGTCCAGTTGGTGCAAGTGTGCTGGGAATTGTGCATTGTGTTGAAACCATGTTATCTACACTAGATAGAGTAACCACTAGACTGAGTAACCATCATGTGTACCATTAACAGTTGTGGAAGTTATGAATTATTGTAGAATTTTTTTAGATGTCATGTTATAGCTTGTTCTGCCTTGAAAAAATTGCTTATGGATAAAAATTTTTGATATGAGAGAAGACAAGGAGAGATGAAGGAAACAGGAGTAGTACCAAAGTGTCTACTGGGTTGCTACAAAGCCTCATTGCATGCTAAGGTGTACCACCACAGTTGAAGGCTGCAAATGATCAGGAATGCCTTAAATGGCTTAAAACATCTTGGAATAAAAAGTCAAAAAGAACAAGAGGAATGCTGAAAATTTACTATAAAAATTTGAATGTATAAAAACATTCTAGTTATTTCATGTGAAATAGGTGATACTAAGAATGATAGCTATAATCATGAATTCAAAATAAGTGATTATTTAAATATTTAACATTTTTATTCATATCAATATATCTTAAAAATATCTAAAATCTAAATTTTCTATGTAGATAATGATATATAATTTACTTATTCTTGCTTTGTAATAAATAAGCATGCTTACTTTATTAGTGATAACTCTGAAAGCCCCATAACATTTATATTTATTTTTTCAACTGTAATTACGAAAAATGCTGAACATAAACAAAAACAGACAGAATAGCATAATAAACCCACATGTATTCTCGATCCAGTTCAACAGTTATCAACTCACAGTCAATTCTGTTTTATCTGTTCCACCAACCACTTCCCCATAACCATATTATTTGAAGCAAATCCCAGATTGTATAAGTCCATCCATAAAATGTTTACATTACCCAAAAAGATAAGAAGTCTTTACTCACACAATTATAGTGAAGTTCATTTACCTAAAATCTATAATAATTACTCATTAAATATCAGGTCAATATTCAAATTTCCAATGATCTCATGAATATCCTAATTATATGTATTTCAATATGACTGAAACAATCTCAATGTTTTGTGATGGTTCCATTTCTCTTAAATCTCCTTTAATCTATGGGTTCATCTTCTTCTTCTTCTCTCTCTCTCTCCTTTTTTTAAACCTCATACAATTTACTGTTGAAGAAGCTGGGAAGTTATTTTCTCCCAGTCTGAACATCACTTATTGTATCCCTGTGGTATATTTTAACTTGTTTCCCTGTCCTCTTATCTAAATATGTGATTACACTTAGATTTGCTTTTTCCATTTTTTGGTAAGATTTGTTTATGGGTGATAATGTGTTATTTCAACCAGAAGCCCATGATATCTGCATGTTCCTAATTTTGTGAGGTTAGCAGTAGCTATGCTTAATGTGATGATCTTTCAATAAATATCTTAATGCTGTATGGTGGGACTATTTTTATTCTATTATTTCTTCTTTATTAACTGAAATATTTATAAAAGAAGAAACTCATTTATTGATTTGGCTATTCAGTGGCACAGTGCACAGGAGAGGTTGGGTAAATGTTTGAGTCTTTACCTATATGCACCAGCTATTCAAAAGAGTGAGTCAGTTCTCTACTATCCAGAGGTGACCAGTTGGCTAAGTTATGTTAGTATCACTCACTATAGCTATTTGAATATAAACATTTAATGTATTGAACTATTTATACTCAAATTTCCCATATCAGGCTATGGGAGCCACTTCAAGATGACTGCTGAACCCGTTGGGCACAACTTTTAGACTTTCGTTATTTTCTTGATAACTGGCCTGAAAGATGGTCTAGGATTTTCTTGACCATTTCTTGACTAAGACCTGGAATCAGCCATTTTTTTTTTCAAGGATCCCTAGTTCCTTTTAATAGAAACAAATCTTAGTCTTGATATCAACTCTGGGTGATATTGAGGCTTATTGTTATGTGGTGGGTCACTGTTTCTAGACTTGTGAAATAGATGGAGCTAGGAAATATAATGTTAAGATAAAATACATCAGTAGTATATTGATACTTTGAATTAAAGACCATGACTATGGGAGTTTTGTTTAAAACCTTCTATTTTGCATTTGTTTCTTCTTTTTCCCAAACTTAGAATTCTAGTTCTCAATAATACCTGAAATAATATCCTTAACATATCACATAATTACTCATCTACTTTATTTAATTATATACATACAAACTCTAATAATAGCACCGAAACTACTTGCAAAAATTGGCTGCTGAAAGTAGGGTTTTTTTCAGTTAATAAGTTACATCCCTTTGACAATGCCTAGTCAAATTATTGTGTTTTAATATCATTTGTAGTCATTCTTCCATCAACTAAATACATATTTTATTTCTTTGCTTTATTTTATATTAGTTTTTTTAGAGATTGCTTTTTTTGAAAAAAAAGTTTATAATTATGTAAAAAATTTCCATGTAGTTCCAAAGTACAATCTACAAAACTAGATATGCTCTAGTCTAGCTTGTCACCGTGTTGTATCGACCCTATTCCTTGTCTCTTGCTTTAGCTAAACATTTTAAAAAGTTATTATTTATCCTTTCATTCTTTAAAACTTCAGATATATACACAATTATGTTCTCACATTACTTATATAAATAGCAACATTATATATCGATATCTCTATATATTCTTTTTACAATTTCATTGTCATATTTGTTCAGTCTTTTATTGTGTTTGATTCAAAAGAGAGTAACTAAAAAGAAAAATGAAAACATTTATTTGATTAAGTCAGAGGAAACAAAGAAATTTTTCCAAGTCTTTGACACTGCTTAAAGCTTTATGTATATTTAAAATGACCTTGCAAATACTAACAGAAATGACATGTGCTTCAAAAGAAGCACCATCATATCTAAGATGGTGAGAAATTAGTTATGAAATGAGTTAGAATATTCAGTGATTTGGTCAGAGTGGTTGAATTAGTTAGTGGTAGTTTTTTATTGATTGATACTTATCTATTATTTTTAAGATGTAACATTTAGTAACGAAGCTCAAATTTGGTTGCTTTAGTTCTATTTTATTGTGAGAAAGAAAAATAAACTAAAATCTTTCTCTCAGGTAAAAAATACAAATGTCATAAACTGATTGATTAAAGCCCCAAAGTTTTATTTAAGTGATAATACTCAATGTCCACAAAAGTAAGGAGAGATTAATATCCTCCATTATTGATGTTGAGATCATGAGAGTGTAAAGTAATACGGTATTTTCAGGGTCATTTAGAAACTGTTCTACCTATGTGGTGAAGGTTTGACCTAGCCATTGCACTTCTAAAATGTTATCCTAATTTTTTTTCATACAGGTGTGAAAGATAGTATATACAAGCATATTCACTTAATGTTTTGTAATAGCTACCTCCTGCCATAAAAAATAAAAAGAACTCATCTTTTACCAGAAGCATTTTTATAAATTAAGGTTTATCACACAATTAAATGCTACATAGCCATGAGAAAATGAACTATATCTACATATTCAAAGATGGCTAAGATGTATCATAGAGTGAAAAAAATCTTTAAAATCTATAGAGAGAATATAGAAAATTATACCAATTGTTAACAGGGATTAACTTTGAGAAATGGGGCTTGGAGGTGAATGTGTGTGTGTGTGTGTGTGTGTGTGTGTGTGTGTGTGTTTATGTGTATGTATTTTGGGAGAGGCACCATATTATATATAATTGTGCATGGGCTTGGAGGTGAATGTGTGCGTGTGTTTATGTGTGTGTATTTTGGGAGATGCGTCATATTATATATGATTGGGCATGGTTTGGATTTCTACATTTACATTTCCAATAGTTCTTTTAAGTATTTGAATTTTTCTTTAAGAATTGCAACTAACAGCCGGGCGCGGTGACTCACGCTTGTAATCCCAGCACTTTGGGAGGCCGAGGCGGGTGGATCACGAGGTCTGGAGACCGTGGCTAACAAGGGGAAACCCCGTCTCTACTAAAGAAAAAAAAAATTAGCCGGGCGTGCTGGCAGGCGCCTGTAGTCTCAGCTACTCGGGAGGCTGAGGCAGAATGGCGTGAACCCAGGAGGCGAAGCTTGCAATGAGCCGCCGCTGCACTCCAGCCTGGGCGACAGAGCGAGACTCCGTCTCAAAAAAAATAAAAAAGAAAGAAAAGAAAAGAATTGCAGCTACATATTATTAAAATGATTTCCATCTGGTAGCAACATGCTTGAATTGTAAAAAAAAGAAATTAAAAAGGAAATAAAACTCATCTATACTAAGAAACTAAAGTGATAAATTAAAAAGCACAGATCAAAAATCAAAGTTTTCATGCATTTAACAGCCATGCCATATAATAAAATACACTGGAGCTAATGATAGTAGAATCGAGCCCATTACAGTTCTTTGGTTTTGACAAATTTAAACAATTATCTTTCAGCACTCCTCCACGTTATCATTTTAAACTTTTAAAAATATAGAAAGTGAGAACATTAGGGAAGATAGGGGTAAGAAAATCAGGCATTTTTTTCACATCTTGTATATATATATACACATCTCTCTCTCTCTCTCTCTCTATATATATATATATCTATATAGAAAAAAATATAGAGAGGCTTGCTACCTTCAGATAAATGACTTTTTGCACTATACACACTTTTGTTAAAAAAAAAAAAAACCAAGGCAGAGCACTGTGGCTCAAGCCTGTAATCCCAGCACTTTGGGAGGCCAAGGCGGGCAGATCTCCTGAGGTCAGGAGTTTGAGATCAGCCTGGGCAACATGGTGAAACCCCGTCTCTACCAAAAATACAAAAAGTTAGCTGGGTCTGGTAGTGTGTGACTGTAGTCCCAGCTACTTGGGTGGCTGAGGCAGGAGAATCGCTTGAACCTGGGATCACCACTGCACTCCAGCCTGGGTGACAGAGCGAGACTCCCTCTCAAAAACATAAAAATAAAAATAAAAGCCTAAAAATAAAATTTCCGTCTTCATTGAAATAGACTACTAAGGAATTTTGACAATTATAATTTATTATTACTATTATTATATTTTAATTAAAATTCTTGGCATTGAATGGGCTCAGAAGGGGGTTGGTTTCCACAATTTAAGATTCCAAAGAAATTCCATATCACAATTTTGTTCAAGGAACAGTTTACATAGGTCACGTTGTGCAGTGGACTGAACCACAGGCATGCAGACAGCGCTGGTGTGAATATTTTAGGCTCCAGCAACATACTGCCTCAACTTCTAGCCCTGTTTCAGTGTTTCTCATTGGTAAAAGGAGATTTTAGTCTTATAGATGTTAGACTTCTCTTCAATATCACATGCTGCATGATTCTAGGTAGTCAATATAAAATTAATCAATAAGAAAATGGCAAATATCAATTAAATGTGTGGTGAAACATTTACTTACCAAGTTCTAATAGTGTTAGAGACAGAGTCATGGAAAAATGGGTCAAGCCAGAAAATGTTCTCTACTGCAGGAGTCTCAGATTCAGACATCTACAGGTAATTTGGATCAGTAAAGGGTGCTGGATTTAAGGCAAAAGAAATGGTGAAGGTTGTGGCAGATATGCATTGCATCCAGCGGCTTGTCGCCATATAGGAATGTGGATCGTGTTGATACGTTTTTCTGATTTTCAAGAGAAGTCAAGAATTAGGACTGTTTCATGAAATTTCTCAATTTCTAAAATATTGTGATGGTTAAACAAAGCATGCCTGTGGCTTAAATACAGACTCTGACTTGCCCATCAGTGACTCCTATTTCCAGAACTGTCTATGAAAACAGCTAGAATTAGTAGTATAGTCATTTCCTCTTTGGGTGAATCTGTGGTTTTGAAGATCACATCATTAAAATGAAATGAAACATAAATGTATTTGTCACACTTACTCATATCTAAAAGGAAAATGAAAGCGAAGATGGTGGACTACATTTTCCTGAAGCCACTGTATAGCTTAGAAAGTGGAAAATTACAACTTAACAGATTTGCAGTACTGGTTTTGGAGTCTCATATATACAGTATATTCCTAAAATTATTTATAATTTCTGATTATTTATAAGATTATTTGTGATTTCTAAGATTATTTATGATTATTTATGATTCCTAAGTTATTTATGATTTTTGTGTGTAATGCTGGAGCTCAATTTCTAAACAATGCCTATTTATCCAGGCTTGATGCACTACAATTCTCTCTGGATTACAATTCTATGATCTAGCTTTAGGCCCTTTCTTTGCAAAACAGAGAAAGGCATTTGAGTTGCTTCATTTAAAGCAATAATTAAATATATGGCAAAATTACAGGAGACATATAAAATAATACATAGCTGTAATCATTGACTCATATGCACTATCAGTTATAGCTAAAATATACAGCAAGGACCTGTCTGTACCATGTGTGTTTCTTATTCCCCTCACAAAGCAATCATTTGGGGAGCTTTATGTATTAAACGTACTGGCCACAAAGGACTTTATTTGGGAATGCTGCTGTGCTTGCTCTGGCATAGATTTTCACTCTGAAAATGTCTGTTGAGATGTGATGGCTCAAATGTTTTCATTTCCAATAGTATGTCATGGTACATTTTTCATATATATAAAGTTTTGGTGCCGAAGATTGGTAAATATTTTTACATAAAATTAAAAACTAATAGAAAAATGGAGAATACTATACTATCTTAGGCTTATTCCTCATGTTACACAAAGAGCTTTCTTCAGCATTTAAATAAATACTGCAAATACTTTCAAGGTAAGATTTATGTTAACACTGAGAAGAAAGGATATGTTGAAACCGTTTTGTTCATTTAATCAAATGTAAACAATCATTCTAGAACATTCAGATTATGATACATAGAACTTGAAATGATCCAAATTTCCTACACTCCTTTATCCAATTAGTCAAATATTTGCCAATTTTCTCATACAGCAATAGTTGAACAAGCCTATATTGGCCATTTTATATGGACAGACTGTGAAATCTCAGAAGCTCTTCCATTGGTCCTCTGTGATACACATTTGCTCTCGGAGGTAGGAAAGTGTGGTAGCAATGGAAAATGTGTGTGTACAGTGGACTAGTAACAAACACTGTCTCCAAGGGCCACAACTCAGGAGGTGATACAACTAGTCCAAAGATGTGTGGCTTGTGTTTTGCCCATAAGACCAAGTCATTGGAAAAGCTTCAATAAAAATTGTTTTTACCACATTTAGCTTTCAGGTTAATTTGTTTTTGCTTTCAGATGCAACATATCCTTGCTCTTGGTCTTACAGGTAATCAACCAAAGAATAACAATTAGGTTTAACAATGCGGAAGAAAACACTAATAAGCTGTCAGAAACCAATGTCTATCTGTAGCCTCTGAGAAACAGAGTCTGTATTTGTGATTGGAATACACAGGGCATGGGGAAATATGGTAACATTCACCTATAGCCAAAAGTTCTGAGATCAGCAGCTCTCTCTACCTTCTCCACTACAGCACCCAGTGCTGAAGAGTGCACATTGTAGGTGTACAGTCAAGATTTGCTGATCGAATGTGGCTAAGTGCACAGATTTCTCATACACATACTTTTCTATGACACCTTGTTTTTCATAAACTAGGAAATTTCACCTTGTACAAGTTATAAATTCCCATTGTTAAAAGGACAGAGACAAGAAAAGGAAGGACATTTTAAAAGCTAGCTATTCTGTTCCACCCATTAATATTTTGTTATAATATCACAAGACTAAATTGTAATAAACTCTGTTTCAGCTACGAAGAGCACTGGCCAAATAGCCAAACAGAAAAGTGTTAAACTGAGTATACTGGGGGCTTTCTGAAACACTGCTCTTTGTCTAGCTAAATATATATATATATATATATATATATATATATATATATATATATATGCTCACACACACATAGAGAAATATACACACATTTTTTTCACAATTTCAAATTACTCAAACATCGTATTTGATGATTCTTTGCCTTAGGGGAAAAAATTAGGGTAATGAAGAAGCTTTAAAAGACAAATATACTGCTTTATTTGTTTTCAGAACCATAGTTTTTGCTGATTACAAAAGTTCTGGCACTCACTGGTTATTGCAGTTTTAATATGCATTAATATTGTTATTAATTAATATGCATTACTTTTTCTGGTTTTAGTTTTTCAGTTTTCTTTTCATTATATTTTTTCTTTTTTCTTGTATTGCTTTAATGTTACTTGAGCAAAAATATGGATAGAATGATGAATTTTAATTAGTATGTCTTTTATTCCAGTGTACCATTCATACACCTCTTTGTTACACATGAAAAAATAAAGAAAACTATGGATGTACTAAACTTTAACTTTTGAACCATTGCTACAATTTGACATATGCTGGAATTTAATCCCCAAGGTGATAGCACTAAGAGGTGGGGACTGTTGGGAGGTGATTAGGCCCTGAGAATTCCACGCTCATCAAACTCTATCACTTTGACCCTTCCACCAAGTGAGGGCACAGCATCCATCCCTTCCTCCCTGTGAGAACAAGGTGCTATCTCAGAAGCAGACACTGGGCCCTTGGCAGACACTGAATCTGCTGGTGCATTGATCAATGAAAATCGATCAATTTCTCACCTTCCAGAACTGTAAGAAAAAATTGTATATTATTTATAAATTATGCAGTCTGTGATATGTTGTCATAACAGCAGGAATGGACTAAGACAACCATTAATGTTAATATTTCTCATTTGGCTGTAGTTGATAATTAAGTATTATATATTAGAGAAAAGTACATTTATAATCTGTCCCTAAAAGCCTGAAACCTTGTCAAGTTGAAAGAAAGAAAGAATATTTTGACATATTGCAAGAATGTTAAGAGAAATGCTAAGAATTCTTCTTTAAATTTATCTCATTAGTTGATTTGCTTCCAATGTACAGTAAGAAAAAAATAAGTGTGCAACATTTTCATAAATGTAAACCTCACAGAGAATGGATCTTCAATAAGGCTATATCTATAGGACATCAATTTAGAGGTTAGAGTCCCAAAAAGTATTGTCATAAGACATCTTAACAAATAATTGAATTTCTAAATAAAATACGTTGATAGTTTTCCCATGTGAGATTTTTTTTTTTTCTGATGGCTACCAATATGTCAAGTTCATGAAGACAGACTCAATATACAATAGATCCATTCACTGAATGCAGATTCTAGGTGAGACAAATTTGAGTTGTGTCAAACCATCGAGATGATTTACACATAACCTTCTAAAACTAAGAAACGTGCCTGCAACTAGTCATATGTCATTTGGGTATCTGTTTTACAGATTGTGTTTTATTTTTTTAAGTTTTGTAATAATAGTTCTAAATATTTATACAAGTAACTGTAAGCTGTAGTTACTGTTAGTCATTATTTTTGTCATATGTTCCAAAAGGAAATATTATTTTGATTTCTTCAGAAACAAATGAAAATGCAATGTATAATAGTTGATATATCAGCAAATGAAACACCTTTAAAAAATAAATTTCCTCAAGTAGCAAACACGGTGTCAAGAACTACGTAAATCAAGCTGTGATCGGTCCTGCATTCTTCCCTGTCACTGGGACGTCACATAAGTCTACTGCACTTCCGGTACTTTCCAGTTTTATGAGTAATTTTACATGCAATAAAACTTCTTCGAGCTCTTCATTTGATCGGGGATGACTGTGCAGCACTATTGGTGTCCAATAGATCATTTCTGGTATGGTTTCTTGCTTGGCCATTGCCAGTTTCAAACTGCATTGAATCCAAAGATTCTAATAAGATAAATATATTTCTCTAATGACCTTACAACAAATAATCCAGTTAATTTTCATTTCTGATATTTTAAAACTTGGAAACACTAATAAATTGTCTTTTACTTAAACCAAGTAAATGTAAATGACACTGTTCAGTGCCACAATTTGAATCTTATAAATATATTAAAACAATTTTTTATTGTGCACTAATGTCAGCATGCTTTCTAACCTTTGTAATCAGTATCAAACCCTATAGTATAAACATTAAGTATATGAGCATGAAATTGAGAGCCTAACAAGCAAACACGATGATGTCAAAGTTAAATTTAAAATTGATTATATTGAAAGAAAAACTTGCTGTTTGACTTTATTGATCAGTTAGCAAAATCAACTTTATACATTTTCTAAAGAAATAAACAGTTCATCACCACTTAGTGGATATTTCAAATGTTTTGCATTACAGTTGCAGAAATTGACTTTTGTGGCTATTAGTAGTCGTAGTAATTTTTAGTATTAATATTATTAGGAGGAGGCAGCACATTATTTCTTAAAGGACCAGATGGTGGTATTTTAGGCATTGCAGGCCAGAGGTCTTTACCACAAATACTCAGTTCTGCCATGATAGCTTTCAGGCTATCATGGAAAAGACATAAATCAATGAGTGTGGCTGTGATCCAACAAAATTTTGTTTACAAAAACAAACAGCTGGACCACAAGTGATAGATTATCAACCTCTAGATCAGTGGCATTTCATAGTTCTGTAGTGTTTTTATATTTTCACAAACAAAGTAACATAGCTATCTTGTGTTGCCTAGGCATGGACATTCACTTTTGCAGATGAGGAAACAAGAATTCAGAGTTGATTTGCACATACGAAGCAAAACAAGTGAGATCCAAGCCTCCAGACTCTACAACAGATGCTTCCAATATCTATGTCTAATGAAGTAAACTACTCTGAAAATCAAAATGTGTATTTTTTAAATTAATAAAAACTTTCTTTCTACCTCATTCTGAAATTTGTCATACAAGAGCATGAAGACAAAATAATAGCACAATCTCAGATCCCAGCCCATGGATCTGACATATGCTTAAAATTTAGGAATGGAGGCCCTTAGCCATGTTTAGGAAGACTCATGCAGACACAGAGGACTAGATAGCTGTTGCTACTTCATTGAGAAGAGTCAATTCCTTATTCAAATACTATTAAAATATTTATAGAATGAATTAATACATAAACAACTTTAAAGACATGATTAAATATGTTCTGAAAGAAATAATTAGGAATGATAATAACAACATAGTTTTATGTACATACTGAACCATTTGGATTCAATTTATTCAACAATTACAAAACAATTATTGAACACAAGGTCTGAGTTAGATATTTCTGGAGAAGCTGAGAAGATCCAGGCATAATTCCTGTTTTGAAAAGGCTAAAATATAAAAGAAAGACATGGGAATTTTTAAGGGCAATCAAAAGAGGAAATGTATATGTTAGACATAATAAAAGTGTAGGTTTTTAAAAGGTAAGTGAAATAATACTATATTTAAAAATATATGCAATGGTCAAAATATACTTTATTTTTTTCAATCTACTAACTGATTATTAATTACAATCTTACAATTTTGTTTAAAGGTACATATTATTTAAGAAAAAGAAGAAATAAATTAGAGAAACAAAAAGAATCAGAGTCAATCTGAAATAAAAACAGATGCTAAATGCCAACATCTTTTTTTGGATACTGCAAAGAAAGTTATTTCCATACGTGGATTTTGTAGCCTGCAACTTTACTGAGTTCATTAATTAGTTCTAATAGGTTTTTTTTGGGGGGGTGTCTTTAGGGCTTTTTACATATAAGATCATGTCATTGGCAAACAATTTTTTTCTTCCTCTCTTATTTAGATGCCTTTTATTCCTTTTTCCTCTTAATAGCTCTGGCTAGGACTTCTAGTATCATATTGAACAGAAGTGGCAAATGTGTGAATCCTTGCCTTTTGACAGATCTTAGAGGAAAAACTTTGTTTTCCTCAGTGAGTATGATGTTAGCTATGGACTTTTCATACATGGCCTTTATTGTGTTGAATAGTTCCATACCGAATTCATTGAGAGTATTTACCATAAAATGGTATTGAATTGGAAAATGCTTTCTCACATCTATTAGATAATCTTGTGATTTTATCCTTCAGTCTGTTAATGTGATGGACCACAGTTATTGATTTGTATAGGTTGAACTGGCCTTGTATCCCAGAGCGAAATCCCACTTGGGTCCTTCCAATATGCTATTTAATTTGATTTTCTAATATTTTGTTGAGGATTTTTGCATCCATGTTCATCAGGGATATTGTCCTGTATGTTATTTTTTGTTGCAGTGTCTGCTCTAGTTTGATACTTGGTCCCACCAAACCTGGTGTTGAGGTAGGACCTAGTGGGAGGTGTTTGGTCCTGCGGGCAGATCCCTTATGAATGGCTTTGTGCCATTCTTGTGATAGCGAGTGAGTTCTGGCTCTACTAGTTTCCACCATAGCTGGCAGCTGAAAAGAACCTGGCACATTCCCCTCTTTCTTGCTTTGTCTCTTGCCATGTGATCTCTGTACATGCCGACTCTGCTTTGCCCTCTGTCTTGTGTGGAAGTAGCCTGAGGCCCTCACCAGTAGCAGATGCTGGCATCATGCCTCTTGTACAGCCTGCAGAACTCTGGGCCAACCAAACTTCTTTTCTGTATGAATTACTCAGCCTCAGGTATTCCTGTATAGCAACACTAAACAGACTAAAATGGTATCCTTTTCTGACTTTGGTACCAGGGCAATGCTGGCCTCATAAGATGGGTTTGGAATTGTCTTAGTTCAGGCAATTATAACAAAGACCATAGACTGGGTGGTTTATAAAAAAACAGAAATGTATTTCTCACAGTTCAGGAGGCTGGAAATCCAAGATAGAAAGGCCACCATGGTCAGATTCTGGTGAAGATCCCCTTTTGGGATGCAGACTGCTGACCTCTTGTTGTATCCTCACATTACAGAAAGAACTAGAGACCTCATGGGAGTCCCTTTTACAAGGGTATTAATCCTATTGATGAGGCTCTAACCTCATGAACTAGTTACTTTCCAAAGGCCCCACCTATTAACACATTACATTGGGGGTTATGATTTCAATATATGAATTTGGGGGAGAACACAAACGTTTAGCCCATAAGAAGTGTTCTTTCTTCTATTTTTTGGAAAAGTTTGTTTTAAATGTTCTTTAAATATTTGGTAGAGTTCACCTGTAAAGCCATCTGGTCCTGGGCTTTTCTTTGTTTGAAAATTTTGATTATGGCGACAGGGCCAAGATGGCAGACTAGAAGCAACAGCATTTGGAGGCTCCCATGAAAAAACACATAATAAGCATGTGAATCCTTCACCAGCAACCAAAGTGTACAGGTTCTCTCATCAAAATTGACTAGAAGGTTGGTGTGATCCATGGAGAGAAGGAAGAGCAGTGCAATGTGGCAGCCCAGCTGAGAGCCACACTGGGAAGGGGAACCTCCTTCTCCCAGCCAAGGGAGGCAGTGAGTGAGCACGCTATCCAGCCAGGGAAACTGCTTTTCCTATGGAACTGTGCAACCCGTGGACCAGAAGATCCCACTCCTGAACCCATGCCACAGGGGACTATCATACCAAGCCCAGATGTGCATATTCTTACAGCCTCTTAGCTGGAATCTGCTTAAGCCTACTGAACTCCTGGGGGAGAGGTGACTGGCAATGGCTGCAGCTGCCTGCTGTCTAAGCCTTTTGAGCTCCTTTGGGGAGGGGCAGCAGCCAGCACTGGGACTTGCAACTGCCTAACACATTAAGCCTCCTGGGCAGAGGAAGGGCGGCACCCATTTCTATAGCTCCAGACTGTGCTTTTCTGCTGCTGGAGCTAAGGAGGCTGGATGGCTTGATCCCAAGACTTGTTCCCACAACCCAACACACCAGCTGTGGCAGTTTGCAGCCAGAGTGTGTCTTCAGGACTAACCCTGACCCATCCTTCCTCAGTGGTCAGGGCTTCCCTGCAAGATCTCCAATAACTCCAGCCAGAGGTGCAGGGAAAGAATTTGGATCTCCCGGGGCCTGAGCCCCTAGAGGGAGGGATGGCCACAGTTTCTGCAGACCAGCAGACTTAGCTTCTCCTTCTGGTAGTTCTGAGGAATCCAGGCAGCCCAGATTGAGTGAGTTTCCCCCCAGGGAAACACACCCTCTCCACCAAGGGACAAAGTGCTTCAGTAAACAAGTCCTGCTCCCCATGCCATCCAACTGGGTGAGACCCTCCAACAGGATTTGTCAGACACCCTATACAGAAATAATCCTACTGGCATCAGGTTGGTGCCTCTCCAGGTCAGAGATCCCAGAAGAAGAAGCAGGCACCCATCTTTGCTACTCTCCAGCCTTCTTGAGTGACATCTCCAGGCATGACAGCAAATCAGATGAATAGGGCCTGAAGTAAACCCCCAGCAAACTGCAGCAGCCCCACAGAAGAGGGACCTGACTATTGAAAGAAAAACAAACAAGCAGAAAGTGACAACAAAAGCATCAACAACAACAACAAAAAGGCCCCCACAAAAACCCCATCCAAGGATCAGCAGCCTCAAAGACTGAAACTAGACAAACTCAGGAAGATGAGAATCAATGAAACAATGCTGAAAACCCAAAAGGCCAGAATGCCTCTTCTGCAAATGATTGCAACATTTCTCCATCAAGGGTGTAGAACTGGATGGAGGATCAGATGGACGAATTAACAGAAGTAGGCTTCAGAAGACAGGTGATAAAAAACTACAATGAGCTAAAGGAACATGTTCTAATCCAATGCAAAGAAGCTAAGAACCTTGATAAACGGTTAGAGGAATTACTAACTAGAATAACCAGTTTAGAGAGGAACATAATAACCTGATGGAGCTGAAAAATACAGCACAAGAACTTCATAAAGCATGCAGAAGTATCAACTGCCAAATCGACCAAGTGGAAGAAAAGATATTAAGAATTTGAAGACCACCTTTCTGAAATAAGACATGCAGACAAGAATAGAGACAACAGAATGAAAAGGAATGAACAAAGCCTCCAAGAAATATGGGACTTCATAAAAAGACCAAACCTACAATTGATTGGAGTACCTGAAGGAGACGGGGAGAATGGAAACGAGCTGGAAAACACACTTCACGATATTACCCAGGAGAACTTCCCCAACCCAGCAAGACAGGCCAACATGAAAATTCGGGGAATACAGAGAACATCATTAAGATACTCCACGAGAAGATCAACCCCAAGACACATAATCATCAGATTCTCCAAGGTTGAAATGAAGGAAAAACTGTTAAGGGCAGCCAGAGAGAAAGGCCAGGTCACTTACAAAGGGAAGCCCATCAGACTAACAGCAGACCTCTTAGCAGAAAGTCTAAGAAGAGAGTGGGGGCCAATACTCAACATTCTTAAAGAAAAAAATTTTCAACCCAGAATCTCATATCCAGCCAAACTAAGCTTCATAAGCAAAGGAGAAATAAAATCCTTTCCAGACAAGCAAATGCTGAAGGATTTCATTACCACCAGGCCTCCCCTGCAAGAGCTCCTGAAAGAAGCACTAAATATGGAAAGGAAAAACCTGTACCAACCACTGCAAAAACACACCAAAATATAAAGACCAATGACTACACACCAAAATATAGATCATGAAGAGCACACCAAAATATAAAAACTACGAAGAAACTGCATCAACTAATGTGCAAAATAGCCAAATAGCATCATGATGACAGGATCAAATGCACACATAACAATACAAACCTTAAGTGTAAATGGGCTAAATGCCCCAATTAAAAGACACAGACTGGTGAATTGGATAAGAAGTCAAGACCCATCAGTGCTCTGTATTCAGGAGATCCATCTTACATGCAAAGGCACACACAGGTTCAAAATAGAGGGATGAAGGAAAATTTACCAAGCAAATGGAAAGCAAAAAATAGCAGGGGTTGCAATCCTAGTGTCTGACAAAACAGACTTTAAACCAACAAAGATCAAAAAAGACAAAGAAGGGCATTACAGAATAGTAAAGAGAACAATTCAACAAGAAGAGCTAACTATTCTAAGTATATATGCACCCAACAAAGGAGCATCCAGATTCAAAAAACAAGTACTTAGAGACCTATAAAGAGGCCGGGCATGGTGGCTCACATCTATAATCCCAGCACTTTAGGAGGGCGAGGAGGGTGAATCACCCGAGGTAAGGAGTTCGAGACCAGCCTAGCAAACATGGTGAAAACCTGCCTCTACTAAAAATACAAAAAATTAGCCAGGTGTGGTGGCACATACCTGTAATCTCAGCTTCTTAGGAAGCTGGGGCAAGAGAATTGCTTGAACCCAGGAGGCAGAGGTTGGAGTGAGCTGAGACTGGGGCACTGCACTCCAGCCTGGGCAACAGAGTGAGACTCAGTCTGAAAAGAGACAGACCTACAAAGAGACTTAGACTCCCACACAATAATAGTGGGAGACTTTAACACCAAACTGTCAGTATTAGACAGATCAATGAGACAGAAAATTAACAAGGATATTTAGGACTTGAACTCAGCTCTGGATAAAATAGACCTAGTAGATGTCTACACAACTCTCTACCCCAAATCAACAGAATACACATTCTTCTCAGTGCCACATGGCACTGATTCTAAAATCGACCACATAATAGGAAGTAAAACACTCCTCAGCAAATGGAAAAGAACTGAACTAATAACAGTCTCTCACACCACAGTGCAATCAAATTAGAACTCAGGATTAGGAAACTAACTCAAAACCACACAATTTCATGGAAATTGAACAACCTGCTCCTGAATTACTCCTGGATAAATAATAAAAGTAAGGAAGAAATCAATAAGTTCTTTGAAACCAATGAGAACAAAGAGACAACCTACCAGAATCTCTGGGACACAGCTAAAGCAGTGTAAGAGGGAAATTTATAGCACTAAATGCCCACATCAGAAAGCTGGAAAGATCTGAAATCAACATCACAATGAAACATCACAATTAAAAGAGCTAGAGAGGCAAGAGCAAACTTATCCAAAAGCTAGCAGAAGACAAGAAATAACAAAGATCAGAGAAGAATTGAAGGAGATAGAGGCGCGCACACACACACACACACACACACGCAAAACACTCCAAAAAATCAACAAATCCAGGGGCTGGTTTTTTGAAAAAAATAACAAAATAGATAGACCACTAGACTAATAAAGAAGGAGAGAGAGATGAATGAAATAGACACAATAAAAAATGACAAAGGGGCTATCACCACTGCTCCTACAGAAATACAAACTACCATCAGAGAATACTGTAAACATCTCTACACAAAGAAAGTAGAAAACCTAGAAGAAATGGATAAGTTCCTCGATGCATACACCCTATCAAGACCAAATCAGGAATAAGCTGAATCCCTGAATAGGACAATAACAAGCTCTGAAATTGAGACAATAATTAATACCCTTCCAACCAAAAAAAGCCCAGGACCAGACAGATTCACAGCTGAATTCTACCAGAAATACAAAGAGGAGCTGGTACCATTCCTTCTGAAACTATTCCAAACAACTGAAAAGGAGGGACTCCTCCCTAACTCATTATATGAAGCTAGCATCATCCTGATAACAAAACCAGGAAGAGACACAATAAAAAAATAAAATTTCAGGCCAATATCCCTGAAGAACATTGATGCAAAAATCCTCAATAAAATACTGGCAAACTGAATCCAGCAGCATATCAAAAAACTTAGCCACCACGATCAAGTTGGCTTCATCCCTAGGATGCAAGGCTGGTCCAACATACGCAAATCAATAAACATAAT
The DNA here is from genome assembly GCF_000001405.40 of Homo sapiens. Lineage (NCBI taxonomy): Eukaryota > Metazoa > Chordata > Mammalia > Primates > Hominidae > Homo > Homo sapiens. Next base: position 176,914,896 of record NC_000004.12, read on the forward strand.
CCATCACTGAAACAGAACCAAAGACAAAAACCACATGATTATCTCAATAGATGCAGAAAAGGCCTTTGATAAAATTCAACATCCCTTCATGTCAAAAACTCTCAATAAACTAGGTATTGATGGAACATATCTCAAAATAATAAGAGCTATTTATGAAAAGCCTACAGCCTATTGAGTGGGCAAAAGCTGGAAGCATTCCCTTTGAGAACCAGTACAAGACAAGGTTGCCCTCTCTCACCACTCTTATTCAAGATTGTACTGGAAATTCTGGCCAGGGCAATCAGGCAAGAGAAAGAAATAAAGGGTAACCAAATAAGAAGAGAGGAAGTCAAGTTGTCTCTGTTTGCAGATGTCATGGTTTTAGATTTAGAAAACCCCATTATCTCAGCCCAAAAGCTTCTTGAACTATAAGCAACTTCAGCAAAGTCTCAGGATACAAAATTAGTGTAGAAAAATAGCAAGCATTCCTTTACACCAGTAGTAGGCAAGCAGAGAGCCAAGTCATGAATGAACTCCCATTCAAAATCACTACAAAGAGGATAAAATACCTAGGAATACAGCTAACAAAGGATGTGAAGGACCTCTTCAAGGAGAACAACAAACCACTGCTCAAGGAAATAAGAGAGGACACGAACAAATGGAAAAGCACTCCATCCTCATGGATAGGAAGAATCAATATCATGAAAATGGCCATATTGCCCAAAGTAATTTAGGTTCAATGTTATTTCCATCAAGCATTGAAGCATTGACATTCTTCTCAGAATTAGAAAAAGCTATTTTAAATTTCATATGGAATCAAAGAAGACCCTGTATATCCAAGACAATCCTACACAAAAAGAACAAAGCTGGAGGCATCACGTTACCTGATATGAAACTATATTACAAGGCTACAGGAACCAAAACAGCATGGCACTGGTACGAAAACAGACATATAGACCAATGGAGCAGAACAGAGACCTCAGAAATAATACAACACATCTAGAATCAACTGATCTTTGACAAACCTGACAAAAACAAGCAATGGGGAAAGAATCTCCTATTCAGTAAATGATGCTGGGAAAAATGGCTAGTCATATGCAGAAAACAGAAATGGAACCCCTTCCTTACACCTTATACAAAAATTAACTCAAGATGGATTAAAGACTTAAACGTAAAACCTAAAGCCATAAAATCCCTCAAGGAAAACCTAGGCAATATCACTCAGGACATAGTCATGGGCAAAGACTTTCATGACAAAAATGCCAAAAGCAATTGCAGCAAAAGTCAAAATTGACTAATAGGATCTAATTAAACTAAAGGTCTTCTGCATAGCAAAAGAAACTATCATCAGAGTGAACAGGAAACCTACAGAACAGGAGAAAATTTTTGCAATCTATCCAAAGGTCTAATATCCAGAATTTACAAGGAACTTAAATATTTTTTTTTCTTTTTTCTTTTCTTTCTTTTTTTTTGAGATGGAGTCTCACTCTGTCACCCAGGCTGGAGTGCAGTGGCACAATCTCAGCTCACTGCAAGCTCCGCCTCCTGGGTTCACGCCATTCTCCTGCCTCAACCTCCTGAGTAGCTGGGACTACAGGTGCCCACCACCACGCCCGGCTAATTTTTTGTATTTTTAGTAGAGACAGAGTTTCACTGTGTTAGCCAGGATGGTCTTGATCTCCTGACCTCGTGATCCGCCTGCCTCGGCCTCCCAAAGTGCTGGGATTACAGGCATGAGCCACCGCACTTGGCCAAACATATTTTCAAAAAAAACCAACTCCATCAAAAAGTGGGCAAAGGATATGAACAGACACTTCTCAAAAGAAGACTTTTACGTGGCTAACAAACATGAAAAAAAGCTCAACATCACTGATCATCAGAGAAACGCAAATCAAAACCACAATGAGATACCATCTCACACCAATCAGAATGACGATTAGTAAAAAGTCAGGAAACAACAGATGTTGGTGAATCTGTGGAGAAATAGAAATGCTTTTATATTGTTGGTGGGAATGTAAATTAGTTCAACCATTGTGGAAGACAGTATAGCAGTTCTTCAAGGATCTAGAACCAGAAATACCATTTGACCCAGCAATCCCATTACCCAAATGATTATAAGTCATTCTACTGTAAATACACATGTTTACTGCAGCACTATTTACAATAACAAAGACTTGGAACCAACCCAAATGCCATCAATGATAGATTGGATAAAGGAAATGTGGTACATATACACCATGGAATACTTATGCAGCCATAAAAAGGAATGAGATCATGTCCTTTGCAGGGCCATGGATGAAGAAGGAAACCATCATCCTCAGTAAACTAACACAGGAACAGAAAACCAAATACCACATTTTCTCACTCATAAGTGGGAGTTGAACATTAAGAACACATGGACATAGAGATGGGAATAACACACACCAGGGCCTGTTTGGGGGTCAGCGGGTGAGGGGAAGAAACTTAGAGGACGGGTCAATAGGTCAGCAAACCACCATGCCACACATATACCTATGCAACAAACCTGCATTCTCTGCACATGTATCCCATTTTTTTATTAGAAGAAATAAATAAAAATAAAATAAAAAATAATAAAATAAATGTAAAAAAGAAAATTTAGATTACTAATTCCTTTTACTGCTAGATTCATGCTTTCTATTTCTTCTTGATTCATATGCATATATATATATATATATATATATATATATATATATATATATATATATATATATATAAACAACAAACTATCCAAAAAGGAAATTAAGAAAATAATAATCTTGGCTGGGTGTAGTGGCTCATGACTATAATCTCAGCACTTTAGGAGGCGGAGGCAGAGGTGGATCCAGGAAAATCCCTCGAGCTAAGAAATTCGAAGCCAGTCTGGGCAATACAGTGAAACTTTATCTCTATTAAAAAACAAAAATTAACTAGGTGTAGTCGTGCTCCTGTAGTCCCAGCTACTCAGGAGGCTGAAGTGAGAGGATCACTTGAATCTGGGATGTCAAGGCTGCAGTGAGCCATGATCATGCCACTGCACTCCAGCCTGAGCAACAGAACGAGACCTTGTCTTTTTAGAAAAAAAAAAAAAATCTCATTTTCTTAGCACAAAATAAAATAAAATAAAATATCTAGGAATAAACTTAACCAATGAGGTAGAGGTTTGTATACTGAAAACTATAAAACACTAATGAAAGAAATTAAAGCTAGAAAGACTTCCCATGTTCATAGATTGGAAGAATTAATATTGGTAAAATGTCCATAGTACCCAATCTGATCTACAGATTGAATGCAGTGTCTCTCAAAATCCCAATGGCATTTTTTACAGAAATTGAAATAACAATTCTAAGATTCATACTGAATCACAAAAGATCCTGAACAGCAGCCAAGGTAATCTTGAACAAGAGAAATAAAACTGGAGGCATCCTACTTCTTGATTTCAAAATAATATAAAATGTAAAATATATTACAAAGCTACAGTAATCCAAACAAAATGGTACTGGTATAAAAACAGACATATAACCCAATAAGCAGAATAGAAATATCAGAAACACACCCTCATACACTTTTAAAGTTATATGGTTAAATGAAATCAGACCTTTATCTTACACCATACACAAAAATTAACTCAAATGGTTTAAATGCCTATATGTAAAACCTGAAACCATAAAATTTATAGAAGAAAACATAGTGGAAAATCTTCTTGACATTGTTCTTGGCAATGATTTCTTAAGTATAATACTAAAATCAAAAGCAACTAAAATAAAACTAGATAATTGTGACTATATCAAACTTACGGCTTCTGCATGGCAAGGGAAACCACCAACAAAATGAAAAGGCAATCTGTGGCATGTAAGAAGTATTTGCAAACTGTGTATCTGATTAAGGGTTAATATCCAAAATACATAGAAAACTCCTACAACTAAATAGCAAATTATAATAATAATCCTGTGAAAAAATAGGCAAGGGACCTGAATAAACATTACTCCAAAGAAGACATTGAAATGGCAAACAGATATATGAAAAAGTGCTCAACATCACTCGTCATCAGGGAAATGCAAATTAAAGCCACAGTGGCATATCACCTTGCACCAGTTAGCATGGCTATTATCAAAAATCAAACAATAAATATTGGCGAGAATACGGAGAAAAGGGAACCCTCGTACACTGTTGGTGGAAATGTAAACTTGTACAGCCTCTATGGAAAGTAGTATGAAAGTTCCTCAAAAAATTAAAAATACTAGCATAAAAACAGACATATAAACCAATGAGCAGAATAGAAATCTCAGAAACACACACACATACACATTTAAAGTTATATAGTTAAAATGAAATCAGACCCTTATCTTACACTATACACAAAAATTAACTCAAATGGTTTAAATACCTATATGTAAAACCTGAAACCATAAAATTTGTAGAAGAAAACATAGTGGAAAATCTTCTTGACATTGTTCTTGGCAATGATTTGTTGAATATAATACTAAAAACAAAGGCAACTAAAATAAAACTAGACAATTGTGGTTGATTGTCTGATTCGGCAATCCTACTGCTGAGTATATATTTAAAAATATTACATTCAAGATCCTAAAGAGATGTTTGCAACCCCATGTTCATTGCAGCATTATTCACAACAACCAAGACATGGAAGTAACCTAAATGTCCATCAGTGAATGAACGGATAAAGAAAATGTGATATGTAGATATACACAATAGAATATTATTCAGCCTTAAAAATAAAAGGAAATCCTGACATTTGCCAGAACATACATGAACTTGGAGGACAATATGCTAAGTGAAATAAGCCAGACATAGGAGAACAAATACTACGTGATACCACTGAGATGAGGAATTTAAAAGAGTCAAACTCAAAGAGGCAAATAGTAGAATGGTGCTTGTTAAGGGCCGGTGATGAGGGGAGGTAAGAAATGAGAGGTATTAGTCAAAGACTTCAAAACTTCAGTTGCAGAGATGACTAAGTCCTAGAGATCTACTGTACAGCATAGTGAGTGCCTATAGTTAATAATACTGTAATGTATAATTAAAAATTTGCTAAGTGGATAGGTCTTATGTAAGTATTCTTAACACTAATAATAATGATAATAAAATACATAGGGCAGGAGAAAAGTTATTTTCATGGTTTTATAAAAAAAGATTATAATATACTTTTTAAAAATGTACACTTTAAAAGTTTAAATCAGTATAAAGCTTACACATACCTATATTTTAAAAACTAAAATGTAAACTTATCAATTGTTTTTACTGTAGAAATGTAAATCCCACAGTTTATCTTTTAAAATGAAATGAAAATTTTGTATTACAAGCATAATATCACATTAAATTGGAAGCATTATATATTAATCATCTGCTATGTATTTAAGCAACATAAATTTATCTTATAATATTTTTATTTTAAAATTAGAGTTAATAATTTATTATTTGACTAATTTATCACCATATTTAAAAGCTTTGTTATGAAAGAAAAGTTACACATGATACTGGGAACTTTGGATTTTTATTTCCCGATTTTCTATTTGTGGGAAGGGAGGAGAAGGCAGATATTTTGATATAGAAGAAAAAGTGATAAAGTATTTAAGGTAATGGGATGTAATGAAAAACTGGTAACAATATATTTCAACCTCTTTAAACAATTAGTTTAAATAGGTTTTCTAAAATACAAATAAACAGTACTTCATTACGTACTTTCAATTATGTCAATCACTAATTTTTTGAAATTTGGGTTCTCCCAATACAATTCTAGTTTCAACTTGGAAAAGATAAAACACACAAGAAGAAAATAGGAAAGAAAATAGGGGGGAGAGGAGAAAGGCAAATTAAGATGTATCGTAATGCTAAGCAGGAAAATTATGAATGATAAAAATATTTAGGTTCCTTTGGTCTTTTCCTTCAGACTAATACATTTGATAACATTCTTAACCTGCCCCCACTATCTCTCAACCCAATTTTGAGAGGACAGAATGACGTAACTGCTAATAGCCCTGATTCACATCCTTAATGACTGTCTGAAAAAAAGTTTGCCATGATGTAGGATATGAATCATGCTCACCAGAGAACATCTCACATTTATGGTAAACTGTGGCCTGCTTGCAAGAAATAGAAATGTTAATTACAGTCATTTCACTTCATAAAAATAAACGTTTCAGAGTTTTTGTACTCTCAAATTATTTCCTAATGAATTACAGACTTCGTCTATAAATGTGCACTCAAATGTAAAGTTACTGTAATACATATATATCAATGTCATTATAAATTTCTGTTCCAAGCTAAATGGAAAAATATCAGGGTCCCTGGAACAATATCAATGTGTCATAATTGAACATTTATACAATATTTGTAGACCACCTATTAATTAATTATATACAAATGACTGAAATTCTCCTGTAACAATATTAAATATGATCTTTAGTAATCACACAATTTAAAATTATACTTTCTCTTTTATTATCTTGTACACGCATGTCTTTCTTATCAGTGTACTTCATTGAGTAAACACTAGTTGGCTTAATTATCTTACTTTTTGCCAGGAAGTGGATGTGAGACACTTTTGTGGGTGTTCTTAATATTTTTGAACTTCATTATTGCTTATTTAAAGAATAGCTTCCTGCGTGCTCAATAACATGTGCATTTGGATTGCATCAAATAAAGTTAGAATAACTTAAAAGGAACACACCAGAGCACACTTATTTTTTGTTTGTTTAAAGGACACCGAGTTTGAGGAAACGTACAGAAGGAAGAGAAGTCACTGGAATCTGAAAAACAGGATGGAAAGAATAAAAGCTGTGCTAAGGTAATTCATTGGTGCCTTCTTAGCAATCTCTGATTTTCCCATTTAAGCCTGTATTTCTTTTCTTTTTTTTCCAAATAAATTTTGTTGTATATATTTAAGGTATAATAATAATAATAATAATAATTATTATTATTATTATTATTATTATGTTGAGATGGAGTCTTGCTCTTGTCGCCCAGGTTGGAGTGCAATGGCATGATCTCGGCTCACTGCAACCTCCGCCTCCCGAGTTCAAGGGATCTCCTGCCTCAGCCTCCTGAGTGGCTGGGATTACAAGCACCCGCCACCACGCCCAGCTAATTTTTGTATTTTTAGTAGAGACGGGGTTTTGCCATGTTGGCCAGGCTGGTCTGGAACACCTGACCTCGTGATCCACCCACCTCGGCCTCCCAAAGTGCTGGGATTACAGGCGTGAGCCACCGTGCCCGGCCAAGGTATACTTATAAGATACAAATAGACAATAAAAAGGTTATTATAGTGAAACGAATTAAGATATCCATCATCTCACATAATTACCCACTTTTTTTTTGTTTTTGTGGCAAGAGCAGCTAAAATCTACTAATTTAACATGAACCCCAAATACAGTAAAATGTTATTCCCTATAGTCCTCATGTTGTACCTTAGATCTCTGGACTTGCTCATTCTGCTTTCAGTCCTTTAATTACTAAATTGTGATCCTTGAAGTCTGATTATTTTACTTTATAAAAATTATTTCATAAAATAATCCTCGACTCAATTCCTCAGCCACGGGAAAAAATAAAGTAATTCATAGGTTTGGGGATCGTTTTACTTTTTTGAGGCTAATTTATGTTAATAGTAGGAAATGCAGGGTTCCAGGAGCCTCAAACTCTAATCTTAAATAAGTCCCTAGTTCAGATTGCCATCTCAGGCTGGTGAGCCGTCCTCCCTACCCTTCAATAATCAATCTGACAATTTTAAGGACAAGGATGCAGCATCATGGGAGGCCAAGAAAATACTCAAAACATTCCTAGAGACTTGAAAATGAAACTGATTAGAGTCATACTATAAAGAAATTGAAAGGGGGTAAGAAACAAATGGGTAAATGAAAAGTGTTATTTGCTGCTAATAAGAATTGACACGACTCTTCTCAGCTCTTCACTACCTCACATTTTAGAATCATTACCAAAAAGTTCTTTCCCTCAATAACCTTATTGCTATCAACTTTGAAAAAAATCAGGAAACTATGAGGATATAAAATATATCAGATAACACACTTGCTATTTATTTATTTATTATTTTTGAGGCAGAGTCTCCTCCTGTCACCGAGGCTGGAGTGCAGTGGTAAGATCTCTGATCATTGCATCCTCCACCTCCCGGGTGGAAGCGATTCTGCTGCCTCAGTCTCCTGAGTAGCCGGTGGCACGTGCCACCATGCCCGGCTAATTTTTGTATTTTTAGTAGAAACGGGGTTTTTGCCATGTTGACAAGGCTGGTCTCAAACTCCTGGCATCACACACTTGCAATTTAGAGGAGACTTTTCTACTTTCTAATAAAGTAATATTGATATGTATAAAAGTGTTTATTTGTTCATAGATATCTTTAGGAAATCGTGGTAACATTGTTGCTATGTGCCAGGTATGATCATGGCAAGTCACTTAATCTTTTTCTTCTCCGTTGATAAATTGATAAACTAAAGCTTATAATAGGAGCAACCTCATAAATGTGTTATACAAATTAAATGTATGAATGCATGCAATGCCCTTTCAAAAGAGCTCAGGAGCAAAGTAAGAACTCAATAATGGTAGAGATTTTTATTATGATTAAAATTAATATTTGTTAGGAGAAACAAGAGGATTTAAATAATGATAGGACAATAAACACTGGGGACTTCTAGAAGGGGTGGTGGGGTGAGGAAAGGCTTGAAAAGCTAACTATTAGGTACTATGCTCACTACCTGGGTGATGGGATTAATCCCGCCCCAACCCCACCATCATGAAATATACCCATGTAACAAACCTGCACATGTACCCCCCTGAATCTAAAATAAAAGTTGACATTATTTAAAAAAATGAAAAAATAAATAAATATCTATCGGTAAAGTGCTCTGGGCATTCAAAGGAGGAAGAGATTCTTTCTTCCAAATGTCACTGGAATGCCTCCCTCCTTCCTCCATTATTATCTCAGAAGGTCGCTTACCTGCTGAAGAGCTTGAGTTTATGGTTACACAGACCCTTAGGTCCTTAGGTCCACTCATAAAGAATCCTTCAGCAAGCTAATTGATCTCTTCGAGACCTGACTTCTTATAGCAATATATATAAAATGTCTGGTACAAAATCAGTAATCCATGCATATCGATTTCTCATTAAAAGGCCCATTTTAATAGAATATGAGGCTGATTGAATGCTGTTTGGGGGTGTTAGGAGAAAAGAAGTCCTGAAAAATCAGAGAGAATTTGCTCAGATGAAAATAATTCAGTTGAATTTATTAAAAGAAACAGTAAATTGGAGAAAATAATAAGGATTATTCAAAACATATTAGTCATGTTTAGTGACCTAAAAAATGTTAGTACTGTATGTGTAATCTATGATGAGAAAAATGTCAAACTTTGGAGTCTTCAGTGTTTTCAATGATCACTCTGATTTTCATTTTTAAAATTATTTCAATATGTATGTATGACCTTTTGTGAAAATACTCCCACAGGGATTAGGAATGCTGATTATTTTTCTGTTTGTGACCATTAAGAAGGGAAATGACTATTTCAGACCAGGAAAAGCAACCAAGTTCATGATGATGACTGTACAGTGTAGTATTATCGATTGATCGATCGATCGATTGATCTATCTATCTAATCAATCTATCTATCTAATGTGTGTATGTATATATATGGCTTATATATCTATATGGTTTATATATATGATTATATATCTATATGGTTTATATATATATGGTGTGTGTGTATACATATATATATAAACCCCTCCACACAGTGACTTTTAGTAAAACGAAGTCTTTTGTTAGTGAGAATTTTTTTCAAATTATAAGAGAAGTAAGCTTTTGAAAATTCAGTGATAGCACAGTAAAATGAAAAAAAAATTGACAATAACAGAAAAGCTCAGGGAAATAATAAAAATATATTAGTAAAATATTTACAGTGTAATATAAATACACTATTTTATGTTTTTATATACTTTATAAACTTATTTATATATTTTATACATATTTTATATTACATATAAATAATATATATTTATATAAGTGTATGATTTTATATATGATTATATATAAAATATATAATTATATATATACATTCATATATTATACTACTTTATTTATTTCTATATCCTTTATATAGTTGATTTATGTTTATATATTTTATATTCTATATGCTTATTTTACTATTTTGCTCTTTTTTTTTTTTTTAGTCTCCTTAAACACTGTTAACCTTTCAGATCATTGTTATATTATCTCAAACTCATGGAATTCTAGTCTATGAACTGGCTAAGCTTATTCACTCAAGTGCCAGATTGTCTAGGTTTTAATTCCATGTCTGCCATTTACAGCTTGTGTGATCTTGAGCAAGTTATGTAACATCTCTGCACCTCAGTTTCACATTCGAAAACTGGAATAACAATAATGCTTAGCTCACAGAGTTGTTTTAAGGATTAAAATAGTTTTTAAGTAAGAGCAGAAGACCTGAAAGGACCTGTGGCATGGAGAGTCGGCTATCATCACTAAGTTCTTACCTCCCCCAGACTGGGTTTCTTTTGCTTGCCTCTTCATGGTATCTGGAGATTACTCTCTTCTTCCTCTAGCAAAGCTATTCATGAAACATGTAACATTTTATGTAGAATTGCTAGGTGTTTGCAGTTGGAGGGTTTCCTGTTAGCCAAGCTTGGCATCTTGCTGAATATGGAATCCATTGAGGATATTTCTTATATCTACATTGGGACAGAACTTCTACCACTGTTAAAGGTAAAAGTTTATGTTAGTTTAACTTATTTTCTTTTACTGTGTGGACCTTTTACTATAGGCCCAGTATTTATTTATTTATGCCTGCAAATGATCCCCAATGTCCACATATTCAATAGAACTATTACACTGCATTTATTCTTAGGAATAACACAAGTTAATTTATAATGTATAGAATAACAGCGGCATCCACTAAAGATATTATGCTGACAAGATTACATTTAAAGTGTTAATGTGAGTGGTCAGAAAGTGCATGCTCTCTTCTAAATTCACATCAAAAGGGGAGTCAGAATCTTCATTACAATTCACCCTGATTGAGTGCTGAGAGCTTTCAAGCCCCACACTCTCCTTACCCTTCTGCCAACACTTGAAAGCTGGTAAGAAACCTAGGTGCTCCCTTCCTCCTTTAGGATGCCAGAAAGTTCAAATCTTTCAAGACCCCACCAGTATGAGACAACCTGCACCCAAACCCCACCTTTTAATCTCATTAAAAATCAAAGCAGTCTCCTTTCCGTGTTCTTTCAAGCCATTGTTGGACCTGACTGGGAGTTTCTCTGCCCTCCTCATAAAACCTCATTATGTGAGTAATAATACTCGCTTGGCTTAGTTGAAATTCATTGTGTTGTATCCTGCAGTTTATTGTCTGTTTGCAAATGACAATAATTTGCAAAGGAAACTATTTGCAAGTGTGGCATCATCTGCAAAAATTTTGGGTGGGGAGTCCCCCAGTATTTTTGAAGTGACCACAGCAGGTAGAGTAATTAGAGGGGGAAGAAATGATTTTAAGGAGAAAAGGGTGAATCTAGTTTTGGTGGTAATGGTTCTGAAGCGATTTGGGTATGTATAATCAGTTGTCACAAATACAGTGGGAGATTGGGAGTGATGTCTGGGCAGGTGGCAGCTTGGATTCATCAGCATACAGGTAGAATCAAGGGCCTGGTGAAGATGAGATTACCCAGGGGGTACACACAGTGAGAGGAAAAGAGGGCCGGGTCCATTGCATCAGCTGAAATCTACCTCTATATTATTCACTCCTCCCTTTTTAATGTGGGCTTTATTCTTGATAATTTTTTGTTTTTTCTTGTGCTTGACTTAACTTCAACCTAAATTGAAGTCACAGATTAATATTAATCTCTATCTTTTAAGTCAATCCTTAAAAATCCTGGCGTCTACATCATACGCAGGCAACTAAATTTAAAATTTCAGGGCTGTAACCCACACATTAGTAACTTTAAAATTTCCTTATGTGAATCCAATGTGCATCCAAGGTTCAGAAAAACCACTGTAGGTGAATTGAAATTAGTAGAAGTATAGGATATACTTCTTCCGAAGAGAGCATGCACTTTCTGACCACTCACATGAACACTTTAAATGTAATCTTATCAGCATAATATCTTTAGTGGGTGCCTCTACAAGCATAGGACATACTTCTACTAGGTTTTGATTTTTAAAATTTTAAATGTGTTTCACATCTTGTTTTGGAATGGATTTAAGGTATTTTATATGGCTAATTAAATTATAATTAATTATATGGCTAACTAAAATATAATTGCTGCCTTATCAATGAATTAACTTTTATCAAATTCAAATAGTAGGTCTTAATATGCCCATTTTATAGTTAAGAAAATTGAGGCTGAGAGAGATCAAGTCACTTTCCAAATATGCACAACTAGTGACTGACAGAGAAGTAATTTAAAACCAAGTTTCACTGGTTACTTCCATAAGTTAATTCACCTAACAGCATAGCTCAATGCTTCACAGGTTAGGAATCTAGGATTTTGAATATTTTTTTTTCATAAAGTACCTGGAACTTTCCCCATATTCAATTTAACCTTCTCTCAAAATGCATGTAAAGTAATATTAAATTACAGCATTGCCAAATAAGGCATGATTTAATTCGCATTTTAAAGAATTTGGAGGTGTTTGTGAAAAAGTGACCCATAGCGTAGAAATCTTATTATAAGGGTAATTTTCCTTATTTTTAAGTAAAAGTTCAAATTTTTCTGCCAAACGGCCTTGGGCATTTAAATATCTATTAGAATGTCTTCCCATATTCATATCTTCTATTTCTGAGAAACAATCATAGCTTTAGACAACTTTAGGAATAATTTTTGACCTCTTATAACAACAGAGTTGACCTTCTGGTTATTCTCTCACTAGTAGGAAATCCCCAGAGTTTCTTTTTTATGAAACAGCTAAAAAACATTTAGTTCGACTGCCATCAAAGTATCTTCTATTCCACTGTTGTTACTCAACTCCAGTGCCCTTAAATTCTCTAAATCTGAGGATCATGATTTAAGAAGGGAAGATCAAGCTCTTCCTGGAACGTTTCCAGTGGAGGATTAGCTATCACAGTTTAGCATAATGGGATGATTCATGTGTTACATTGAGTTTATAACTTTGCATCTTCATAAAAGTTTTACTTAGATTATAAAATCTCTTGGAAAACAATAAAAGTGTAATTCTAGAAAAATACACGAACCACATATTTCAAATAATTGGATTTTGGTTTAAAATAATGGTCAATTGGCTATTTCTGATTTTAAGAATGACTTAAATTGGGGGGCATATATTTCTTTAGACCATAGAATAAATGTGCTGTAAATAATTTTTCTCTCATAAAAGGGTTCTCAGTCCAGAGTTGAGTATCAAAGGCAAAAATGGTACACTGAAAGTGTTTGAAATTGTTCAAATTAAGAGAAAAATTTCTTCAGCAGAAAGGTATGAGAGATAAATAAAAAATAAAAAATTGTAAAAAATAAAGAGAAAACCTTTCTTGTTTTTTTCCAAATGCGATTTTTCCAAATTTCTTCAGAATGTTTCAGAAATCTTTATCTACCCTCCTCTGAGATAGAAAAGCTAAGAATATTAAGTAGCTAGAAGTTAAGAAATTCAGTACTAGAGGTTGTGCTGAGCGAAGAGTCGTGTTGATGAATTCGGTGCTTACTACTGCAAAATCCTGGATCGAGGGTGTTATCTTGATTTGTCTAAATTGTGATTCCCTCTGTCTGCCACTGATTGGTCCAGGAGCCTTAGGGCTGAGCCAATTGGTGCATAGCGTCACCTGGACATGTGAATTGGTTTAAATGCTTCAAAGAGTTCTTGGAAGGGAAGAAGCAGTAATAGTTATAGTTTCTTATATTTTTATTTTTTTTTTTTGAGATGGAGTCTCACTCTGTTACCCAGGCTGGAGTGCAGTGGCCCAATCTGGATCACTGCAACCTCCACCTCCCGGGTTCATGCCATTCTCCTGCCTCAGCGTCCCGAGTAGCTGGGATTACAGGCATGCGCCATCATTCCCAGCTAATTTCCTCATTTTTAGTAGAGACGGGGTTTCACCTTGCTGGCCAGGCTGGTCTCGAACTCCTGACCTCATGATCTGCCCGCTTCGGCCTCTCAAAGTGTTGGAATTACAGGCGTGAGCCACCGCACCTGGCCTGCAATCTTTCTTTCCATACTTTTTTTTTATGTATAGAAATAAGACCTGGAATTTTTTTTAGCTATCTTCTACCAGCGTGTTGATGTTGTCAACACACAGAAAGAGCAGAGAAGAAAATCTAGAGAAATGGAGTTGGAACTTTGACTAAATCATGATTGATCGTTCCCAATCAGTGAACATTTTAGTTATATTCTCTATTAGTTCAGACAATTTAAATTAGATTTTTCTGTTACTTGTGTCCAAAGCATGACTTTTGGATATAATGTCACTGTGTTTCCACAGCTTAGCTGTATAAAATATGAGCCAAAATACCTTCCCTGAGCAATTTGTAGATTTTTTTCTTACATTGACTATGGTTGTAAAGAATACACCTTACAAGTTACCTGATTTTTTTCTTCATTAATGATAGTATTTTTCTTCATATTTAAAAATACAATAATTTTGCCAGTGCGTATTGATTGCTCCATAACAATTTTCCCCAAGAATATGTGTGTCCTTTCACATACAGATTTAATTCATTTAAGTTTAGAAATTTTTCTTCTAGAATACATATAAATACATTTCGTTTCTTTTTTCTCAATTATGTATACTTTAGATCTTCTTTTCCTAATACAGCTATACATTTTTCAACTCTTTTAAACTTATGATGTAAAGAAATTAGAAATTAATAACAAATGTAGAAAACAACAACATTGCTACACTGTTACTTCAAATTTTAAAAAATCCTTAAAACAATTTTTAGAATAAAAATAAATTCAAATGTAAAATATTTAGAAAATAACAATAGCAATAACAATATATAGTAACCCATGGGTAGAAGAAGTATCCAAAAGTAGAAGAACTCATTCAGAATCTTAAATATACATTAAGAACAAAACAATACAAATGAATAAAAATTTAAAAGAGAGATTTAGAAAAGAGAAAAAACCCAACTTAAACAATTATGAAAGACTATATTATTAAAAATAAAATATAAATTTATAAATAAAATCAGAAAAAAACTAATAAAATAAAATTCTACAGACTAATAAGCGAAATCAGTAGTTGGCCTTATCAGCAAGCACTGGATAACAGTACTGCCAAAAGAAAAAAAAAAAGAGTTGGCTCTATTAGAAAAGCAATGATAATTTAACATAGGAGAGGTCGACCTAATCAAGAAAAAAGTAGAAATACTGTAACGAAGAAATAAAGTACAGAGTAAAGTCAATTATGACATACTACTTTATATAATTCTATGAAAAAAATTTGAAAACCTTGGTGAAGCTGAGGACCAAATAAAATATAAATAACCAAATTGAAAGTTTAAATGTCTCACATTGCTAAAGACAGTACCATGATGAATTCTGTCAAACCTTCAAAAGACAATGCCAATTTTATTTTCATAATACCAGATCATGAAATAGAATTCAATCTTCCAAATTCTTTTTACAAAGTCAAGCCACCATTTATAATAGACCTTGTGAAAGACAACACAAGAAAATAAAACTTTAAACCATCTTGTATCTGTCAAGTTTCCATCAGGAGAGAAAGACCAGTATGAATTAAGGGGTAAAAAAGTTATTATAGGAATTAGACTTTACACAGTGTTGGGGGAAGCTGGATGGAGGGGAACTGAAAGTTGAACTAGGGAGTTGGGAGATCAGAGGCATCACCAACCTGTTAATATGAGTAGCCCAGCACATTTAGTTGCTGAAAGGGAACCAGAAAGGGTAGACTGGAGAAGTCTACAGACAGCTGTTCTCTCTGAGCTCCTGCAGCCAAATGTCTGGTGATGGGCCTGCAGTGACTGTTGGCCAGCAGGGCCAGCAGTGAAGATGAAGACCTCCACGCAGAGCAGAAGAGAGTGAAGACAAGCTGGAACTTTCCAGGTAACCCTGTGCCTCTCCTTTACCTCATGTAACCATGATGATCTTCAAACAATAATGGCCATTGCTTCACTTGCACCTACCAAATATCACAAAAATTCTTCTTTTGGCCAATTCTAACAAAGAACAGTATAAAGAAGGGGATGCTGAGGAACATTCCTTCCAACTAAATCAAGTTGGCACTCAGCATAGTCTAACTCTTCAGTATGACATTAGCATAGAGCTTTTTCAATCATATTTAACTTCCAAATAAAGGCAGCAACAAAATCATGCTTTTGCCTAATATGATGCAATTATACCTATACAACGAAACAACACAATAGCATTCTCTCCAGAAAAGATTGCACACAGGTTGGGCGCAGTGGCTCATGCCTGTAATCCCAGCACTTTGGGATGCCGAGGTGGGCGGATCACAAGATCAGGAGTTTGAGACTAGCCTGACCAACATGGTGAAACCCCGTCTCTACTAAAAATACAACAATTAGCCGGGCGTGGTGGCTGGCGCACGCCTGTAATCCCAGCTACTCAGCAGGCTGAGGCAGGAGAATCGCTTGAACCTGTGAGGCAGAGGTTACAGTGAGCCGAGATCGTGCCACTGCACTCCAGCCTGGGCGACAGAGCGAGACTCTGTCTCAAAAAAAAAAAAAAAAGAAAGAAAGAAAAGAAAAAAAAAAAGATTGCACACAGTCCTATGTCGCATTATCCACCTTTGTGTGATACACATTTCTCTTCTAGCTGAGTCATATTCCTCTTTGCTATCCGGTAACATACATAGTGAGAGAGAAGTTTAACCACTATTAACATATCTTATATAGTAGAAGAGGGAAATGTGATAAAATTAGAGAAAGAATCGATAAATATATTCACTCTTTCATATACACACATATTTAAAACACAGTAAGAAAGAAATACTCAACTACTACAGCCCTTGTTTCCAACTAGTCAGTTGGTTGTAACTGACTATTATGTTTCTTTTTCCATACCAACTCCATATTCCTTTTGCCCTAGCGAACACCTCCGGTGGTTAGGTTCCTTACCTGGTAGGGTGAAACATATCTTCATTTCTTATTCACCAATATGGATTGTTATATTTTTTCATGGCCCTTAAGACATGGGGACTATTAAGTGAGAACTTAAAGGATCTTCTAAATTTCTCCCTGATCTCATTGTATGATAGAAACCAGTTTCTCCTTCATAATCAGATTTCGTTACCTCTGCCAGTAGTCGAACTTCATTTTGTTTGTTTGTTTTTTGTTTTGTTTTTGTTTTTGTTTTTGAGACAGAGTCTTGCTCTGTCACCCAGGCTGGAGTGCAGTGGCACGATCTCAGCTCACTGCAAGCTCCACCTCCTGGGTTCGCGCCATTCTCCTGCCTCACCCTCCTGAGTAGCTGGGACTACAGGCGCCCGCCACCATGCCCAGCTATTTTTTTTTTTGTATTTTTAATAGAGACGGGGTTTCACTGTGTTAGCCAGGATGGTCTCAATCTCCTGACCTTGTGATCCGCCCGCCTCGGCCTCCCAAAATGCTGGGATTACAGGCGTGAGCCACCGCCCCCGGCCAAACTTCTTTGTTATTGATTGAGTGGTGTGAGGACCCCAAGTAGCCAGGTGGCAATTTCAGTTTCTACTTAAATAGAATCATTGATGTACCCATTGGTGAACACATTCCTTCTTTGGGAACCAAGACCTCTATAGAAGCAAAGCCCAAAACTGAGGGTAAAACAAACAAAATCTTGTTAGTGAATCATACAGATAATGATGAGAGGAGTCACTCTGGCTTCTACCTTTTGATTCTTGGACCCATAATCCCAAAATAGCACCAGTATATTGATTGCTGATTCAGAGTATATATCATATTCTGGTAAAAGCATCCCAGATCTGTAAAGTATTGTTACCCAACTGAATTTTCAAAAGTCCTTTCTACGATAATTTTTCACATTTGCAAATACAGAAAACCATAAAGATGGCAATTGACATAATCCTTGTGGAAGGCCATCAAGTAGTGATAACCACAATTACACTTTTGGCATATGTTCAGGTTATGTGTGTGCTTACGGAATGCGGAAGTATCCAGTCTACGTATCTCTATAAAAATTGCTTTCTATATGTATGTTTATCCATCTGCACTTTTACCAATGACATATTAAAATGTTCATTGCAAGTTATTTTTACCAGAATGGCTCTTTGTTGGGGAAAAGGCGAAGTTCTTAGGCAAAAAATTTTGTTTTCATATGCATTTTTGATTAGGAGAGGTGAACAACTTTTCATGCTTTTAAACTAGTTATAATTACTTGTCAATTATCAGCTTCCCTTTTTCTCGTTTATTAGGATCCTGTATTTACTAGTCCTTCATATGACCTCTATAAATAAATATAGTGAGAGTCTAGGTGTTCCCGTTTTTTACATTATTATGGGGGTGCATAATGTAGAATATGTTTTTACATTTAATGTACCATAGCTTTTTTATTTCTTTATAACTTGTAAATCTAAAAAGTCATTTTATCCTTCAGAGGATTGATATTCAATTTTATGTTGCCTAAATTTTTATGGTTTTTCTATATTTAATACTTGAATCTATATGTTATGCAAATTTTTAAACTACATATAATAAAGATGTTGTCTCCTTTCAATGTTTGTGCCTATTTTTTTATTCCATGACTTGGTATATTTTCTGGAAGTGTGTGTGTTTGTGTATTTGTGTGATCATGTGGCATTAACCAAAATTCTTTATTTTAAAATATTTGTTTATTTATTTATTTTGAGATGGAGTGTCACTCTGTCGCCTGGGCTGGAGTGCAGTGGTGTGATCTCGGCTCACTGCAACCTCCGCCTCCCAGGTTCAAGCAATTCTCCTGCCTTAGCCTCCCGAGTAGCTGGGATTACAGGCACTTGCCACCACGCCCGGCTAAGTATTGTATTTTTAGTAGAGGTGGGGTTTCATTATGTTGGCCATGCTGGTCTCAAACTCCTGACCTAATGATCCACCTGCCTTGGCCTCCCAAAGTGCTAGGATTGCAGACATAAGCCACCATGTGTGCCCAGAAATTCTAAACAAATATTAAATAATATAGGTGATACAAAATGAGTTTTGTTATTATTTTAGTAGCAAATATTTTATTTGTTTCAGCCAATGTATTGGCTAGACAATTATGTTAGATGATTTTTTTATATTTTATGTTTTCTACTCCAGATTTGTCTTGTTAGGGAGCAATTTTATCCAAAATGTGCGATTTCAAATGTTATTTCATGTGGATTCTCTATGATTTTGATATGATCTTAGAGTATTATAAACAATATTATAAAACAGTATTATAAATAATATTATTATATTATAAAATAAATTTTGGCTGCCATTGAAATCATTTTATCTTTTAAAAATATTAAATTTAATTTCATACAGTATGCTTATTTTTACTTTAAAAACAGTGACATATTACTAAGAAAATGAGACTAATTGCACATTAGTATCTCAAGAATCAATAATATAACAATGTCTACAGCAACTAGGATGCAAAATTAATGTATTTATCTTTATCTTTTACTTTCCATTGTTAAAACAGCATTTAGAAGTGAACAGTATTTCTCAGGAATATCCAATGTCTTAGTTCCAGTTACTCTAACAAAGTGCCATAAACTGGGTGGCTGATAATGAAATTTGTTTCTCACCATTTGGAAGCTGGAGTTTGAAAGCAGGGTGTCAGTAAGGTCAGCTTCTGGTGAGGGCTGTCTTCTGGGTTGCAGGCTGCAGGCTTCTGATTCTATGGAGAACCAGGTTCCAGGGCAGAAAGACATTGAACTAGCTCTTGGGCCTCTTCTAATCGTGACGCTAATTCCATTCATAAGGGCTCTACCCTCATGAACTGATTACCTCCTACAGGCCCACCTCCAAACACCATCACATTGAAATTAGAGTTTCAACATATGAAGATTGGAAGGACAGAAATATTCACTCCATGGCGTGTCAACAAAAATAAGTGTGTCTTTGCATATAATTTGTGGAGGTTTTTTTTTTATTATACTTTAAGTTCCAGGGTACACGTGCACAATGTGCAGGGGTTTTTTTGTTTGTTTGTTTGTTTTATTTATTTATTTATTTTTTAATTTTTTTTATTATTATTATACTTTAAGTTTTAGGGTACATGTGCGCAATGTGCAGGTTAGTTACATATGTATACATGTGCCATGCTGGTGCGCTGCACCCACTAACTCGTCATCTAGCATTAGGTATATCTCCCAATGCTATCCCTCCCCCCTTCCCCCACCCCACAACAGTCCCCAGAGTGTGATGTTCCCCTTCCTGTGTCCATGTGTTCTCATTGTTCAATTCCCACCTATGAGTGAGAATATGCGGTGTTTGGTTTTTTGTTCTTGCAATAGTTTACTGAGAATGATGATTTCCAATTTCATCCATGTCCCTACAAAGGACATGAACTCATCATTTTTTATGGCTGCATAGTATTCCATGGTGTATATGTGCCACATTTTCTTAATCCAGTCTATCATTGTTGGACATTTGGGTTGCTTCCAAGTCTTTGCTATTGTGAATAGTGCCGCAATAAACATACGTGTGCATGTGTCTTTATAGCAGCATGATTTATAGTCCTTTGGGTATATACCCAGTAATGGGATGGCTGGGTCAAATGGTATTTCTAGTTCTAGATCCCTGAGAAATCGCCACACTGACTTCCACAATGGTTGAACTAGTTTACAGTCCCACCAACAGTGTAAAAGTATTCCTATTTCTCCACATCCTCTCCAGCACCTGTTGTTTCCTGACTTTTTAATGATTGCCATTCTAACTGGTGTGAAATGGTATCTCACTGTGGTTTTGATTTGCATTTCCCTGATGGCCAGTGATGGTGAGCATTTTTTCAGGTGTTTTTTGGCTGCATAAATGTCTTCTTTTGAGAAGTGTCTGTTCATGTCCTTTGCCCACTTTTTGATGGGGTTGTTTGATTTTTTTCTTGTAAATTTAAGTTTTTTGTAGATTCTGGATATTAGCCCTTTGTCAGATGAGTAGATTGCAAAAATTTTCTCCCATTCTGTAGGTTGCTTGTTCACTCTGATGGTAGTTTCTTTTGCTGTGCAGAAACTCTTTAGTTTAATTAGATCCTATTTGTCTATTTGGGCTTTTTTTGCCATTGCTTTTCGTGTTTTAGTCATGAAGTCCTTGCCCATGCCTATGTCCTGAATGGTATTGCCTAGGTTTTCTTCTAGGGTTTTTATGGTTTTAGGTCTACCATTTAAGTCCTTAATCCATCTTGAATTGATTTTTGTATAAGGTGTAAGGAAGGGATCCAGTTTCAGCTTTCTACATATGGCTAGCCAGTTTTCCCAGCACCATTTATTAAATAGGGAATCCTTTCCCCATTTCTTGTTTTTGTCAGGTTTGTCAAAGATCAGATGGTTGTAGATGTGTGGTGTTATTTCTGAGGTCTCCGTTCTGTTCCATTGGTCTATATCTCTGTTTTGGTACCAGTACCATGCTGTTTTGGTTACTGTAGCCTTGTAGTATAGTTTGAAGTCAGGTAGCATGATGCATCCAGCTTTGTTCTTTTGACTTAGGATTGTCTTGGCAATGCAGGCTCTTTTTTGGTCCCATATGAACTTTAAAGTAGTTTTTTCCAATTCTGTGAAGAAAGTCATTGGTAGCTTGATGAGGATGGCATTGAATCTATAAATTACCTTGGGCAGTATGGCCATTTTCATGATATTGATTCTTCCTATCCATGAGCATGGAATGTTCTTCCATTTGTTTGTGTCCTCTTTTATTTTGTTGAGCAGTGGTTTGTAGTTCTCCTTGAAGTGGTCCTTCACATCCTTTGTAAGTTGGATTCCTAGGTATTTTATTCTCTTTGAAGCAATTGTGAATGAGAGTTCACTCATGATTTGGCTCTCTGTTTGTCTGTTATTAGTGTATAAGAATGCTTGTGATTTTTGCACGTTGGTTTTGTATCCAGAGACTTTGCTGAAGTTGCTTATCAGCTTAAGGATATTTTGGGCTCAGACAATGGGGCTTTCTAAATATACAATCATGTCATCTGCAAACAGGGACAATTTGACTTCCTCTTTTCCTAATTGAATGCCCTTTATTTCTTTCTCTTGCCTGATTGCCCTGGCCAGAACTTCCAATACTATGTTGAATAGGAATGGTGAGAGAGGGCATCCCTGTCTTTTTTTTCAAAAGGAATGCTT
Organism: Homo sapiens; assembly: GCF_000001405.40. Classification (NCBI taxonomy): domain Eukaryota; kingdom Metazoa; phylum Chordata; class Mammalia; order Primates; family Hominidae; genus Homo; species Homo sapiens. Next base: position 176,937,110 of record NC_000004.12, read on the forward strand.
CCAGTTTTTGCCCATTCAGTATGATATTGGCTGTGGGTTTGTCATAAATAGCTCTTATTATTTTGAGATACATTCCATCAATACATAGTTTATTGAGAGTTTTTAGCATGAAGGGCTGTTGAATTTTGTTGGAGGCCTTTTCTGCATATATTGAGATAATCATGTGGTTTTTTGTCTTTGGTTCTGTTTATGTGATGGATATTGTTTACTGATTTGCGTATGTTGAACCAGCCTTGCATCCCAGGGATGACGCCAACTTGATCTTGGCGGATAAGATTTTGATGTGCTGCTGGATTCATTTTGCCAGTATTTTATTGAGGATGTTCACATCAATGTTCATCAGGGATATCGGTCTAAAATTCTCTTTTTTTGTTGTTGTGTCAGTACCAGGCTTTGGTATCAGGATGATGCTGGCCTCTTAAAATGAGTTAGGGAGGATTCCCTCTTTTTCTATTGATTGGAATAGTTTCAGAAGGAATGGTACCAGCTCCTCTTTGTACCTCTGTTTGAATTCGGCTGTGAATCCGTCCAGTCCTGGACTTTTTTTGGTTGGTAATTATTGCCTCAATTTCAGAGCCTATTATTGGTCTATTCAGGGATTCAACTTCTTCCTGGTTTAGTATTGGGATGGTGTATGTGTCCAGGAATTTATCCTTTTCTTCTAGATTTTCTAGTTTATTTGCATAGAGGTGTTTATAGTATTCTCTGATGGTAGTTTGTATTCCTGTGGTATCGGTGGTGATATCCCCTTTATCATTTTGTATTGCATCTATTTGATTCTTCTCTCTCTTCTTCTTTATTATTCTTGCTAGTGGTCTGTCAATTTTGCTGATCTCTTCAAAAAATCAGCTCCTGGATTCATTGATTTTTTGAAGGGTTTTTTGTGTCTCTATCTCCTTCAGTTCTGCTCTCTGATCTTCATTATTTCTTGTCTTCTGCTAGCTTTTGCATTTATTTGCTCTTGAGATATTTATAAGAGTATAAAGCTTCATCAAAACCAAGTAAATATATTACAGATATGAAATATACATATATGAAAATAGAGAATATTAAAAGGCATAGTTTACTGAAGATTTATTCAACATTTTAAAAATCTTGGAAAGGCCACTAAAATCTAAAAAGGATATGTACATATATAATGATGCAAAGTTGTCTCATACTACATAAAGCTTTGTGCCAAATCTATGAAAATTCAAGGGATTAAACAAAATTAATCAGAGGCTTATAAAATTATCTAAATCATCTCCCCTTATGGTGCATAAAGTTTACAATATAAAAATATTCTCTAGCTGGAGACAGTTTCATAAGTATTTGTTGGAACAACCTGTGTCAAACAATTTTTCTTTTACCAATTCATTTATTTTCTTTGTGATCATAAGCCTTCTGAACCATGAGAACATTCTGGAACCATAAGTATATGGTCTCCAAACACCTTCACGGTAGAAACTTCCATCCTGTGAACTTGCTCTGAGGGTTGCATACCTGCCAAATCTCCTATAATTACAGAAGGGCTTCCATAGGAGGTAAGTTCAAGCACTGCTGTAGTGTTTTATTTTGGTGATGTTTCCTTACAGATTTCTACAATTTACTTTTGTTTGTGTAGTTTTCTTCCTATTCTACTTTCCAGTAATATGATTTTTTAAACTCTACATTTGACTTATTGAAGTATAATTAAGGTTGTAATACGTCACTATGTAAATAAATTCTAAAACAAATGTTGAGTAGACTTTATGAAAGTAAAGGGAATCCATACTTGTGCTTTTAATTTCCATACCTACACTGACCTCTTTCTTTTCAACCGTCTTTGTTAATCTACCTAGCGTTTAACCTTTTAGACACATCTCTTTTTGGAATGTATAAGTCTTAATTTTCTCTTTCTTCTCTCTCTGTCTCTTGCTGTCTTTTCTTCTCTATTTTGCATAAAGATTGGTAAATTTATTTGAACCTTTTCTAAGACATATCCCTTTGTGTGTAACTGGTTCCAAAGCTCATTGCAATGATTTTTCTGTTGTGAGTTCTAATATTTGATTCTTCAGTATGATTTTGTACATCTTTTCAAGCAGTTTTAGTTTCAGAAAGCATATTTTTGTAGTATTTTCCCCAAAACCTTACATATATGAGAATATCTTTTTCTTTACATAGGTATATGAATTTAACTAGGGTACGATTTCTTAGTTTCCCCTTTTTTCAACTCACTGTTTTGTGAGATTTGCTGGTTTGTAGGAGGAAAATTGTAAAAAAAAAATCTTAATTTTGATCTTTGCAGATAACTTCTTTGTATATGCATACAGAAGTTTTGTTTGAAATTTAAATAATTGTTGAAGTTATGTCTCTGGGTCATCTTAATGAATTCTGACAGCAATCTAATGAAACGAAATCTTCATGCCAAAACTAACACTTGTCAGTTGGACCTCTCTATAGTCTGTAACGTATTTTATTTCCTCTCCCTTTAGTGAAGTTCATCTGACATTTTTCTCAAGTTAGTCCTCTACTTCCTGAATTTGATTTTCTGCCAGCATACTGCTCTTCTCTCTGACCTGGATGGCTTTTCCAGCACAGTGTTAGATAGTTATGCTGCGGTTCCATTTTTGCCAGCAGACTAACCCCAGACTCTAAATCCCAGTAGCAATGTCTTCAGCTTGTGGGTGGTACTGGCTTCTTGCTGTTAGTATTCTGTGGGTTGCCTCGTAAGTCTTTTTTTTTTTTTTTTTTTTTTTGACTTCATGGTATGTTTATCACCTGTGTGTAAATAATTATAGAAATCTCTTCCGTTTTAAATATTTCATAAGGTTTCTGTTTTCCTGGTTGGACCCTGACTAATACAACTTCCCAGTGCTTACTATTCATATTTTGGTCTGTAGACAATAACTTTTATTTTGCCAAAATAGGATCGTCTGTTCATAAAGTTCTACAACATGCTTTATTTCTGTGACATTGTTTATTCTACCTTCATCTTAATGGCAGAATAACATTTCTTCATGCTGGTATATCTTAATTTACTTAATGAATTGATTCTTGGTGGGCATTTATATGGTTTCTAAATGTTCTATTATTATAAACCTTCCTTCTTCCTTTACATGTATCTTTCAGCATTTTTTCACCTGTGATTTCCTACATTGGAAACTTTGTGGAATTAAAATTGGGTAAAAATATGATTTTTTATTTTAAATAATGCATAATCCTAAATTTCCAGCAAAAATTATACCAATGTATTATATCCCCCAAAGTGTCTGACAAATAGATGGAAAATACCTCATTTTCATTTTAATTTATTTTTTATTATATTATCAGTGAGACTAAAGTTGCGTTCAAATGCTTAGTGGCCAGTTGTTTCTTATCCTGAGAATTGCCTATTTGTGCGCTTTCTCTACCCTTTTAATGAGGTTTTCTGGCTTTTATTTTTGATTTATAAATAATCTTTACATATGATAAATATTAGCTCTTTGCTATATATATTTTAACCACTTGTGTTTATTTTGTGTGTCTCATGGGTCCAATATAATTTTGAAGTCAGGCTTTCTTTCTTTTTTTTTTTTGAGATGGAGTCTCGTTCTGTTGCCCGGGCTGGAGCGCAGTGGCGCGATCTCGGCTCACTGCAACCTCCGCCATTCTCCTGCCTCAGCCTCCTGAGTAGCTGGGACTACAGGTGCCCACCACCACACCTGGCTAATTTTTTGTATTTTTAGTAGAGACGGGGTTTCACCGTGTTAGCCTGGATGGTCTCAATCTCCTGACCTCGTGATCCACCCGCCTCGGCCGCCCAAAGTGCTGGGATTGCAGGCGTGAGCCACCGCGCCCAGCCAGGTTTTCTAATTTCTATGTATTCCCTTCTTTCCCTTGTCCAAACTTGTGAAGCTGATAGCTTCTGTGTTTTCACAGTCTTCTATTTCAGAGCCCTTGGGACATTATTGTTTGATATTTTGTTTGGCCATCTTTGAAGGAAGGGAGGCACACGTATGTCCAGTGCTGGAGATCAGAAAGGAGAGAACTTATGCTTTCCAAGTGTAGCTAGAAGCTAGCGGAGTCATCTCCAGTTCTGATTAATAGCTGGAGGAAAGATAAAGGCAGACAAATTTTACCTGGGTTTATAATATTCAGGAGGCAGTCACTAAATGCTTTTCTGCTTGCAGCTATGAGTGTGCATAAGTGTGTGTGTGTGTGTGTGTGTATGTGTAAAGGAGGGAGAACCTCTTGTAAAAGAATTACAGTTCAAAGAACAAGAAGCTTGGGGGAAGAAGTTCCAAACTTACATTGCTTTGGATTCCATGCACAGTAGTGGACATAATCTAAGAACACAGGTTGACACACTCAGACAGGATCAGTAAACAAGTCTTTTTTCTGGGCTACTTTTCCTACCTCCTAACCTGGCCTGATTTGGCCCTTGAATTGGGTCTTTCCTCTCTCGACACATTGGCTGTTCTTGCTGGTAGAACTCCCTGAACCAGAGCCAGCATTGCCTGTCCTGCAGTGATGCTGGTACCTTCTTGGTTTTTTTTGCTTTTGTTTTTATGGCACTAGAACAGGTTAAAGAAGAATCCATAGAAAAAGAAATGCCCGATACACCTCTAATTCTTTTCTCTTGGTGTCCTGGTTTGGTATCTATCAGTAGCAGTCACTGGTGGAGTCCTTCCCTTCTTTACTTCTTAGTCATGCTGCTTTGTTTCAGGAAATACAAGACACTAATATTACTAGTGCTGTAATCAATGGGAAAGTCTCCCAGATTCTTGCATACACGTTTTTTTTTCTTATATTACTTCTTTCCCTTTTAAAAATAGTGACTTAAATGACACTACATCGCAGACACTACATGACAGGGGTACAAACAAGTCCCTGGGTCACTTAACAGAAGTCTCAAAATGGGTTGAAAACACCCAAAAAAAGCCAAGAAACCCAGGCAGAACTTTAGTGTTTTTTGGTTTGTTTGTTTGCTTTTGTTTTTATTTTTTGTCTTTTTTGAGGCGCAGTCTTGCTCTGTTGCTCAGGCTGGAGTGCAATGGTGTGATCTTGGCTCACTGCAACCTCTGCCTCCCGGGTTCAAGCAATTGTCCTGCCTCAGCCTCCCAAGTAGCTGAATTACAGGTGCCGGCCAACATGCCCGACTAAGTTTTGTATTTTTAGTAGAGACATGTTTCACCATGTTGGCCAGGATGGTCTTGAACTCCTGACCTCAGGTGATCTGCCTGCCTCGGCCTCCCAAAGCGTTGAAATTACAGGCATGGGCCACCACACCCAGCCTAGATTTTCATATTAACAAAATTAGAAAAATATTTTCAGCATTAGAGTTTACATTCATCTCACTGTGTTTCTGCCTGGATTCCCTTTTATTGAACTAAATCACCCTCTATTGACTCAGTACGTAAATCCTTTAAAGACTTTTGACAATTATGTTCTCCTAGAAGTCTTTAGCCAAGGACTGCATACTTTATTTCTTTCCTCTCACTATATAAATCAATCCCTCCAGACTCTTAATTGTATTTGCTGTTCTTTTTTGAACTCCTTCCAGTTCCTCAGAGTTTGTAAATAGAAAAAGAGAAAAAGAGCTCTATCTCAAAGTGATTTCCAGTTCAGGTACACTTTCTTGCTTCGTAATATGATGGGCCACCCAGATGATTTTTAGTTTTTCCCCCTGAATCCTCATAACATTTCAGTTTCATCTAATTTACTGTGATTTGAGTGCTTTCCAATTGTTTCTCTTCCATTGAATGTCTGTTTCTGATTATTTTTCTACAGAGATGTTCCTTCACATTATTTCAAGTTGAATCTCATTTTCTTATTTTTTCACCATGCTTCAAACTTCTTTAGGCTTTTTTTTTTTCTAATTTTCCATCTGTCTGGGTGCTCAGTGTCCCTCTATATTGAGAAACCTTTGCACATTTTATCAAAGCTTCATTAATTCCTGATATTCTATGAAGATATTTTTAAAAGACCAAACATGAGGCAAGTTATCATGTGCAGTCATTCTCAGTTAGCATCCTCTTCTCCTGATGTGTTGTTTGCCAGCATTCAATCACTCTACAATTTCAAGTCATTCTAAAACAATAACAAACATGAGACTATTAAGTTCTCACCCTCCTCCTTTTTCTCCTCTTTAATTTTTAATGTAGTCCTTTAGCCCCTAGGATTTCTTTCTATCTGTGAATCTTGGGGCTTATCCAAATAAAGTTGGGTCCATGATGATTTGTTAATAAATATCGCTAAGCTTCTGATTACATTTCTGAATATTCAGCCATGCTCCACTGGAGCCTGCAGGGATTTCGGCCATACTGAAATAGAAAACATTCCTTAGAGAGCCAAGGTGTTCAGTGAGAAATGTCAAAGCTTCTATACCAATGATTTTCCCATGATCCACACTCTCATTTTGTAAATTAATCTGAGAGCACTAAGATTTTTTTTTCCCACAGAAACCAGGGAACTCCCCTTTTGTAGAGAAAATAAGACGTAGACATATAAAGAATACCTTCATATATAAACGGTATCATAGTTCTGGACAGAATCTCAAATGGTATGCAGACCAGCTCACTATCTTCAGATAGAAACTTACCTTTTTGATTCAATCATGTGAATATTATTTTCAAAACTTACCATCACAAAGTACTGTGCCTCTTGAGAGTTAAAAAAAAAAAGATCCTGTCCTCTAGGAACTTACAGTCCATCCTGACTAACCAAAATACCCCACAGTCCCGAGGAAAGAGTAAATGAAAGCCAAGATGACCTCGCTCAGAGGTACAGAGGGCAAGGCAGCAGAAAGGAGATCACTATTCTGAGTGCTCTTGCATCTCGTTGTTTGTCACAAAACACTTTCCTCACTTGAATGTAAGACATGAAAAATGTTCTGCATTCACCATGCATGAGGGTGTTTTTGTCGCTATGATATGGGAAAGGATAAAAGAGTTCAGTAGTTCTTGAGTTTGTGTGTGATTGACTCTTAAGACTCATAAAATAGCCTCTTTCATCAGAAAAATGGTGATATACAAATTTCTAAAATATTGCATGCAATTTTAGGAAACCATTGTGTGCTGTTTTTCTATTTCTGCCATAAGAAATGACCACACACTTAGTGGCTTACAACAACACAAATTTATGATGTTACAGTTCTGCGGGGAGAAGAGGAAAGGTCTCACCAGACATAAACCTCAGTGGGAGCAGGGCTGTGTTCCCTGCTATAGGCCCTTGGGGAGAATCCATCTCCTTGCTCATTCAGGTGTTAGCAAAATCCATGCAGTGGTAGGACTGAGTCTGTGCCCTTGCTGGCTGTCAGATGGACCACTCTCAGCTCCCACAGGCATCTTTTTGGTCCATGCACATAGTTTCCTTTACATCCCCAAACCAGCAACAAGGCCTCAAACCTTTCTCATGCTCCCTCTTTCTGACACACTTACCTGCTTTTCTGTCATGCTCTCAACAGCACATGTGATGAGACTGGACCCATTTGAATAATCCAGGATAGTCTCACCAGTGTAATGTCTCTATGCTTAATCACATCTACAAAGTCCATTTTGCCTCACATAACATCACATAGTCACAGGTTCCCAGGATTGGGGCATGCACATCTTTTTTGGGGGGAAGATCATGCTACCTCCATTATTTATTTATTTATTTACTTATTTACTTATTTATTTATTTGAGATGGGAGTCTCACTCTGTCGCCCAGGCTGGAGTGCAATGGCACAATCTTGGCTCACTGCAACCTCCGCCTCCCAGATTCAAGCTATTCCCTTGCCTCAGCCTTCCGAGTAGCTGAGACTACAGGCGCCACCACCACGCCTGGCTAATTTTTGTATTTTTAGTAAAGACAGGATTTCAACATGTTGGCCAGGCTGGTCTTGAACTCCTGTCCTCAAGTGATCCACCTGCCTCTGCCTCCCAAATTGCTGCGATTACAGGCATGAGCCATCGTGCCTGTACCTACTTCCATCTTATTGATCTAGAACCTAGTTATAGGTCCTCAAGAAGTGCATGAAATTTATGTTAAAATCCCTTGATTATTTTTTTCCCACCTCCACTTTTTGTTCATCCCAAAGAATTCCCTGATTACCAACATGTACAGCATTTTTTTCATTTTTCTTAAAAGAAAATTTCTACACTTTATTCGCCAATTACATAATTCAGTCATGACATTAAAACCACATGAAATCTTATTCTATTTTTAAAAAGTAATTTTAATATGTGTCACACAACATTCTGCTACTGCCATATTGGTGCCACCGACAATTTGTCATAGGGAACAAATAAACTGCAGCTTCATCTGTCAAAACATTAACTGGTAATTAAATGGCTGCTGTCTCTGTACAATCCCTGACCTGTATCCTATCCCAGACTTATTTCTCCTTAAGAGTCTCACTGCTTCTTATTGTGTAGACAGGCTTCAGCTTCAGATCCTCCTTTCCAAACTTGCCCCATCCTTGACCAGAATCTCCCCATCACTGCCCTGGCTCCGTTCCAAATCCTCATTCCACCCCTGACCCATTGTGTAAGGGTCTTTGGCTTGAGGAAATGTAAAAACACTTAAAATACCAAGCAATATTCACATTTTTTTGTCTTTGCAAAAATAGTCCTAGAAAACTGTAATTAATTTAAATGAGTTTGAAGAGTATATGTGGAGTAACAAGCACACATCATTATAAACATTTTTTGTTTAGTTTATAAGAGGACTGTGATTGTCTGACAGAGCTGCTTAGATAAAGCGGTTCTTCATTGTTTGCAAATGAAATTTAGAGTGGATTATCTAAACATTTAGAAATCCACTGTTGGTATTCACTGGGTAAAATTCGATAGAGATTAGAATTTTAAATGTAAGTAAGTGAGGAAAAGCCATAATGGAGGTTAAAGAGGTGATAATTTAGTGAAAAATTTCAAAGACTGTCAAAAAAATTAAAAGAAAATAACACCATCCTTGAATAAACAAGAAGAATATTTCATAATTGTTGCACAATTAAATTAGAAATATAGTTTATTTCTTCTGATATCCTTAATAAATGTTATTTACTTTTAAAAAATAAAATATCTCCTGAAGAACAAAGAGTAGATTTGCATTTAGTTTATTGATGTCCATTTTATTCTAGTCAAATGCTATTTCTATAAATCTCAGTTCAACAACAGCAACAAAAAGAGTGAGGAAAAAAACGAAGCTTGGATACAGTGAGAGGAAGGGAGGAATCCGATATGTGAGAAAGGTAAAGAATGTTTTATGTAAACATTATATGGTAATAAAGAAAAGTAGTTTTGCACATATTTGACTCTGTTGTGCCTGATTGACAATGGTAACATCAAAACAATTGGTGACATCAAAGTGTACTGGTTAATTTAAAATCCTACTTTTTCCCATTTATTTTTCCATTTTTGGGAAGAACACAAAGTAAAATTTTTATTTGGACACTCAGGATGGGCTGCATACAGAGTCTCTTTTCTCTCAGCTTTGGCGGCAATACTGGTGTCTCTGCCTCTCCCTAATAATGCCTGAAGTATTTCTTTAAAATGTGGTCTTAATTCAGACAAAAATGTTTTCTCTGAAAGTGAAAGTGCCCACTGTATTAAATAAACAAAAAATACAGTTTACCAACTAGATACATAGCATCTATCTCTATATGTGTGTGTATATATATATGTATAATTTATTTTGTATCTATGCCATAAGCTGTGAAATTAATTACCATCACATTTTATTAAGATTTTAGGAATAATCTTAATGATTCAAATTGTGTCTTTGTCTCATTTTAGGGTTTTTTTTTAATCTGCTGATTCTACAGTGAAGCATCAGCTGGTTTCTGGTTATCAAAACTAATATATTAAATGCAGACATTTCATAATCTGCCTATAAACTATAATAAACTGCAATTCCCGGTATTAGGGGGTTTTACATGTGGTTATTTTTTAAAGTTTTTTTGGAATACTTATTCAGTCCTTACAGTCTACTTTAACTTTTAAATATTACTTTTACTTTAAAAAGCAAAATAATATAAAGCATAAAAGTATGAAACTCTTAAAAATACAAAGAAAAACATCCTCTATTGCTACCATCCAGGACACAAAGGTCTTTCTCTCCCTCTCTTTCTCTCTTTGTCTATTTCTCTCTCTCATTCTTTTCTCTTCTCTTTCTTTCTCTCTTTCCTTCCTTTCTTTTCTGTTCTTTTCCTTTCTTTTCTTTTCTTTCACAGGGTTTCACTGTGTTACCAAGTTTGGAGTGCAATGGCACCATCATAGCTCACAGAAACTTTAAACTCCTGGGCTCCAGCGATCCTCCTGCCTCAGCCTCCAAAGTAGCTTGGAGTACAGTTGCATGACACCACACCTCAATAATTTTTGAATTTTTTGTAGAGTTGAGGTCTCACTATGTTGACAAGGCTGGTTTTGAACTCCTGGCCTCAAGTGATCCTCTCACCTTGGCCTCCCAAAGCACTGGGATTACAGGTGTGAGCCACTGAATCCAGCTATATGCACTTTCTATGCTTACTATATCCAATATTGCAACAAAATTAGAGGAGATTTTAACATTACAATAATAAATGATCACTGGAAGTTCTTAAAACTTTAGAAATCTTGAATTTCTTTTTTTAAATGGTGATGCCCCAACATAGAACATCTGCTTTTTAAAGGCATAAAGTAACAATCTCTGCCCTTCTTAGTTGTAATTCATTTAATTTTCCTGACATCCTCTTTCTTTAAAATAGCCCCTTTTTTGTCCCCTTTAGTGGCAACAATGGTTATTTTTGTTTCCTTTACCCTCAACAAGGTTATTACTTCATATGAGCTGGGGTAACTGTAACTCTAAAGTGTAATGTATGTTATACCAGTACTTACATTTGGCAAAATAGAATCCTTAGGAACATAATTCACTCTCAATTAAACTTTCAACATATACCACGAAACTAAGAAGTCAAATAAAATTACGCATCTTAGCACCTGCTTAGATGTTTGCTAGAAAAATTTAGTTTAGATTTGGGAGACAGGTAAAGTCAGTCTTGTCTTTAATAATGAAATACTCAATTTGAAACTGGAGATTTAGCTCCTGGTATTTGCAGCTTACTATATGGTAACTGGCATACGGATTCTTTCTCTAAAGAACAGGATTAGGCCGGGCGCGGTGGCTCACGCCTGTAATCCCAGCACTTTGGGAGGCCGAGGCGGGCGGATCACGAGGTCAGGAGATCGAGACCATCCCGGCTAAAACGGTGAAACCCCGTCTCTACTAAAAATACAAAAAAATTAGCCGGGCGTAGTGGCGGGCGCCTGTAGTCCCAGCTACTTGGGAGGCTGAGGCAGGAGAATGGCGTGAACCCGGGAGGCGGAGCTTGCAGTGAGCCGAGATCCCGCCACTGCACTCCAGCCTGGGCGACAGAGCGAGACTCCGTCTCAAAAAAAAAAAAAAAAAAAAAAAGAACAGGATTAACAGTGAAGGTCTCTGATAATTTTGTGGATAGCAAGTCTCCTCTTATTGTCATCATGTTACTAAAGTAACCAAGAAGGATCAGCGAACATAGTCTTCCTAAGGGTAGAAAAGGAGTTCTATTTTTTTATCAAAAGAAACTTGGTACATCTTTAATGATTGAAATATTTATTGATTCCAAGAAACTATAAATGCTCATTTAAAGCTCACCGCAAATAGTTATTTCTACCCCACATGTGCTCTCTTGTGTGTATAAGTAGTCACACACACAGGCACGCAGACACACTCATGGATTTTAACTATTAGAATACAATGCCTACAGGACTTTCTGGTCAGACCAAAGTATGAAATGATAAGGATGTTTCTGAAAATTTGAAATTTTACTATTATAGTGGAGTTTTTGTCTCTTCAAGAGTTTTTTGATTTCCCTAGTGTGGTAGCCTGAATAATGCCTCCCCAAAGATATCCACATTGTAATCCCCAGAACCTGTGAATATGTCATCTTATATGGCAAAAAAGAAATTGAAAATGTAAGTTAAGGATCTTGAAATCAAGAGATTATCTGAGATTTTCCAGGTGGGCCCAATATCATCATAAGGGTTCTTACAAGAAACAGGCTGGAGGGTCAGAGTCAGAGCAGGTGACGTGATGACAGAAGCTGAGGGAGAGAAGGACATGTGGCAACGCTGGCAGATGTGAAAGTGTTGCAGGAACATGAGCCACGTAACTCAGCCGCAACAGCAGCTGGGAAGGCTCAGGAACATCTCCTCCTGTAGAGCATCTGGAAGGAACCCAGCCCTGCCCACAGCTTCATTTTAGCCCAGTGGAACTCATTTCAGACTTCTGATCTTCAGAACTATGAAACATTTGCATTGTTTTAAGCCATTATATTTGTGGTCATTTGTTCGGGCAACCAAAGGAAACTAACACAGCTAGCATTTGCATTTTCTACTTTAACTCTTCAGTTTTATCAGATGATGTCCTCAGTGAATCATTGTCTTCCATAAACGTATTACTCCACAGGGAGCCTCAAACAAGCACATACATACGCTTATTTTGGATACCTTGTCTGTTCTAGGAGACTCTATACATCCATTTGTCTTCGTGGAGTACATGCAATTAATTGGCCTTATCTTAGCTGTCAATAAACCAAAGAGCCACTTTTTACCTTGACACTAAGTGAAACTGGTGAGTACCATCCAAAAGGTGATGGCTTTTGCTAGGAGACATGTGTCTACCTCAGTAACACTTGGACACTTTAGCAAACATTAATAATCTTTAGTCACTTTAGCAAATTGTATTTTAACAGAAGTATGTATATTCAAATATATGTGTATATAAAAGCTTATATATATTTAATGTTATAGTAATTTTGGCTTTTTATTTCTATATTTTAATCGTTATACAGAAGTCTGTATAAATAGTCTTCAAATTACTACAGAAAATATTTTGTTAAATTGAAAAATTAACAATTAATTTATCATCTATTATACTATGTGTAAACTGCTGTCCTCTACAGGGCAGCAGAGAATATAGTATCAATTATGGTTACTGTCTCAAATAATTAAACAAATGTTGGTAAATCTAGAGGACACAGTCCTAAAGGCCATAAGTAAAAATGTGATGCAGTCGTTTTGGAAAAATTATTAAAAACTCTCTGGTAAATATGATATTAGGCTAGGAATACCTGATCTTTTGTTTGCAATGTTACAAGGAAATGTGTCTGAATAATGACAAACGGATAAAAGCTAAAAATACTAGTAAGAAACTTTATATTTTAATCTTTATTGACTGGACTCTTGATAAAACTGCATGCTTTGAGAGTAGTATTTTTAGAATAACCACTTTTCATTCTCCACCCTCTCAAATTGAACGTTACAGGGTGCCCCCAAGAAGGTGGGACAAATTTTAACTCACTCTTCGTGTGCCCCTACTTTTGTGAAACAGGGACAGCGCTTGCCAAAAAAGCAGGCAGCTGCCTTTGATTCGAACAAGAACAGAATGAAATTAATCCTTCACCCTTTGTCAAAGAATGCGTGTGTGCTTACGTAAACTTCTAAATCCATTCAGAGTTAAATCTCAGTACCTGGCATAAATGGAAGGAAAAGAGGATGGGCGGAATTACATGGCACATTTATATTTCAGTCAATTAATGAAAAGTGTTAGACAAAGTGTTGACAGAAGCAGCAAGGCTGTAGAAGCAGGGCATGGTCTGGATCTGTCCTTTCTGGTATTGTACTGTGTATGGAAAATGTGGTGCCTTGATTGGAGGAGCTACCTGAAAACCTGGTTATTTGTCTGTAGTCCAGCAGCCTTTCACAGATGAATGACTGCATGGAGTTAAAAGCTAATCTACAATGTCATTTTGACCCGAAGTTCAAATAACATTTTAGAAAACATTTGAGCCTTAAAAAAAAAAAAAGATGCAAGGTTACATATGTTCTAAAATACAGGAGCAAGGTATCATAATTAGAAATATCCATCCTGGAATAAAGGCTGGACAACTAAAACAAAAAGCAATCAAGAAAGAGTAAAATACAACAACAATCAACATTCATATTGCAGGAAATTAAAGAGTAAAAGCTCCACTAGAGAAAACTTAAAGAAATAGATTATGAACAACAAGTGCAAACATAAACAAGTAAGATTACATCAAACTAAAAAGCTTCTGCACAGCAAAAGAAACAATCAACAAAATAAAAGCAACCTATGAAATGCGAGAAAATATTTGCAAACTATATATTTGACAAGGGGTTCATTTCCAAACTGCATGAGAAATTCCCATAACTCAACAGCAAAAATCAAATAACTTGATTAAAAAATGAGCAAAGAACCTAAATAAACATTTCTCAAAAGATTGCATACAAATGACCAACAGATAAATGAAAAGATGATCAATATCACTAATTATCAAGTAAATGTAAATAAAACCACAGTGAGATATCACCTCACACCTGTTAGGACAGCGATTATCAATAACAAACACAAAAGAGATAACAAGTGTTGGCGAGGATATGGAGAAATGGAAACCTTAGTACACTATTCATGTAAAAATGTTGCAGGACTTTCTACTCAGTTCAGCTATAAACCAGGTTCTTGTCACACAACAAGGAAAGATTAGGCTTGTGGACACACAGAAGGGTGAGAATAACAACACTTACTGGGTGAAAAGGAAAAAGACTCTCAGCAAAGTGAGAGGGATTCCTGTTAACAAGCCCCCATCTCACAGATTGAGTCCCAGGTTACCACCCAGGAACAGGAGAGACCAGGCTCCCCCCCCTGCAAATGGTGCAAACTTCCCACAGCTTCACCCCAACCTCCCAGTGCACAGGCCAAGTCAGAGATTCTCCAGGGAGCACTTTTCACTTGGCTGTCTCAAAATGATGCAGCCTCTATGGAAAACAATATGGAGAGTCCTCAAAAATTAAAAACAGAACTATCAGACGACCCAGTAATTCCACTTCTAGGTATATATCTAAAAGAATTGAAATTAGGATCTCAAAGAGATACAGTACTTCTTCTATGTCCATTGAAGCATTATTCACAACAGCTGAGATATAGTGACAACCTAAATGCCCACTGATGGCTGAATAGATAAAGAAAATGTGATGTATACATACAATGGAATATTACTGTATCTCAGATAAAGAAAATCCTGCCATTTGTAATAACATGGATGAACCTGGAAGACATTATGCTAAGTGAAATAAGCCAGGCACAGAAGGACAGATACTGCATGATTCCACTTCAGTGAGGTATCTAATGAACTATCTAATATAGATAAACTCATAGTCGAATGGAGTTCAACATTCCCCTGAGTCCCTGGGGCCTGCCCACGCCAGCCTGTGGCCCTGTTTTCGCTTGTGGGGGCCTTCCGCCACAGACATTTGAATGGAGTCAAATGGGAGTTGGCAGCGGCTAGAGGAAGGGAGAAATGAGGAGTTGTTGTTCAACTGATATAGTTTCAATTATGTCAGATGAGTAAGTTCTAGAGATCAACGTTGGCAATAGTGTACTGCACACTTAATCATCTGTTCAGGGTAGATATCATGTTAATTGTTCTTAGCATAATTTTTAAAATACCAACCAACCAGATAAACAAACAAACAAAACCCACAATAGATTATAATAGAATAAACCATAGAAATACCATCCAGCATAAAAATACAGGCTAAAGAGGCTGAAACATTGAGATAGAAGATAAAATTCCTAGAACAAAGAGAATAAATATTAAATCTAAGAAGGATAGGTTCTGTCAAGGATGGAATCAGAACACAAGAAGAAGGAATACACCAATAAGACACACTTCCAAACCTAGATTGTCTTCATCCTGCCCTCATTCACCACGATGTACACCTCTACCATGAATGTTTTTAGCTGTAAATAGGGCTCCTTGCATGTTCCTACAATTTGCCACTGACATAGCCATTTCCTGAACCAAGAGAAAATGAAAGAAACACAATATTTTTCACTCCAGGTGAACATATTTTCTTTCCTCTTAGTCTGTCAGCTCTCTTTGGTAGGCGTGTCATATCCTCATGCTGACCCCCTATCCTGTGCTGGAATTTCTTCTACAATAAGAGTCACTTATATTTTGTGCTGCTGTGTGTGGTATTTTCTTGTCATACTGCATCCATCCCCAGTAAAGCACCATTGCTAAAGCTGCCAACCTGTTTCATGGCTACTTAAACATGTGTTACATATTAAAATAACGTCTGCAAACAATTGCTTTCTAACCAATATATTGTGGAGTAACATTTTTACTGGTAATCTTGTTTGTAAATTCTTATTACTAAATGGAAATTTTTTAAAAAGGAGGCCAATTATGTGATTCAGGAATCCTAATAGGAGTTCCTGAATTCTAGCATTGCCCTTATACTAAGCAACATTTGTATTTGAATTTGAATGCCAGAATACTCACTCTGGTATTCTACTTTCATTGTTTTCAGCATTTGTATTATATTCATTCACATAGTTTTAAAAAGCAAAAAAAGCAAGTAAGTGCTCTCAGATAAATAGTTTGTCACTTTTATCATTTGGACGATAACATGTTTACAGTGGTAATCGCAGTCAACCTTGTCACTACACATTAGTCTGAAGGATGTGTTTACTCGGTTTCCCATAGCAAAAAACAAAAACAAAAACAAAAAAACCACACTCCACTGTACTGATTAATTTAAATTTCTGAAACATGTTTCACATTTCAATGTTCTAAATACAAGGCTACTCTTGTCTTATGGTATTTTTTGGTTATTGTTGATGATAAATCAGTTTTTTTTATTTTTTGTAGGAATATAGTAGGTATATATGTTTATGGGGTACATGAGCTATTTTGATACAGGCCTGCAATGTGTAATAGTCATATCAGGGTAAATGGGGTATTCATCACCTCAAGCATTTATCCTTTCTTTATATTACAAACAATCCAATTATATATACTTCTTTATTTTTAAATGTATAATAAATTATTGTTAACTGTAGCCACCCTGTTGTGCTATCAGATACTAGATCATATTCATTCTATCTAACTATATTTTTGTAACCATTAAACATCCCTACTTCTTCTACCACTCCCCACTACCCTTCCCAGACTCTGGTAACCATCATTTTGCTTTCTATCTTTATGAGTTCAATTGTTATAGCTTTTAGCTCTCACAAATAAAAGAGAACATGCTAAATTTGTCTTTCCATACCTGGCTTATTTCACTTAATATAATGTCCTCTAATTCCATCCATGTTGTTGCAAATGACAGGATCTCATTCTTTTTTATGGTTAAATAGTACTCTGTTGTCTATTAAATATTAATACCACATTTTCTTTATCCATTGGTCTGTTGATGGACACTTAGGTTGCTTCCAAATATTGGCTATTATGAATACTGCTGCACTATTAGTATTACTCCATTCTCACACTGTTATGAAGAAATACCCAAGACTGGGTAATTTATGAAAGAAAGAGGTTTAATTGACTCACAGTTCCACATCGCTGGGGAGGCCTCAAGAAACTTACAGTCATGATGGAAGGCAAAGGAGAAGCAGGCACCTTGTTCACAGGGCAGCAGGACTAAGTGAATGCCAGCAGGAGAAATGCCAGATGTTTATAAAACCATCAGATCTCATGAGATTTACTCAGAAGAACAGCATGAGGAAAACTGCCCCCGTGATCCAATTACCTCCACTTGGTCCTGCCCTTGATATATGGGGATTATGGGGATTATAATACAAGATGAGATTTTTGGTGAGGACACAGCCAAACCATATCATTCCATCCCTGCTCTCACCCAAATCTCACATCCTCACATTTTAAAACCCAATCATGCCTTTCCAACAGTCCCCCAAAGTCTTAACTCATTCCAGCATTAACCCAAAAGTCCAAGTCCAAAGTCTCATCTGAGACAAGGCAATCCCTTCTGCCTAAGAGCCTGTAAAATCAAAAGCAAGTTAGTTACTTCCTGGATACAATGGGGGTACAGGCATTGGGTAAATATACCCGTTCCAAATGGGAAAAATTGTCCAAAACAAAGGGGCTGCAGACCCCATGCAAGTTCAAAATCTAATAGTTAAAATCTAAGAGTTTAGATTTTAAACCTAAAAGTTCCAAAATGATCTCCTTTGGTTCCATGTCTTGCATCCAGGTCACACTGATGCAAGAGGTGAGCCCCCAAGACCTTGCACAGCTCCACCTCTGTGGCTTTGCAGGGTATAGCCCCTATCCTGGCTGCTTTCATGGGCTGGCATTGAGTGTCTGTGGCTTTTCCAGGTGCATGGTGCAAACTGCTGGTGGTTCTACCATTCTGGGTTCTGGAGGATAGTGGCCCTCTTCTCACAGCTCCACTAGGCAGTGGCCCAGTGGAGACTCTTTCTGGGGGCTCCAACCCCACATTTTCTTTCTACACTGCCCTAGCAGAGTGTCTCCATGAGGGCTCCACCCCTGTAGCAAACTTCTGCCTGGACATCCAGGAGTTTCCATACATCCTCTGAAATCTAGGCAGAGGTTCCCAAAGCTCAGTTCTTGACTTCTGTGCACCCGCAGGCTCAACACCACATGGAAGCTGTCAAGGCTTGGAGCTTGCACCCTCTGAAACAACTGCATGAGCTGTATCTTGACCCCTTTTAGCCATGACTACAGCTGAAGCAGCTGGGACACAGGGTCTATGTCTTCAGGCTGCACAGAGCAGGGGGCCCTGGGAGCTGCCCATAAAACCATTTTTCCCTTCTAGGCCTATAATGGGAGGGGCTGTCTTGAAGGTCTCTGAAATGCCCTGTTGACATTTTCCCCATTGTCTTGATGCTTAACATTCGGCTCCTTGTTAATTATGCAAATTTCTGCAGTCTGTATGGATTCCTCCCCAGAAAATGAGTTTTTCTTTTCTATCGCATTGTCAGGCTACAAATTTTCCAAACTTTTATGCTCTGCTTCCTCCTGAACACTTTGCTGCTTAGAAATTTCTTCTACAAGATACCCTAAATCATCTCCCTCAAGTTCAAAGCTCCACAGATCTCCAGGGCAGGGGCAAAATGCTGCCAGTCTCTTTGCTAAAATATAGCAAGAGTCACCTTTACTCCAGTTCCCAACAAGTTCCTCATCTCCATCTGAGACCCCCTCAGACTGGACTTTATTGTCCATATCACTATCAGCGTTTTGGTTAAAACCATTCAACAAGTCTCTAGGAAGTTCAAAACTTTCCCTCATTTTCTTGTCTTCTTCTGAGCCCTCCAAATGGTTCCAACCTCTGCCTGTTACCCTGTTCCAAAGTCACTTCCACATTTTTGGGTATTCTTATAGCAGTGCCCACTACCTCATTACTAATTTATTGTATTAGTCTGTTCTCACACTGCTATGAAGAAATATCCAAGACCGGGTAATTTATAAAAGAAAGAGATTTAATTGACTCACAGTTCCACATGGCTGGGGAAGCCTCAGGAAACTTACAATCATGGCTGAAGGCAAAGGAGAAGCAAGCACCTTCTTCACAGGGCAGCAGGACAGAGTGAATACCAGGAAGGGAAATGCCAGATGTTTATAAAACTATCAGATCTCATAAGACTCACTCACTATCACAAGAAGAGCATGGGGGAAACCACCCCCATGATCCAATTACCTCCACCTGGTCCACCCTTTGACATGTGGGGATTATGGGGATTATAATTTAAGATGAGATTTTTGGTGGGGACATAGCCAAACCATATCACATGGGAGTGCAAATATCTTCTTATGCTATTTCTTATTATTTAAATCTAAGAAAATCAATGAAATTATTTAATGAACATTGAATTATATACACTACTTGTAAAATAATGATATTTGTTTAGCATATTTAAAATAAGATTGCTTAAAATATGATACCTGAGCATATGTGTCTATAGTTTCTTCATGAGATTCAGAAGTAGATTTAAATTGATATCTACAATATCCCAAATTCGAGTACAATGCTAGCTTTTTTTTAAAGGATAAACAATTGTTTTATTCATTGGTGTTTCCAAAATTTAAGTGAAAAAAATTAACTTCAGCAATGAATAACTAGTTTGGCTATTATGTATTCAGAGCTAGGACATCTAAGCATAACCTAGGATTCATTCCTTAAACGATATTCCCTCCCTGGCCTTTCTGTTTAGCTATGAGTTTCACATATATTTCAAGGGTCACTGGAATAAAACAATAATATGTATTAGTAACGTTCCATCAGTATTTCTCTAAATATGGTTTAATTTTCTCATGACTTTCTGCCTTTTGGTGATTTCTAGCCCTCCGGCAATAGTCTCAGCATACTTATAGTAAAATAACATGAAACAGAGACAAAGAATGATTATACAATGCCCAAGTTACAGTAATGTTGGAAGAATAGTTGGAGTTATGTGGGGAAATAATATTACAGCTACTTTTTAAAGTTCTGACAAATACACAATTAACTCTTGTCACTAAAGTCTTTCTCATCCCTGGTTTTAACTGAACATTCCCCACCCACAGCTGGCCGCCCTCTGGAGAGTGTTAGCCACACCTTTGAAATAAATAGCCCCAAATACCAATTGTTACTGCTGATGGCACTAAAGCCTACAGCAAAAACCAGACTTCCCTTTACAGCTTGACTATCAAGTAAAAGAAACCACTCTAGTTTCATGAGGTTTCTAAGGGTTTAGAATACTTGCAATCCTGCTCTTTGCAGACACATCTGAAGTGTATTTCTAAAGTTAAACCTGTCTTTTTAACAATTAGAAAGTAGAGTTTTTACTGGAAGCCTGTAGCACCAAGTCTGCTTTTTGTATGAAAAAGCACAAACAATGTTTTCATGTGGAAACGAAGGCATGGATAGCCAGTTTTAAAATAACCTTAGCTAGATTCATTTCACAGTGAGTTAGAGCAGTTTCCAATGCATCTGAGGTTTCAGAGAGTGACTTCTTTTTGCTTTCAGTAAGCTAACCTTCATTCAAAGAACAGCTCAATTGTTTCTGTATTTACAGTCTCATGTGCGGAGACATTGTCTTCAACCTTTAACTTCTATAGACATCAGCTCTTACACAGTGAAGAAACAATACAAGGACAGCTTCCTGCTCACATCAGCAAACAAAACAATTTGGGATAAAAGTGTCTGAATACACATTACTCAAAAACACTATTTTTCCATTTCTTTTCTTATGTAAATAGAATCGAGAAATCAAAACTATGAGCCTAGATTGAATTTGATGGATAACCTCTTTAAACCTCCAATTTGCTTTTCCAGACATTCTCATCTCATCTTCCTATTAAAATATTAATGAGTATTCTTCCGTGAATTGCTATTTAGACAAACTTTTTCATTACTGAGTGTTCTTTGGAATTTTTATACGACTGAGTATATGTATTTCTGATTTGATCTCATCATTTCCCTGGGCTGCAAAAAATTTACTTGGTTTTAAACTTTTGTATGCGTATACTTTTCAACTATAGAGTCAAGTAGAAATGATTTTTTTCCAGCAATCATTCAAATGACTTTTTATAACTTAATACTTGTATTATATAAATTAATGCTGCCTTACAGAGATAATTTTATTGAATTTGTGGTAGTGACTTAGTCCTGTATTTTCTTTCTTTTGTCTTTAGTAAGGCATTTTATTTATTCCAAGTTCCATATATTTTTTCTTACATTTTAAACATCTGTACAGTTGAGATACATCTTACAACTAATAGAATCCTAGATTAGGAAAAAAGCAGTATTCAATGTCAGTGGGTCTTACAGATTTCTTCCTCTGAGGGATGTTTACATTAAGACCTGAGCTTAACTGTTTTATAAAGTCACACATTTCCCCTATCATCCTATCATGCTGCCAGATTAAGTTGTAATTTAAACGGATGATATGAAAATGGTGGGTTTTTAAAAAAAAAAACCCTTCATTTTAAGTTCAGGGAATCTGTGCAGGTTTGTTACAAGGTAAACTTGTGTCATGGGGGTTTGTTGTACAGATTATTTCATCGCCCGGGTATTAAGCCTCGTAGTCTTGTACTTTCAAAGGATCGGCTTTCCTGCTGCTCTCTTTTCCTATGGTTTATATTCTTTGACTTCTTTCACCAGTTTTAAAGGTGACAGAATGTTTGTGACAAATAATTTTAAATAATATGCCAAATTGGTAGAATTTTTAAAGAGTTGTGTTAGAAAGTATAAGAGTTTGCTGTTTGTTTTTATACTCAAAAATTTAGATGCTAACAAACCAGTTCATTTGATTTTTTTTTTTTTTTTTTTTGGTAAGACATTCCCAGAAGTCTTAGTCTTTTTGCCTGTACACTGGGTCCTATGGCACTGATTCTAACATAACCTATCAAAAGAAAATCTCCACAAATTCATAAGCTGTCACCAGAAGACAGGTAACACTGTGATAAAGCATAAAGTTACTCTTATTTTCTCTAAAAATAGGTAAATTTGAGGAATATATTTACACAAATAATGGTAATAATTTGCGTATCAAAATTGTAAGATTTTAAGCAGAAAAATAATATTGGAGAGGATGCAGAGAAAAATAAAAGACAAATTTGAAATGATTATTTTTTCTCAAAATATATGGATAGTTATTAAGAACTGATCCAACATATAAATTGCAATGTGTGGTGGTTACACAGGAGCACACATATGTAAAAATTTCTTGTGCCATGCATTTAAGATTTATGCATTTGACTATATATGTAATATATCAAGGAGAAAATAGTTTAAAAAAATTAGCAATGCAACATGTAGAAATACATGTGCAATAAACAAATATATGCACACGAATAATTTAGTGTAAAAATAGTGGTTTTATCAGTGACATATGCAATGACAAACTATTATTAGCAACATGTCAAATGACCATTTTGACGTTACTTATTTTTTATTCACACAGTGAGATACTAAGCAGCTGTAAAATTATATCATTCTAGACAAGAATATGTAATGAAATTTAAACATTTGCACAGCACATTAATAATTATAACAATAAAAGCAAATTACAAAAATATTCATACAATAGTATTACTTAACTTTTATAATAAAATTTATGAGTATATTAGAAAAAAGCAAACAAATTTCCTAGAAGATATTAAAGTAACTAATGGGGGCCACTGGGCTGAGACTGCTCCAGTGCCTTGGTTTCCTACGTAAGCAACACAAAACTCAATTCAATGCAAACAGTAAAATGAAACTTAAGCTTAACCAATCGGAAACCACCAACTAACCTCTAACTAGAGACTTTCCACCCAAATAAGGCAAACAGCTACTTGTAGTCTCTCAAGTAATTTCCTTATTTTGGCTCTCCGTTCTGCCTTTACAAGCCTTCTTCTCATACTACTGGTTTTGAGTGCTGCCTGATTCTTGACCAATAAGTTGTTTTGTGGAATTGGGAGTTATTGATCACGTACGGTGCTTGGAGCTTAAGACCTGAGGTTCATCTACCACTCATTACCGGAGCTCATTAATGCTGAATGAAACTGGTGTCTGGCTTTTCTCTACACACATTGCCTGATAGAGCAGTCAATACCTCTCAGAGGAAAAATGAGCTCATAGGCCAAAATAATAAAAAGTTTGAGGAACACAACTATTTAAAGAGATAAACATCTTAGTTTCCCTTTTAGATCTTATTTGAACCAGAAATAGTACAAGAAAATGCCCAAGAAATTAAAATTAGCTTAATAAACAGATCAAAAGAAATAGAGAAAGGTATTAACAATGTGAAACAGGAATAGAGCAATATGGAAGAAAAATAAAGAGTAGAGATATACACTAAAAATAATAATAGCTTAAGTAAACAGCACAATATAAACAGCAGAATATAGATAACAAAAGAACAAATTAGAGTATTAATCTAATACTCAGAAAACCTACTAGAGGGAAGAAGGAAAAGATAAAAGAAATAGAACATATAATAGAAAAGTTGAGAGGCAGAATTTAAACAGAATGCTAATATCTAGATGTGAGTTCCAAAAGAGAGAGAAATGAAATTTCAGAAGAAATGGATACAGTAATAATGGAGATTAACTTTTTAGAATTAAAAACAATAATTTAAACAATTCAGACTGGAAGACCCTTAGAGCACCAAAGGGGAGAAATAAAGAAAAAAAAACAAATACGTAGTCAAATTCTAGTAAAATTTAACATCAGGTTAGATGAAAATCTAAATGCATAGACACAGAGAGACTCAATTATTTACACAAGTACAGATGATACCTGATTTACAATTTCTTGACTTGACAATGGTGTGAAAGCGATATGCATTCAGTAGAAACCACACATCAAGTACCCATGCAACCACTCAGTTGTTTACTCTCAGTACAGTATTCAATAAATTAATGAGATATTCTATACTTTATTATGCAGTGGGCTTTGTGTTAGATGCAGTGGGCTTTGTGCAGTGGGCTGTGTGTTAGATTTTTATTATGCAGTGGGCTTTGTGTCAGTGGGCTTTGTGTTAGATGATTTTGCTCAACTGTAGGCTAATGTAAGTGTTCTGAGAATTTTTAAGGTAGGCTAGGCTATAATGTTCAGTAAGTTAGTGGTATTAAATGCATTTTCAACTTACAAATATTTTCTACTTGCAATGGATTTATCAGGACATAAACCTGTTGTCAGTTGAGAAGCATCTATATTAGGTTAACAACATGTTTTCAAATGATCTTCCAACTCTAGATGGAAGATCAGTCTGCATTAGTATTTCCAAAGTATTAAAGAAAAATAATTTACAACTTGGAATCCTAGATTTGTGAAAGCTACCCTTTATTATGATTAAACAATGTAATAATTACTTCTAGGCATTAATGCTTCAGAAATTTTGCCATGCCAAGACTCACAATAGAAACAGTTTTGGATGAAGTAACTTAAATAAGGGGAAAATTATCAAGGAAATATTTCAAGATTTAAGGTGGTATGTATAGTGCCAAATATATGCATACTTATAATAACATTATGTGGACTAAACTCACTAGTTAAAAGACAAAGATTGAGAGTTTGGATTTTAAAAGTTCCAGACCAGAGATAGGTTCTTGTTTTTCAGAGTACACCTAAAGCATAAGGATAATAAAAAATTGAATTTAAAGAATGTAAAATCATACACCAGGCAGATACTAACCGAAATAAAACCACTATAATATTAAAGCCAAATAAAATAAACAAAAACAAACACAAAACATTATTGAGGTAGGAAGGTTCATTACCTTCTATTTGATAGTTAATAGAACCTGCTATTTTCATAGGTTCTGTTAACCGAAAGGATGCAGAAATTTTAAAGTTCGAGTTTCTAAAATAGCCTAAAAATATAAGGCAAAGAAGGTAGGTATAACTAAAGGAGTAAGTCCCAAACTGACCATAATGGAAATATTTTGCTCCTGTTATTGACAGATAAAACAGAACAAAAAAATAGAAAATATGAAATAAGAGGTAACAAGTGTGACCCACTAGCTATACAGATAAAAATAAAGGTTCTCCCCCATCTTATTCTCAGAATATTCACAAAATTGATCAATACTAGGCCATAAAAGGTCTAAATTTCAGTGAATAGATTATTATACAATATGTGATTTAGAGAAGTAGAAGTAATAATAAACAGGAAGAAAGATAGCATTGCTTTTTCAGCACTCATAACTCAAGGAAAGTATAGCACCAGAATCAACTGCTTCCCTTTGTTTTCTGTTTGTTTTGTTGTTGTGTTATCACATTGTTTCATATATGATGAGAATTTTTTTTAATCCTTCTATTGTTTGTGTATTTCTAACTTTGTTACTTTACCATGCATTTTCCCTCCCAAAGCCCCCCCTCTTAAATCTCATACGGCTTTTCATTTTAAATAATAGAATAAGTATTTAGGAGTTTATAGCATTATATAATATAAACTTCTAAGTTTAGCGTTCCTATGTTTCTAACTTCAAAACAAAGCCAAACAAACAAACAAAAAAATCAAACAAAACAAAGCAAAAGCTTGTTGAGTTAAAGCAGTTACCTGAGTTAGGTAGCAACATAAATAAAGCATTAGTAGATATTTATTTATAACTGAAACCAATAATGAGGAAATTGGAACATTTACAAAAATACAAATTTAAAATCTATACTTACATACTTTTTAGTCTCAGATTCTGAAGTGAATGACAAATTAAAACAAGAAAATTGTGGGGGCATGATACATGATTTCCATGATATATGCTAACACATATTCTATGACTTACTTAACAAAATAGTTTCCTTTGAACAAGATAGTGTTTTAAGTGGAACTGAAGAAGGGTGATTTGTGCTGCTGTGCCTCAATGGAATTGCTGAAAATTACTCTTCTTATCCTTTGTTCCTAACAGTTTTTACTTTACTTTTTCATTGCCAGCTGGAAGGAAAATGGGTCTACAAAAACGACTCTTAGAAGTAAATGAGAATTCATTGAGGAACATTAAGCGTTTTTGGATGGTAATTTGCTTGATTAGTTGCAAACAGCATATGTGTTCATGTTATTCTTAGATTTCTCTTGTGTGTACTTTCAGAACATGTATCTTGTTTTCCATGTGTTTCTTATCCTTATCCTTTCTTCTCCTTGGAAGAAAAAGGTTGCCTATGACAACTAAAGTTATATTTTTAGTTCATTTATATTATTTGCCCAAATATTCCTTTTTCTTCCAGTGTGAAGTGGAATGTAACCAAAATATATGCCTGCATCAGCCAGATGTCATCTTCACTTCTCTCCATTAAAAACTGTAGTTGACTTTTTAAGGATCCATGCCAGAGACCAGAGAATATTTAAGCTAGACTTCAGTTAAAATAATTTATTTTTACTCAATCCAAAGTATCAATCACTTTTCTACATACGCATTAAAAACACTTACACACACACACACACCAACCTGTGGACACACACATATTTACAAGGAAACATTTTTCAAGCATTTTCAACAATTTCAACATTAAAGCTTAATTTTTGAAATCAAGACTATCCAGAAAATCTAAGATATATGTATTCACAAGCAGTTATTACAGTTTAAACCTACTTTGGCTTTTCCTGTTTTTAATCTCAGTTTTTCATAATGAGAATACACACCATCTTTAGTTTAGGGGATATGATTTCAAATTGATTTTATTTTGTTCACATTTAATTATGTTAATAATATTCCCCATTAAAATAGGATCCTATAGATTCTATAAAACTGTAAATTAGAAAATGCATCATCCAGTGACTCATTTGGTAACATATGTAAGATCCTTGTGGTAGTCAGCAAGCTACTTTTCCTCAGTTTCAAATCTTGCCTTCTATATATTGTTTTGGGATGTTGTGGTCGACACTCTACCAATAACATTTTTTTATTTTGCCAGATAGCTCCAGCCCTGCCAGTAGGGGGTGGTAGAGACGGTAGTAGTAGGCTGAAGAAGAACAAAAGGAACTGTTGATTTCTGATTGCTTTCTGTCTTATCAGTCACCCTTCAGGCTGTTCATTCCACTGGCAGTGGCAACATGGCAATTCCCCCATCCCCCATCCCTGCCACATTTTGAGAATCAACCTGAATATGCTTCAGTTGGTGGGCTCTCCTTCCTCTTACAGCTCAATCCCAGCTCCACGGGGCTACTTCTCTAAGCTTCTGAGGGACCAGTATTAGTCCAGCAGGTTCTCTCCCTTGGGATCTGAATCAGCTCTGTAGAGCTCCCCCATCTTTTTTCTTTTCTTTTCTTTTCTTTTCTTTTCTTTTCTTTTCTTTTCTTTTCTTTTCTTTTCTTTCCTTCCCTTTCCTTCCTTCCTTCCTTCCTTTCTTTCTTTTTCTTTCTTTCTTTCTTTCAGAC
This sequence comes from Homo sapiens, assembly GCF_000001405.40. Classification (NCBI taxonomy): domain Eukaryota; kingdom Metazoa; phylum Chordata; class Mammalia; order Primates; family Hominidae; genus Homo; species Homo sapiens. The sequence goes on from NC_000004.12 coordinate 176,964,738, forward strand.
GGAGTTTCACTCTTGTCACCCAGGCTGGAGTACACTGGCAAAATCTTGCCTCACTGCAGCCACCGCCTCCTGGGTTCAAGACATTCTCCTGCCTCAGCCTCCTGAGTAGCTGGGATTACAGGCACCCAAGACCATGCCCAGCTAATTTTTTGTATTTTTAGTAGAAATGAGGTTTTGCCATGTTGAGAAGGCTGGTCTTGAACTCCTGACCTCAGGTGATCTGCCCACCTCTGCCTCCCAAAGTGCTGGGATTACAGGCGTGAGCCACCTCGCCCAGCCCCTTCCCCATATTTCTAAGTTTCCCACTTCTTCCCTTTGTTTTCCAGCCCTAGTGATAGCAGCTGGTGTTGCTTCCTCTGTGATACCTTAATGTTCCCCTTATTTCCGTCTCTGCTCCTCAATATCTGATTAATAACTCTTTATATTAGATTATCTTTAGCAATTTTTTTTTTTGAGACAGAGTCTCACTCTGTTCCCAGGCTGGAGTGCAGTGGCGGCAATCTTGGCTCACTGCAGCCTCCGCCTCCCGGGTTCCAGCAATTCTCCTGCCTCAGCCTCCTGAGTAGCTGGGATTACAGGGGTGCACCACCACCCCTGGCTAATTTTTGTATTTTTAGTAGAGACAGGGTTTCACCATGTTGGGCAGGCTGGTCTTAAACTCCTGACCTCAGATGATCCACCTGCTTCGGCCTCCCAAAGTGCTGGGAATACAGGTGTAAGCCACCGCTCCTGGCCATCTCTAGCAATTTAAATGGTGTACTTTCTGTCTCCTGGCTGGACACTGACATAATGCATTTTGTTCTAATAATCAGAACCTCTACCATTTAATGGGAGGGGATATTGTAACTACTACATATAACCTGTCAGCAGATATTTTATTTCCTTTAAGGGAGTGAGCTTTTTGACACAGACTGTTAGATAAATTATTTGGAAGTTATTTCCAGTATATCTTTTGAGAGTATTAGTTAAAATTGAAAAGAGTATTGCAGTTACAATTAGTTTACTAACCAACTCATCAATTGATTTAATTATCCATCAGAAATAAAAATCACATTAAAACATACAGTTGTAAAGCCTACAAATTATTCTGTACATTTTAGTCATAAACATTGAGAAGCATTAGTCATATACATATTAGTTCTTTTTTTCTATGAGCAAGCAAGGCATACAAATTAATAAATATTAAATTATCCAATGATACAAATAACTATCTGAAATTGGAATAACTTTATTTTCAAGCAATTTTTTGCTTTTTGTGGAGAGGCCTACATAACAAGGAAAAAATTAATTTAAAAAATCAAAATTACTTCATTTCAGGGACATATTAACCATTCAACCTTTCAACCACATAGTATTTATAAAATGTAAAAAATACATTGACATAATCTAGTGTATTTCTAATTTGCAAGGTCTATGCCTTTCCTCACCATGACCATGTTGTTCTTTTTTTAAGCTTTTTTTAAACAGTTATTTTTTCAGCTTTACTGAGATATAATTGACAAAAATTATATATATTCATGGTGTATGATGATGATTTATGTATATATACATTGTACAAGGATCACCACAATCAAATTATTATAATTAACACATCCCGCACCAAACATAGTTACTATTTGTGTGTATATGTGTCCAGTGAGGACAGTTAAGATCTGCTCTCTTGGTAAATTTTGTGTAAACAATACAGTATTGGTAACTATAATTAACATGATAATGTTAGATCCTTACAGCCTCTTCATCCTATAATTCTTTGTCCTTAGTCACCCCAAGTCACCAGTGTTGATAATTCATTAACTGTCTAATCCCTGGCCATGCCATCAACGTCAGGAACCTACCCCGTGAATAGAAACTAAACATATATTGTATAATCAATTCAGTCGGTGTTAGCCATGCCAGACGGCGTGAAAAGGGGCAGGCATGGAACTCTGGCACAAATGTGCATACGCAGAAGAGACTGTTAGTTGCCTTCCTTAATAAACATTTCCCCCTTATTCTTGCTGACAGCATCAAAGATGACAATGTTCTCAGGAGTATGAGTATATATTTCTTAGATACACTTGAAGCTAGGTTCAACAGGAGTTCGAGATCAACCTGGGCAACATGGCAATACCCTGCCTCTAAAAGACATTTTAAAAAATTAGCCAGGCATGGTAGCATGCACCTGTGGTCCCAGCTACGTGGGAAGCTGAGGCAGGAGAATCATCTAGGCCGAGAAGTTTGAGGCTACAGTGAGTCGTGTTCGTACCACTGAACTCCAGTTTGGGTAACAGAGTGAGACCCTGTCTCAAACAAAACCAAACCAAACCTAAATTGTGTTTATGAAATGTCATCAGTAATGTTCTGCATATTTTCAGGGTGTTTAATTGTAAGGCAGTGAATGAGAATTATACTCCTGGCTAGGAGAGCTTAGAAAGTAGTAGAATAGCATCTGTGCGGAAAATTCCTGTAAAGTTCCAGTAAGCTACAAATATAAAATATATAACTGCAGTCAAGAGCTACTGAGACAAGAACTGGAGTAAGACTTAAAAAAAAAAAAGCTAAAGACAGGTTGTCAGGAGCTCCACTGAGCTGGAGAGACAGAGCTAAACTGCTGGGTGTCAGAGAGCAGTCAATTAAAGCAACAAGTCACAAATGAAAGAATCCTTTAATCGGTAGTGAAATTGCAAAAGTAAGAGGCTAAAACCAAAGGAAAGGCTGACTCTCCGTTTCATTTTCCCTTAAGGAATGTGCACCAGCCAAGGGGCTGGGGGATCAGCAGAGGCATGGAGGATGCCTCACTGTTGAGAGAACTTCAAACAAAAGGTCCCCACAGTTTTATCGAGTCTAGGATCAGGGGAAGCATGAGGGGGTGGGCTAGGAGTAGAAAAGTACTGGGTACTGAGTCAGAGTGGGGAAAAGTATATTGGAGGTTTTCTCCTCCTCTCCTCATAAGGAGACTTTGGCAGAAACATCCAAAGAGGACCTCGATTCAAGGCTGCAGATAAAGAGATGAAGCTTCCAGGGCTAGGCATGAAAATGTGCCAGGAGCATGAGGGGCCAGAGAGTTGCAGTCCTTGACTACAGCTCCCTTCAGAGGCTGCAATTCACTGGCTGTGCACCAAGTGTGCTGTGAGGAGGGCAGCTTTCTCCTTTAACGTCTATCAGGTAAAGTCTTTGTAGTTGCGTATTTCAGGCCAGGCCTGAAAAAATCACACATAGGTTTTGGAGGTAGACCCTTCAATATTTAAATAATTTTTGCATCTGCTTTTGCTCTAGGGTCAATTGATAGCTCCAGGCAGCAGCAAGAGGCTCAGAATCAGAGCTGCGAATGCTGTTGGAAGATGAAGGAATCAGTAGTTATGGTGGAATTTGGCAGCCCAATCATATGGTCAACTTTCCCCTGAAAACATTTGCTAAATGCTGAGCTATAGAGAGATTAAAAAGCTAAGAGGACAGACTCTGAAAAGTATAACAGACCTATAAGCAATCATATAAGACAACAACTATGGTTCAGAATCTGAGCCCGGGAGGGGTCACAGAGAATACACAAAGCTTTTGGCTGACTCAAGATCAAACTAAAAGTAGAATAAAATGTTAATGAGGCTTCAATGCAGTCAAGACTCAGAACAGTTCCAGATAAGCCTCTAGTGTTTTATCCTAAGAGGAGAAAGACAAATGTTGTCTGGAGGGAAACATTATTACCTTAAACCTCTACAATTTTTCACTATGGAATCACTAACACTTAATAAAAATTACTAGACCACAATAAAAAGCTCAAAAACAACAAAATAAAAAAGTAAAATGGACTGAAAGCACACTTATGGATGATTGAGATGCTTGAGACACTGGAGTTAGCCGAGAAAGACTTCAAAACAAGTATAAGTAGAGTATTGCAATACTAGAAAACTAGATGAATAAAAAGGTGTTTCAGCAGAAAATTGACATTTATAAAAGGAAAGAAATAAACTTTCAGAACTAAAAATAAATTTTCAAAGAATGGTTATATCAACAGAATGAACATAGAGGTCAAAATTCTGAAATTGACAGGTTAATACAAAATTCAAAACTGAAATATATAGAGAAAAAAGAGCATGAAAATAGAACAGTTCTAAGAGATTTGTGAGACAAAATAGTTTTGATATATATGTTATATTCATTTGGAGTCCCAAAACAAGAGGGGAAAAAATAAGGCAGAGGCCATTTTTAAAGAGATAATGGCAAGAATTTGACAAAACAAGCTACAAAAACATCAAACAACAGATTAAGTTCTGCAACACAGGCAAGACAAATACAAAGAAAACCCCACATCGTAATAAAATCACAGAAAAGCAAAGACAGTGAAAATCGTAAAGAAACCTGATGAGAAGAAACATTACCTTCAAAGAACAACAAGGAGATATGCAGATGACTTCTGCAGAGGAACACTGAACATCATGATAATTCAGGGTATATTTAAAAGGATGAAATATAATAACTGCTAATATAGAATCCATTAGTCAGCAAAAGTTCCTTCAAGAATAAAGTGAAGTACAGATATTTTCCAAGAAAAATACTAATATCTTTTTAAAAAATCACACTAACTGGTATTCATAAAGCAAAAGAAAATATACAGTGAAAATTGAATACATTTAAAAAATAAATATAAAAGTAAATATAAATGAATAATGCCTGTAAAAAGACAATAATGGGTAGTGTTGATTTAAATAACAATTTAGTATTAAAATGCATAGCAATGATTTTACAAAATGATGGGAAGGTAAATAGAATTAAAGTGCTCTAAGCTTCTAACATAATAAGGGGGAGGGAGAGGTAAAAGCAGTGATTTTTTAGATTGCACTATGTAAAAGATGCATGTTGTAATTGTTATCATTATTACTAAATAAGAAGCCAAGGTAATTTTAACAGTTTAATTGAGCAAAATGAAATAGTTATACAATATTTTATTACAAGAGGAAAAAAGAAAAGAGAACATAAAACAGATGGATTAAATTAAAAGCAAATGATGGTAGAGTATATCTGAACCCAAATATGTCAGTAATTATATTAAACTTAAATTAATTAAATTCTCCAATTAAAAGACTAAGGAGCCAAAGAGTACATAAGCCATATGCACCTGTGTGAGTATCCTGGGGAACTATGGGGAGGGACAAAATTTTTATAAACTTTAAATATAAAGTATATAAATAAAATAGAAAGTTTGTTGAAGACAGGGGGCCAAGGGACAATTCTACCTGTGAGGAAAGGAGACACCCAAATTCAACTGATGAAATTTGGGAAAGGCTCACAGTGGGGAAAGGAAGAAATGTGACCTTGTGGATGAGACCTTTGGGGTATTCACGTTTCTGTTGTTGCTTCTATGTCTGAAATTGATGTGGGACGCAGTTGTGCTTCTCTTTTCCACGTGCACTGAGGGATCCCTGATTGGGAAGTGCTGCAAGCAGAGAAGTGTCAGTGGAGCACAGTCCTCCACCATTTGCCATCGGGGAATGTTGGAGGGGAATGGAAGTGCCTCTATCCTCTTATTTTAAAGTCTTCAGAATATTGGTGATCTCCTGCTGGTTGGCAAGTCACAAGCCTCAGTCACAATGGCACTGAATTTAGAGATATCACACTTTTTCTCTGAGGGATACCTGATACACTCCAAAGTAGTACAGGAGCTTGCTCTATGAGAGAAGTTTATTCGGGCCTATGTGGATGGATTTAAAAAACACAATCCCTCTGGAAGTGAGGGAAAAACTGACATTGTTTTCAGCCTTCCACCACCAAAAGGCAGATTGAAAAGCTTACTGGAGTCTGAGTGTTGAGTACAGTATGTGCTACACTTGGCCCTTCATTTGTTCATTTATGTTGGCTAACGTGCAAATCATCACCCTTTGAATGGATCCCAAACTAGCAGGCAGAACTGGAAGCTATCCAGCAAGCTGAAGCACACGCTCTACCTATGGAAGCTCCCCATTTTAATGATTCCTTTGAACTGTAACCTTCGTGACTTATAATTTTGCTGATTGGACCCTCTAGCAAAGACAGGCAGCCTCAAAATAACGGTTCTCCTTGGAGCTTAGAACTGGTCACCTTCCTGACACAGTTACTAGGCACACTCCTTTTGAAAAGTGGCCATTAGTTTGCCACTCAGCTCTTGTCGAAAATGAATGTCTGATCTGGGGAGGCTCTGTGATTCTCCAGCCTGAAATTCACAATTTGGGGTGGGACAACTCAGATACAATGACTAACACAGCAGGAAACACCCCACAAGCCTTATTTGTCACATTGAAAGAGTATATTCAGTCTTACAGCTTGCCTGGCTCTAACGCTATCTTGGCTCTATATAACCTTTGGGGAAAACTTTATCTTCTGTTCTGCCTTTGGCAGTACAGCCCCTGGCTTAATGGTGCGTTTGGTTTACAGAAATTGCACTAAATGCCTGGTTCTTGTACCCTAGTGGTTTGGCAACACTGAAATTTGATGTTTTCCGTTGAGCTGTTGTGGAACTGAAAATAGGCATGATTCTTCCACTCAGTGGGGAGAATCAAGGTTGGTCTCGTAGCTCCAGCCGATAATGTGCTTAATAAAACTTGTTAGAGATTTTCTGATACTTGATCTGTTGCCAATGGCCTAACTCGTTGGTATCCCACCTGAAAAACTACACACGGGCAGATGAATGACACCCTTCTTGGGGATGCTAACTGTGGAAACCTTGTGACTGGTGATTAGACAACCTACGTGACTCACAGAGCAGGCTGGATGGTTATGTTGAAGGTACTTTGAACCTGCACCCCTCACCTGATGTGTGTCACACACAAGTGCCCCCAACAATTGCAAAAATACTTTATCTCTGGGGACCCATGTGGTCCCAGAATAATACTTCTTGTGTAGAAGCCCAGCGAATTGTATCTTAGGGGTGGTCATAGAGATCTTAAAGTGTTTAAAGAAACACATTAGACCGTGTAACCCTCAGATGATTGTGGGAAACCTCTGAAAAATGAGGACCCAGATGGGAGCTTCTAGAGGGATAAATGACTCATTATTTTGTGCTAGAAGTTACCTCTATTATCGGAGTCATCCAATTAGAAAAAGTAGTATAAAATTTGTCCTTGACTATAGCTGAAGTGAACAATGACACAGCGTTAGCCCTGGAAGGCATTCATGATAGCCTTAACTCACTGGCCCAGGTTGCTTTGAATGATAGAAATGCTCTAGACTTTCTTCTTGCCAGCCAAGACGGAGTTTGTACAATTACTAATACATCCTGCTGTTCTTGCATTAGTGTTTCTGGCAAAGTGGAAAGCTCAATACAAAGACTTAAAGAGAAATCCAACTAGCTTTCTAAGGTCAACACTGATCGTTTATGGGATTTGTTGAGGGGCGCTGAGCCCTGGGGGTCATGGCTAACATGATACTGCAGATTGACCTCATTGTGCTGTTTGGAGTCCTATTGATAAATGCCTTAATTAAATGTTGTGTGAGACAAATTGAATAGATTTTGTCCCAGCTTCTGTCAATCGGATTAATCAGAGTGGATGACAAAGTTGCGTATCTCTGGGAATATTTGCCAGAAGCCAAGACAGTGTAGAACAAAGAACAGATATTATTAAGATACAATATTCTCCATAGATTTATTTTGTTTCTGCAGGGCTTGCAAACATAGGAACTTTTAGCTTTTGTTCTGTACTATCTATTTGTATTAAAAAACAGCCTTGAAAAATAGAGATAATTTTTACCTTAAGAGCAGAGGGCAGGTTTGCTTACGGCCTAATATAAAAGGTTTTTGTTCCCTAAGCTCGAGGAACCTCAGATTTGAACCAAACCCACTGCATGGGTGCCATGCATCTGAGCCCCTCCTTTTCAAACCTACTGGGGAGCAAGTGATGTGAGCATCATGGCCATGCTGCTTTCTGTGCTGTGAGTAATAAAGTCCCTTTCTCTGACCCAAGATCTCGTATCTTCTGCCAATATCCATGAAACTGTGGTGGGATAATTTGTTAGCTTAATAGTGTGACAGAACCTCAGACTTTTCACCATTCTTGACACACGCATCACAAGCAAGTGATATTTCAGCTGGGAAACTAAGTGTGGTTGGTCACTCAAAAATCAAGCAGTGCATGGAATTTCTGATAATGGCAGCATGAAGGTTGTTACATTTCTTCTGAAAATCACAATTACTTTAAAAATGGACAAAATTATTAAAACCAGTAATTTGAATGCAATTAAATTGCAAATAAATCACCAGGAAAGCGACCGGTTACAAGCACAAAGTAAAGGAGAGTTTACTATTGAAGAAATGCAACTGCATTGGTTAAAAGCAGCAATTGTGTGACTTTCTTGACTGAGCGTGCTCTCTTACACCCCCAGGTCTAAGCATGGCCTTATCAGCTCAAGGTGAGAGATGTTAGCACTGAGAGAAGCAGACCCGTGGAAATTGAAAGGGAAATTCTAGAAATGAAAGAGCCACATAGGTGCTGAGATTTAAAATCAAAGTCCATGTTCCCAAATTCCTGGCTCACTGCTAAACTATGCACGTGTGCAGGAGGCTGGCAAATAAAGCAGGCAGAAACTACAGAGAGGCCTACTGTTCAGAAGCAGACTGCTTCTGATGAGATGAGTTCACCACACCCTTGAATGTATGGGTTCCTCTATCTATACAGCTCAAAATATGCAATGAAAATGCAATGCTGGCTAGCTTGAGAACACAGGGAAAACACAGGGAAACTGGGACTGGCATAGCAACTGGAAAATTAAGCGAGGAGCCAGGCAAACAAGACAAACAGATAAGATGGACCCAAAAATACAGTATAAACACTGAACTGACTGCCAAACTGTTTAGGGACAAGGGACACCCTCTAGACACCACATTACAAAAGCAGAAAGGCGAAGACCCCCCACACACACACACACACCCAAAAATGAGCAGCTGCATCACGGTGTGGGGAAGAATGATGCAGCAGGGTGAGTTCATGCTGGTTAAACGCCTAGTAGAACACCACACCAGCAATTTCTGTAAGAAAAAAATTGTTTCCAAAGTTATTCCGGCTTTCTTTTGATTAGTGTTAGCATGATATATCTTTTTTCATTCCATTACATTTAAACTATTTTGGCCTTTATACTTAAGATGTGTTTTCTATAGGTAATATTTAGTTGTGTGTTACGGGTTTTTAAATTGATATATAATAGATGTACATAGTTTCAGGGTACATGTGAAAATTTAATGCATTCATATAATTTGTAAAGATCAAATCAGTTACTTGGGATATCCACCACCTTAAATATTTGTCTTTTCTTTTATGCCAGCAATTCCAGTACTGAGTATACAACCAAAAGAAAGAACATCAATATACTGAAAAGACATTCATGTTTATTGCAGCACTATTCACAGTTCACAATAGTCAAAATGTAGAATTAATCTGTGTCTATTAACAGGTGAAATGTTAAAGAAGATGCTGTATATATACACAATAGAATATTATGCAGCCATTAAAAAGAATAAAATCTTATTATTTCCAACAATATGGTTGAAACTATATTTACATGCATATAAGATCTGTCAATCTTTCTCTGTCAATTCGTGTGATAGGTAATTTATATTTGATTCTTTATATGGTTAGGTTTAAATCTACTATCTTACTTTTGTTTTCTACTTGTCCCATCTATTCTTTATTCCTTTTTTCTCTTTTACTTATTCTTTTGTATTAACTGAGCATTTTTAATAATTCTATTATTTTTCCCTTGTTGGCTCACTTCTCATGACTCTGTATAGTGTTATTTTCATGGTTGTCACAGAGATTATAGTGTACATCTTTAATTTATGACAGTATATCTTCAAGTGATATCATATTACCTCATGTATAGTGTAAGAACCTTGAACAATATACTTCTATTTCTTTCCTCCCAGCTTTGTACTATTGTCCTCCATTTTACTGCGACATATGCTATATATCTATCAATACATTATTATTTTTCTTGCTTTAAGCAGTATATTATCTTTTAAAGGGACATAAAATAAAGGATCCAATCTCTACATTTACCCATGTTGCTACCATTTCTGGTGCTGTTTATTTCTCTGGGTAAATCCATATTTCCATCTGATATTATTTCCTTCCACTTGAAGGACTTCTTTGAACACTTCTTTTAGTGAAGAATTCTTGATAATGTGTTCTTTAAGGTTTTGTATGCCTGATAAAGTCTATTTTTCTTCAGTTTAGAAAGATTATTTTCTCTAAAGAATTTTAGATTCACTTTTTTTCTATGTTTTAAAGAAGTTGCTCCATTTTCTTCTAGTTTGCAGTGTCTCTGATGATAAATCTGATATCACACTTCTTCTTTTTCTCTGTATTAACTTATCGTCAACATTGTATTGGATGTTATAGCCATCCAATAAACCAAGAAAAAAAGAAATAAAATGCATAAAGATCATTAAAATAGAAGTTTAATTTTTTCTATTTTAGATGATGTGATTGTTTAGGTAGGAAATTCAAGGCAATCTACAAAACAATGAGTAGAACTAATAGGTGGGTTTAGAACAATTTAGTTAATATACACAAATATTTATCCTATTTCCAAAATCCATAAAATACCTAGGAATCAATGTAGCAAAAATCACCCGTGCTTTTACATCAAAAAGACCAAATATTGATGAGATAAATAAAAGAGTATCCAGATAAATTTACCATATTATTAGATTAGAAGACTCAAAATTGTTGAGAAATTCTCTCGTAGTTGATCTGTAGATTCAACACAATTCAAATAAAAATTCTAGAACTTTTTAAAGAGTAATGAATAAGAAGATCGTCAAAGTTATACAGAAATGCTTAGAACTAAGAATATACAGGGCAGTTAAAGGAAGAACAACAACAGCAATGACAACAACAATAAGGAAACAATAACAAACTTGGAAGATCTTTCCTACCTGATGTCAGTTCCTATGAAAAAGCCACAGTAATCAGGACAATTTTGTATTAGCAAAAGATGGGCATATATATCAACAGAACAGAATGGAGTTGAGAAATATATATTTATATACATATACACATTTATAGTTTTCTGTACACACATATAGAAAGTATAACGTATTTACATATATAGCTAATTGATTTTCAAAAACATGTCAATGCAGTTCAATGAGGAAAGCAAAGTCTTTTCAATAAATGGTGCTGGATCAGCAGTGCATCTATATGTAATAAAACAAAACCAAACCATGAATCCTTACCTTTCAATGTACAAAAATTAACTTGAAATGGATCACAATCTATATGAAATACCTGACTTATAAAATTCCAGGAAAATATTTGGAGAACATGAGGTTGACAGATTGCTTGGATAGATGCAAAAAAAGTCCAAAACGTTTTTCAAAAATAAATTGGAGCTCGTTGAAGTTAAAAACTCTTGCTTTTCAGAAGATACCATTAAGAAAATGAAAAAGACAAGCTGCAGACATATAAAACATTTGCAAAACATACAAGATTCATATCCAGAATATGTAAAGTACTCTTAGAACTCAATAATAAGACAAAAACAAAACAAAAGAATACAATGGGCAAAAGATTTGAACAGATCTTTCAAAAAAAAAGTGATATGCAAAATGGCCAGGAAGCATATGAAAAATGCTCAACCTCATTACTCATCAGAAAAATGCATTAAATTAACTAACATTAAGAGATTTGTCACACAAAATGTTGGCCAGCATGTAGAGCAGCTGGAGCTCTCACATACTGCTGGAGAAACTTTAAAAAGGTAAACCACTGTGGAAAACTGACGGTTTCTTGAGAAGTCTAACGAGTACCTCCCACACAATTCACCCATTCCACTCTTAGTTATTTACTCAAGAGAAATAAAATCTAATGTCCAAAGAAAGACTCACACAAATGTTTAGAGTAGCTTTATTTCTAAGATCACAAAGTGGCGAAAACCCAAATGTCCAAAAATAGGTGAATAGATAAATAAATTGTAATATATTCATAAAAAGGAATACTTCTCATCAATAAAAAGAAATGATTATTGATACACAGAAGATACAGATGTATTTCAAAATAATTATTTTGATGAAAGAAGTAGGGCAAAAAATAGACTATACCATACAATTCCATGTAGAGAAAATTCTAGAAAATTCAAACCAATCTATAGTGACAGAAAGCAGATCAGTGATTGCCTGAGATTGTGGCTGGATTGATAACAAAGGGGAACAAGAATTGCATCTGGATTGATAACAAAGAGGAACAAGAAAACTTTTTATTATAATGAACATGTTCACTATGCTAATTGTGGTGATGATTGTATAAGTATGTACATATATATATACACACACACATATATTTGACATATATATATAAAATGATCAACTTGTTTAACTTAAATAGGTAAGGTTTATTTTACTTTATATCAATAAATTTGTAAAAAATTATCAGTTTTCATTTGAATAATCTTACTAGGATTTTCCATGCTGTATTAAATTTCACAATGAAAATATAAACATTTAACATTTTTTCTATATTTACTATTTCGTACGTTCTACTTTTGGCTTTAATTTATTTAATTTTACATAAATGTTGGCATATTTAAATTGCTTATTATTTGGGTACACTGAGATTTTTCAATCATTTTATATCTTTAGATATACATATCAACGAGTGGTTCTCAATGAAGAGTAGAGGGTAATTTTGCCCCTTTCCTCTCCAGGGTACATGAGATATTTTTGATTGGCACATCTGGAAAGGTGCTACTGGTAACTAAGAGGCAGAGGCCAAAGATACTGATAAATATACTGCAGTGCACAGCACAGGCCACTCAAATAAAGAATTATTCAGCCCAAATGTCAATAGTACTAAGACTGATAAATTCTGATGTAAATTATTTATTCAGTTGTGTTTTAAAATAAAAAATAAAAATGAACCAACAAAGAAAAATATCAATTTTAAGTGCATAAAAAAAAATTAATTCAAAGTAATTTTGTTGATTAGTAACAGATTAGACAGTTTATAATTTAAATTACTTTGGAAAATCTACACATTTAGTATAATGCAACATTCTGGCATCTTGTTAAAATTTTAAAAATGGCCTTTTCATTCCGAAAAAGAGACTTATAATAACTCCTAGAGAGACTCAGAATAACTATTAGAAATGTTTCCAATTAGCAGTTATATTTGCATAAAAATATGAGACTTCATTATATTTTACAGTAATTTAAGACAATGATAATGTCCTAACTATCTAAAACAATTGAAATCTGAGTATTAAATACTCTTTCTTCCTTTCCCAACCCATCTTGCCACACATATCACTGAAACCCTATTGATTTCACTATTAGTTTTCCAGGAAATCTTTTCACGAAGAGAACAGGTGTAAGGAAAATTACAGCATAATAAACAGAACAAGAATGTACTATAGCCTATGGAATGTAGTGATACTTTCTATTATTTTTAAAACTCTATTGTTAACATGAAAAATGGCATTTCACAAGATCAACTTAATAAATGTCTTTTATGAAAATAGTGAATTCAGTTACACTGGTTAAATTTGGACATATTTTTCATAGCAAATGTTTTAAAACTTTATTCTTAAGACAATCTGCATCTTCAGAAATATCCTCTATTTCATTCTATTACTTTCCAAGTATAAGTTATATGCCTTTTCATTATTTTGTTATCAATTTGGAATAGTCAGTTAGAGGAATGCCATAGCTTTCACCCTCTTGATGTATTTTAAATCCACTTTAAAGCTTAGACATAAACATAGTAGCACAAGACTAATTTAAGATTAGATATGAGGTATCTTTCTAAATGTTGTTTTAATTTGCCCAGTGGGAAAAGAGAAACTCTGCAGCTTAATCCCATTAATTAGCTTTTGGCAAACTCAGTTACAAACAGTTTTAAATCCTATCTCATTCTAGTGTATGGAGGTTTAGTAAAACGTGCTGATAGCTCTAGCTTGCCCTTACTGTTCTAATTTTAATCACGCCTCTAACTCATTACTGCTGTGGCCTCCTTCTACAAAGCATAGAAGGAAGTTGCTTCCAGGGACTACTTTTTTAGGTTTAACTAAAAACATTTCTTAAAAGGACTTAAAAATAGCATATTAGCTATACTACACCTTAAATAAATTTATGGTTTCAACATATGAAATCTGAAGCAAACCTTATGAATAAAATTTCCAATGCTAACACTCAGTTATGGTATCATGATGGGTTGACTATAATCAGGAGAGAAAATTAATTCCCCAACTAGGCAAGCTTTGCTTACATTGAACCTACATCTTTATAATGAACCACAAAGAGCATTGTAGCTCACTAATATGTGTAACCCTAAGGAATAGCTGATAGAAAACACCACAATAAAAGAAAGACAAGCCTAAAAATCTACTGTAGTTGTAAAAAGAACATCAGGGAATGCAATTCCCATAAGCACTGTCTGTGTTCCATAATTATTTTTAGGCAGCAAATAAAAAGGTTTTATTATGGAGATTTGGATGACTACCCTTAAAAGAAGAATTCATATAGATGTTTTAAATAAAATCACTAGGTCTTTGATAATAGTGTTGATTTTCTTAAAATAATAGGACCATCACCAACATGTTGCTGGTAGCAAATTTTTCATCGAGACTTTTTCATATTCATATTTTTTATTAAACTGCAGTCAAAAATAATCTTGCACAAGAATTTCTTTAATCAACTATCTCTCCAGTGCTTCAATGTTCTTCTTTTCTCTTTTTATTTTATTTTTAATAAATTGTTTCCCAGTTTATTTTGGTCTTTTCTGGATTCTGCAAACAATTATTGAGAGCTTAGTGTATTCTAGGCATTGTGTTAAGCACATAAAAATATTGTTCCCTCTAATTCAACAACAATCCTATGTGAAGATACCATTACACGTCACAGAATTGTGAAAGATGGGGCTTACAAGGTTAATTACTCAGTCATTCAGACAGAAAGTGACAGAATTAGAATTTAGAACTTCCTGTTGCCCAAGCCTAAACTCTGCCTCCCTGATTACTTTTCATATCACTTTCCCTCATATACTACTTGTCCACAATATCTTTCTGTTTCCTAAATGACAGCAGTGTTCCTCAAGTCACTGAGTTTAAACATGTATATATAAATTCCCATACTGAACTTCATCTTTGACTGACTTAGTATTCCTTATAGTTGGAATGTGTCCCCCAAAAGTTTACGTGTTGGAAACTAAATTCCTCTGCTTTCATGAGTGGATTAATGTTGCTATTGTGGGAGTGTCTTTGTTAAAAAACGGAGTTATTTCTGGCTCTCTTACCATGTGATGATGCAGCAGTAAGGCCCTCACCAGATGCTGGCACCATGCTCTTGCACTTCCCAGTCTCCAGAGCCTTGATCTAAATACACTTCTTTTCTTTATATACTACCCAGTCAGTGTTTATCTGTTATAGCAAGAGAAAAAGGACTAAGACACTAAATTTATTTTACACCAAAAGTAACTTGAAGAAGAAAGTAGATAATTTATTTACTTAACAAGTAGAGAGTTTAATTACTGATAACCATACAGCAAAGTATGATAAAATATTAACACTAATTTCATATAAACAGAATATAAATTACTTTTGCATTGCTTAAATTGCCTAAGCTACTTTAAGTTTAAAAATGGTGATTTACATTGTTATATCAAGGGAAAGCTGAAATTATTCCAGGAATAGTCCAAAGTCTTGCCTATTTCATAGTGGCCTCCCCATCCAAGAGAAATGTCACTACCATGACTAATGCAGATACTAGCGGAAAGGGAGGAAAGGGTCATTTTGGGCTCAGTACATTGAACATCTGTTAGATTTAGAGGAAATGCAGTTACAGGGACCTGATATTGCCACCATAATTATTAATGAGGATGTTAGAAGACTAAGAACTTAGATGTGTGAACATCTGGAAGAAATATGTTTGGTTCGATAAACATTTCCTGAATGGTGGGACATGCTATTTCTTCCTTTTCTCAGCAAGTTCACTATCTACTGTGTTTTATAATACATCAGTATAATTATGGTCGATGAATGATATTTATATATTTTACTAATTTTTCATAATTACATATTTGCATGTATAATTATTATTTACTGGGATAATATACTTAGGTGTCAATTACCTCTTCTTACCTTTTCCTAAGTCACATGAAAACCACTACCTTAGCTTTACATTAAAATACACTAAACTTCTTATAGAAAGGAATCCTAACTATGTAACGCATTAGTAATTCTGTTTCAGAGTTTTATCTCTAAACTTTATTAATGGTTAAAATATCTTAAGATTTAGATAACTTGAAGCCCTATGATGTAATCAGTAAGTCTATCTTAGCACATTTTCTGCTAATGTCTGCAGCTAATTCTGTATTCAAAATAATGATATAATTGGTAAATAAAATTTAACAGATAAATTCTGTTACTTCCACATCACAAAAGATTTTAACACTGTATAAAATGATTGTATGTGATAGCTATATTTAACATTAAATAGTGTAAGTGGTAACCAAGTAATTGGAAATAGTTCAGGTAAAAAGGAGGAAGTTGTAGAAGAATAAGATGACTCATGTAATTGAAGAGAGGACAAACTTAACAGCTGGAGCTCAGGAACTTCATCTTTCATATTGTCTTTTTTTTTTTTTTCTACAGGAGCTTTCAGCAAACATCAGGAAATGTGGTATCTGCCACTAAATTAACCTCACTTTCATGAATGCCCCTGCCACAGAGGGATTGACTGAAGCCCAATAGACCCAAAGAAGGACTCAGACTCACCAGCTTGGGCCATGTTTCCACCACTAACTGAAGTAACTGTGGCTACTAGAACATGTAGCCTGTGCTCTTAGCCATAGTGCTTCAGATAAGCACAATAATATTAGTGATCTATCACTTACTTCTATACTATGTGCCAGGTACAATTGTAAGTAATGTGCATACGTAGTATGGACTTAATCTCACCACAGCCCTATAAGGTCAGTATTATTATGATGACATTCATTGCATAGATGAGAAAATTGTAGCACAAAGAGTCCAAGTAAGTTGCTCAATGTTTTAGTAACTTGCATAACTAGTAAGTGGTACAGCAGAATTCCAAACTCAGGCAATCTCTGACTTTCAGTTCCATGTGAAAGCAAAAGCAAAAGTGGGGTTTTTGGGACCTTAATATGCTATACTCTGTCATTATTTTATAGAGGTACTTCATAGGGCAGAGTTTTTTCTTCCTAATTCATTCGTTTATGAAATACTGCCTTTCAGGGTCTTGGCTCTATTTGAAGCCTAACAAGACTTCCAAAATTTTGCTGGCCTTAAGTTTCATTTCCAGTCCTCTCTGTGTCTGTATGATTAAACTCAAAATGTCTAGCTACCAGGAATGAGCAGATGTCCTCAGAGCAAGTACTGGCTTTAGAGGATTGTTGCTTTTGTGGATTACACATTCTCACCATTTTGATATTGACGGATTTCTCTCCCTTTTCTCCACCCAAATGTGAATTTAAAGAGATTTATTATTTTCTATTCGGCATAAAAGTTGGTCTTTACCAGTAGGAATTGCCACAAAATAAAGTATAATTTTTATTATATTTAGAAATAACAGCAAGTTCTTGAGTAAACATAGTGAAAGTTAATAAACTTATCGTGAAATGCAAAGGTATGCAGATAAAATATCTAATTCTTTATTTTTTTGAGACAAGTTTTTCTCTACCACTCAGTCTGGAGTGCAGTGGCACAATCACAGCTCATGGTAGCCTCAAATTCCTGGGCTCAAGCAATCCTCTCACCTCAGCCTCCTGAGTAGCTACGACTACAAACGCACCACCACACCCAGCCACTCTTTTCATTTTTTGTAGAGACAGGGTCCTCCTGTGTTGCCCAGGCTGGTCTCAAACTCCTGGGCTCAAGCGATCCTCTTACCTTGACCACCCAAAGTGCTAGCATTTCAGGCATGAGCCACCACGATCAGTCTGAAAATATCTAATTCTTAATAGAAATGTGATTTGAGAATAAATCAATAGCTGTAAAAACTCCATATTAGTAGTGTCCATCCATTTGTAAATTTGAAAATTGTTTGGTGCTCATAAATGTCAGGAATCTACTGGAGAATCTAAATATAGAAGTGGAATTTCTTTTCTTTATACTCTAGCATAAATTTGTCTATATTTTTTAATTTGCCAAGGCATGCTAAGATTTGTCAAAAAATATAATTTCAACTTTTATTTTAGATTCAGGGAATACACGTGCAGGTGTAATACATGTGCATACCGTGTGATGCTGAGGTTTGGGGTATAAAAGGTCCCGTCATCGAGGTAGTGAACATAGCACCCAATAGTTACTTTTTCAGCTCTTGCTTTCCTCCTTCTCTTCCTCATCTAATAGGCCCCACTGTCTATTGTTCCCACCTTTATGCCCACGTATAGCCAATGTTTAGCTCCAACTTATAAGTGAGAAAATGCAGTATTTGGTTTTCTGTTACTGTATTCATTTGTTTAGGATAATAGCCTCCAGCAGCATCCATGTTGCTACAAAGAATATAATTTCATCCTTTTTATGGCTATGTATTATTCCATAGTGTATAAGTGAAGGAGAAACTTTATATTTTTCACACAAGCAGTCACCAAGGGAACTCATTACCACTAGGCAAGTCTTACAAGAGATCCTTAAGAGAATTCTAAACAGAGAATCAAAGGAACTATACCTGCTACCACAAAAACGCACATAAATACATAGTCCACACACTCTATAAAGCAACTATACAATCAAAACTACAAAGCAACCAGCTATCAAATTTACAATAGGATCAAAACCTAACATATAAATATTAACCTTGAATGTAAATGTGCTAAATGTCCCACTTAAAAAGGCACAGAGTGGGCCTGGCATGGAGGCTCACGCCTGTAATCCCAGCACTTTGAGATGCCGAGGCGGGTGGATCACCTGAGGTCTGCAGTTCGAGACCATCCTAGCCAACATGGTGAAACCCTGTCTCTACTAAAAATACAAAATTAGCAGAGCGCAGTGGCATGTGCCTGTAATCCCAGCTACTCAGGAGGCTGAGGCAGGAGAATCGCTTGAACCCGGAAGGCAGAGGTTGCGGTGATCCAAGATGGTGCCATTGCACTTCAGCCGGGGTGACAGAGCAAAACTCCCTCCCAAAAAAAAAAAAAAAAAAAAAACAAAACGCACAGAGTGGCAAGTTGGACAAAAAAAGAAGACTTATCTGACTTCTATCTTCAAGAGATCCATCCCGTATGTAACAACACTCATAGGCTCAAAGCAAAGGATTGGAGAAAGATCTATCACGCAAATGGAAAAGAAAAAAAGGTCAGGGGTCATTACTGTTATGACAGATGTAATAAAAGGGACTTTAAACCAACAACAATAAGAAAGGATAAAAAAGGGCATTACACAATGATAAAGGGTTCAATTCAATAAGAAGGTTTAACCTAAACATATATGCATCCAACCTTGGAGCACCCAGATTCATAAAAAAGTACTTCTAGACCTATAGAAAGACTAAACAGCCACACAATAATAGTGAGGGATTTAATACCCCACTGTCAATATTAGACAGATAATCAAGGCAGAAAACTAACATAGATATTCTGGACTTAAATTTGACATTTGGCCAATTGGACATAATAGATATCTATAGAATACTTTACCCATCAACCACAGAACATACATTCTTCTCATTTGCACATGGAACATACTCTAAGATAGACTACCTGCTTGGCCATAGAGTAATTCTGAATAAATTTTTAAAAATTAAATTCATATCCACCACATTCTCAGACCACAGTAGAATAGCAATTGAAATCAATACCAAGACGACCTTTCAAAATCATGCAGTTACATGGAAATCAAACATCTTACTCCTAAATAACTTTTGGGTAAACAACAGCATTAAGGCAGAAATCAAAAAATTCTTTGAAATAAATGAAAATGGAGATTCAACATACCAAAATCTCTGGGATGCAATAAAAGCAGTGTTAAGAGGAAAACTTATAGTGCTAAACACCTATGCAAAAAGTTTGAAAGATCTCAAATTAATGATCTAACATCACACCAAGAAGAACTAGAAAAATAAGAACAAACGAATCCCAAAGCTAGCAGAAGAAAAGAAATAACCAGAATCAGAGCAGAGCTAAACAAAATTGAGACCCAAAAATCTATACAAAGGATCAACAAAGCCAAAAGCTTGTTATTCAAAAGGATAAACAAGATCAATAGACCGTTAACTAGATTAACAAAGAAAAAAGAGAGAAGACACAGATAAGCATAATCAGAAATGACAAAAGTGGAATTACAACCAATATCACATACAAAAGATACTCAGAGACTATTATGAACACCTCTACACACACAAACTAGAAAATTTAGAGGAAATGGATAAATTCCTGGAAACTCAAAACTCAAGATTGAATCAGGAAAATATTGAAACCATGAACAGACCAATATCAAATTCTGAAAACAAATCAGTAACTTAAAAAACCTAACAACCAAAAAAAAAAAACAAAACTGGACCAGATGAATTCACAGCTGAATTCTACCAGATGTACAAAGAAGAACTGGTACCAGTCCTACTGAAACTATTTTAAAAAATCACAGAGGAACTCCTCCCTAACTCATTCTCTGAAGCCAACGTAACCCTGATACCAAAATCTTGCAAAGGCACAACAAAAAAAAGAAAACAACAGGCCAACATCCCTGAGGAACTGGATGCAAAAATCCTCAACAAAATATTAGCAAACTGAATTCAGCGGCACATCAAAAAGTTAATTCGCCATGATCAAGTAGGCTTCATTCCTGGGATGCAAGATTGTTTCAACATATGCAAATCAATAAATGTGATTCACCACCTAAACAGAATTCAAAACAAAAAACATACGATCACCTCACTAGACACAAAAAAAATCTTTTCATAAAACCCAACATCTCTTCATGATAAAAACCTTCAACAAACTAGGCATCAAAGGAACATGTCTCAAAATAGTGAGACCCATGTATCACAGACTTACAGCCAACATCACAGTGAATGGGAAAAAGCTGGAAGCATTCTCCTTAAGAACAGGAATGGCACAAGGATGCCCACTCTCACTGCTCCTATTCCACAAAGTACTGTAAGTCTAAGGCAGAACAATCAGTCAAGAGAAAGAAATAAAAAGCATCCAAACAGGAAAATAAGAAGTCAAATTATCTGTCTGTTAAAAATATGACTCTAAGATATGTTTTTGCATATAGATTTTGTCTAATTGTTTTGAGAATAGGTAGTTTGTGGCTGAGTTTCTTGAAGATGAGCAAATCGGGAAATGAAAAAAAAAATGGAGAAATAAAAAGTTCTCCCAAAAAATTGAAAATAAAGGAAAATGGCAATTATTTGAGAAACTCTAAAAGTCAATTCATGATGAGTGAATTATAAAATAAATAGAAATGGATACTTTTTTTGAGGCACAGATGGGCTCACAGCTCCTTTGGGTATAATGCAACTGATATCACCTGAGGAGAATATGATTCTTATCCTTTTTCGTCTATTTGGTGGAATATATTGGTAGACTAATCATCCTAGTTAAACAACAAAATTTTCTGTTTTAAGTATGAAATATATCTTCTTAGTTTATCCATATGTTGGCAAGAAAGTAAAAAATACTAAGGTTACAGCTTAGGTAACAGTGGGTACATGGTAAGTCTGTGAAATGAATTTTTTTCTAAACCAAGTGAATCTAAACACTAGTTTTCATATACTTTGCAAAGTTTTATGCGTAGAAGTCATAACAGTCTTCCTACCCTACTAATTACTGGATTCCAAAAAAGCCATAATCTGAGAATAAGGGGGAACTAGAAATAACCCCAATTAACCACAAAGAACTTCAAGGAAAAGGCCTGCAATGTCATAGTTTTCCTGTTGGGAAGGGAAAATATATCCCCTTGAAAACATGTAAAAATACGCCTATCTTCACAGATGCCAGGCTGAAGTCACACTATCTGAGACACACACACAAACTAAAACTGTAAATTTTACTTACTGTTTCTGGACTGTCCTAGCAGAAGCAAACTAAATCTGTTCTGGAGAAAAAACACTCCAGACCTCAAAGTTTTCAACATGTAAAATGTCAAGGCAAAGTGAGCACCTCATAGGAAAATAAAATCACAGAAACATATAAAGAAACAAAGCACCATAAGCAACACTGGAAGAAATAACAAACAGCAAAACCTGGCCTGCAAAGTCCTCATTAATGGGAATTATAAACATTTTATAAAAGTAGAAAAAAAAGTTTAAATAATCATAAGGCACAAGAAGATTGGGAGAAGAATCAAAAGAAATCCTAAAATTAAAAAAAAAAAACTTGAAGTTTAGAATTTTATTAATCCAAACTAAAAACTGGAGAAAATATCCAAAATTCATTTCAAAGTAATAAAAGAAATGGAAAGTGTGATACAAATCTTAAAGCTATGGGAGAGTTAAGTCTTAATATTTTGGATGGGGAGGAGAGAGAGACTAGGACAGAGGTATTAGCTAAAGGTATAATGGCTGAGAACTTTCAAGAACTTGAAAGACACCAAATGCAGATTCAAAAAGACTTGATTTTTAAATAAAAATAAAAAATGAATCCAACAACATGTGATAGTCAGATTACAATCTATCAAAGACAAAGGCCAGACATTTAGAGCAGCCAAAGAGAAATTCTGACAAAGGAGCCATAATTAGAATGACAGCTGACATCCTTATGAAAATAATGAAAACTTATACATGGTATAATATCTTCAATATGCTGAACGGAGATACTTGTCAACCTAGAATAGTACAGCCAACAAAAATAATCTTTCTCAAAAATGAAGGAAATATATAGACCACTTCATACAACCAAAACCTAAGGTTGTCACCAGCAAATCTACAGTAAGGTATTTAGGTGGAAAAAATGCTTTTAGATAGATGGGCTGAGATGTTAGATGCTAAAGCTTGAAATTTGCAAATATGTGGGGAAAATGTAAGAAAACATTCATAGGCAGAAACTCTACAGAGTGATTAGGGGATTGGACTCTGAAGCCAACAACCTGAATTGAAAATATGACTATCATTTAGTTGGTATGACCATGGGCAAATTAATAAACCTCAATATGCCTTTGTTTTCTCATTTGTACAGTGGTGATAATAAAGTCACCTCTCTCATGGGTAATCATAAGAATGATATGAAACAGTAAAGTACTTAGTAAAGTACTGGGAATATAGTGTGTATGTTATGACAATTATTACTACATAAATAGTAAAATAATAATGATAATGTAATAAATAATAATGTATAAAATAATGACAATGTTATATGGGATTTAAAATATCTAAAATTACATAAAAAGTAAGAAGGGTGAACATAATCACATTGTTTGGGGAAAATATGAAGATATTAATTAATTTTAGATTTTGATAAGTTTGCATATTAAAATTTCTAGAGAAATTGCCAAAAGAATAGGCAGTGAATAACTTCCAAAGAGTAAAGAAAAAAATGGCTTGAAAATCAATTCAAGAGCTGATTTGTGGGTGGGTTCAGTAGATGACATGCATTGTCAGGAGATTGGAAGGTGAGAATAAGAGAGAAATCAGTGTATTTTTCCCTTCCCTTTCCTCCTTGGATCATATCTCAGGAAGTGATTGCTCCTCCATGGCTCTAGCTCCCACTGGATAGACTCACTATAGTTGCACTCATGGCTGGCTGACTCATCAGGTTCTATAATCTGGCCTTTTCCTTTTGTCTGTCTCTAGCCTAGGGAAGGTTATAACTTCCTACTATTGCTAACATTGCCTGCTGGTTAGTCAGTCTTTCCACTAGCTGTGTAATCATGGATTAAATTACGTCTGTTCAAACACTGAGTGGTTTTTGTTGCCCTTGTTGGTCCCTCCCTAATACTATGATGATGGATTTATCCATCAAAATATCAAAGCACAAGATAGTAAATATTTAAATAATTTTTTAATTACCCTTGTTCTGATTCCCTGCTTACTGAGTAACTTTCTAGTCATGAGATATTTTCCAGATGGTTTTTTTTTGAGGGAGAAAGTGTATTAATTATTCCTAAGCAAGTTCCTTCCTTCCTTCCCTCCTTCCTTCCCTCCTTCCCTCCCTCCTTCCTTCCCTCCTTCCCTCCCTCCTTCCTTCCTTCCTTCTTTCCTCCCTCTTTCTTTCTCTCTTCATCTTCCTTTCTTTCTTTTACTTTCCTAATTATATTCCTGTGTACCTGTAAGCTTTGAAAATGGAACTGTGCTCTAGAAAGGCAAATCTACCTTGAGTATTGATATTTATGTGTCTGATTTTACAATGTTAAAGACCAGACCCAAGAGAGGGATGAATTCCCTAAATTAGGTATATTAACTGATAGCCACTTGGTATTTCCCATAAACAGCTTCCAATATTATTTATTTATACTTCTTTATGTAGACAGTATTTTTTTTATTTTAAAGAGTGCTACTTTCTACACAGATTCTGAGAAAGAAAAGTACATTGATTTTGCTGGTAGAAAATTCAAAGAACACTCATTTTCTGGTATCAATGGAAGTGTGGCTCTTGGAGATAATAAAACCTCTATGTATAGCCTTTTGCAGAAAAAAACTCTAAAAGTCTTAAGCAGCAGGTCTTTTAATACTTTAGAAATATCAATTCTTTACAAAAAGCCCTTATTTTCTCATTAGGCAACCTTAAGATGTCCAACCCAGCTGTTTTATTTGTCTAAACAAATGGGAAATGCAATTTCATAATGATAACTTAACTCTGTTCAGAAATTGGCAACTCCTCCTTTGTTTCAAAGTTTGTCTGACCATGCTTTCTTTCGCTCAGTAATTCTCAATATGTGCTTAATATATCCTCAGTGTGTGGCTCAATATATTCTCAATCCACAGTTGCTCACTGCAATGGCAGTCAGATAGGGCCTGAGGGGAAGCACTACAGTAGGGGACATTGAAGGGAAAATCTTCGTGAGAATCTTAAATGTTCCTGCCTCCATCGCCAGTCATTCTTAACATAAGATATATGATGTGAGCAATTATTTCTAGTAAAATATTAAATTTAAAATGTTTTCCTTTCAGTTTAAAAATGCAGATTTTTAGGCACTTTGTGGGAGGATATTTCCTTTAAAAAACAAGAATAAGACATTAGAGAACTTCATGGCAGATAAAAACATTCAAACTTACATTCTGATGGTAAAGAGCTGAATGGAGTAGAGGAATGGAATATTAAAGCAGAAAACTTAAAAGACAATTTATGTAAAATACAGGAATTATTTGAAAAGGAAGAATTTTATGCAATAATCTAATAATTACTTAAATTATTGGATAAATTGTGTAAGGAGGAGAGCCACTGATTTAGGAAACAGAATAGCTCACTTTCTCATCTGCATTTTTTCCTATCACAGATTTCAATCAGGATTGGTCTAAATTTTGAATGAGGAAATAAGTGTTAAGAGAGAAAAGGGAAAAACTATAGATGATTCTCAACTTATGATAGGATTACATCCTGATAAGCTCCTTATACTATAACTTGAAAATGCATTTAAAGCAGACAACACAGCAGATGGTCCCTGACTTAACAATGATTCAATTTATTATTTTTTTGACTTTAGGATAGTGTGAAAGCAATAATACATTTAGTAGAAATCGTAACCCCATTGTAAGTTGTAAGGAGCTCCTCAACTTATAATAGGGTTATATCCCAATACCACCCGTAAGTTAAAAAGTAGTAAGTTAAACTATCATAAATCAGGAACTGCCTGTGCACCAATATAAACTCATGGAGGATCAAAGTGGTAGAGTTGCAAGAAACATCACAGACTTGTTTATTTCCTTAAACTCTTCTGCATATAATAGACTAAATCTAGGGAGAGAAAGTGACTAGCTCAACTGGCTGGTGCCAGAGTCTAGTTCAGACCTTGTGGTCTTCTTGCTATTCAAAATGGGGTGCAGAGACCAGCAGCATCCAGTATCACCTGGAAACTTGTTGCAAATACAGAAGCTCAGCATCCAATCTGAAACTCTACTGAACTTGAATCTGCATTTTAGCAAGATCCCAAGGTGTCTCTATAAACTTTAAAATCTGAAAAGTGTTGCTCTAAAGGATTCACATTGTTTTTTAGTTGTTTTCCACAGCTGTCTTGTTGCCTGAGAATATAATGTCCCCATGGGCAGGAATTTGTTCTCTGTTTATTTGTGTCTTCCTTAGCAAGAAGTTACAACAGGAGTAGGACAACATCTTTTATTTTTGTTGTTTATTTTCACAGTGTATAAAGGAATACTTATTTTCAGTGTATAATATAAAACTAAGAACCTCAACAAATATTGGTTTATTTGAGAGCAAGATTATTTTCTTAACTTGTTAACCAAAACAATCAACATATACTACATCCCTGGAGAGCAAAGCCCTTTGAAAGAAATAGAGCCACCAATAGACTTAGTTAGTTGTGTACATTCTATAAAATCATGACAAATTGTATGGCTAGAAAAACCATCTTGAGAAAGTCACCTCAAATAGCTTATGAAAACAGGCAAGACAAATAAATCATTTAAAAACAAACTTCATGAGCCTGGTACAGAACATGCACTCATTAAATACCTGTTGAGTGGATACAATTATTGAACATGATTTTACTGAAAATGTGCCTCTGTAACATTAAATACAAGCTAATATTTTGGGAAAATTAACTTAATGATGGGATGTTTCTATACATCTTGGTTTCTGCCCATGCTGTGTCTGTCTTTTCTGACAAACCAAAGGATTTTCATTTTCTGAGAAAGCAAAGCTTATGTAATGAATTTCCTCTCTTTACAGTGTCATGTCTGTAGATTACTGGGTTTGTAAGTGGTGCAGATGGTCCACTGCACCAAACACCAACAAGAAAATGTTTGTAAGATGATGCTTATAAAGGTAAAGATTTAGTTGAGAAATATGCTAACTTCAGGAACCAAGAGTATGGCAGTTTGCTATAGCAGCCCAAATGGACTAAGACAGAAATTGGTACTGAGAAACAGGGGCACTGCTGTAACAAATACCTAACAATGTGGTAGTGGTGGTGGAACTGGGTAAAATGGGTGGAGGCGAGAAGAGGTTTAAGGTGTATGCTAGAAAATGGCTACATTGATGTGAATGGACTGTAAAGGACAATTCTGGTCAGGGCTCAGAAGAAGAAGAGGAGAGAGGTAGAAAAAGTCCCTATCTTCTTAGAAAATACCCAAGTGTTCATGAGCAGAATGCTGGTAGAAATAGGGACAGTAAAGGCAATTCTGAAATGTCTCAGATCAAAATGAGAAACAAGTTATTGAAACTGGAGAAAAGGCCATCCTTGTTACAAAGTAGCAAGGAATTGGGCTGAATTGTGTTTGTATTCTAGTGTCTGGGTGGGGTAGAACTTTTGAGCAATCAAATTGGATATTTGAGAAAATTTCTAAGCAAAGTATTGATGGTATGGCCTGTTGAAAGCTTACATTACAATGCAAAAAGAGTAAAATTATTTAGAGACTTGGAAACTGTTAATCAAAAGAGAAAGAGATCTTAAAAATTTAGAAAATTCTGTGACTATCTATATTGGAAAAAATCAGAAAGCCTGTTGATGAGAGAACAAGGGCGTGACCAGCTAATCTTCTGATAGGGAGATTAGTATGGATCAGCCAACTCACTGGAAGCCAGGTGCTATTCATCAAGACAATGGTCAGCCATCTAAACAGAAGCCAGGACCTACTGTGCAAGAAATGGAAAATAGCCCCAAAGGCATTTTGGAGATCATTTGGGGCTACCCTTCCCATCACAAATGCATAATACAAGGGCGTGGAGGACAGAATGGGGGCACCACTGCCCAGTACAACCTCACATTACTGGCTCTGCTCCCCAAATTCTGTTGCCACACTCCTTGGCTGCCCAAGTGTGACTCTGGTAGGCCCCAGTGAAAAGTGCATTGTGCCCAGGAAAGCTATGAGGGTATGACTGCCTTCACCTACATTTTAAAGGATGCCCTGGAGAGCCTAGGGTCCCAGGCAGAGAACTGCCATGGGAGTGGGGTCACCCTCAGACTCCACTAGGCCCCAAAGGCATGCCAACACTTGCTTTTCGAAGGATGACTAGTTTTCTCCGGAGAAGAGCATGGCCTTGCTTCAGAATCCTAGGAATTTGTGATGTGACTCTTTTATTGTAGTTGGCTAGAGACTTGCATGGCACCTTCATCTACTGCCAGTACCTCCAACACCATGTACCATTGATGGCATTTGGGAAAATGGGACAGCAATGATGCTTGTACCCGGTTGGAACCTACTAAGGTCCTGTGTTGCCCTAGGACCCACTCAAGACTAATAGCCTTTTAAATTATCCAGTAAATGATTATGCAAGTATTATGCACAACAACAGTTGTGTTGTGTGCTGTCTCCAAAATGTTAAGATGTTTTTCAAACACTACAGTTCTTTTCACTGTTGAGATTCAAGATTAAATAACTTCTTTAATTTGTGTGGCCCTGTTAGCATGCCCAGACCAGTGGGACTTAAAAAACTTTACTATTGTGGCATGTCTATAAATTTTTGTAGAGTTTATTTTGTAACCACTCACATGCATGTATGTTACAAAGATTCTATTAATCTAATGACATTAGTAGAGAAAATCAGCATATTGTTATGTAGTACATTCATATGATCAGTGTCCCTTTGAACTATATTATGATGAAGTGTTAACGTAGCCCTGGAGAAGATCACGAATGAGTGTTGCTGCCTAGTCTAACGAATGTGTACTGCTCCGGATACCCTTCCTAACAGGGACTGAAAGCACATGCATTTGCCAAGCAAGTAACTTTATACAGAGAAGCTGCACTGATTTTTTCTAGCAAAGACACCACATCTCATACAAAAACTATGATTAAGTGAAGTGTTTAGGTTTATGGTGGTGTACTCTCTGCCATGATTAATCTGTTTTTTGAAGGCCGCACCTGTGAGCTAAGTGGCCATATGTTGGAGACCACCATCCCCCAACTTTCTCCATTTCAGCCAGTATATTTTTCCTTGATTGGCTTGAACAGGGAGTATGCAGTGTAAATTCATTGTCTTCTATTTTGCCATTTTACCATATTTTAGCTCTTCCTCCACAGGTTAAGAAACCAGTGAAGGATCTCCAGTGATAAATATGTCCATCCTGATAGTGCATTCTGGAACTGGAGACATGATCACAAAGTGAGATCATGGTCCTGTTAGACCCACTGTGAGACAGCCTTGGAAAAAGTCTCAATCTGTCTGCCCGCCTTTCTATGCCCCAGTTTAACAGGGGGCCCATGATGATAGCATTAGCGTCAATTCAGGTACTCTATACAACAACCCTTGAAAGATACTGGTATTCACCTTCAATTACTGTACACCTCTCTGGTATATTACTACACATTTTTGGGGGAAGGATTGGGTTATAGCTACTATGTATACTTGCTGCAACTTGTCAGGGTCTTTTATTTAGAAGAACTGGCTACCTTTTCAATCAGTGGGCTCCGAGTCTGAGAATTGCCTCAGTTCTAGAACCTGCATAAGGCATCGTGATAGTTTTATTGCAGCAGTAAAAGTCTTGTTCAATGCCCATATCTCTTTTTCTTCAGGAGTAAATTGGAATATGAGCCATAACCACAGATCTATGCAGGACCTGCGATTGCTGTTGTTTTGGTAATTATGTCGTCCTTATTTCTGATGGCCAAATATTGCCATCGGAATACCGCTATGCTTGAATCTTATCAACACCATTAAGACTGGGAATTCCACTTCTCTGGCACTATCTCCAACCATCAACTCTGCACCTACTATAGATGACAGGCACCACTGAACTCTGCCCCCCTCACTAGCATGTTGCACTTTAGTAAAGGGAAGGTTCTACTCCTCGTGGGAAAAAAAGTTAGTGGGTAGATTCCTCAGTATTATATGGCATGCCCACCTCCCGCATCTTCTCGCCTCTTGATCTCTTCCCTAAATACTGTGACAAGACAATTCTGGAATTTCCACCTCTTTTCTTTTCTTTCGTTCTCCTCCCCTCCCCTCCCCTCCCTCTTCCCCTTCCCCCTCCCCTCCCCTCACTCCCCACCTTTCTTTCTTTCTGTCTTTCTTTCTTTCTTTTTCTTTCTTTCTTTCCTTTCTTTCTTTTTCTTTCTTTCTCTCTGTCCCTTCCTCTTTCTTTCTTTCTTTCTCTCTCTCTCTCTCTTTCTTTCTTTCTTCTTTTCTTTTGCAGGTATCTTGCTCTATCACCCAGGCTGGAATACAGTGGCACACTCGTAGCTCACTGCAGCCTTCACCTCTGGGGCTGAAGTTATCCTCCCATCTCAGCCTCCCTAGTATCTGGGACTACAAGTGTGTGCCACCACACCTCGCTAAGTTTTGTATTTTTTGTAGAGACAGGGTATTGCAATGTTGTCCAGGCTGTTCTCAAACTCCTGGGCTTAAGCCATCCAACAGCCTTAGACTCCCAAAGTGCTGGGATTATAGGTGTGAGCCGCCGTGCCTGGCCCCACCTCATTTTCTATAGGCTGTTTTTATTTACTGGTTTTAAGCAGCTGTCCTGGTAGTGTATTAAGTGTTAGGTGTTCTTGTCAGGATACTAAATCCTTAGGCAGGCAAGAGTGCTCCCATGTCAATAAACTCTCCATTTTCTAGCCTTAAATTCTGGCCTCGTGGCTCAGCACCCTTGAGTTCCAATATAATGTATGTTCTCATAGTTCCTCCTAGTATATATTAATCAGATCCTTCAGTTCTTTTGGTGAGTAATCTTTTTCCACTTATATTAGGGACCTTTCCAGTTTGGACCCAGACTTGATCCAAGTTATCAGTCTAGAAGCCATGAGGAAAAGAGGGGAAGGTATTGAGGAAGATGTCATTTCAGGGTTATCGGGAGCATCTACTGAGATATACCCATCCTAAATCTCATGACTCAAATCTCTCCCTCACCTTCATTTTTAACCAAATCCTGTATTTCAGATAGGAACTTTCCAGAACTGTGAATGTAGCCTTTATTACTCTGTTATTTGCACAAACAGGCCCTAAACAAGATTTTCCATCCAGTCTGCATCTGCTTCTAGAAGATGAGGGTATTGTCAAGTGCTGTTATAGATGCCTTCTCACAGTCACACTGAGCCCTCAATTGACAGTTGGCTGATCTGAGCCTACTGCTTTTGCTTTCTTAAAGGCATTCATCCCATTTAATCACCAACACCACAGTCCTTATAGTTGCCATCGCAATGAAAATCCAATGATATTATGTAAGCTATTATATCCCTTTCTACCTGTATTAAATGCCAACTCACCACAGTTGAGACTGTTATTAATTGTTATACTGCAGTTGTCAGAAGTTATCACCTTTCTACCCTCAACCAGAAATGAGTTACTTGTTGCCATCTACCCAGAAAGAAATCTAATCACAGAATCCCATCCCAAGGATGTGCTTTCTAAAATCTCTTTTGGTACTAATCCTCTTAGTTTGGTTCCTCCAGAAGCCATAGAACAATGTTCTCACAATCAAACTAATGATGATATTATTATAGTAATGTTTGCCTTCAAACATTAGCAAAGACATATCTGTATAGCACATGGACTTAATACTTCTTCAGTATGAGATGAATTTATGCTGCAGCTTTCACACTATTTCACCTTATCCTTCTCCACACCACGTTTGTTTTAGTCCGTTTTGTGTTGCTCTAACAGAATACCATAGACTGGGTAATTTATAAATAAAATAAATGTATTTCTTATAGTTCTTGAGGCTAGAAAGTTGAGGGGCCCATATCTGGCAAGTGCCTTCTTGCTGCGTCATCCCATGGGGGAAAGTGTAAGGGCATAAAAGTGCACACGAGAGAGTGAGAGGAAGTGGGCAACCTTCATCCTTTCATCAGGAACCCAGTCCTGGGATAACAGCCTTCATCCATTCACGAGGGCAGATCCTTCGTGGCCTAAACATATCTTAACAGTCCCACCTCTTAACACTGTCACAATTGCATTAAATTTCAACATGAGTTTTGGAAAGAACATTCAAACCATAGCAATACACAAATAGACCTTAATATTTATGCATATTCTTCTTCCTTAATTTTACATGACAAGAAAATTTTCATCCTATAAAAGTTCATTCTCAGAATGATGTAAGTAAGGTGGTAGACTAGGAAGCTACAAGCTCTCCTTCCCCTAGAGGGGAACCAAGTTAAAAAATTTATATATGGACCAGAATGCCTCTAGAAAACTCTAGAAAGCAAATGAAAAGCTAAAGCACCTAAGTCATTATAAAGCTGAGAAGGGATTCCAGTAAAAGAGGTAAGGAAAATTTGTGGCATTTGGCATGCCTATATGTGCCGCTCCCCCTGTGAAGCACAGCCTGGAGCAACTGGGAGAAACCCCTCATACCAGGGCTTTTCCTTAGGACAGAAGCAAAAGAATGGACCATGTGTGCAATGTCCTGGTTTGTATGGAGACTACCCAAGGGCCTGGCTTCTGTCTCACCTTATTTGCAGTAGTACCAGGACCAGTTTCAGAGTTTGGAAGCCACTGAAAACAGAGGTGAGCAGAACATAGTAAAATGTAGAAGAAATAGATAAATTCCTAGAAACAAAATCTACCAAAAATGAATCATGAAGAAATAGAAAAGCTGAACAGACCAAAAACAAATAAGAATATTGAATCACTAATTAAAAGCCTTTCAACAAAGAAAAGCTCTAAACCAAATAGCTTCACTGGAGGATCCTACCAAATATTTAAAGAAGAATTAACACAAATCCTTCTGAAATGCTTTAAAAACAGTTAGAGAAGAGGGAACACTTCCAAGCTCATTCTCTGAGGCCAGCATTACCCTGAATCAAAAGGCAGATAAAAACATCATTAAAAAAAACTATAGACCAATATCCCTGATGAATGTTGATGAAAAAGTCCTCACAGAATACTAACAAACCAAATTCAATAACACATGAAGATAATAATATACCATAACCAAGTGGGATTTATTTTTTGAATGTAAGTTTGGTTAAACATCAAAATAATCAATATAATACACCATATTAGTGGCAGAAAGAATAAATAGCACATGATCACAATTGACAAAGAAAGAACATTTGATAATATCCAACACCATTTCATGAAAAGACATGCAACAAACTAGGAAGAGAAAAAATGACCTCAGCATAATGAGGATAATTTATAAAAAATCAGAGCTAACATTACATCCAGTGACGAAAGACTGAAAGTTCTTCCTCTAATATCTAGGATACTGTGAGAATGTTCACTCTGCAACATGTTATTCAAAGTCCTAGCCAGAGCAATTAGGCTAGAAAAAAGAAATAGAAGGCATTCAAATTATAAAAAGTAAAATTATCTCTATTCACAGATGACATGATCATATCAAGTAAGAAAACCTTCAATGTTCTTCAAAAAAAGTATCAGAACTAATAAATTAATTCAGCAATATTGAATAATACAAAATCAACATACAAAAATCAGTTGCATTTCTATACACTAGCAACAAACAATTGGAAATAAAATTAAGACAGCAACCCCATTTATAATAGCATCAAAAATAATAAAATATTTAGAAATAAACAATCAAGGAGACAGGAAATTTGTCACTGGAAACCAGAAAACATTGCTGAAAAAAATTAAAGAAGACACACACAAAATGAAAGACATGTTCATGAATTGGAAAATTTAATATCATTAAAATACCCATACTACTCAAAGCAGTCTGCACATTCAACACAGTCCCTACCAAAATACCAATAACAATTTTTCCAAAGTAGAAAAATTCATCCTAAAATTTATTTGAAATCCCAAGGAACTCTTACTAGCCAAAAAATTTTGAAAAAGAATTCTAAAATTAAAGGACTTACATGTCTTAATTTTAAACTATATTATGAAACTCTGGTAATCAAAACAGTGTGGTACTGGCATAAAAACAGATTAGACCAACAGAATAAAATAGAAAGGACAGAAATAAACATGTGTATAAATGACTACATGATTAATGACAAGGGTGGCAAGACCACTAATGGGGAAAGCACAGTTTTTTTCCAAAAAGCTCTCTTGGAAAAACTGGTTATCTACATATGCAAGAATAAAGTTTGACCCTATTTTACACCATGTACAGAAATTAACTCAAGATGAATTAAAGGGTCAAACATAAGACTTAAAACTATAAAACTCTTAAAAGAAAACATAGGATATAGTTTTAAAGACATTGTACTTGGCAATTATTTCTTCAATATGACACCAAAAGCACAGGTAACAAAAGAAAAAATAGATAAATGGGGCTAGATAAATCAAAAAAACTTTTGTACATCAAAGGAAACAACAGAGTGACAGGCAACTTACAGAATGGGAGAAAATATTTCAATATTTTTGCAAATATATCTGGTAAGTGGTTGATATACAGAATATATATGAACTCATATAACTTAACAACAACAACAAAAATCAAGTAAACCAATTAGAAATTGATTAGAGGTCTTGAATAGGCATTTCTCCAAAGATGATATACAAATGGACAACAAGCATATGAATAGATGTTCAACATCACTAATCATCAGAGGAGTGCAAACTAGAACCACACTGAGAGATTATCTAATAACTATTAGAATGACTAACATTAAAAAAAGAAACAAAAAAAAGTGTTGACAAGGATGTAGAGAAATTGGAAATTCTATGCAGTTTGTGGGATTGTAAATGGTACAACTGATGTAAAAAACAATATGGAGTTTCCTTTAAAAATTTAAAGTAGAACTACTATATGACCCAGCAATCCCTCTTCTGTGTATATATTCAAAAGATTTGAAAAAGGGTCTCAAAGATAATTTTCACATCTATGTTCATAGTTGCACTATTCACAACAGCCAAGAGATGAAAGCGACCCAAATGTTCGTTAACAGATTAATGCAAAATATATATACACAATTGAATAGCATATATATACACACACAATTGGATATCATTCATCCTTAAAACTAAAAAGAATTCTGTCACATGCTACAGCATGAATAAATCTTAAAGACATTATGATAAGTAAAATAAACCAGTCACAAAAGAAAAATACTGCATGATTCCAATTATATGAGATACGTATGATGGTAAAATTCATAGAGACAGAAAGCAGAATAATAGTTAAAAGGGTATTGAGAGAGGTTGTGAAAGGAGACTTATTATTTAATGGATGTAGAATTTCAAATGTGCAAGATGAAAAAATGCTGGAGATGTTTCACAACAATGAGAATATAGTTAACATTACTAAACTGTACACTTAAAAATGGTTAAGATGTAAATTTTATGTTATGCGCTTTTTATCACAATAAAAAAAGTAATTTAAAAATCTGGGAATATGGAAATAGAAAAAATTCTGCCTGCCATACCAGCCATTTACAGCTTTCTGAAAGTGTATACCTACCCCTATTCTGCTTTTTATTTACATAGTCATTACTACATATTTACTTTCTTCCTTACTCATGAATTTTTTCCCTCTTGAGAAAGGTTTTATAAAGGGATCATATGCAAAGCTATTAGCAAGGTTTATACAAAGAAAACAAAGGATGGCACAGTACCCAAGACTAGTAAAAGGGAGCAAGTGAAGAGAAAGGGTTATCCAACCTGGCCAGGGACCTAAGTGATGAGGGCCAGAGGGCAGGTACTTTGGCTTCCAATAGAGGGACACAGCCCAGTCTTGTGGCACCTAGCAGAGACTAAGCCAGGAAATACCTCCTGTCCATGCCAACTCAAGCAGGAAATCACAGAGAAAGGGGTGTGGCTGGGTGTTGAAATCCATGTAGTTAGCCTCCTGGGGCCTTGGCAAGTGTGAAGAATAGAAGAAAGTGGATCTGAGGGGGTCAATAAGAATATACCCAGTACAACGTACTCCTATCTGATTTCTGATTGCTGTTCTTAGTACTCTTCCTTTTAGTGTCTAAAGTGATCTGCTTAAAGGGCAAAATGGATTATACCAGTTGCCTGCTTAAAAGACAGCCACCAATGGCTTCCTACTGGATTTGAAATAAAACCCAAAGCCCTTTTTGTGGCCTACTAGGCCCAGAACAGTTTGGTTACTGCCTCCCTCTCCAACTGGATTTCAATTCACTTCCTCTCATGCTCACTGCATGGATACCACCTTGTCCTTCTTTTAGTTCCACTAACACAGCAACCATGTGTCTGGAACACTCTGCCCTGCAGCTTTACCTGCTCTGCCCATAGCTGAATCCTTCTCACCCTGTAGGTTTCAACATTAATACAGACTCCCCAGAAAGGACTTTGATTATTCTATCTTATGTAGGTCCAGCTAACCCTGTTTGTTATCTACTACTATAGCATTTTGTTGGCTGACTAAATTACTTCTAACCCAATTGCCTGTTACTTTGTTTGTATGCTTATTTATTTTCATCTCCCCCACTGTAAACTCCGTGCAGTTGGGAATCATGGTTACCTTTTTCACTGTTACACCATTATGGTCTTGCAAAATGTCCGATACAGTCGGGACTCACTAATACAGTTAAATTAATAATTATGTTAGTAAGTAAATAAAGAGTGGCACACTTTTACAAAGTTTCTCAGTCTGCTGCTTAATAACTGGCTCAGGTGGATTCCAAATTTGTAACCTTGACCTCGTTAGCACCACATGCCAACTGATTGATTCTGAAGCATGATTTGGAGTCCCTGCAAAAGAAATGCTCTGGTAGCTTAGCTACAAAAACTCCCTTCGCCTCCTTGCTGTAGGAGTAAAAGGAGGGTGGAATCATGTGAGTGATGAAGGGTGGAACTGCTCAGAGCTGTGAAAGATACAGTGATAAGCTGTGTGTGCTGATAGTTCATTTAACTCATCACCTCCTTGAGTTGAAAAAAAAAAAAGAAAAGGATTTGAAGTCTTCATAGCTGGTGAGTCACCTTCTCCTCCTTCAAACTGTCTGACAAAAAGAACACCAATTTCCTTGTAGATTTATGGCTTATAATCTTCCTCTTTTTCAGGCTGCAGAAGAATAGGCTATTCATAAGATTCTAGAGAATTTAAAGCCAATTAAATATTTTTTTGAATACTTGAAGAGTTCTCCCTGACCCAGGGTCTTCTAGGGATTATCAGATGTAAAAGGAAGGTAGAATTTAATTACAAATTTTCTAAGGGGTAACAATGTGCAAATGGAATACCGATAGTGCAAGTAATCTACATCTGCAAATGTAAAGTCAGAGGACCCCATATTTCAGGGAAAAAAATCAGTCTTCTTTAGCAGGTAAAGAAAGCATCTGTAACAATGATCAAGTGCCTGCTGAGAATAAAAGCCTCTTGTCATGATTGCAGAAGGTGATGCTTGCTTTCCAGAAAGTCAATTTCCTCTCTCTCTCTCTCTCTCTCTCTCTCTCTCTCTGTGTGTGTGTGTGTGTGTGTATGTGTTTGTCTCTTTGTCTCACTGCTCTCTTTCTGAATAATATCTTCTTCTAACAACCACTCCCGAAGGTGTGCAACTTCACAGGCTGTTGATGATATCATATTGCCTATACTAAACTGTTAGGCAGTTTTCCAAATAGTTAAAAAGTTAAAAATGTTTTAATTTGTTTTTGTCCTTAAAAACTCCCTCAAAC
The DNA here is from genome assembly GCF_000001405.40 of Homo sapiens. Lineage (NCBI taxonomy): Eukaryota > Metazoa > Chordata > Mammalia > Primates > Hominidae > Homo > Homo sapiens. Next base: position 177,002,234 of record NC_000004.12, read on the forward strand.
CACTATATTTTAAAGATGCCAGAGGAGATAGTGCTGAGCAATTCAGAAAGCAAAACGAAGCAAACCAAAACAAAACTTTGGGTCAGTGATGCCAGTTACTTAACACCCTCACCCTCAATGCAGAGCCGGCAGCTAACGTGCTTTTCCAGCTTCTTGGTGGTCTTAATTGGTTCCGGAGAAAGACTAACTGTCCATATACACGCAACCAGCTGATCGCTCCAGCTATTATAGACTTTTTTCAGTAAATGAGTCCAAAGTGATTAAGTCTACAGAGCCATCAGATTCACTGCATTCTATTTCTGACATAGAATTTTAAAAAAAATTTATAGGGAAAACAAATGTATTGACATTTACAAAAATCAGTTTAAAATTGAATGGGAATCACTGAATAAAATAAAGTGCTTAAAGTCACAGTTGCTATCATATTTGTTCTCACTTTCATTAAGGTTCTGAAATAACTTTTCTTTTTTTTCTTTTTCTTTTTCTTTTTTTTTTTTTCTTTTGAGATGGAGTCTCACACTGTTGCCCAGGCTGGAGTGCAGTGGCACAATCTTGGCTCACTGCAACCTCCGCCTCCCAGGTTCAAGTGATTCTCCTTGCCTCAGCCTCCCAAGTAGCTGAGATTACAGGCACCCACCACCACGCCCAGCTAAATTTTTTGTACTTTTAGTAGAGATGGGATTTCACTATGTTAGCCAGGCTGGTCTCGAACTCCTGACCTCATGATCCGCCCACCTCGGCCTCCCAAAGTGCTGGGATTACAGGTATGAGCCACCACACCCAGCCCTGAAATAACTTTTGTACAGTAAGTATTGAAGGAAATTAATCATATCTTTGCAAGGAATTTGATAGAGCATTTAGAAAGGAGAATGAGGCCAGGCGCGGTGGCTCACGCCTGTAATCCCAGCACTTTGAGAGGCCAAGGTGGGCGGATCACTTGAGGTCAGGAATTTGAGACCAGCGTGGCCAACATAGTGAAACCTCGTCTCCGCTAAAAATACAAAAATTAGCCAGGTGTGGTGGTGCACACCTGTATTCCTAGCAACTCGTGAGGCTGAGGCAGGAGAATTGCTTGAACCCAGGAGGCAGAGGTTGCTGTGAGCCAATATCGTGCCACTGCACTCCAGCCTGGGTGACAGAGTGAGAGAGACTGTCAAAAAAAAGAAAGAAAGAAAGAAAGAATTAATGAGAATAATTTTTTCTATAATTAACCAAAGAGGTAAGTTCTAAAAAAGTATTTGTTTTTCCACCCCTAAATTTTGGCAACTATAAATAAATGAGCAAAGAGCTTTCCTTCATTATTATTCTTTTTGTTGATAAAGGTGGAAGAAGTAGTTGAAGCCAAATTCTCTGAGTGACTTAAAAAGATAATATTTTGTAGAGGTTGCAAAGGTTATGAAAGTGTCAGTTCTAATTTTTTAAATGAATCACACATCCAGAAGTTGATGCAGAAAATTAACCTCATCATGTATTTTATAAAGTTCTATGAGGAAAAATACATTGGTTACTTGTTACCAAAAATTTCCAACGAAAGTTTTATAAATCAGGAAAACCCTAGAGCGTATCATGAATTGTATGTATGAGTTAATCAGTGTCAAGAACTTTGAAGGGTATGAGAATTTAAACTAATTGCAGCTAACCAGTTCTGCTGCCAGTTTCATTGCTAGCAGAAGACACAAGACTCCAGATTAGAGACAAGTTATTCACATTGCAGAAAGCAGCACGAGGGTAGCATATTTGTATTGGTTCTTTTTGCTCCCCACATTACATGGGGGTGATGCTGATGGATCCAGGTGTATGTTGCACATGCATATGTTTGCATCATACAACAAAACCAGAATCTTTTACAAAGGGCAAAAGGAAACCTGTCCTTTTTCCTGGAAGGAGAAATTATCTTTACTACACCAAATGATAAGTAAAACTGCTCATTGCTCCTGATGAAGACACTACATTTTTCAAGATTGTTCACTGTACAGACATCTTTGAAAAGACAGTCTAGAGAAAAAGGGCAATTATTGCTTGAAACATGTTTTGAAACACCGGAGGCTTATGGAAAAGTTTCTCTCAATAATCAGGTGCAGGCTAATCTTAAAAATAACTACGGCCGGACGTGGTGGCTCACGGCTGTAATCCCAGCACTTTGGAAGGTCAAGGCGGGCAGATCACCTGAGGTCAGGAGTTCCAGACCAGCCTGCCCAACATGGCGAAACCCCATCTCTACTGAAAATACAAAAATTAGCCAGGCGTGGTGGTGGGCACCTGTAATTTCAGCTACTTGGGAGGCTGAGGCAAGAGAATTGCTTGAACCTGGGAGAGGAGGTTGCAGTGAGCCCAGATCATGCCATTGCACTCCAGCCTGGGTGACAGAGCAAGACTCTGTCTCCAAAACAAAACAAAACAAAACAAAACAAAACAAAACAAAACTATTTAGGTAACTTACTATTGTATTAAATATAACATAGATTTTCCGTGGACATTTTACCCCTTTTAAATCATATCTTTTTTTTATTTTTTATTTTTTTGAGACGGAGTCTCGCTCTGTTGCCCAGGCTGGAGTGCAGTGGCACCATCTTGGCTCACTGCAAGCTCCACCTCCTGGGTTCATGCCATTCTCCTGCCTCAGCCTCCTGAGTAGCTGGGACTACAGGTGCCCACCACCTTACCCAGCTAATTTTTTGTATATTTAGTAGAGATGGGGTTTCACGTGTTAGCCAGGATGGTCTCGATCTCCTGACCTTGTGTTCCGCCTGCCTTGGCCTCCCAAAGTGCTGGGATTACAGGCGTGAGCCACCATGGCCAGCCTTAAATCATATCTTAAGTGAATGATAAAGAGACAGTCTCATTCTATGACTGTGCCAGTAGTAAAAATAGGATTGTCCATTCCTAATAAATTCATTGTATTTTATTATTAACTATTATTTGGTTCTAAACATCAAAGAAATGCATTGGATCAGTGGGTAAATAAATAGTTGTTATGATTACTCCAGTGTTTAGTACTGGGACAGTTTCCAGAATCTCTTGATAGTTCTTATAATCAAAAGACCTTTGATACCAGTGTGTTGATCTAAAAGACAGCTAATTTGCAGCCTCCCAGCATAACTTTTTTTAATAGGTCCTCCCATATAACCTATCTTAAGGTCAATTGATTCAGTAGAACACCTAGATTGGGGTACAAACAACTGGAAGAAGCGTTATTAGCTAGGGGTCCCAATCCAGACGCCAAGAGAGGATTCTGGAACCTCATGCAAGAAAGAATTCAGGGTGAGTCCATAGATTAAAATGAAAGCAAGTTTATCAAGAGGCAGGAGAATCTCTTGAACCAAGGAGGTGGAGGTTGCAGTGAACCGAGATGGCACCACTGCACTCCAGCCTGGGCAACAGAGTGTGACTCTGTCTCAAAAAAGTAAAAATAAAAGAAAGTAAAGGAATAAAGAATGGTTACTCCACAGGCAGAGCAGCCACATGGGCTGCTCCACTGAGTATACTTATAGTTATTTCTTGATTTTATATGCTAAAAAAGAGATGGATTATTCATGAGTTTTCGGGGAAAGGAGCAGGGATTTCCCAGAACTCAGGGTTCTTCCCGTTTTTAGGCTATATAGGGTAACTTCCTCATGTTGCCATGGCATTTGTAAACTGCCATGGTGCTGGTAGGAGTGTCTCTTAGCATGCTAATGCATTGTAATTAGCATATAATGAGCAGTGAGGACAACCAGACTTCTTTCTCATCACCATCTTGGTTTTGGTGGGTTTTGGCCAGCTTCTTAACCACATCCTGTTTTATCAGCAAGGTCTTTGTGCCAACCTCCCATCTCATCCTGTGACTAAGAATGCCTAACCTCCTGGGAATGCAGCCCAGCATATCTCAGCCTTATTTTACCCAGACCTTATTCAAGATGGAGGTGCTCTGGTTCAAATGCCTCTGATAAAAGGTGTCCTCAAGTGGCTGGCAATTTTGGAGGCCATCTCAAAAATTCTGCCTACCATACCGGCCATTTACAGCTTTCTGAAAGTGTATACCTACCCCTATTCTGCTTTTTATTTACATAGTTATCACCACATATTTACTTTCTTCTTTACTCATGAATTTTTTCCCTCTGTAGAAGGGAAAATTTTTCTTTTTAGCCCAGAGGTAAGAGAGTGTGCAAGTGCTATGCTATCTACTCCCTATACCCTAGAAGCATAAACTTTAGCAAGTCAGCTACATCCCAGTAAAATTGCTAACTACATGTATCTATAAAACAGATAATGCTACCATCTGGACCCTATTACCAACATTTGAAATAACAATCCCAGGGACTATCCAATCCTGGGGACTATACCAACAGACCATAAGGCAAGGAAAAGTGGTTCCTTTTCATGAATTACTGTTAGATGAGCACACTTAAAAGAAACTATAAACACTGAGCCTCACAAAGTTCCCCTACTAACCTCCATCCCTTGAAGTCAGTCAAGGCAGAGTCCCCTAGAGTTGACAATTAAAGGACAGACCATGGTTTTTCTCAGAGAAAACCATCTGTCCAGGGGTAAATTGACCTAAGCCTGTTGTTTAGACACCGTGGAAGTAATGGTAGCAACCAAAACGTTTGCATAGATGAGGCTTCTCAACAGCCTCACAGACATAGAGAATTATAATGAAAGCAAGTCTCACATAAATTTTTCCATGCATACATATGTATGAAATTTCATGAATCTGGGAAAAAACAGTTCATGCAATGTTTTCTGTAATCTTGGATGAAGTGTGAACTCTCTATTTTTGTGAGAGGTTCAATCTTACTTTGCATAAAATATCACTGGATGCTGGCTCCAATATTCTAAAGGTAGATCCTGTTACCCCTGTCGTCAGAAATCTCCAATTCAGTGGCTAGACACAAAACCATTTGGTGATCCCTGCTTGGGTCCCCTTCCTATGGTTACAGACTATAAGACTTATTCAAGTCTCATACTCTGTTCATGCAAGGTAGGTATTTTCTTAAAAAGTTTAGTTAATCCTCATATATTGAATGCTAGTTATATCAAGAGAGAATTCAGCTATAACTATGCTGATTAGTAAGACACTGATTTCACCAATGAAAATCCATTTTTAGAAAATTTATTAACATAATTATTAAAGCCTTTGGTGTTAGTCAAAGATAAAAATAATGGAAACACTTGTAGTTGCTTTGTCTGGAGTGTAGGCTTTCCAATATGTAACCAGTCCTACAATCTAATAGACTGTTGACCTATTAATTTCTGAATGAAGTAACTGACTGCATCTAAGGCCTAACTTTAACATACTCATGCAGATTACACTCTCTAAACAAAAGTATTTTAAAATAAGTCACAGCTATCTTATAACTACTGTTTAGGCACCTTGTAGTCAAACAGGCTACTTTCATCTCTGAAATGGCTGAAAGGCCTAGTGCCTAGGGTCAAGTTCACCAGGGTGTACCACACAACTTTTTCAGTAATTTCCCTATCTCCCATTTTCCATCTGCCACAGACCTATAGGTAAGCCCTACTCACTTCAGCCCTCCTCATATCTGGGAGACATCTTGCCCTTTTCCCTCCACCTGTTTTCAAGGCTTTTTTCTTTATTCGCTTTTGTATTCCAAGAGACTTTATTTGCACATAATGGAAGACAAGTGGCTTCCAAGGCAAGGAAAAAAAGGGTCCTAGATATTTTAATAGGTAAGAGAAAGAAATGAAATACAACAAACAAAATAAAAACTAATAAATCAAATTATGTCAAAAAATAATTTTTTTATTGGAGAAGGAAGTTGAAATTGTACCTTTGGTTTTGGCAACTAACAATGTGTTATTTTCTTTCCTGACCAGGAGAGAAAATAACAACCTGTGCTAGGACTTGACCTGCAGGCACCTGAACCAAAATGGAATCCAGGCGAAGAAAACAGGGCTGGGAAGTCACAATATTTTGAACTTTCTCATACTAGTATTGGTACAGTTTTCACAAGGAACTTTAGGAGAAGCCTCTGTGCTAACCCAGCAGAGTTATCCTCTCCCCATGTGTCCTCTCTACTTACTCATCATTACTATGCCAAAAGGACTATGTAGTCATACCTGAAAAATGTTTAGTTAATAAAGCTAGGTGTTCAATTTACAACAGGACCTCTAGGGAAAGACAAATGTAGCCTCCTCTTATCCATCCAACAGGCAAATTCTTACTAACTTTTTATGTCTCAACTTACATACTAATTCCTTGAAAAAGCCCTTTCCTACTTGCCTGGAACTTTTCTGCAGCCATGCTACTGCTGTATCTACACATACTCCTTAGCATAGAATAAACCTAAATATCTTATAATTAATTGCTCATCTGTTGTTCAGATAAATGGTTTTTATCTTTGTATTCATAATCTCTAGTTCAGTGTCTAGCACATACTATGCACTAGAAATGTGAGTTTAATGAACAATTGCTTGACTAGCAGAAAAGTTCCATGACTCAATGGGAGAAGATGACTCAAAGGCAGATGAACATGCCTTTAGGGAATAGAAGAAAGAACAACTTTTCTTCTAAAACTGGTAATAAGAAAGAATACAAAGCAGATAAAAATAAGATTGTAGGTGTGGGCATAGAAAGTTAAAAAATAATTTACTCCTTTTTTTTAATTGCAAAATAAAAGACACACTGGATGGAGGAAGGTATTAGGAATGGGTAGAAACTTTAGAAGTGTAGTATAGGTTTGGAATAGTTATTGAGAGAAATGAAAAAAGACACGGCTAAGAACACAAAAAGGAATTTCTCAATGACGTTGAGAACCTGACTGCAGCTGCATACCATTTATTTTAAAAATGACAATGCAACAGTATTCAACCGCTTGGGGCAGGCAAAAAGATACTGACCACTCAGTTAAATGAATATTGTTACAAGTAGATAAAAGATCACAACCTACATACTTAAAAATATGTTCATCAAATGATAATTTCCTACATTGTCTATTCAGAGTTCATGGGCAGCTTACTAGATAATGTAAGTAATTAATACTTAAGAGTTTCTCTAGTAACAGGCATCTAGTGCTCTATCAGAAGCCATGATTTTTGAAAAATATATAAGGATAGCATGAGGGAGATCTAATAGTGAAACAGAAGACAGTCTACAGTGGTGCAGAAACTCTAGCTCCTAGAGAGGCGACTCCAAAGGATGGTATGCAAAACAGCTTTTGTCCTAAAAGTGATATGAATTGAAATTTTATAACAAATACTAGAGTTGGGTCATTATCACATTTTTTTTTATAAAACTTGATAAATATGGTGTTATTTTGCATAACTTTGGAATATTTCACTTTAGAAATGTGAAATTTTTATCAGGAAATAAAACATTTTCCACACCTCTTCATGCTAGAAAAATGTTATTGATAAGAGTTAAAAATAGTTTTGTTTCTCTCTTTACCTAAGAAGGAAGTAACCAAGGAGAGTATTTTTAAAATTGCAAACAGCTGGATAATCAACACCAAGTTCCTATCTCTTGCGTAGGTTGCAAATTGAAAAATGAAATCTTGTCTTGTTTGCAGATCCTTAAAAGAGGGTCTGAAAGTGATTTAGTTTCATCACTAAATATTTATGGAAATTGATTAAATGTTACCAGGGACTTACAGAGATATTAACAACCCCCAGAGCAAAACAAGATCTTTCTTCCGTTACTGTGTTCCAAGAAATTTGAAAATATGCTACATATGTTTTTTCTGGAACAGTAATTGAAGAAAGAATCAATCAATGAATTAAAAATTATTTTCCATAACCTGTCCTCTAACTATTTTCTTTATTTTAGCCTCGTATTATCTACTACTGAGCTACATTTACAATATACACACTAGAGACTATCATTTTGGCAAATGCATAATATGTTTTATTTTACTAAGCAAGGTATTATGAAAGGAAAAACATTAAATCTCCTCTGTTTTTTATTAAGCATGTATTTCTCCATTCACAGTGTTTTACTCTGGACAAGAACTTAATAAAATGAGAAGTCCAAACTCATGTTTCTCTTTACTATAGAAAGTAATTTGTTGGCCTCATAGTTTAACCTGTCCAAGATAAAAAGAGAGTCTCCAGTAAATACTTCCACTTAATGATGTAAAATTTTTATTCACACAGAATTTCTAATCCATATATGTATACAAAATAATTACATGAAGGAAATGTGAGCAATTACTTCAATCAAATCCTTAAAAAAGAAGCATGATACTCACCTAACCAGCACAGTATACAATATCTCCCCAAATTGGAAAGCATTTTCATGCAGAATTAACAGAGGATGGCCCATTTCCATGCATCAGCAGCAGTCTTACACAACTATCCACACCCAAGATCTCACACACTCACAGGGAAGGAATCATCTCTTTCCTTTCCTAATGTCACCCACAGTAGAACCATATCCCTTCTCCACTCTTTCTTAGCTTGCACAAAAATAATTCCCACCACCCACAGGTTGGCTCAGGGCCTCTGAGGAATGAGCAGTGACAAGATCAAAGAGCTCTTCCTCTTCTCACACCCACAGTTAATTGTCTACCTCCAAGATTCTAAACTTGAAGGCACGTCTCATAACACCCCAAAGGGGAGGATTGCGTGAGAAGACAGCCTGCCAACTCACACGGTATTATGAACCCAAACAGACCAGAATAAAAAATACACACCCTTAATCAATCACTTATAACAATTAAAATGTGCTGTAGTTTCCTTTTTTCATAATGGCAGTCTGTCCAGTTTATCAGTGTAAATATATTTACATATTAAGAGGATCTTGGAATTTCTGCACTTGCTGAGTGACATAATCAACAGCAAGTAGGTAAGTTGCTAGGCCAAAAGACCAGAATTATACAGAATACGTGCTTTGTACTAAAATAATTGTTCTGATGGGGAAATTATAATTTATTCCCAAGTAATTGTATATCCTTGTAGTCAGAGGGCATAAGAGTTGTAGGTACACAATTTGAGCAGGGTTATGGTGATAATAGTAATAATTGCTAACATTTATCAGTGGTCATCTATGTGTTAGAAATGTACTGGATTATTTATATACATAATTCCTAATTAATAACATAAATAAGGTTACTAGCCTAGTAACTGACTGAGCTACCTTGTCTAGTGAATGGCCTGAACTAATATAACTGTATGTGTCTATTACTGTAAACCTCTGTGCTCATTCTTAGACCAGCAATCGTAAGTCTCAGGCCTTCATTACACATTTAAGCCTTATAGAGAATCCCAAAGAGTTTTGTCTATGTGGGGGTGCATCTATCAATATATGTTAGGAATTTAAAATGAGAAAACTTTAAAATGTTTTGTACATTAAATCATTTTAAAGAAGAATACTAAATTTATTTCATGTTAACGTAAGTAAAATATTTTATGAAAATAATGTTTTCCAAAACAAAAAAAAAGGGAGAAGAATGGTACTGCTTTACATTTTTGTAAATCTCATTAATCTGTGGCTTAATAGAAGATAGGTATGCTCTGAAATGTGCTCTGTATTTGATGTGTTTTGGTTGAAATGTAAGAAGAAACTATAGCCCTACACAGATACATAATAGAAAGATGAAAGAATATTTTAATAGCATTTTCAGGTAATTATGATATTATTATTGGATACCACACCAAACTCTACAAATAGTAGTTTCTCACAGATTAATTGTAATGTGTTCTCTGAAATTATATCAGTAAAAAGTGTACCCTGTTATATCAAAATCCTTTGGTCCATGTTTCATGTTGATAAATTTGTTGACACATAAATGCTTTTTTAATATCATGCATTAGTCATTGGGAAATTATTAGTTCAATGAATAATGCAGATAGTCCAAATGTTGACACTTTTTAATATAAGATTAAACATAATATACTTTGATTCTTTTCTCTTTATCTTTTGTGTATATATTAGAGGTTTTATCCCTATGTTTACTATCTGGCTTACATAAAACACCAGATAGTTATATCATTATATTTTAAGCTGATAACACCTTAACTTCAATCACATAAAATACCCCGTACTTTTATTTTTCTAACCTTCCACTCTTAATGGTATTAATATCACACTTAACATGTTTCTATACTGTGTATACATCTAAAAGTTATTGTTGTTATAGCTATTTATAATATTTTTGTCTTTTAACTTTTATATTAGTGTTAAAAGTGATTTACACAACAGCATTACAGTATTAGACTATGCATTTCCCTTTACCAATAAATTTTATACTTGTACATGTTTTCATGTTGTCACTTACTGTCCTTTCATTTCAACTCAAAGAACTCCCTTTAGCACTTCTTGTAAGACAGAGCTCTTCGTGATGAACTTCCTCACCCTTTGTTTTCTGGGATTATCTTTATCTGCTCTTCATTTCTAAAGGGCAGCTTTGCTGGGTATAGTGTTGTTGGTTAGCTTATTCTTGAAAGGTTTTCTTCTTTCAGCACTTTGAATACATCATCCCACTGTCTCCTGGCTTGTAAGGTTTCTGTTGAGAAGTCCACTCATAGCCTAATGAAGATTCCCTAGTATAAGTCTCTTTTTGCTTGTTATTTCAAGATTCTCTCTTTTTGAAAATTCTATCATAATGTGTAGCTGAGCATTTTTCTTTGAGTTGATATTTCCTGGGATCCTTTGAGCTTCATGAATCTGGATGTCCATATTCCAGGCCCCTCTTGTTGAAAACTGGGAAGTTTTCAACCAGTAGTTCTTTAAATAAGCTTTCTGTTCCTGTTTTTTTTAATTCTCATTCTAGGATTATTATAATTTGCATATTTGTTAGCTTGAGGGTGTCCATAGGTATCATATGTTTTCTTTACTATTTTATATTCTTTTTTCTTTTTGTTACTTTAACTGGTCAATTTCATATGACCTGTCTTCAAGTTTAATAATCTTTTCTTCTACATAATCAGGTTTGCTGTCATAGTTCTCAACTGATTTTTTCAGTTCTGTCATTGTATTCTTCAGCTCCAGGATTTTTGTTTGGTTCTTTTTTATGCTTTCTACCCTATTTTTTAACTTTTCATTTTGTTCATGCCTTGTTTTCCTAAGTTTATTTAGTTGTCTTTCTGTGTTTTATTGCATCTCATTGAGTCATTCTGAGATGACTATTTTGTATTTTTTTTCAGGCAGTTTATAGGTATTCATTTATTTGTGGTCAGTTACTGAAGCTTTATCATCAGGTTGTCATGTTTCCTGATTCTTCATTATCCATGTATACTTGTGCTGGTGTCTGTGCTTTTGAAGAAGTAAATACCTCTTCCAGTCAGTCTTTAAGACTGGATTAGGCAGATGAAGAGCTTCTCCTGTTGAGTTCCAAGCTGATTAGACTGCCTCCAGAATTACGGTTGAGTGGGAGTGAAGCTGGGCCATGTGGCTACTACTTGGTCCACAATGGCATTCATGGTTGATGAACCTATTACCGGGGGCTTGCTTGAGTGGGTATGGGTCTTGTCTGGTCTCTCAATGGACTGGACTGCCTCAAGGCCCTTGATCAATAGATCTGGGATGAGGGTACACTTCAGGATCCACAGTCAGTGGACCAGTCACCAGGTGCATGGACACATATGGCTTTGTCCAAATCCCTGGGAGAGCTGCCACTTGGTGTGTCCCTGGGAAGGCAGTACTTGCCCTGGACTTCATCTGAGAGGAGCTAGAGACTGCTTCAGGGCCTGCAGCAGAGACCAAGGCCACAACTGAGAGGAGCTAGAGCTGAGTTACAGGGCTGTTTTAAGATTCACAGTAGGACTGAGGAGTACGGCGGGCCTCCCTGCAGAAGCATAATTGGGTATACTTCCCTTTGGATATCTTTGCAGGCTGAACTGGTCTCAAACTGCAGCTGGCAGGGATTGGAGCCACATTATAGGGCCTCTTCAAAATATGCTACTTGACTGAGGCTGGCTAACCTACCTATAGGGGCATGGGTGTGTATGTTTCTCGGTGGGTCCCTGGGCAGGCAGGACTGCTCTCAGACCATAGCTGAAAGGGGCCAGAACTGAGTTAGAAGGTCCTTTTAGGGTCCACAACTGGGAACAGGGTTGACAGGCCTGTTACCTGAGGGATGTGTGGGCATTACTCCTTCAGGTTCTTTGGTGGATGGTTCTGTTGGTAGAACCAAAGCCATATGGACAGACCCATTTCTGAGTCTGGTGAGCCTGCTGACTAGGTGTAGGTCTGCCCTCTTGAAATAGCCCTCCTAGTTATTGGGCTCCATTGGGGTTTCACAACCTTGAACCTGCAATTTTTATGACATCACTTTCTTTTCTTTTTTAAACTCAAGATTATTTTCATTTGAATTAAACATGGCAAAGTATTTAAATTCCTGGTGGTGTTAGGCCACAGGATGCTATATATTTGCTATCTGTGTGGTCCCAGTTGATATAATAAAAGAGGTAAAAGCTGGTAAAGGGTTGGTGCTCTATTTTTTTTTTTTTTTTTTTTTTTTTGATGCATCAGGATGCACTTCCAATTCCCGGATTTACACAAATGCTCTAATTTTAGACAGACCTGTGCTGTTTAACATGGTAGTCAGTAGGTACAGGAGAACATTGAGCACTGAAATGTGGCTAGTCTGAATTTAAGATGTGCTGTAAGCATAAAATACCCAAAAGATTTTGAAGACAAAAAATTATATAGAGTATCTCAGTAACATTTTATACTGATTATATATGTCAAAATGATCACATTTGGCATATATTGAGCAAAATAGGATATATTATTAAGATTAATTTCACCTGATTCTTTTTACTTTTTAATGTGGCTGCTAAAAAACTTAAAACTTCATATGTGACTTGAATTTGGCTTGCATTGTATTTCTTTTTCCCTTTTTTTTTTTTTTTTCTGAGATGGAGTCTTGCACTGTCACCCAGGCTTGAGTGCACTGGCATGATCTCGGCTCACTGCAACCTCCACCTCCTGGGTTCAAGCAATTCTCCTGCCTCAGCCTCCCAAGCTGCTGGATTTACAGGTGCCCATCACCACGCCCAGCTAATTTTTTGTATTTTTAGTAGAGACAGGGTTTCACTATGTTGGCCAGGCTGGTCTCAAACTCCTGACCTTGTGATCTGCCTGCCGTGGCTCCCCAAAGTGCTGGGATTACAGATGTGAGCCACTGCACCCGGCTTGCATTGTATTTCTATTGAATAGTGTTGCTTTAGCCATTGGCAAGAATGAGACTAAATCAATTCCATATTAGCCTGGGACCATATTTTGTTTGATCATTTTTATTAACTCATACTACAGCTCTGTCACTTTATTTTTATGGAAGAATTTTACCATTGGTCACTGTAGATAGTGACCATGACTACATTACTTCCACTAGTGTGATTTATTTTTCCTTTTTTAAAAAAACTAAAAAAATACATATTTTTACTATTTTAACCCTCTATTTTTTTTTGAAGTAGAGTCTCTCACTTTGTTGTCCAGGCATGAGTTCAGTGGCATGATCATGTCTCACTGCAACCTCAACCACCCAGGCTCAAGCAATCCCCTGCCTCCACCTCTCGAGTAGGTGGGACTACAGGTATGCAATACCATGCTCAGCTAAGTTTTAAATTTTTTGTAGAGATAGGGTCTTTTTATGTTGTCCAGTCTGGTCTTGAACTCCTGGGCTTAAGCGATCCTCCCCCATCAACCTCCCAAATTGCTGGGATTATGGTCATGATCCACTGTGCCCAGCCTTTGTTTTCTTAGGACATATACAATACACACACTCACACACACACACACACACACACACACCTTTCCAATAAGTTGTAGTAGAGAAGAGAAAAAAAACAAAGAAACGTAATAACCAATGCCAGAAATTTCTGGTGACTATAGATTTCTTTTTCATTCAATCCATTCTAATTGGTCATAGAATATTTTTATCAAGAAACTTAATCATGACCTGAGTTTGTTTTATATCAAAGATTAGTAGAAATGACATATTTAGAAAACAAATTTTTATTTATATTTTTCCCTGTAACATACATTGTTTGAATAGGATACATATTCAAAATGTTTTCTGTTTCTGCACAGTAAAGTCTAAGAAAAGTGCTGGGAAATATATCCACCTTAGAAATCAATAAAAAGATGGATACCTTTTTCAAATGTGTACAATATATTCTGTCTTGTAAAGTTTTTTAAGACTATGTGAATAAAAAGGAATCATCTACCGGAAACCTTTAGCATAGTGCCAAAGTGCCTGATGTCATAGAAAGCACTTGAAAAAATTAAAAAATAAATATCTTTCCTCAAAGTTTTTTATTTCTACATTTATCCATATCTGCTTTTTGATGTCAGGAAACTCTCTGCAATTCTCTCACTCTGCTTTTTTCTGGTTAATTTTTTTTCCTTACTCTCACACTGAAGTACAAGCAAACATTTGATCTTTGTGATAAACAGTCTCCTTTAATTCTACCCCTAAGCTCAGAGTTTCATGTTCCTATTCTCTGATGTGAGTTGTCCCTTAATAATGTGTCATAGTAACCATGAATATTTGTGTAATTAGCTTTTTAGAAGGAACACAAAAATCAAAGATGATCTAAAAAATGTGTTTTGTCATGCTTTGTAATGGCTAGAAAATGTTGTTTGGATGGCTGCAAATTGCATGATAAACTTTCAAGCATTTTTTAATTGTTTAAAAAAAAAACACGTGGCAAGTTTTAACATGTTGTCATTTTTGAACAGGATGTAAATTACATCAGTCACATTAACAAATGACCATATGGTCAGGACTTCAGAAGAACCAGACAGGAGCCAAACACCCCCAGGCAGAGTGGCATAAAGGAAATCAGAGTTTGAATCTCAGAGATATTTAATAACTTCTGTATCTTATTATATGGTAAATTTGACAGACTTGGTAAGACACACTGACTTTCCTACATACTTAAGAAGTGAGTCCAGGCTGATGCATAGATACAGAGAAATAGCAGAAATTAAGACCAAGTTGAACAAGAAGCAATTGGCACCAGAAAATATGGGTAGGGCCAATACAAATATAGAGTTGGAGAAAGTGTTTGTGGGTATTGAACATTTTTTGTAGTCTTTGTCCAAGATGGCTGAATAAGAACAGCTCTGGTCTGCAGCACCCAGCGAGATCGACGCAGAAGACTGGTGATTTCTGCATTTCCAACTGTGGTACCAGGTTCATCTCACTGGGACTGGTTGGACGGTGGCTGTAGCCCACGGAGGGTGAACCGAAGCAGGGCGGGGCGTCACCTCACCCGGGAAGTGCAAGGGGTCAAGGGATTTCCCTCTCCTAGCCATGTGAGGCTGTGACAGACTGTACCTGGAAAAATGGGACACTTCCGCCCAAATGCTATGCTTTTCCCATGGTCTTAGCAACTGGCAGACCAGGAGATACCCTCCCATGCCTGGCTCAGTGGGTCCCATGCCCATGGAGCCTTGCTCACTGTTAGCACAGCAGTCTGAGATCGACCTGCAAGGCTGATGCTGGGTGTGGGGAGGGGCGTCCACTATTGCTGAGGCTTGAGTAGGTAAACAAAGCAGCCAGGAAGCTCGAACTAGGCAAAGCCCAGTGCAGCTCAGCAAGGCCTACTGCCTCTATAGACTCCACTGCTGTGGGCAGGGCATAGCTGAACAAAAGGCAGCAGAAACTTCTGCAGATTTAAACATCCCTGTCTGACAGCTTGGAAGAGAGCAGTGGTTCTCCCAGTACAGCATTTAAGCTCTGAGAACAGACAGACTGCCTCCTCAAGTGGGTCACTGACCCCCATGTAGCCTAACTGGGAGACACCTCCCAGTAGGGGCTGACAGACACCTCATACAGGAGGGTGCCCCTCTGGGACAAAGCTTCCAGGGGAAGAGTCAGGCAACGATATTTGCTGTTCTGTAATATTTGCTGTTCTGCAGCCTCCACTGGTGATACCTGGGCAAACGGGGTCTGCAGTGGACCTCCAGAAAACTCCAACAGACCTGCAGCTGAGGGACCTGAATGTTGGAAGGAAAACTAACAAACAGAAAGGAACAGCATCAACATCAACAAAAAGGACATCCACACCAAAACTCCATCTGTAGGTCACAAACATCAAAGACCAAAGGTAGATAAAACCACAAAGATGGGGAAAAACCAGAGCAGAAAAGTTGAAAATTCAAAAAACCAGAGCACCTCTTCTCCAAAGGATTGCAGCTCCTCACCAGCAATGGAACAAAGCTGGATGGAGAATGACTTTGATGAGTTGACAGAAGTAGGCTTCAGAAGGTCGGTAATAACAAACTTCTCTGAGCTAAACGAGCGTGTTCTAACCCATCACAAGGAAGCTAAAAGCCTTGAAAAAAGGTTAGACAAATGGCTAACTAGAATAAACAGTGTAAAGAAGACTTTAAATGACCTGATGGAGCTGAAAACCATGGCATGAGAACTTCATGATGCATGCACAAGCTTCAATAGCTGATTCGATAAAGTGTAAGAAAGCATATCAGTGATTGAAGATCAAATTAATGAAATAAAGTGAGAAGACAAGTTTGGAGGAAAAAAGAGTAAAAAGAAATGAACAAAGCCTCCAAGAAATATGCGACTTTGTGAAAAGACCAAATCTACATTAGATTGGTATACCTGAAAGTGACAAGGAGAATGGAACCAAGTTAGAAAACACTTTTCAGAATATTATCGAGGAGAACTTCCCCAACCTAGCAAGGCAGACCAACATTCAAATTCAGGAAATACAGAGAACACCACAAAGATACTCCTCGAGAAGGGCAATTCCAAGACACATAATTGTCAGATTCACCAAGGTTGAAATGAAGGAAAAAATGTTAAGGGCAGCCAGAGAGAAACGTCAGGTTACCCACAAAGGGAAGCCTATCAGACTAACAGCGGATCTCTTGGCAGAAACTCTACAAGCCAGAAGAGAGTGGGGACCAATATTCAACATTCTTAAAGAAAAGAATTGTTAACCCAGAATTTCACATCCAGCCAAACTAAGTTTCATAAGTGAAGGAGAAATAAAATCCTTTACAGACAAGCAAATGCTGAGAGATTCTGTCACCACCAGGCCTGCCTTACAAGAGTTCCTGAAGGAAGCACTAAACATGGAAAGGAACAACCGGTACCAGCCACTGCAAAAACATGCCAATTGGTAAAGACCATCGATGCTATGAAGAAACTGCATCAATTAATGGGCAAAATAAACAGCTGACATCATAATGACAGATCAAATTCACACATAACAATATTAACTTTAAATGTAAATGGGCTAAATGCTCCAATTAAAAGACACAGACTGGCAAATTGGATAAAGAGTCAAGACCCATCAGTGTGCTGTATTCAGGAGACCCATCTCACATGCAGAGACACACATACACTCAAAATAAAGGGATGGAGGAAGATCTACCAAGCAAACGGAAAGCAAAAAAAAAGCAGAGGTTGCAATCCTAGTCTCTGATAAAATAGACTTAAAACCAACAAAGATCAAAAGAGACAAGGCCATTACATAATGGTAAAAGGATCAATTCAACGAGAAGAGCTAACTATCCTAAATATATATGCACCCAATACAGGAGCACCCATATTCATAAAGCAAGTCTTTAGAGACCTAAAAAGAGACTTAGACTCCTATACAATAATAATGGGAGACTTTAACACCCAACTATCAATATTAGACAGATCAACGAGACAGAAGGATATCCAGGACTTGAACACAGCTCTGCACCAAGCAGACCTAATAGACATCTACAGAACTCTCCACCCCAAGTCAACAGAATATACATTCTTCTCAGCACCACATCGCACTTATTTTAAAATTGACCACATAATTGGAAGTAAAGCACTCCTCAGCAAATGTAAAAGAACAGAAATCACAACAAGCTGTCTCTCAGACTACAGTGCAATCAAACTAGAACTCAAGATTAAGAAACTCACTGAAAACTCTGAAAACCACACAACTACATGGAAACTGAACAACCAGCTCTTGAATGACTACTGGGTAAATAACAAAATGAAGGCAGAAATAAAGATGTTTTTTGAAACCAATGAGAACAAAAACACAATGTACCAGAATCTCTGGGACACATATAAAGCAGTGTTAAGAGGGAAATTTATAGCACTAAATGCCCACAAGAGAAAGCAGGAAAGATCTAAAATCGATACCCTAACATCAAAATTAAAAGAACTAGGGAAGCAAGAGCAAACACATTCAAAAGCTAGCAGAAGGCAAGAAATAACTAAGATCAGAGCAGAACTGAAGGAGATAGAGACATCAAAAACTACTCAAAAAATCAATGAATCTAGGAGCTGGTTTTCTGAAAAGATCAACAGAATTGATAGACTGCTATCAAGACTCATAAAGAAGAAAAGAGAGAAGAATCAAATAGATGCAATAAAAAATGATAAAGGGGACATCACCACCAATCCTACAGAAATGCAAACTACCATCAGAGAATACTATAAACACCTCTATGCAAATAAACTAGAAAATACAGAAGAAATGCATACATTCCTGGACACATGCACCATCCCAAGACTAAACCAGGAAGAAGTTGAATCTCTGAATAGACCAATAACAAGTTCTGAAATTGAGGCAATAATCATAGTCTACAAACCAAAAAAAGTCCGTGACCAGATGGATTCACAGCCCAATTCCACCAGAGGTACAAAGAGGAGCTGGTACCATTCCTTCTGAAACTATTCCAATCAATAGAAAAAGAGGGAATCCTCCCTAACTCATTTTATGAGGCCAGAATCATCCTGACACCAAAGCCTGGCAGAGACACAACAAAAAAAGAGAATTTTAGACTAATATCCCTGATGAACATTGATGTGAAAATCCTCAATAAAATACTGGCAAACCGAATCCAGCAGCACAACAAAAAGCTTATCCATCACGATCAAGTTGGTTTCATCCCTGGGATGCAAAGCTGGTTTGACATACACAAATCAATAAATGTAATACATCACATAAACAGATCCAACAACAAAAGCCACATTATTATCTCAATAGATGCAGAAAAGGCCTTCAATAAAATTCAACAACACTTCATGCTAAAAACTCTCAATAAACTAGGTATTGATGGAACGTATCTCAAAATAATAAGAGCTATTTATGACAAACCCACGGCAGAGCTATTTATGACAAACCCACGGCCAATATCATACTGAATGGGCAAAAACTGGAAGCATTCCCTTTGAAAACTGGCACAAGACAAGGATGCCCTTGCTCACCACTCCTATTCAACATAGTGTTGGAAGTTCTGACCAGAGCAATCAGGCAAGAGAAAGAAATAAAGATATTCAATTAGGAAAAGAGGAAGTCAAATTGTCCCTGTTTGCAGATGACATGATTGTATATTTAGAAAACCCCATCGTCTCAGCCCAAAATCTCCTTAAGCTGATAAGTAACTTCAGCAAAGTCTCAGGATACAAAATTAATGTGCAAAAATCACAAGCACACAAGCATTCCTATACACCAATAACAGACAGAAAGCCAAATCATGAGTGAACTCCCGTTCAAAATTGCTACAAAGAGAATAAAATACCTGGGAATCCAACTTACAGGGGATGTGAAGGACCTCTTCAAGGAGAACTACAAACCACTGCTCAATGAAATAAAAGAGGACACAAACAAATGGAAGAACGTTCCATGCTCATGGATAGGAAGAATCAATATCATGAATATGGCCGTACTGCCCAAGGTAATTGATAGATTCAATGCCATCTCCATCAAGCTACCAATTACTCTCTTCACAGAATTGGAAAAAACTACTTTAAAATTCATGTGGGACCAAAAAAGAGCCCACATTGCCAAGACAATCCTAAGCCAAAAGAACAAAGCTGGAGGCATCACGCTATCTGACTTCAAAGTATACTGCAAGGCTACAGTAACCAATACAGCATAGTACTGGTACCAAAAAACATATATAGACCAATGGAACAGAACAGAGTCCATAGAAATAACACCACACATCTACAACCATCTGATCTTTGACAAACCTGACAAAAGCAAGCAATGAGGAAAGGATTCCCTATTTAATAAATGGTGCTGGGAAAACTGGCTAGCCATATGTAGAAAGCTGAAACTGGATCCCTTCCTTACACCTTATACAAAAATCAATTCAAGATGGATTAAGGACTTAAATGGTAGACCTAAAACCATAAAACTCTACAAGAAAACCTAGGCAATTCCATTCAGGACATAGGCATGGGCAAGGACATAATGACTAAAATACCAAAAGCAATGGCAACAAAAGCCAAAATAGACAAATAGAATCTAATTAAACTAAAGAGCTTCTGCACAGCAAAAGAAACTACCATCAGAGTGAACAGGCAACCTACAGAATGGGAGAAAATTTTTGCAATCTACTCATCTGAGAAAGGGCTAAGAATCTACAAAGAACTTAAACAAATTTACAAGAAAAAAACAACTTCATCGAAATGTGGGCAAAGGATATGAACAGACACGTCTCAAAAGAAGACATTTATTGCAGTCATCAGACACATTAAAAAGTGCTCATTATCACTGGTCATCAGAGAAATGCAAATCAAAACCACAATGAGACACCATCTCATGCCATTTAGAATGGTGATCATTAAAAAGTCAGGAAATAGCAGATGCTGGAGAGGATGTGGAGAAATAGGAATGCTTTTACACTGTGGATGGGAGCGTAAATTAGTTCAACCATTGTGGAAGACAGTGTTGTGATTCCTGAAGGATCTAGAACTAGAAATATCATTTGACCCAGCAGTGTCATTACTGGGTATACACCCAAAGGATTATAAATCATGCTACTAAAAGGCACATGTACATGTATGTTTATTGCGGCACTACTCACAATAGCAGAGACTTGGAACCAACCCAAATGTCCATCAGTGATAGACTGGATTAAGAAAATGTGGCGCATATACACCACGGAATACTATGCAGTCATAAAAAAGGATCAGTTCATGTCCTTTGCAGGGACATGGATGAAGCTGGAAACCATCATTCTCAGCAAACTATCACAAGGACAGAAAACCAAACACTGCATATTCTCACTCATAGGTGGGAACTGAACAATGAGAACACTTGGACACAGGGCGGGGAACATCACACACCAGGGCTTGTCAGGGGGTGGGAGACTTGGGGAGGGATAGCATTAGGAGAAATACCTAATGTAAATGAAGAGTTGATGGGTGCAGCAAACCAACATGGCACTTGTATACCTATGTAACAAACCTGCATGTTGTGCACATGTACTCTAGAACTTAAAGCATAACAAAGAAAGAGAAAGAAAGAGAGAGAGAGAGAAAGGAAAGAAAGAAAGAGAGAGAAAGAAAGAAAGAAAGAGAAAGAAAGAAAGAGAAAGAAAGAAAGAAAGAAAGAAAGAAAGAAAGAAAGAAAGAAAGAAAGAAAAAGAAAGAAAGAAAAGAAGGAAAGGAGGGAGGGAGGAAAGAAGGAAGAGAGAAAGAAAGAAAGAAAGAGAAAGAAAGAAAGAGAGAAAGAAGGGATGGAGGGAGGGAGGGAAGGAAGGAAGGAAGGAAGGAAAGAAAGAAAGAGAAAGAAAGAAAGACAGAGAGAGAAAGAAAGAAGGGAGGGAGGGAGGGAAGGAAGGAAGGAAGGAAGGAAGGAAAGAAAGAAAGAAAGAAAGAAAGAAAGAAAGAAAGAAAGAAAGAAAGAAAGAAAGAAAGAAAGGAGGGAAGGAGGGAAGGAGGGAGGGAGGGAGGGAGGGAAGGAAGGAAGGAAAGACAGAAAAGAAAGACAAAAAGAAAGAAAGAAAAAAGAAGGAAAGAGAGAAAGAGAGAAAGAAAGAATTTTTTGTTGATTGGTACTTCATTATAAAACATCACACCTTAAATTTTAGTTTTTTTTTATGTTCTTTATGTCTTCTCAGAATATACTAGATTTCTCATTGTTCAACTTAGAAATAATGTATGTGTACATGTATTCCATATCACACACATTCCCAGCTCTATATTAATCCTAGTTAGCGCTCAATATAGTGCCAATCTGACATGCCTAGACATATTACTCTTTCCTCAATCTTATGCCATAAATATATGCATTCTTAACTGCTCGATGCTTTGGGAATTTTCTATGAGTACTCAACTCTGTGAAGTTTCTCAAAGCATTCCACAAATGAGAAACTGTCCAGTATTAGAGGCATATATTTCAATTTGATTACTGTTTACCAAATGCTCACAGGAGCCTGGCTTTGTATGAGAACGTATTGCAAATGCCCCCACACTGCTGTGTATCATGTGTCTTTACCAAGCTTCAGGCGCCAGGGGCTAGACAGACTTAGAAATCGTTCCTTATCAATTAGTCAAAGTGACTGTGAAGGCACTTTTACAATTTTGGTTCCTTACAATTTGATTCTTATAATGTTATGCCTTAAATTAAGAAGTATTTTTTCATAGAATAAACTTGAAAATATGCTCTAGATTATTTTTATATGCTTTCATGTGCTGAAATTATAATATTACTTTATTTTTATTTTGGGCAATTATTTCTAAAATAATATTTTGCTTATTCAAAATAGACAAGTTTTAATTTGAAACATAACACAATAAATTAGAGAACTGTAATGGTGTCAAGCACCAAAAACATAATGAAAAAATGTGTCAAGACAAGTTATTCTTTAGACTATCAATTAGTTACATTCTTGATGATGTGTCTTCATTTTATTAATATCCTAGAAGTATTTTTATTTTAGTGATATAGAAAAAAATATAAACTTGCTTTTACCTAACTTCATTAGGAATACCTGTGACACTTGAGCTGGTATTTAAGAATATATTATTAAAAATAATTTTACCTAGTTCTTTTCACTTTTTAATGTAGCTGCTAAAAAACTTAAAACTTTATATGTGGTTTTGAATTTGGCTTGCATTATATTTCTATTGAACAATGTTGCTTTAGCCATTGGCAAGAATGAGACTAAATCAACTCCATATTAGCCAGGGATTATAATTAGTTTGATCATCTTTATTAACTCATACTACAGTCCTGTCACTTTATTTTTATGACCAATTTTGCCATTTGTCACTGTAGATAGTGACCATGGCTACATTACTTCCACCAGTATAATTTCTTTTTCTTTTTTTTTAAACTAAATTTTTTAAAACTATTTTAATCCTCTTTTTTTTTTTTTTTTTTTTTTTTTGAGACAGTCTCACTTTATGGTCCAGGCATGAGGCAGTGGCATGATCATGGCTCACCGCAACCTCAACTGCCCAGGCTCAAGCAATCCTCCTGCCTTGATCTCCTGAGTATCTGGGACTACAGGTATGGGCCACGATGCATAAATGACTAAAAGCTAAGTCATTTTCTACAAGTAACACCTGCAAAGCAGTTTGGAAAATTATTCAGTAATGAAATTTCATTGGACCTACAGAGATTTGTTTTAGCTACGTTCACCTTTAATTCGACCATTTAACAACTGCCCTTCCCAGTCATCTATCATCTAACTAATCTTTCTTACAAGAGGATCAAACAACAGTTGATTCCTATCACATTTCTCAGTTTTTCTTCCATCAACTTATATGTATACTCAGAGAAAACATTATTTGGGCCGGGTGCGGTGCCTCACGCCTGTAATCCCAGCACTTTGGGAGGCCAAGGCAGGCAGATCACGAGGTCAGGAATTCAAGACCAGCCTAGCCAATATGGTGAAACCCCATCTCTACTAAAAATACAAAAAGTTAGCTGGGTGTGGTGGCGCGTGCCTGTAGTCCCAGCTACTTGGGCGGCCGAGGCAGAAGAATCACTTGAACCCAGGACGCGGAGGTTGCAGTGAGCTGAGATTGCACCACTGCTCTCCAGCCTGGGCGACAGAGGGAGACTCCGTCTCAGAAAAAAAAAAAAAAAGAAGAAGAAGAAGAAAAAGGAAACATGATTTGGAAGGAGTGATAACATATATTTCATACCTTACTTCTCAATGCTGAGCTCTCATTATAGTTTTAGTCTTTGGGAGAGTTTAAATCTTAACTGTTAGCTTTTAATGATTTAAAGAGATTGTTATGCAATTCGAAATATTATGACCAAGTATTATTATATTCTGCTGTGTAATAAACCACCTTAGAATTTGATAGCTTAAATCAAGTAAAATAGTTTACTTTGCTCATGAATGCACATTTTGGGCAGTGCTCTTTGATGACTCTATGTCTCTGTGCTGCATAGTGTCACCTGGAAAGGAGCTGAAGGATCCACTTCCAAAGTTGCTCAGAAGGAAATGACATTTCCTTCCCATGAGAGCCTCTCTATCTTTCTCCCAGCAGGGCAGATAGGTTTCAGAAATGAGTGTTCCAGGAGGCCTGGGTAGAAGCCATAAGTCTTCTTATGACCTGGCCTCAGACCCACTCCCTTCTATTGGTCAAACAAGTGGCTAAAGCCTGTCTGATCCCAGGAGAAGCAAATAAGAGCTCACCCTCTTAGTGGAAGGAGTAGCAAAGAATTTGTAGTTGTCTATAATCTACCCATAAGTTATTCTGATGTCATTATTTGCCCTTACATCACATGTGATATCAAAGACATTTTTGGCTATGGTAGTGTTTGTATTCCGTAAAATTCTCTGCTCTCTCTAATTGGACTTTGTCTTTAACTGCTCTGCAACTTCCCAGGTGTGAAGAAGCTCAGAGCATAATACACAGAAATGGATTTTCACTTAAGCCAGTCACAATCTGTATTGCCGTCTTCCACCATTCCGATACTAATTAAGTGGAAGGACAAATATTATCCAAAGGAGTCCATACCTGGATATTGTCATCAGGAAATCTTGGCACTAAGAGAGAGAAGGATGGCAAGGGAATTGCAGCAGTCACCAATCTCTAATGTACTAGCATGTCCTCAAACTAGTCTGAAAGAGAGGTTGGTTTAGATAGCAAGAATATTCATCACACAGGAAAGGTAAACACCTTGGACACAAGCTTCCTCCAAATCCTGACTGACAGGCAGCCAGTCTCATGGGACAGGGGCGTGCTCAGGTCACATCAGAGACATATTTGAACACACATCATGGACAAATGCTCCAAAAAGAACTGTCCTGTCATCTTAGCCAGTTGACTTAACATTTAACAAGCCTATTGCCTTTAACAAGGTGATCTTTTAAACCATGTCCCATAATTGACATGGCTTAAAAGATATTGACTCGATATAAAAGATCTCCTTGTTAAAGGCAGTAGACTTGTTAAAAGCGAAGTCAACTGGTTTACTTACATTACATCAAATACTGAGGTTTTTCACCCTGAGAAAAAAATTCTAAATTTATTTTTATATAGCTATTACTCAAAACCTGTTGTCTAGCCACGGTGAAAATCTCCTTTCTATGAGGAAATGTAGGCAACCTGAAGCTCTCATAGGATTTCCCCTACAAGCTACATAAAAACATATTTCCTCCTCTTTCTCCACTCAGCACCTTAAAGCAGAGAAGTTGCTAGGTTTCAGCTTCAGCCTTCTTTTCTCCCACTACTTGCTTTCCCTGAAGGGTTTCATTTATTCCAGAAACTTCAACTGTCACCTCTACATTGATGGCCTGAGAATCTGTATCTCAGTCTCCATCCTCTCTCTCATATCTTCCTGTGTCATAGTTTTTCCTTTGAATTTCCCTTATCTAGTTAGTGTTTCTTAGCTTCTCAGAATCAGCAGGTCCAAAACTGAACTCAATGTTTCTTATCCCCTTCTCTTGAAAAACTATTTTTACTGTTGTGATTTTCCTGATTAGATTATGGGTATAACTATACCCACATGAGATTCCTAATGGAAGAGATAGCATCCCGTGGCTCCTCCGTCTCTATCTACTTACATCCAATTGTCACCTGAGTTTAGTAATTTACCTCAGAAATTGCCTTAGGCTCAGTAGTCCTAATTCTCCAATAATTGCTACTTAGTGCCAATCTTCATAGCTCATGCTTGGCCCATTGTAATGTTCTTAACTACGTCTACTCTCTCCTGACCTTTCTCATCCATCCTCAACACTGAAGGTGGCATTATCATGCTAATGTACACATCTTACTATATCAACCCCATTTCTTAAAATTCTTTTTCTGCAATGCCGATTACCTTAGCATACAGTCATCCCTTGATTCGGAGGATTAGTTACAGGACCCCTACAGGTACCAAAATCCATGGATGCTCAAGCCCCTTATATAAAATGGCATAGCATTTGCATAGAACCTACACACATTCTCCTGGATACTTTAACTCATCTCTAGATTATTTATAACATTGAATACAACATACATTCTAGGTAAATACAGTTAGGTGTCCTTTAATGACAGGGATACATTCTGGGAAATGCATCTTTAGGCAATTTTGACTTTGTGTGGACATGATACCATGTACTTACACAAACACTGGTGGTATAGCCTACTACACAACTAGACTACATGGTACTGCTTATCGCTACTAGGCTACAAATCTGTATACTTGTTACTGCACTGAATACTACAGGCAATTGTAACACAGTGATAAGTATTTGTGTATCTAAACATATATAAACAAAGAAAAGGTTAAGTAAAAATAAGCTACTATAAACTTATGGGACCACCATTGTATATGCGGTCTGCTGTTAACTGGAACATCATTATGTGACAGTATAATGACTGTAGTTATTATACTGTATTGTTGTGTTATTTTTGTTGTTTTTTTCCTAATATTTTTGATTCATGAAATCCAAGTCTGTGGAATCTGCAGATATTGAGGGCTGACTCTACCCAGCCATGATAGGGACCCGGGATACCTTTTAGCTTCATCATCATCTTACTCTTCCCTTCTCCGAAGCTCTGGCCAAAACAATCAACTCACAGCTCTCTTAAAGATACATACACTTTCACAATTGGGACTTTACACACTTTATCTCCTCATTAACGCAATGCCTTTCTTCCTGCCAACTCTAAAAACCCCCTCTCATCCCTAAAGACCAAACTCAAAATATAGTAGGCTTTATGAACCATGACTTGACAGATAGAATTAATCATTCCCGGTTCCTGTTCCCATGGTACTAAATAGCTCCACAATGGCACTAAATAATAGCTTCCATATATAAGCTTTTCCCACTAGATTAGACAAGGATAGTGTTTTATTAATTTTTGTATTCTTATATCATCATGAAAGACCTGACGTATAGTATGAACTAAGTGTTCATTGAATGAGTTAGAAAATAGCTTAGAGATGATTTAGTCCCACCTCTTTCCCAAAGTTTAAATATCATTTACTATATCCCTGGGAGATGTTTATTAGTCACCACACCAACACTACCAGGGTCAGATAGCCTGATACTTAGAACGATGTACCATTTCATTATTCAACCTAACATTTCAAATATTTTTTTATGTTAGGCTTAAATTTTGCCTCTGAATCTTCTATACCCTACTCCCATTAGTCCTATTTTTACCCTCTGAAAAAAACTTATAATAAAACAATTTTTTATATGGCAACATTTCAATATTTGAAGATATCTGCTACACCATCCTTTGCTGTCTGTTCATAAATTTAACCATTTTTAACCCCTGGGAGGGGGTTACATCTCCTTATATACATCTCCTTATGTATTTTAGTTTATTGAAATTTCCATATATATGTATATATTATTCAGTTCTTAAAGTGCAATGCCAGAAATAGACCCACTCTTCCAGTTGCAGTTATACCAGGGCACATACAGTAGAACTATGTTATGCTGATCCAAATGTTGCACTTCTTGTAATTTGGCTGCTGATTGTACACTTGCAAAACTTCTTATCTCTCTGTTTCTAGTCTCAATCTCCCTCAATCTTTCATAACTGATGTTGAGCCATAATAGAACCAACTATTTATTCTGGCCTTGACCTTTAAAGAATGCTGAGTTGCCCATCAATTTGTGTCAGTGTAAAGCTCATGTAAGAATTGAAGGCCAGTTTCCAAATCTCTTATTTACTCAGCCTAACTTGCAACTTACCTTACCATCATACTTGTTCTCATCACCTTACTATGCTTTCCCCTGGATTTTATATTGCTTCCATATCTACTTCAAGTCAAATTTCTTTTGATGGCCACTTTTCTAATGAGCTGAAAATAACTACCCTGTTACTGGTACCAATGCTATTTATCCATAATAGATACTGAGCACTGAGCATTAGTTTTTTTTTTTGTTTTTTTGTTTTTTTGTTTTTGAGACGGAGTTTCACTCTTGTCGCTGAGGCTGGAGTGCAATGGCATGATCTCGGCTCACTGCAACCTCCGCCTCCGAGCTTCAAGCCTCAGCCTCCCGAGTAGCTGAGATTACAGGTGTGTGCCACCACGCACAGCTAATTTTTGTATTATTAGTAGACACATGGTTTCACCATGTTGGCTAAGCTGGTCTCGAACTCCTGACCTCAGGTGACCCATCTGCCTTGGCCTCCCAAAGTGCTGGGATTGCAGACGTGAGCCACCGCCCCTGGCCCACATTAGATACTTTCTATGTGCTGGATCTTATGATAGGTACTTTAAATAAATTATCTGGATTTGAAAGGAAAATTTTTATAAGAGATACTTAATCAGAATTGAGGTAAACACCCTACTTAACATGTGAGAGTCCAGTCATGCCTTTTTTTGACAAATATTTATCTGTCTTTCATTGTTCTCCAGGATTCAGAACTCAAACTCTTCTTTATCTTCTAATTTATACTCCCTTTAATAAGCTACAGCCATTTAATCTGAAATCTTGCTTTCATTATTTGCTTCCTTGATAGGTAGAATTTATGTAATTTTTATATTTCCAGGTTTATTAATGCTGAACACGACTGCAACCTAACTCTATGTGCTGGGGAGTTAAGAGTTCCTGCGCCAAACATACATAACCTCTGTAGAACTCCCAAGAAGATCAGTCTATTGTGTTACAATATACCGAGAGCCCACCTAAAGAAGATAGTATCGCTGTGTAAGGGCAATTCGCATACTTTTTCAAATTTAGGATAACAGTTGCATTAGGTTGTTTATTTCTTTCTATTTATTTCCTGACACTTCTTGTGTTGAAATTTGCTGCAGAATTAGTGTTGAGGGAAGGGCTAAGCTACAACACAGATTGTGGAATGTTGCAATGTAAAAATATTAGTTTTTAAAAAATATTTCTTTCATTTGTATATCACATACTTATTTTTATGTTTTATTTTTTCTTTATCTTTATTGTATTTATATTTTCTTTGTCAATATCGATTCACCTAAATGGATTTAAGACACTCTTTTGCTTATTTCTCTAGGTAAAATAGGCTACCCATTAATACATGGTGGTAATACATCCCAAGATTATTCGAACTCTACCAATTTCTATCCTTCTCTGCCTAACCCAAGTCATGCAAAGGGCTGCAAGTGAGACAGGGCAGGACACTTTAAGAAAAAAAAAGAGCTAGTGTGGTTATGTATAGTGCAAAGTTACGTAAGATTAAAAATTTGGCATAACCATTTCACTATGTGCCTTAAAACCTACAGGGAAGAGTTGAGACTTTAGGGAACTGGGAAGTAATGAAGCCTTTAAGCACAGGCAGTGAAATTCATATTTTAGAAGGATAGCTGGTGTTGTGACGTGAAAAAAATGCATCAGAGGCAAGACCAGAAATGAGTAGGCTGGCTAGAAATTGTTTCTAGTAATGTAGGTGGGAAATATTTTCTGAATTATAGTGGCGGTAGAGATAGATGGGGATATATCTGATGGTTTCAAAGAAATGGGTTGGCTCCATGGGTCTTTGAATCAATCAATTACGTCTGTAGGGCAACAAAAAAGGCAGAAAGTGGACCCCTGATTTTATGCCTTAGGCAAAAAATACTATGAGAAATAGGGTATTAAATAGAAAACAAGTTTTGGAATGATTAATGATTCACATTTGTAAGTGACCGAAAGGAGACTCTTCAAGTCACTCTCCAAGGGTAGAGTTGGACACTTAACCTCAGTTCAGAAAAAAAGTATTTAGAAAAAGATATAGATTTGGAGATAATTCATGAAAGATTTTATGAACATGCACAAATTTTGCATTAGATACTGCTGAGAATTGGAGAAAGTGACACCTATAGAAACCCAGAGGCATTGCTAAGCTACATGGGGACGAAAGTGTGGACCATCAATCTATAGTGCCAGCAGTCAGTGCCATTGCATATGGCTTTTTGTCTCAAATGAAATTTGCAAAGAAGGGAATGTGGACTGTTACATTTATCCCAATGTGGGGCTTAGCCAGGCAGGTGTGACAAAAGGCAAAGGGGCATGGGAGTTGAAATTACGACACGAGAATATTGAAAGTGATGTTTCATGGAATGTAGAATAGAGAGGATAGCAAGTAAAGATAGGGGAGGATGGATTATTAGAGATACTAGAAAGGTCAAGAAAATGGAAATCTCAATGAGCATGTAGAATGAACTAAGAGTCAGAGGTTGTGTAAAAGGATAAACTGGAGCTTCAAATGTGGAGAGTGCAGCTGTTCTTGGTGAACACACGGTTTAGAACATTGCCATAGGAAGGGTTGCTGACAGGCAGCTGATATGAAAACAACTGGAATCCAGATAAAGGCATTGAAAGGCTATGGCTATTATTCAGGGCCCTAAGTTTTTGCAACTGAGCATAATTACTGGAAAGGCAATGGATGAAAATTATAAGATGAGGAAGAAGTGATGATTGACAAATAGGGGGATTACAAAAGAGCAGATTTTGGAGACTGGAGGGGGAAAGCTGTTAATATATTTGCTCTTAATCTGAAAAAAAAATCAATATTTGTCCAAAAGCTGCACTGGGAAGAGAGAAGAATGCTGAGCACCCTTGGTTTTCAGCTCACCTCTTGGTCCTGAGATTCATAGCATAGGGGGGAACAAGCAGCTAACACTTGTAGGGACTACAGGGGACAATATTTCTTTAGAGTCAGCTAGGTTTCACTTACTGCCAAGAAGCAAATGATGTGTTCAGTTCTGAGAGTAAGGAGGTTGGGAAGTTATGTGACATTGGATGATCTTGGGGTTCTAGTGGGCAAAGGGTGCAAGCCCGGGAGAGAAGGATGTGGAGGGGGCTTGTGTCAAGGGAAAGCACATTGCAGTACAGAGATGAAAGTAGAGGTAGTCACAAGGGCTTATGTTTTTTGTTTTGAAAAAAAGACACTTAAATATGTTGATATCTTTAACGTCATGGTGTAATTAGCTATCTTCAGGGTTTCTTTTACTCAAAATGCATAGTCTGAATGGTTTGTGTTTCCGAGTAGTCTTGGGTTGGATAAAACAGCAGCCACTAGTGGAGAGGGGTGGTGGTGAGACAAGAAGGCACAGAGCTCTCCGGAGGAAGACAATCAGAATTGGAATAAATTAGGCTTCTAAGACAGCTGCTAAGTAGTAGAGAAGGGATTTGAATCCATCTCAATTAAAAGCCATGTTATTCCCTTTATGTTTCACTGCACTGTCCTTCTCAAATTTTATAGACAAGAAATGTATATCCCACCAGCCCTACCTTAGAATAGGGGGAAAAATAATAAACTTGGATACAAACAACAAGAGACCAGAGACATCAAGATAGCAATCATGGATAGATCTGACAGTAGGAGTCGGCAATCTAATTATGGAAAACTGAGGTACAGAAGGAGGAAATCCAAACTCACAGGGATAGCCTTTGGCGGAAATATTGGGTTTCAAAAATCAGAAAATAAACAGCACTAATTTGATTCAAACTGTGACCTTGAGGTTAGGGAAACATTGGAACAGTGAGCCAGATATGCCTTTGGTTATGGTGGGGTGGAAAGCATATTTTACTTGGTATCTAAAATTAGCAGTTCAACTTCCAGGCCCTTCTTGCTGCCATATGTGTGATTCTGAGTGAATGACTTTATCTCTTTCAAGTTTCTCTGAACTGCAGCTTGCTTAACTATAGAACAAGGATCATGTTTGTTGCAAAACATGTCATGAAAAATAAATGAGAAGCTCCTTTTTCTCATTGTAAAAGTCAAATCTGTAAAATTTGACAAATTAGAGGTTCTACCCAACAATGATATTTTCATCTTCTGGTTCTCATTTATTCCTCATGTACACAGTTGCTAGGTTAATCTCTTAGTTGAATATACACCTACCCTGATTCTTTCCATCCAGATTAAAGTCTTTCTTTGGTTTGATTCTCCAGGAGTCTCTAGCCTAGTGAGACCCTATCTTTCTAGTATCCTTTTCTATTTGTAAACATAAGTACTTTGTGCCAGCTGTCTTGGTTTATTTGCTATCTGTTAAGCACACCTGAACTTTCATCTCCAGTTCTTTTTATCACAGAAATTTTCTAGCAGGTAAAGATCTCAGACGACAAACTCAGCTTTCAGAAAGTTTAGCTTGATTATACCCGTATATAATTTTCTTGAGATTTTTATCCAGGCAGAGTTAGAAACTTGATCTCAGTCAAAATGTCTCTCCCAAAGCACACACATTTTCTCTAGTCCTTCTTTCCAAAGTTTGGATGTGTGTGTGTGTGTGTGTGTGTGTGTGTGTGTGTGTGTGTGTGTGTTTTCTATTCAGGGTTTCATCTACTTTCCAAGGAAATTCATCTGGTTTGGGTAATCACCTATGCAAACCAGAACTCTCTGATCTCTCGTCTGTCTATCTGGAACTGGTCCTACATGATTCTTCACTATTTCATGCCACTGGGGGAACGTTAGAAGTTCAGTTCTACCAGGGCCCTGGGAACTCTATGCAGCCTTCTCAGGCCATCAGCCTCAACATTCCAAACCCTTTTTGCTCTGGGATTGTGTTATGTTCCCAGGAAATTTTTACAAATATAAGCACGGGGTTGTGCTCTTTTTAAATACTCTAAACACAGGATCATTTGTGAAAGGGACACTCCTTTCCCCAAGTGTCTACTCAAGTTTTGATTCCGACCTATATCTTTCACATTCCCCAATTTAGCATAATTTTATCAGAGCTGGTGGTTGACAACAGGAATGTTTTAAATTACTCCTCTCTTTCTTCTCACAAATGTATTCACTTGGATGTAAGTGCTAGATGTTCCTCTCAGGGCTAGAATTTTGAAGCACCCTCTCTTTTTGATGTTAAGTTATATTATGTTGTTTATGATGTTATGTTATGTTATCAAATCTCCATGAGATGGCTAAGCATGAAGTTAGAAATACAGCATTCATACTGAAATGGGCCATTCCATGTAGCAAACCCTAATGTGAGGATTTGCTTTGCTTTACGAGGGAAGTGGGAGGGAGTTGTTCTCAGTCCTTGTCGTGTGGTAGAGAAGTAAACATGGGTGAAGTGTGGTTCAACAAGACATCAGGACTAGGATCATGCACTCATCAGAAGCATTAAGAGAACTGACAAAAAAAAAAAAGAAAAAAACCTCTGACTTTTGGAGTGTTGGTTCCTTCTTTTGACTCTCAGTAGAAACACTGAAGAAAGAAATAGGATTAATTTAAAACAAGTCAATCTGAAAACATAAAGGAGAAAAAAGTACATGGCCCTCCTAATCCAAGTAATTTCTGTTTGTAAACAACAATCTGTAGTGTCTATAATATTTGTAATTTGAAATCTGGCAGGGTCGCCAAAGCCAAGTGCTCATCCCAAGCTGAAGTTCATGTGAACAGGAGCAGAAAGATGAGATGCTTACTTAAAAAAAAAAAAAAAAAGATAATCCCGATGTCCCAGGTGTCTCTGAGGTACTTTCATTAAACATCCTTTGACAGATGATGATGGAAATCAATCTCACCCAGAAGATGTGCCTAGGACATAGAATGGGACAAGTGGCAGGTTACCAGCACCTCCCCCCATTTGTTCTGAGCTAGATGCTGGGATTAAGTTAAAGTCTATTGAATGGGTAGCCAGGAGATGTGGCTTATGCACAGATTCTCATCGCTACAAGAGGAGAGAAATTTAAGCCTTTGGAACCTGGGGCTAAACTCAATTTCTGGCTCCATACACCAGTCCGTGGAATTTCCTAGAAGCAAACAGACCAAAGCTGACTACATTTTTAAGTGAGCTGGATTATCAAAGAAATTCCAAACTTGACTGAAACCAGCGAGTGGCTTCTTCATCCCTCTGACAAATCTTCAGATCCCAGAACCATTCCACTGAGACTGTAAGGTGGCACGCTACCTAGAAAGGAAATTGTCCCCTGAGGTGGCCATACAAGACAATAGACAAGGGAGATATTTCTAGAAAGTAACTTCCTGAGCAGTTGTTAAATCTCATCAAAGGATGGATTCCATTTCAAGGACAGGCTACTGCTAGGTTTTACTTAACAGCAGAATATGTTTTATGCTGTGGAACTATATGTTGTTTCCCTTTCCTTTTTAAAATGAGGATTTTCATTTATATTACTGTATTATTTCTCTATGATAATGTATTTGGAAAACTGGAGATGGAAAAATATATCTTTCAGCCACACATCACTGGACTGTATGTAGTTACAGCCAACTCAGTGAACAGGATGGCATGTCACCAAGAGATCATATATATGGACCAGAATGTGGCACATGACACCTTCTGATATCATCTTTGGGAAAGGCTGATGTTTTTCAACAGTTATAGGGGGTTTGAAATATATATATATATGTATATATATATATATGTATATATATATGTGTATATATATGTATATATATATATAAAAGAAAGTGTGTGTGTATGCATGTGTGTGTGTGTGTGAGAGAGAGACAGAGAGAGAGAAGTTTGGGAAAACCAAAAGAGTGGATACTTTTGGTTATATACATTCCTTCCATTGTATATACCCAAGTGGTTTAGGATGAGGTAGAGCCCACAATTCAGCCTCCTCCTAGCTCTAGGTTGATTTCAACCCTCTTGCCAGAGAAATGAATTGAGGAAATTCACAACTAAGTCAACAGTGCATAGTATCACCCTGGGTAAAGTGATTGGTTCAGAGACATGCTTGACTTAGTTTAGGCCAAAGTCTTCTGGACCAGAAGGCTCCCTATTCTTCTGGGAGAGCCAGGAGAGGCCATTGCACTTTCTCCTTTTGAATGTGTACATGAGACACTTGGCCCTGCGTCAGCGCGCATGAAACTGACACTGGGGAAGGAGGAGCACAGAGAAGGGGTGCCTTTTATTCTATCAGTAAGCCATTGCAGCTCTGAAGATCGGCAACCTTCTATTTACGTGACCCCAATCAATTATCTTTATCATTTAAACTAAAGAGTTGGTTTTGTGTTAATTGTGACAGGAAAAGTCGCTGTTGTTATAATTACTTATATTATTATGATACATATATTTCTATTTAGCCTCTCATGTGTTTCTTCTTTTTCACCCAATGAAAGTGCACTTTCCTTGAGATCTGAAGTTATGTCTTATATTTCTGGTTCTAGCATTGTTCCTAACACATAATAATGGCTTATGAATATTGGTTAACTGCATCATCAAAGTGTTTGACATGACTAGTTAAGTTTTGACTTCTGATATAGCCTGTTTTTACATGGTCTGAATTCTTCTAAAGGCAATGCGTTTGAAAACAATCCTTTATTTCAGTCAAAGAGTGCTTTATATCTGACTCTAAGACTGGTGAATTTCAAAATACTTGGTTTTCTGGCCCATTTTTTTAAGGTAGTCTAGTACTCTGTAGGCACTGTTTCCAAGCAGCTTCCTCAAAACCTTGACTCACTACCTTGCTGAATCTCCATGATGAATAGAACTCAATGTATTCCTTTACTGACAATGGATACACTATGACATCTGTACAATAAAAGTCAGTCATTTATTATGGTATATACACACCACAGAATACTACACAGCTATGAAAAAAGAATGAAATCATGTCTTTTGCAGCAACATGCATGCATCTGGCGGACATTATCCAAAGCAAATAAACACAGAAACAGAAAACCAAACACCACATGTTCTCACTTATAAGTAAGAGCTAAACCTTGGGTACACAAGGACACAAAGATGGGAACGATACAAACTCGGGACTTCAAAAGCAGGGAAGGCGGGTAGAGGCAAGGGTTGAAAAACTACCTATCAATCAGGTAGGTTCACCACTTGGACAACAGAATCATTAGGAGCCCAAACCCAAGCATCACAGAATATACTCATACAATAAACCTACACGTGTGCTCCTGGAATCTAAAATAAAATAAACATTTAAAATATAAAAATAAATCACAGAAAAAATCAATCCTTTAAGATAAAATTGTTTTTAATTTTATATGGTTTTTAAAAATTATGTAGGGATTCATACTTTTTTTTTAGGATTGCAGAACCTGAAAAAATATATTATGTGGCTAAATTAACCATTGCAAAAAAAACCCCCAAATATTTAGAAAATTTTCTCTATGTGTAAATATTTATTTCAAACTTGTTTTGCTTCCTCCTGTGAAGCAAGAGCATATAGGGTCATGACCCAATTACAGAACATTTGATTGTCTCAGCTCAATTTCATAACTGCTCAAGAGAAATCCCTGAAGTAAAATTTATCATTATTTTCTGAAAGTTGTTTGAAAAAGAAATGTTAAATAAAATAGTTTCATCATATCTTTTGGTTGTGCGTTTTTTGTGCCCCAAAACACAAATACTTTACCCTCAGACCAGCCAAAATATCTCATAGAAAGTTTTAAAATAATGAATGCAATGAGGTAATTGAATACCATCTAAATAAATGCTCATTGGATTGAAGTGTAATTTTCTTAAAATTACAGAGTCTGAAGTTTGGCAGTTTTCCTTAAACTCTTTCAAGGTTATTTTGTCTTTCCTATTTTTAGTCTACAATTTCACGGGGAGTTAGCATCTGTTATAATACAATGCTAGATCATTACAGGTTTTTAATATCACCTGTTTTCTACAGTTTTTCATGACTCCCTTGTTAATTTTCAAGACAGTTGACTCATCAGCCTAGAAGCTCCTGTCATCCTGGTATCTGAAGGGCACCAAATGGATGAGCATGAATGAGCTTCCATTTTTAGATTTTGTTATTCTTTTGCATTTGTTGATTTTTGGTTTCTATATTATGAAGTTTTCTACTGGTATTATTTACTAGTGTACACAAATGGCCACAATTTACTGACATCATAACAAAATGGTTTTGAAACAAAATATTTTTGTAAATTCCTCTCTGGGACTTCTGATCCAGGGATGTTAAGCCATTAATAAATGTTTGTTTATTATAGCTTTTTTTAATTTAAGGGATGTTTTTCCATAGACTTCTGCTACCATAGAGGCATGATCAACAAATAAACACTGATTTTCTGAAAACATGATCTCTCTGAGCACACTGCTTTATTGCATTCTTCCCTGTTACCCTCATTCCTTTTCTTCCCAAGTCCCTCTTGTTTTCCATTTACAGAAACAAATGAAAACCTATTCCAGAAGTTTTTGCAAAAAATAAAATGGCATAATGCTATATCATTTCCTTTGAAGAGTTGAAAATAGAAAGTCCACTTAAGTCAGGAATCAAGGAAGTCAGAGTGATTAGTGAATGAAACTCACCTGGGAGTCCAAAAGACTAGATGATCATTTGCCAATCAATGCAGTGGTATTAAATATGTGTGTGATATCCATCTATTCTTTCAAGTTTTACTAATGCGAGCCAAGCACAGCTGTGACTACATGCCTGATAGACCAATAGACATACTGCCCGTGGTCACGTGGCTTACGTTATGATGTGGAGAATGCATGAAAAGTGCACAGACAGTTACAGCAGGATCAGGGAAATCAAGGACCTGGGAGAAACTATGTCAAGTGCAAGTGACCTCATTTTAGGGGTCAAGAAAGGCTTTTTATAAGGAAGAGACATCCTCCTTGAGAATCAAATAATGAGGAGGAAGTTGGCCATCTGGACATGGGTAGAGAAAGAGCACTCTAAAAGCAAGAGGGCAGGAGCCTGGGGGAACTGGAAGAAGTCCAATAGGGGAGTATCACAGAGCAAGTGTTCGGTGTGAGGTCATGGGAGCAAGAGAGTACTATGGTAGGGTATTCTGAATAAGCACAATAAGGCAGGATGGGTAAGCATAGGCAAGAAGTGGATGTTACAAAGAATGGGAGAGGAAACTGACGAGGGAAACAGAATCCCTGGTCAGTGCTGCAGGGAACATGAAGATGACAGGAACCATTCGTGACAAT
Organism: Homo sapiens; assembly: GCF_000001405.40. Taxonomy (NCBI): domain Eukaryota; kingdom Metazoa; phylum Chordata; class Mammalia; order Primates; family Hominidae; genus Homo; species Homo sapiens. Next base: position 177,040,127 of record NC_000004.12, read on the forward strand.
TTGGATCAAATAAAAGGATCAGGATCACATCCAAGAAAACACATGACACTCTTCCTGGTCTCTGTGGCAATTTCTGTTTTTGTTCGATTTCATGAGTATAGGACAAAGCCAGAAACAACCATTAAAAACAACAACAACGAAGTGTGAGTACTTTGCAACTATAACTCAACTTGGTCAGTTCTGTCCATGAATTTTGTTACTAAATTTTCACTACTTCCAAAACCAATGAAACTTATGAAAACCTTAATAACTTAGTGGTTCTCAGAATCTTAGAATGATGGAGTTAAAACAAAAAATCAGCAAAGGGTTGAAAGGGTGCCTATTCTTTCACAATACCAAAACACTCACATATTCATATGTTAATATATTTTGGTAACCATAGAAAAGTGGGAGAAAGAAAAAAAATTTGACCCTCTTTTCACTGCCATTTTGGAGTATTCCTCTGGACTATGTCCTTAATAACATAAGTATGCTCATGCTTTACATATACGGTTCTCAACTTATTTCTCTGAAGGGTATATCATACTTAGTTTTCCATGGTATTACAAATCTTTTATGTCTTAATGACCATTGAAAATATCACTTTCTAATACCAATGTACATATGTGAAAACCTACTTAACCATTTCCATAATGATGTGAATATTTTTAAAATTTTAAGTTACAATAAAAATTTTGGTTACATTACTTAACTGGTGGGTTGGTTTAATAAGTAAGATATGCTGATCATTGTGCTCAGTGTTGCATATACAATGATAGGTGAGAAACGATGATTGCTTACAGAGAGTCTGCTGTCTTCTCCATCATAAAGTGTTTTCTACATTCAGAATGTTTACCCTACTAGGGATTTCTGAATGTGAAAAAAAATAAGCATAAATATAGTAAAGGCTTCTGGTAGTTATTACCAAATTAACTTCTTAAAGAGTATACCAATTCATAATTCCCCCCTTAAAAATATATAAAACAAACATATTTTGTATTATTTGATCCAGACTTTTAAATTACGACTAACATAAAACTAACTCAAACTATGATTAAGTTAGAAAAGCAAAGTGGGAGCAGGAGGTTCAGGACATTGATTTAAGCTCCAGTAACTAAATAATAAAGGGCTATTGTTGGCTTCAGGTGTTGAGAGATCCAGGGGCTCAGACAAGAGCATCTGGGCTCAGGTTTTTTCCATCTCACAGCTCTGATTTTTTTCCGATGGCTTCACTCAGGCAGGCTCTGTCTACTTGGGCATATAGATATTCCAAGTTCCATCCTCCCAGATTTTTAGTCTAGCAAAAAGTGAGCACATTTCTCATTTCAATAACTTTAACAAATGTCCTAGAATTGACTTTCATTGGCATGGCTCGGTCCTTGTTAATCTTGGAACAAATCACTGCGCCATGAGACGAAATGATGAACCAACTGTGAACTGATGACTGATGAATCAGCTATGAAATACACTAATTGGCAAAGCCTGGATACCATGCCTCACTCAAAAAACAAGACTGAGTGCCTAGCAGGGGCAGTTTCCCAAAGGAAATAAGACCGTTCACATAAGGAGAAAGAGCAATGGATACTGGAAGGGCAAAGACAATTGATATTCCCTTAAATTGGCAGTATCATGCTTTAAGCAGATGAGAAAACTAAACTCAAGAAGGTGAAATAACTCAGTGTCATCCTGCTAATTAGGCACTAAACTGAGAGTAAGACCCAAATCCATGTGCTCATACTTCAGTGCTATTTGGATAATTCTATATTTCTTCTTTTCATTATCAACAAATAATTGGCTACCTATTGTATATAGAGGTTTGCTCTTTATAGTAGCTGAAGATTTAGTTGAATGAGACAAAAACAATATGCTAAGTGACACAAATCAATAAATAGCTAGAAGAAAAATATGAATTCGGTTGAGAGAAGTGTAGGAAAGCCTCGCAAATGAGGTGACCAACCTGGGTGAATCAAAAATTATATCATCTCTACTGCAACGAGCACATTTTGGGGGACGCATTCCATCACACTCCAAAAAACATTTTTTCCAATAAGGTTCACGTACCCTTTCCTCCACCACGAGGGGCATGTAGCTCTGGAAACCACGTGTGGCCTGTGTCTCTCTGAATGCGGAACCCAGGCTGAGTTGGTCAGAGGTGCACAGTCAAGTTCTGGGCCAGTCAAGTTCTCTTCCACAGGAACTCAGGGTTTCTGCAATCTCAGCGAGAAACCAGAACTCAGCTGAGGTCTGGCTATGAGCACAAGGTTTGGTGTTCAGAAAACAAGCAGGGTCAAGAGACTACCTGGTCCTTAATGAATTCTTAGATTCCTGCTGTCATCTCGGTTTGAGGTTCTTGTGAGGCACAGTCATTGTTCTGTGAGTTCAGCAAAATATCTCAATACCCCCTATATTTTACTGAACTTGTTTAACTCAGCTTCTAGTATTTGCTGCCCAAAGCAAATATTGAATGTGACATTAGTTCTGATATTCATCTTTCTTTCAATTTCTCTAAGAATTGAATCCTAATATTTCCTATTTTCCTTCACACATTTTAAAACCCTAGGTTCTGTCAACTCAGCTCAGATCTATTTGATTTCCTTCTTCCATAAGCTCAAGAAAATTTACAGTATAATAATTTTATGTATAGTTTTTTAAAAAATAGTTAAGTTTCAGCTAGACTGTAAATGTCCTAAGAGAAGGAGTCACTGTTTCATGTTTCATGAGATTTCACCTGTGTACCTAGAAAAAGATGCAGTTTATTGCTCATAAATAATAATGGGTCATTTTATTTCAAAGAAATTTTTCATAAGTGTTTTACATAAACGAGTCTTCCAATAACATAAATATTCATAATTAGCTAAGTCCTCATCTTCTTATGTATGAAACTACCACATACAATGACAAAAGCAATCATGGTTTCCCAGGGAACAGCCCTGAGCAGGGATTGTACAGCTGGGAGTAAATCATTGGTTGGAGGTGCTCTATCTGTAGGAGAGCCAAGTGCAGCCAGGAGGGGAGTAAATCATTGGTTGGAGGTGCTCTATCTGTAGGAGAGTTAAGCGCAGCCAGGAGGAATCGCATTCTGCATTTCCACCATTTTCCCACCAAGCTTGTTTTATGGGTCAAATTGATTTAAATAAATTCCAAAGGCAGCCTTAATGAGCAAAAACTATCACCAAAAGGAAGCCACTAGGATGTAAGTGGTGTGAGAAGAGCATCAGTAAGTCTTTGCCTCAGCCACTAATATAGAAATTGTGTGGATATTGCACAGATGGGGAAATGGAGTCAACTCTTTTCTCAGTGCCCATCTACTACGGCTTCCCCAAACTTATTCCCAATAAGGAATAAAGAGAATGAAAAACTAGGATGTGTTTACCTTTTTATTTAAATACTTACTGAGTAATAATTATGTGCCAGACATAGTACTAGGAAAATGAGATTGCAGTTGTGAAAAAGAAGTGCCGATTGTTTGATTTCACAAAACATATCCTCTATTCTAGAGGGAGATGCGAACGCATGAAAGGGGAACCCTGATATGGTGGAGTAAGTGCAGTGAAAGGAGAAGTGTTCTGGAGACATGAGGAAAACCATACAACCCAGGAAGCAGAGGAATTTTCCTGTAGAAAGTAACATCTCTGCTGGGAATATTCAGGTGAGGAAGACGAAGTGAGATGAAGAATGGGTCAAAAATGGAACCACATTCCCAAAGGCCCAGAGACCAGAGCGAGGTGCAGGAAGCTCAGTGCATCTGAAAGTTATCCAGGATGGCCGGAGCTCAAGTGTGAGGTGAGCGATCAAAAGAAATTAGGCTGTCAAGAAAAGCTGGGACGAAATATTAAAGGGTAGTGAAGTGTGTTGTCAGACACACTCTACTTCACAGTATACTTTATAGGAGAAATCTAAGGCAGGCAGGGACATAATCAGCAGGCATTTCAGAAAGCTGACTGTCATAGTAAACTAGAGAAGATATCAGAATGGGAAAAAACTCAAGGTGGAGACGTTAGAAACTAGTTAAGAGACAGTATTACAGACATTAATCCAGGGTAACATCTGTAGAGGCCTGCACAAGACTCCCTGGGAGATGAAGCCCAGCGGATGTTGCATGTCAGGGTCTACGGAAGAACCTTATGCACCTTGTGAGCCCCCTGAGCAGTCAGCATACGGGTCGTTATACGTTTTTTTCAGCATCCCTACCTTGGATCAACTCACACAGGAAAAGATGTCACTAGATTACAGCAGAGTCATGCTTTCCTCTTTCTTATGAGGTGCTCAGCTGAAACACGGACTTGGGGCAGTCAATTTCCCCTGTCCTTTCTTTCTCACTAAAAGAACCACGATTTGCTCAGGGAGTCTAATATGTTCAAAAAGCTGCTTCCTGCCCATTTCCCTGCAATCTCTGTGGCCTGTGAGAGGTGAAGTCTACAGAGTGAAACTGCAAAGAGTAAGAAGAGGCAGATTCCACTCCACATGCTTGTTTCCTTTGCTCTCAGCTCTTCTTCCTGTCTGGAATGCAGACGTGTTGCCTGGAGACACAGCAGCCACCTTAAGGACCATAGAAACAAAAAGCCAAATGCCAAGGATGGTGCAAAAAGAAGAAAAGGGAAACTGAGTCCCTGAGACCTTAATGCAACTACTGATTTGTGTCAGTAAAATAAACCTTTGTTTACATCCTGGCAATTGGCTCCTTTAACATTCAGCTGAAAGCAGTCATAAGTAAACCAGCAGTTTTCCTTGTCACTTGACAGAGCCCTCTGGTATTCTTTTTTATTTTCCTTTTTTGTTGAAATAGTAAAATGAGTATTCTTTATAGGAACAAATAAATATCCATCTTGATCTTCCAAGCTGGCTTTCCTAGGCAGAGCTTTGTGAGGGAAATTTTCACGGTGATATCCTCAGTCTTCTGTGAAGGTGGGATAATATATCTCCAAAAGAATTTGTAGTAATGTTTGGCTCTCTCTCTCTGTCCACTTACAGTTTTCCAGCCATGAAGACAGAATCAAAGTAATTTGATTTATTCAGGGAAATAGACTCTCTCATTTCCATAGAATAATAGTGAAGAAAATAAAAGAAGATAAGACTTAACTCATCAATTAACTTTGACATTGTTCACTTGCCTGAACACGCCGTCTGTGTCAGGGAACTTATCTTATCCTTGTTGTGTTATAAACCTTTCGTGAAGCCTTTGGCTCCTCACCTACCTCATCCCAGCACAAAACAGTATGTTCTTCGCTCACTCATTTATTTACTCTTTCAATAAACACTAAGTGCCTATACTAATTGCTAGCATTGTACTGCTCGTTAGATATTAAAGACAAACAAAATTCCATCCTTGACTTCAAAGAAGGTGCAGCATGCCAGGACGGGGGACATTTAACGACCAACAGCAAATGTCTTGGTGCTGTGAGTCGGGCCTCCACAGTGCAGTGGGGCAGCGTGGAGAAGTGGGTAGTTCTACTCTGAGATTAACAAAGTGTCCATAAAAGATGGAGTGCTTGAGCAAATATTGAGTAGATGCTGATACTCAACAAGGGAACAAGGGAAGTATCCATGCCAGGCACAGAAAGCAGTATCATCAAAGGCACATGGTAGAAAATGGAATATGGTACATGAGCTTGCAAAAAATTATGCAAAGAGAAGGTCAGAAGCTGAGGCATAGATAGACATGAGGAACTATGGCCATATAGAAAAGGGTGATATAGGCCAGGCACGGTGGCTCAGGCCTGTAATCCCAGCACTTTAAGAGGCCAAGACAGGCGGATCATCCGAGGTCAGGAGTTCAAGATCAGCCTGACCAACATGGAGAAACCCTGTCTCTACTAAAAATACAAAAAATTAGGCAGGCATGGTGGTGCACGCCTGTAATTCCAGCTACTCGGGAGGCTGAGGCAGGAGAATCGCTTGAACTCGGGAGGCGGAGGTTGCGGTGAACCGAGATCGTGCCACTGCGCTCCAGCCTGGGCAACAAGAGTGAAACTCTGCCTAAAAAAAAGAAAAGAAAAGAAAAGGGCGATATAATCAAATATGAATCTGGGTTTTAGAAAGATCATTCTAGAGGCATTAAGATATCTCACCAGACTCAGAGAAATGATTGATTTTTGCCCTCCACATTTAAGATGAGATTCTTAATGTCCTAGGGTAGTAGTTATGCCTCTGAGATGACAATGAAGAACAAATGTTTAAAATACAAAGAACACAAATAAGGAAGCCTTGGTGATTGGAGATGGGAAATAAGAAAAAGGCCATTCCAAAGATTATCTAAATTTCCTTTTTGGGTGACTA